>NC_000001.11:121023233-121757932 GCF_000001405.40 Homo sapiens
AGGAATAATTCAGGAAAGAATTTTCCTAACCTTTCAAGAGAGATTGATATTCAGATACAAGAAATTCGGACAACTTCTGCAAGATACTATACAAGATAACCATTGAAAAGCATACAGTCATCAGACTTCCCAAGATAAATGTGAAAGAAAAAATCTTAAAGGCAGCTGAAGAAAAGGGCCAGATTATCTATAAAGGAAATCCCATCAGACTAACAGCAAACTTTTCAACGGAAATCTTACAAGTCAGAAGAAACTGGGACCTATTTTTAGCCACCTAAAAGAAAAAAAAAACTGCCTGTCAAAGTTTCATACTCTGCCAATTTAAGCTTCATAAATGAAGGAGAAATAGTTTTTCCCAGACAGAGAAATGCTAAGGGAATTCATTAACACCAGATAGTCTCTATAATAAATGTTCAAAGGAGTTCTAAATATGGATGGTACTTGCTACCATAAAAGCACATGTAATTACAAAGCTCGTACACCTTATAAAGCAATATATAATTGGGTCTACAAAGCAACTAGCTTAACACTATGACAGAAATAACACCTCACACATGAATATTAACCTTGAATGTAAATGGCCTGAAAGTTCCACTTAACGGGCATAGAGTAGTCCAGGTGTGGTGGCTCACACTTGTAATCCCTGCAGTTTGGGAGGCCAAGGTGGGTGGATCACTTGAGGTCAGGAGTTCGAAACCAGCCTGGCCAACATGGTGAAACTTCATCTCCACTAAAATACAAAAATTAGCTGGGCGTGGTGGTGGGCGCCTGTAATGCCAGCTACTCGGGAAGCTGAGGCAGGAGAATCACTTGAACCCAGGAAGCAGAGGCTGCAGTGAGCCAAGATCGCACCACTGAACTCAGCCTGGGACTCCATCAAAAAAAAAAAAAAAAGGCATAGGGTGGCAAATTGGGAAAAAAAAAAAATCAAACTTTCCATGGCCTTTAAGAGAGACCTATCTTACATGTTATAGCCCCCAGAGGCTCAAAGTAAAGTGATAGAGATCTGTTATGCAAATGGAAAACAAGAAAGGTCAGGAGTTGCTATTCTTGTATCAAGTAAAACAGACTAAACCAACAAGAGTTAAAAAAAGAAAAAAGACAAAGAAGGGCATTACATAATCAGAAAGCATTCAATTCAACAAGAAGATTTAACTATCCTAAATATATATGCACCTAACATTGAAGCACCCAAATTTATAAAACAAATACAACTACACCTAAGCAAAGAAATAGACAGCCATGCTATACTAGTGGAGGACTTCAACATCCCACTGACAGCACTAGACAGATCACTGAGGCAGAAACCTAACAAGGAAACTTTGGACTTAAATTGGACTCTTGACTAAATGAACCTAATAGATGTCTATAGAATACTCTATCCAACAACCACAGAATATACATTGTTCTCATCTGTGCACAGAACATTCTCTAAGATTGACCACATACTCAGTCATAAAGCAAGTCTCAATAAATTTTTTAAAAAATGAAATTATATCAAGTATCTTCTCAGACAACAGTAGAATAAAAGCAGAAATCAATGCCAAGAGGAACTCTCAAAACCACACAAATACATGGAAACTAAACAACAGAATCATTTTTGGGTAAACAATAAAATTAAGGCAGAAATAAAAAAAAATTGAAACAAATGAAAGTAGAGACACAATGTGCCAAAAACTCTGGAATATAGAAAAGCAGTGTTAAGAGGAAAGTTTATAGCACTCAATACCTACCTTGAAAAGATAGAAAGATCTCAAATTAACAACATAATACCACACCTAAAGAACTAGGAAAAGAAGAAGAAACAAAACCCAAAGCTAGGAGAAGGAAAGAAATAACTAAGATCGAGCAGAACTAAATGAAACAGAGATAAAAAAAATACAAAGGATCAATGAAATGAAAAGTTGGTTATTTGAATGATTGATAGACCACTAGCTAGATTAACCAGGAAAAAAAGATCCAAATAAGCACAATCAGAAATTACAAAGGTGACATTACAACTCATATCACAGAAATACAAAAGATCCTCAGAGACTACTATGAGCATCTCTACATGCACAAACTAGAAAAACCTAGAAGAAATAGTTAAATTCCTGGAAGCACACAGCTTCTTAAGATTGAACCAGGAAGAAATTGAAATCCTGAACAGACCAATAATGAGTTATGTAATTGAATCAGTAATAAAAATTCTACTAATCTGAAAGAGCCCTGGACCAGACAGAATTTTACAGCTGAATTCCACCAGACGTGCAAAGAAGAGCTGGTACCAATCTTACTAAAACTATTCCAAAAAATTGGGGATGAGGGATTCCTAACTCATTCTATGAAACCAGTATCATCCTGATACCAAAATCTGGCAGGGACACAATAAAAAAAGAAAACTACAGGCCAATATCCCTGATGAACACAGATGCAAAAATTCTCAACAAAATACTAGCAAACTGAATCCAGCAGCACATCAAAAAGATAATTCATCATGATCATGTGGGCTTTATTCCTAGGATGCAAGGATGGTTCAACAGACGCAAAAAAAAATGCTATTCACTGCATAAACAGAATTAAAAACAAAAACCATACTATTATCCCAATAGATGCAGAAAAAGCATTCAATAAAATGTTACATCCGTTGCATGATACACACCTTCAACAAACCAGGCATCAAAGGAACATAACTCAAAATAATAAGAGCCATCTATGACAAACCCATAGCCAATATCATACTGAATAGGCAAAAGTTGGAAGCATTCCCCCTAATAACTGGAACAAGACAAGGATGTCCACTCTCACCACTCCTATTCAACACAGTACTGGAAATCCTGGCCAGAGTAATCAGTCAGGAGAAATAAAAGCAATCCAAATAGGAAAAAGGGAAGTCAAATTATCTCTGTTCACCAAAGACATGATCCTCCATCTAGAAACCTCTAAAGATTCCTCCAAAATACTCCTAGACTTGAAAAACAAGTTCAGTAAAGTTTCAGGTTACAACATGAGCATACAAAAATCAGTAGCATTTCTATACACTAAAAATGCTCAAGCTGACAGCCAAGTCAAGAACTTAATCCCATTTAAAATAGCCACACACACACACACACACACACACACACACACAAATAAACAAAACACCTAGGAATATATTTAACCAAGGAGGTGAAAGATCTCTACTGGGAGAACTACAAAACACTGATGAAAGAAATAATAGACAACACAAACAAATGGGAAAACATTCCATGCTTGTGGACTGGAAGAATCAATATTGTTAAAATGACCATTCTATCCAAAGCAATCTAAAGATTCAACGCAATTCCTATCAAGTTACCAATGTCATTTTTTACAGAATTTAAAAAAAAAATTATAAAATTCTTATGGGGCTGGACATTGTGGCTCACACCTGTAATCCCAGCACTTTGGGAGGCTGAGGCAGGAGGATCACTTGAGGTCAGGAGTTCAAGGGCAGCCTGGCCAATACGGTGAAACCCCATCTCTACCAAAACACACAAAAGTTAGCAGGCATGGTAGCACACACCTATAGTCCCAGCTAATTCAAGAGGCTGAGGTGGGAGAATCACTTGAACCCAGAGGCAGAGGTTGAAGTGAGCTGAGATCATGCCACTACACTCTAGCCTTGGTGACAGAGTGAGACCCTGTCTCAAAAAAAAAAAAGAAAAAATCCCCATGGAACCAAAAAACAGCCCGAATAGTCAAGCAATCCAAAGCAAAAAGAACAAATCCAGAGGCATCACATTACCTAACTTCAAACTATACTACAAGGCTATAGCAACAAAAACAGCAAGGTACCGACACAAAAATAGACACATGAATCAATGGATAAGAATAGAGAACCCAGAAATAAAGTCACACACCTACAACTAACTGATCTTTAACAAAGTTGACAAAAATAAACAATGAGGAAAATGATACCCTATTTAATAAATGGTGCTGGGAAAACTGGCTAGCCAAATGCAGAAGAATGAAACTGGACCCCTACCTCCCACCATATACAAAAATTAATTCAGATGGTTTACAGACTTAAATATAGGACGTCAAACTATAAAAATGCTAGAAGAAAACCTAGGAAAACCTCTTCTTGACATTGGCTTATGACTAAGACCTCAAAAGCAAATGCAACAAAAATGAAAATTGACAAATGGGACTTAAACTTAAAAAGCTTCTGCACAGCAAAAGAAATAATCAACAGAGTAAACAGACAACCTACAGAATGGGAGAAAATATTTGAAAACTATGCACCTGACAAAGGACTAATATCCAGACTCTATAAGGAACTTAAATCAACAAGACAAAACCAAATAACCCTATTTAAAAAATGGGCAAAGGACATGGCTAGACACTTATCAAAAGAACACATACAAGCGGCCAACAAACATATGAAAAAATGCACATCACTAATCATCAGAGAAATGCAAATTAAAACTACAGTGAGATATCATCTCACAGTAGTCAGAATGGCTATATTCCAGGCTCGAGGCAAGCGTGCTCTTCACGAGTTCTGTCATTCTCTTGAGTGAAGCTCACCTGGTATGGTAAGTTGTCCTCATTTTAAAACATTCAGATTTTATTCTGCAATTCTTTCACATGTGACAGTTTTTCTGTTCTTCCTAAGCATGTAATGGAAGTCAAGGAATTCTACATCCTCACTATCTATTAATATTTCTTACCTTTCCACAGCAGTGAAATTCCCATTCTAGTCTTCTGAAACAGAGATAGCTAATAAAGAAAACTCATTTCTCCTTTAACCTTTTCCACACATTTCAGACCATTCTGGTTTTATTCTTTTCTACACAAATTTTACTCTTTATAGGTGTTCAATAAATAAATATAAACACTAATTTTAAAAATAATTTATTAATTTGATCTCTTCATTTAAAGATAATATCCAATGCCTCCAAGTTCCCACCCAAGAATTCTGTTGGATAGGGCTGGAAAAGTTCTGGAGAACATTCTTCCAGACTCTCTAGGCATCATGTCACAGGATGTCCTCGCCACAGCCAGAAGAGTGACTCTGAGTATATGAATGAGGGGCTACAGTGGACTGTCCAGTACCTAGGGAGGGAGAGACAGGGCTGCAATGAAGTCTGGAGGGATTTAGGAAATTCATTGATTGTACCAAACAAAAACTTACATTTCTTCTCTCCTATTCCGTACCCAGGTGAAAGTGGGAAAGACAGGAAGAGAGACACCAAGCTTTCTAGTTGACAGCTAGTGACTCTCTGATTATCTGCAAAGATTGGGAAAGGAACTTAAACATGACATGTAGATTTTCCAGAGATATTTACTCCTGGAGCCAGGAGTCTGCGAACACGTAGGTGGGATCTTTTAAGAAGCAGCCTTATCTAGATTGGGAATAAGCTATTATAGTTTTAGGCTGTGTGGATCTGGTCAACTTTTGTGCTGCCTACTTCTCTTTGCTTCTACAACTGGGCATTGCTGCAGAAAGGAAGAAATATGGAAGTGACTTCAGCTTTGATTTTTTTCCTTCTGGAAGCCTGAAAACTCCAGTTTGCTTCCCTGAGCCCTTTTCCTGTTGCACAACTAGGGTGTGGACTACAGGTCCTACCCATGGAAGATGGAGGTAGATACTTCACAGGGAATAAAAACAACCCAGACAAGTCATACCTTTAGGTAACAGATACTTTCAAAGATGTACTTTCCTGCACCCATTAAAGTTTTAGTCTCAGCTAATCTGAAAACCTGCGGTCCTCATGCACTGGGATAGCAGTGCAATATGGCTCAGGCTCAGGTTTTGCTGGGCACACCAGAGTAGGCCACACACTCTCATGTGCAGTGGCTTCAGGTATGGATCAGGGTCTTTCCCACTAATTGGCTTCAGTTATGATGTTGTAGGTCATCATTCTTCTGGCTTTAATACGAGAGAAGAAGGGATGGGGAAGAACTGGTCTCCAAGTGAGAGCATCCAGGGTGAAGAGTGTGGAAATAAGGGTCATTAGCACAAGAGAAGAGCCAGGTGATATCAAAGGCATGTAGTAATGGCATAAAGGTGGAACGTTGCTCTCATTCTGCTGAAGTGGGCACCATGGAAACCTTGGTGCTACCACTCGCCAGTCAGGCCACAAGCCCAAGAACAGCACCAGGCAGTATAAGGACATATAAGAATGACATCACTTCAGATAGTCCTGAGAATTAGACCTATCCCTGCTTGGGGCAAACCACTCAGTGGGAGCAATAGTACCCTTCTGCTTCCCTATCTGGGCTAATTGTAAGGAACAAGTGAAATCATGCACACCAATGTGCTTTAAACCGGTAAAACTCTGCCCCAAGAAGCTATGTGCCCTTTTGAGACTCCCTAGACGTGGACAGAAACATAAAATTTCTGCCTTTCTACCTTTTCCTTGGTCACCATTGCTAAGCACATGCTGCAGCCTCTCCCTCAGGCGGTCATTGAGACTGATGGACTCCTCCAGGCGCTGGCGCAGGTTCTGTATCTCAGCAAGATTCTTTTCCAGCAGGTCGGCCCCTACTGCAAACCACCAAGACATAGGAGAGGTAGGAGGTAGGGAAGCCTGATCATCCCTGGGCAGCTGTGGGGCCTGCCTGGCAACTCTCTGCAAGATCCCTACCTATCTCTATCCTTCTGTCAGCTTCTTCCTCTCTCCTGGGCATTCAGGAAGCACCAGGCAACTTTACTTAAAAGTCCTGGGCTTTCAATCACAGGGTGGCCCCCTGTAAGGAAACACCACAGGCCTCCTCCCAGACAGAGACCACCAAGTACATCTAAGGGAGATGGACACAGGGTGAGAAACTGCTAAAGGCCTCTAGGCAGAACTGGCCTAGTAATGGGAAAGGCTGTCTACCTCCTTGGTATGGAAAACAATCCAGAGAATCTCCCTCTCTACCTCATCCCTCTCCCCGATGATGATCCCGACTCAACAGCCTTTGAGATTTCACTCACTCACAGACAGAAAGACCAAGGTAAGTGCATATGAAATTAAACCAGGCTGTGAATAATGAGTGATAGTGAATGTTCTCCTTTAACCAGTTTTGGCAAAGAGGAACATGGAAGAGCTTGGGAAGGTATCAGGATCTGAAGAGGGGGAACAGGAGAGAAGGGAACAATCTCCAAGGAAGGAAAAAGATGCACAGAGAGAGGAGGCTGAGAATAGGCCTCACCCACTGGGAGATTTTGCGTAGGGTCAGGTTTTTCTCTGAGAATTTAAAATGTCTTATTGTTACACTACCTGGGACACAGAAATGGAGCTGCTTCAAGCCATTCCTCTAAATACCTGCACTCCTAGCTGCCAGGTGCCAGGATGTTTGGCTCCAAATCCAAAAGCAATGTTTATGGGGGCAGGATTGGCACGTGGTTGTATGCACAGTGTGTGTGAAAGATGTGTGTGAAAGAGTGGAAAGAGTGTGTAGGGGTGGGTGACTCTGTAGAAATAGTTTCCCATCCGACAGTAGCTCCTGACCTAAGGAAGACCTTCCCCATGGAAATCTGAGCTTAGCATTCCAGGACAGTCTTAATCTAGGCCTAAGAAGGTTGTAGCACAGAGAGAAGGCAACATTTAAGTGTGAGGTAACTTATCCTCCTTGTAGAGCACCTCAGAATGTCCCTGACTTCTCCTACTCTCCTGCCCAGAGTAAGTTCCTAGGTAGGGTGGCTAGGAGAAGGCACTTTCAAAGAACAAGCACTGAGCTGGTTCTCACTGTCTGGCTGATCTACATATTGTCCTGTCATTTTTTATGAACCAGGTTCTAACAGAGGAACCAAAAAGTCCTCTGGCCAGGAAAGGAATGTGTCATTCCTACCAATGGGCTCGATTTCACTAAGTGCTCCTTTGTGTTTTACCAGAGGTTTCGGAGTTGGGTTGGTACAAAGAGGAGAAGGAGGCTAGGTCTCCAGATGCATTCATTTTTTGAGGCCTCATCTCTTCCCATGGGCCACTGCTACCGTGTTCTAGTGTCCTGCTCTGCTGGGCCAGTGCCGCTCGAAGGATGGAAGGGCTGGGCAGACCTGGTTCCTTGGTTGCTGGGCAAAGCAGCTGAATCAGCAGAAATGGCAGGGCTGGCATCTGTCCAGAAAGGAATGTGAGTGAGAAACCAACAGGGAAGTCATAAATGAGTGTTTTAAAGGTAATTATAGTGAGTTGAATAGTGTCCTCCAAAAATTCATTCAGTTCACTTGGAACTTCAGAATGTGATCTTATTTGTAAATGGGTTTTTTGTAGATATAATAAGTTAAGACGAGATGATACTGAATTGGGGGTATGTCTTAAATCCAACATGACTGATGTCCTTATGAGAGGAGAGGAGACACAGAGATAAAGAGACATACAGAGAAGGAGACCATGTAACAAGAGAGGCAGAGATTGGGGTGATGTGTCTACAACCCAGAAACCACCAGAAACTAGGAAGAGGCAAGGAAGGATCCTTCCCTGGAGTCTTCAGAGGGAGCATGGCCCTGCTGACTCCCTGATTTTAGGCGTCTTCATCTCCAGAACTGTGAGAGAATACATTTCTGTTTTAAGACGCCCAGTTTGTGTTTTTTTGTTTTGGAAGCCCTCGAAAGCTAATAAAGCAATCCACGGAATGAAGACTAAGGCAGATGTCAGCAGACTCATTTCCCAAGGACTCCCCATTTCACCCTAAAGTAACTGGCATTTCTCAGCCTATGACATAAGCAGTAGTGTTAGTTGTAATATCTGAGCATCACAGCGCACATACAGGAAAAATATGGGGCCCCTCTCCTAGCTCCCTTTATGATTCCCAATGCTGGAATGATCCTGGGGAGGTACTTCAGAAATGTTTCTCCTAATAGCAGGACTCACAGCCAATCCTAGGAGTTCAGACAGTGAGGGGTGAAGCATTTTGTTGGTCTGTAAACAGGTGACTATTTATTCAACATTCTATGCCCTTGCCAGAAACACACCAGCTACTCCTTCCTGGGATTGTTCTACACTGAGGCTGTTGGAGGAGGAGGAGAAAATGGCCTCCACTTCTGGACAATGTGCAGAGAACCTAGAGAGTGTTGCTTCCACTCCTGGTGGTTCTCTCTCTGGCCTCGGCTGACTCTGGACCTGCAGTGAAGCTGAGGGGGTGTCTGTCTAAGGCAAGTGGTGATTTGGATTCCACCTAGAATGGCTTTTGACACTGCAAAAATAATTCTTATGTACAGCTCACATTGTCTGGCTCCTGTCCACAGAATAGCTAGTGTACTCTTGCATAGAGGATTGTAGAATCACAAAATACATGGCATCTTACAGCTCAATGATGCCATGAGAACATGGCCAGATCCTCTGGGCCCTTCATTACTGTCTCCCTTTGAGAGAAAAACCCAGCTGGGGTGGCAGGGCCATAATTCAGAGAAAAGTTTTAGAGTCTTTCCCTTTCAAGGATTATTATCAAGGGCTAAAGAATAGACAAGTTTCTCCTCTGAGCAGGTGGGAGTGAGGTTTCTGTTTGCCCTCAACAACATCACGTTCTTTTAGGAACTGTATATTTAAATCAGTAACCAGTAGGTCTCTCCTTCTCCAATTTATAAAATATCAGATACTAATTAGAATCACTGTGAGATAAAGAGTAATGACAACTATGTTAAGTCTTTAATAAATGCCTGACTTAAAGTAGGAACTCAATCAAAATGTGATTACCACCCCCTTTCAAACCTCCTTTATCTCAGAAAATCAGTTTACTCTCAACCATGGCCATAGGAAGCTCTAAGTTTTATCAGTAACAGTGATCAGTGTTTTAACATTCCCTGGCCATACCACACGGGGAACATGCCCTACACTGCAGATGGAAAGCAACAGAGACTAGACTTTTGTGAAGGAAATTTGGCCTCACAATGTAGCTGTCATGCCAGTGCACTACAGGTTGACTGTTCTAGAAATTTTGGTTCAAAAACCAAAGAGGAAGTGGTGATAAACCGTTGCCCCTGTGAAAGGACAGTGACTTCAAGTGGGAAAGAGAAGGGCTTCGATCTCCCTCAGGAAAGACAGTTGTGGCAAAAAGTAAAGCTGGTGCTCTCCAGAAGCATCATTCCAGAGGCCACACCTCACTGCAGGCAGTGGCAGGGATTGCAGGTAAGGGAAGCATGGGCTTGCCCTTCTGCCATCTCTTGGGGCAGTGCTGAGGTTGAAACAAGTGCCTCTGGGCAACTGAATCAAGGATGCACATAAAAGTCCCATTGGCCCCTTGGAATAGGTGATGTACATATCAAGGGAAGCTCATCTATTTACAAATTCTTAGATAGAAGTGTAATATGTGTAAGGTCTTGTCCCATCTTCAGAGGCCAGAACTCTGCTGGGTGCACAGAGCAGAAAAAGTGGAATGAGAAAAACCCTGGCTCCAGAAGCCTAGCAAAAGAGGTGCTGAGAAGGAGTGAGCACCCTTTGTGTGCAGCCCCTGACTTCTCAGGCTGCAGAGTGAAATGCTCACAACCTGAGCTTTCAGTCAGGTAGACTCAAAGTGTATGTTACCCCAAGCTGCTTTGTCTTCAGTAAGTTCCTTAACTTTGCTGAGCCTCAGTGTCCTCCACTATAAAAGCAGAACACCACTACCTATTTGAGGGGATCACTGTGTCAATTAAATGAGGAAATATATGTATAGTGGTCAATATTGTGAGCATAATAGGTGCTCAATCAATGAGAAGTTTCTGTCTTTCCTTGGCTGCTATAATCTTAGAGGAAACATTTTGCCGCTTTGCTCCTCATTGTGAAATGAGAAACAGGAATAGTACCAGATCAAAACCCATTATGGGCCGGGCATGGTGGCTCATGCCTGTAAGCCCAGCACTTTGGGAAGCTGAGGCAGTTGGATCACCTGAGGTCAGGAGTTTGAGACCAGCCTGGCCAACACGGTCAAACCCCATCTCTACTAAAAATATAAAAATTAGCCTGGCGTGGTGGCAAGCACCTGTAATCCCAGCTACTTGGGAGGCTGAGGTAGGAGAATCACTTGAACCCGGGAGGCAGAGGTTGCAGTAAGCTGAGATTGTGCCACTGCACTCTAGTCTGGGCGACAACAGCAAAACTCTGTCTCAAAAACAACAACAACAACTAAAAACCATTATGGCTCACTCATTACTTAAAATTGCCAATTTAGAAAAAAACACCAGATACAGCCAGGGACTAAAAATAATTTCTTGGTATTGTCCACATTAGGATATGATTCATACTGGCCTAAAACTTCAAACACTTTTCTCAAGAGGAAAATTAAAGAGAAAACTGAGCAGGAGAAAAATGAAAGTCTGGTTTAAAACTTAATCTCCTCTTCCCGTCTCTATCAAGGCTATCCCAAGGACCCTCTCAGGGAAATTCTCAGGAGGGACACGCTGGTTGGTGATAGACTCAGCTTGAACCTCACAGCATGGCCCCATTCACTGATGGTTTAGAGGGTGTTACAGCAAACTTATTAGGATGATGGATGGGATCTGTAAATGCATAAATGATAAAGATGATTTAGTGATGAACAAAAAATAGGAACTGTTGCTGTTTACCCCAGGGATTCCAGGATTAGGTGCACAATGTTAGCAACACTCATGTCCCTAGTTTGAAAGATGACATAATTGTGTGCAGTGAAGAGGAACTATTTGCCCCCTTTCTCCCCTTCCCAACCCATGCCCCCCAAGACCAACACCATGTATGTGCCAGAGGAGATCTAGTGACTGATGGCATGTGAGACTGGGAACGGAGAAAAGCTACCTGAAAACCTTGGGGCTTATGCTCAGCACTGAGTCCTGGAGCTGTGCCCGACCAGGTACATCACGGTGGATCTACAGGGCCCGGCTGCAAAGATGCCACCTCTTGGCCTAGACAATGCATGAGCCCCCAAAAACTGGAGCCATGTGGCTACTCACTGACTACAGTCACTGAAGGATGCACTTCCTCCTTGTCAAGCTGTGGAGACGTGCTGCTCAGGGAGTGATGTGGGGTAGACCGGGTGTGGTTGCTGCACCAGATCTGGGGCTGAGTCTGGGACCGGGCATCCCACTTGGTCTCTAGGACTTCTGTCACTTTACTCATATTATGCATCTTCCTCAAGATACTAGTGGGGTAAGAAAGAAGAAAAAATAAAGGTCACCTAATGCCACAGCTGTACTAATCTGAGGGCTCACAGGAGATGTAAAGGGGAGGTCAAGAGGATCATTCCTTCAGAGGAGAAGCCAAACAAATCATTTCTGTTTCAGGATAGAGTATGGAGGGAAGGCGGGGACAGAGAGAGCAACAGTTGTCCGGTGCATTGGCTACAAACATCCTGAGGAAAAACGAAGCCGTAATGGGCCCCTTAAATAACACTCATGATTCCTTCACAAAACACCCAGAGACCCATAAGAGTTCAACTCCAGGTATGGGCATGGCGGTACATGCCTGTAATCCCAGCAATTTGGGAGACCAAGGCAGGAGAATTGCTTGAGTCCAGGAATTCAAGACCAAACTGAGAAACATAGTGAGACCCTCTGTCTACAAAAAATAAAAATAAAAAATGAGCTGGGTGTGGTGGTGTGCACCTGTAGTCCCAACTATTTAGGAGGCTGAGGAGGATCACTTGAGCCCAGGAGGTCAAGGATGCAGTGAGCAGTGATCATGCCACTGCATTCCAGCCTGGGCAACAGAGCAAGACCTCATCTCAAAAATAAAATTTTAAAAATGTAAAAAAAAAAAAAAGAATTCAACTCATTCTGTGAACATAATTTTTAAAATAGTATTTGCCATAGGCCATTTAAAACAGATTCCCCAGGCAATGTAGCCTCACTGGTGTCTTGCAGTTTCTAGATCTCCTTCCCTAAGTATAGAGACACAGTATAAACTTTTGTTTGCAAGAAAAATTTGTAGCCGTTTTACATCTTCCAGCGCTCCTTGGGTCACCCTTGAAGAAATCAGATATAATCTTACTCTGGTCTTTAAATAAGGGAAACCAGAGGTGATCCCTGGAGGTTCAGAAGACTCCTAAGACCCAGATAGGTTAGAGCAGCTCTATGTTACTAAATTGGTGAATTAATTGGTGAAAATAAAAGAATAATATATTTTTTAAAAAATTTTAAAAATGAGACTGCCTTATCACTAAGGATACATAATGGTTTAATGGATAAATAAGCTATTTGTTTTTTACTGGCCATGTATGCTCCTGTTTCTTTGAGCTTCTGGCTCTTGTTTCTGGATCCTTCACCAGATTACATCTTCGACAGCCCCTGAAAATTTGGAGTTACCTGAGAGTCGAAGACACCTGTCCTACTTGATTCTTCTTACTTGTACAGTCATCTGAGAACAAAATTCAAAAAGGCCAGTCATGCTTTAAGCAGGTCTCATTTCCCAGACTGCAAACAAACATGGAGGTCTATCTGGGACCAGAGACTTGACTACCTGATGCTTGCCTTGATTCCAGGATACTCTGAATTTTCTCAGATCTTGGGTTGAGTCTTTAGAGAGCTTGTCTGGCAGGCTTTCCTGAGCCCACCATGAAGGTCATCATCTCCACTTGCTTTGCCCTGAGTCACAGCAAAAAGCTAAAAATGTCTTTATTCCCACATATCATGGAACACATATCCACTCCAGCCAAAGCCTCCAAGTCCTGGCACAAGGCCAGCACCCAAACCCATGGCTGTGTGTTCCACCATAGCTTTCATGCAGAACTTCCTCCCTTCTCCAAGGAGATGATAGACATCCGTGTCCCACCTACCATCAGGAGACAGCACAGTGAACTCAAGCCTTCTGCTACTATGGGCCCTTGGGTTCTCAAGGGGGAATTTCATGTAAAATGCTCCTGAAACAGCTAATTATCTCACCACCGTGTACTAGTACACACAGTGCCTGAACCATGCCAAAGTCAGCATGATTCTTTATCATTTTTTTGAAGTGCGCCGATTAATGTTACTTATTTAATCCCTAGAACAATCATGCAACATTCAAGGGCTGGAATTATTTGACTTAATTTTTTAGGTAGAGAAACAGAAATCAAAATAAATATTAACCTGTCCAGAGCTGGTAAGGAACACATATAAGCTAGAGGTAGGGTTTTTGGATTCCCAGTTCAGGGCCCTTCACAAAAACCAGCTGCCCCTGTTCCTTCTGTCTTTCTGCCAATTAGTTTCAGAGGAATACCATCATCCCTGGGGATGCCTCCTGCCCTAACAGTCATATTCCATGAGGGATGGAGGTGCTGGTGATCATCATGGCATCCTCAACCCTTCTTCTTGGAGCTCCTCTCCAGCCAGTCCTGACTCTGTCATGGTCTTAAGGTGGTGATTACAAAGCAGGACACCAGGTTGAAAAGTGACATGTGAATGGGGGTGGCATCCTGTGAACTTAGGACCTTGGGAGAGACTGAAAATCTTCCTAAGCTCTGCGGCCAACTTACCTGTGCTGAATTTTCTGGCAAGGCTCTCTGCCAGCTGGCTTCCTTTGGCCAGCTGCTCGCAGTAGTGCTGCTCCATATAGTGGTCAAAGTTATTGCTCTGGAGTAGCTCCTCAAAGGTCTTTAGTGTGTTCTTGACATGCTGGATGAGAAGAGCAGAGGCCACTCTCCCAAGCTTCATCTTCTGCCGTAGGTGGGTTAACTCTTGAGCCTGATCCTGAATCAAGGAATGATACTTCCTAAAGTAGAAAAAAAGAAGTAAAGGTAGATAGGAATAACTGATAGGTTATAGCAATTTAGGAGAAGGAACTTGAGAGTATCACCAAAGGAGGCCACACACTGAATTCTAGCATATGTTTAGTGTCCTGAATATGGTAAAAGGAATGAAGGAAATGAAAACAATCTTTATGTGAAAGATCCCTTCTAAGATTGTCATTTTCCCTGCCACTTGCTAAAGAAGAAAAATCACTTGATCATATTAATAGATGAAGAAAAAGCATTTGACAAAATTCAACACTCATTCATCATAAAATCTCTCAACAAAGTGGGAATAGAGGAGACCTTCCTCAACTTGATAAAGAACATCTATAAAAACTCTACACTAATGTCATACTAGAAACTAGAAGCTTTCTCACTAACATCAACAATAAGGCAAGAATTTCCCCGCTTACCACTTCTTTTCACCATCATACTGGAAATCCTAGCTAATGCAGTAAGATAAGCAAAGGAAATAAACGGTATACAGATTAGAAAAGATGAACTAAAACTGTCTTTGTTCACACATGATGCAGTTATCTATGTATTATAGAAAATCTCCAACATGGTGAAACCCTGTCTTTACAAAAAATACAAAAATTAGCCGGGCGTGGTGGCATGCGCTTGTAATCCAGCTACTTGGGAGGCTGAGGAAGGAGAATTGCTTGAATCCGGGAAGCAAAGGTTGCAGTGAGATGACATCGTGCCACTCTGCACTCCACCCTGAGTGACAAAGTGAGACACTGACTCAAAAAAAAAAAAAAAAAAAGGCCGGGCGCGGTGGCTCATGCCCGTAACTCCAGCACTTAGGGAGGTCGAGGTGGGCGGATCATGAGGTCAGGAGATCGAGACCATCCTGGCTAACACGGCGAAACCCCGTCTCTACTGAAAAAACAAAATAGTAGCCAGGCTACTCAGGAGGCTGAGGCAGGAGAATGGCTTGAACCCAGGAGGCGGAGCTTGCAGTGAGCCGAGATTGAGCCACTACACTCCAACCTGGGCGACACAGTGAGACTCCATCTCAAAAACAAAAAGAAAAGAAAAGAAAATCTGAAAGAATTGACAACAAAAATCTCCTGGAACTAGTAAGTGATTATGTCAAGGTAAAATCTAACAAAACATGTACAAGATCTGTATGAGGAAAACTGCAAAACTCTGTTGAGAGAGGTCAAAGAAGCACTAAATACACAGAGAGATATTCTGTGTTCATGGACAGGAAGACTAAATATTGTCAAGATGTCAGTTCTTCCCAACTTGATCTAAAGATTCAATGCAATACCAATCAAAATCTCAGCAAATAAATTTTGTGAATATCAACTAATAGATGCTAAGGTGTACATAGAGAGGCAAAAGACCCAGAATGGCCAACACAATATTGAAAAGGAACAGAGGGCTGATATGACCTGACTTCAAGACTTACTGTAAAGCTACAGTAATCAGGACAGTATAAGATTTGTGAAAGAATAGACAAATAAGTCAGCGGAACAGAATAGAGATTCCACAAGACTCCAAAATATAGCAGATTGATCTTTGACAAAGGGACAAGGGCAATACAATGGAGAAAAGATAGTATTTTCAAAAAATGGTGCTGGAACAGCGGGACATCCACATGCAAAGAAAGTGAATCTAGACACAGACTTCACATTCTTCATGAAAACTTACTCAAAATGGATCATAGGCCTAAATGTAAAACATAAAATGATAAAAAAAAAACCCTAAAAGATAACAACAGCTGAAAATCTAGATGACCTTGGGTTTGGTGATGACTTTTTATTTATTTTATTTATTGATCTAAAGATTCAATGCAATACCAATTTTAATTTAGAGACAGAGTCTCTAAATAAATTAATTATTTTATTTACTTGTTGGAGGGCATGATCATGGCTCACTGAAGCATTCCTTGGGCATGATCATGGTGTGATTATGGCTCACTGCAGCCAAACTCTTGGGCTCAAGTGATCCTCTTGCCTCAGCCTTCCAAAGTGCTGGGATTACAGGTGTGAGCCACCGAGCCCAGCTATATGATTACTTTTCAGATATAACACAAAAGGCATGATCCACAAAAGAAATAATTGATAATCTGGACTTCATTAAAATTAAAAACTTCTGCTCTGCAAAAGGCACATCAAGAGAATGAGAAGACAACACACTGGGAGAAAATATTTGCAAAAGATATATCTGGTAAAGGACTATTAAGCCAAATACACAAAGAACTCTTAAACTCAACAATAAGAAAATGAACCACACAATAAAAAATGGGCAAAAAACCCTGAACAGACACCTCACCAAAGATGATGGCAAATAAGAATATGAAAAGATGCTCAACATCATATGTCATTAGGGAATTGCAAATTAAAACAACAAGATACCACTCTACACCTATTAGAATGGCAAAATCCAGAACACTGATAACACCAAATGCTGGTAAGGATGTGGAACAACAGATATTCTCATTCCTTGCCGGTGGGAATGCAAAATAGTACAGCCACTTTGGAAGACAGTTTGGCATTTTCTTGTGAAACTAAACATACTCTTACCAAATGACCTAACCATCTGCTCCTCAGTATTTTCCCAAGCGAGCTGAAAACTTAAGTTTACACAAAAACCTGCACATGATGTTTATAGCAGCTCTATTCATAACTGCAAAAACTTGGAAGCAACCAAGATGTCCTTCAGTAGGTGAATGGATAAATTTTGATACATGCAGTCAATGGAATATTATTTGGTACTAAAAAGAAATGAGTTATGAAGCCATGAAAAGACATGAAAGAACCTTAAGTGTGTAAGTGAAAGAAGCCAACCTAAAAAAGCTACATACTGTATGACTCTGACTATATGACACTATGGAATAGGTAAAACAGTGGAGAGAGTAAAAAGATCAGTGGTTGCCAGGTGTTAGGAGGAAAAGGAGAATGAATAGGCAGAGCACAGAGAATTTTTAGGGCAGGGAATAGTCATTCTTTATTACAATGGTGGATACATGCCATTATACATTTATACTTGTGTCAAAACCTATAGAATATACACCACCAAGAATGAACCCCACTGTAAACTGTGGACTTTGGGTGATGATGAGTCAATGTGGGTTCATCAGTTGTACCAAATGTTATCACTCGGGGGCAAGATGTTGATAGTGAGGGAGGCTGTGTCCTTGCAGGGGTAGGGGGCATATGGGAACTCTCTGTTACTTTCCACTCAATTTTGCTGTGAACTTAAAGCTGCTCTTAAAAAGTCCATTAAAAAAAAGAATGATCACAGAAGTATAATTTTTAAAAATATATTTGATGAAGTGGGTGTAGTGTAGCCTTTGTGAATCGAGAGCACAGGATTCTAATGTTATCTCTGCCAGAGGCTATTATGCAACTTTGATCAAATGACTATCTCTTAGGGCCTAAGTGTTCTCAGTTCTAAAATGAGGTAATGAGACTAACTGACTCTAGAGTTTTTTGGGTGTTTTGTTTTGTTTTGTTTTGTTTTGTTTTGTTTTGTTTTGTCTGAGATGGAATCTTGCTCTGTCATCCAGGCTGAAGTGCAGCGGCGCTATCTCGGCTCACTGCAATCTCCACCTCCCGGGTTCAAGCAATTCTCCTGCCTCAGCCTCCCAAGTAGCTGGGATTACAGGTGCCCACCACCATGCCCAGCTAATTTTTGTATTTTTAGTAGAGACGGGGTTTCACCATGTTGGCCAGGCTGTCTCCAATTCCTGACCTCAAGTGATCTGCCCACCTCAGCCTCCCAAAGTGCTGAGATTACAGGCGTGAGCCACTGTGCCTGGCCTAGCGTTATTTTAGCCCTAACTAACATTATTCTCTGGGTCAGTGAAACTTAAGTGGAATATATTGGGCAGTGACCTAATGGAGCATGAAGCAGGATTTGAATCACTTCCAAAGCTGTACACCAACCACTTAGGCAAAGTAGTGATTTCAGTAACTTAGTATTTCAGTAACTGGTGCTCACAGGCAAATGCGTAATGGATTAACCCCATATTATTTAAATGCTTCCAAAAAGCTATAGGAAAATGGCCATTAAAAACAAACTGACAAATTTAGCCAACAGGCCACTATTTGACAATTCTGCAAGCTTATTTTTAAAATTCAGCTTATCAAAACTGCCATTCCAGAAGCCAGGGACCTGAGTTTCCATAGAGGATGGAGTAGAATGGAGGGGCCTCTGTATAAATCTACCTCCTCGGGAACTGGGACAGTTCAGCATTCACCAGAGTAACGTATGAAGAAACAGGAGATTCCTACATGCTCCTGGGGATCCAGAAGAGAGACCACTCACATGACTGGAAGATTTCCAGCTCAGGTAACCACAAAGGCCATATATTTGGTGAATACAGGCAATGTTAGTTAGAATAAAACCAAATTTCTCTGAATAATATAAAGTCATTACTAATAAAACTTTTATAGATTTTTCTCTGAAGAAATTTCCAGGAAGGTGTTAAGAGAAAGCCCTACAATTAAGGTATGGAGGCTGGCTGCAGGCCCTGAAAGCTACTCTGATGAGCAATGACTTAATGCTGATAGTGGGAAGTCTCTTGCCCACTGCAGGATACAGAGAATTCTTCCTCAACCCGAGGCTTCTGCTCATTCACTCCCTTCTCAGCAGGTCCCTTCTTCTCTGAGGGCTGATGCATCCCAGCCTTCTGCTGGGACATTTTCTCATGAAGAGCTCTCTTACAGCCGTCTTTGAAAGGAAGGACAGAGAAGAAAGATGTCTATGTCTTCACAATGGCCAGGCTTTTCTCCAAAACTACCTAAAGCAATTGAAACAAAATTATGGCTTACAGAGGTTAGATTATTAGTGGAGATCCTGTAGGACGATAGAATCTCAAGAGCAGAGCCTACCAGGAAGTAGAGTGAAGCCTACAACTTCCTCAGCCATGAGGACCCAACAATCCACTGGGTAAAAGAAAGATGCAGCAAGTGCTGGGGTGGGGTCAGGGTGGGTGCTGTTATGAGAAGGAAGGGGAGGTCCCACAGGTGTTTAGAAGAAAAAACAGGCAATAAATGAATGAAAACAAATGGGGTTTAAACTAAGCTAAGGGATGAGTATTTTTGTTTCTTATAGCTGAGATAAGGTTCTTATGAAGTTCCCAGGGAATGTCCCTTCAGAGGTCAGGAAGCATTTTGCTTCCACAAGTTTTGAGAGTCATGAAGGCAGGAACACATTTTGAGATGCCAGAGCTCAAATCCCATGTCACTGGGACATCAACAATAGTGCTATGGGGAAGACTCAGGGTGCCAGCTCTTGAGTCACAATCACAGAATTAGAATGTGGAAGTAGCTACAGAACCCAAGGAAGCCCTGCCTTCTGATAGCTACACTCAATGCAAGGCTGCGTATTTCACCCTGGAGGTCTCTAACAGGGGAGGCCACCCCCTCAATAGCCAGCTTTTTTACCCTTTTGCTTACGTTGTCAACCAATTTCTAAGCACAGCAAAATAACCTAAGTATACCTCTCCTTGAAAACATCAAAACATTTTCTCAGCAGCTTTTATTTTCTTGAAGACAATTTCAGTAAAAACAATTCTTGTGGCTTTTCCTAAATGAATTTTTTTTTAACTTCTAGTGATTCTTACTCTTCGTTTTTAGGAACTCTCCAGGTTTTCACTTCCTACATTCTTTCAAGAGTATAGTGACTAAAACTGGAGAATAATCATTTAAGTCTGACTAATAAATTTAGCCTCATGTTGTATTACTTTTTAATACATAATAAATAATATATCCCAATGCGATACTTGCTTCCTTTCCCTTGCAGTAGCAACGTGTAGGGGTTTCATTTAATATGAGGTCGATTTGAGCCTTCCAAACTCCCATTCCACCCACCTTTGCTTGCACTCATGGGAAGGCTCAGTCTATATCTGGTTTGCCCACATTCCTAGGCTACAGACCTCTAGGACTCCCAATTTGAGAGGCGCCATTTTTTTGGAGGGTAGTGAATTTTGATTTCTGTCTCCTTTGCATCCTTCCCAATGAAAACTGCTTTCAGCCACTCTCTGCTAGCCTCTCACCAGCACAGAGCTCAATTCACAAATGCCTTGAGGGGAAAACCTTTACCAAGTGTTCAGTTCACATCTCAATTCATTCTAGAATCTTGGCTTTTCAAGTCAAAATACCTGGACAGCTCCACACGTCTACCCACTCCCCACCCCCATGAGGTTACTTAAAGTGCTGCTGTTTTCTCTGGTTTTTAACCACTGCCCTCTCC
Source organism: Homo sapiens (assembly GCF_000001405.40). Lineage (NCBI taxonomy): Eukaryota > Metazoa > Chordata > Mammalia > Primates > Hominidae > Homo > Homo sapiens. The sequence goes on from NC_000001.11 coordinate 121,044,027, forward strand.
CCAGCTTCTCAGCCTCTTGTCCCTTGCCAAGAACTAGCAAATACCCTGAGGGGGAAAAATTGTTTCATTCCAATGATCTTCTTTCTCTCCCTCTCTCTCTCCACCCGCTTTCTGTAGCTGGCCCTGTGGGTCCTAGCTTTTCAAAGACTTCAAACAGAATTCCTTTAAACCAGATTTTATCTACTTCTTTTCGAAGGGAGTGCTGGTTTGCCACAAAACTCCATCGTAACTGAAAGAGGAAATCTTCTACAAATTCCAGGTAAATCAAATTTTCCTACCTTGATTTCTGAAGAAAACAAAAAAAAGAGAAGAGGCCATTGGTAGTATATACTTGCATTTTTCTTGTAATACTTGCGTAAGTCTGAATGGGTATTAAAGGCTCTTGCTAGAATCATGTGCCAAAGATTGTCTACCATGACCTAAACAATCAGGCCTGTCCAAGGTCCAAGAATTTGATCAGGTTGGATCCAGTCCTCTGGTGCACTAACAGAGATCCTGTTGGAGGATAGAATCCTGCTGTAGGATTCTACGTCTGTACTTTGAGTAGACACTTCAAGTAACCAGTTTTTCAGACACCTGGCCACTAATATGGGGAGAAGAGTTCAAAAAAACCATTGAATATTTCTAATTTATTGTAGGGAATGTTAAAATTTCTCACTGGTACAGTTAGAAATGAAAACAAAGACAATAATAATAGTAATAATAATAATAACTGTTTCAAGAGCATTATTATGTGACTGGCATTGTTTCTAAGTGCTTTACTGTGTAGTAACCTATTTAGTCCACATAACGACCCTACAAGATAGTGTTGATTTTTTTGTTTGGTTGTTGTTGTTGTTGTTGTTGTTGTTGTTGTTGTTTGAGATGGAGTCTCTCTCTGTCATCCAGGCTGGAGTGCAGTGGTGTGATCTCAGCTCACTGCAACCTCTGCCTCCCGGGTTCAAGCGATTCTCCTGCCTCAGCCTCCTGAACAGCTGGATCACAGGCCCCACAACCATGCCCAGCTAATTATTGCATTTTTAGTAGAGGCAGGGTGGTTTTACCATGTCAGTCAGGCTGGTCTCAAACTCCCGATCTCAGGTGATCCACCTACCTTGGCCTCCCAAAGTGCTGGAATTCCAGGCTGAGCCACCCCGCGCAGCCGATAGTGTTGATTATTACAACCCCTTGTTGCAGATGAGAACATTGCACTGAAAGGCTGAGCTTACCTTTCCAAGGTCCCATCATCTCTATGAGAGTGAGAGCCAGGACTCATCCAGACCCTCGCTCTGAGCCATTAGGCTTGGTGGTAACTAAGAAGATCTCACTAAGATGTGCATTCCCTCCTTCTTGCTCAATCTCCAAGATTTCAAGGACAAAATGGAAATTAAAAGTAAGGCCTACAAGATGGCTATTATTTTAAAAAGAAGGAAAGAAAATTATCAGTGTTGGTGATGATGTGGAAAAATTGAAACCCCTGTGCACTGTTGTTTGGAATCTATTAGGTTGGTGCAAAAGTAACTGCGGTTTTTGTCATTACTTTTAATGGCAAAAATCGCAATTACTTTTGCACCAACCTAATAAAATGGTACAGCCACTGTGGAAACCCATATGGTGGTTCCTCAAAATATTAAAAATAATTATCACATGATCCAACAAATTTACTTCTGGATATATACTCAAAAGAACTGAAAGCAAGGATTCAAAGAGATATTTGTGCACCTGCATCAATAGCAGTATTACAATAACTAAAGAAGGGAAACAACCCAAGTGTCCAACAACAGGTAAATGAATAAACAAAATGTGGCAAATACATGCAGTGGAATATTATTCAGCCTTAAAAAAGAAAAGAAATTCTGACACATGCTACAACATAGATGAACATGAGGATATTATGCAAAGTGAAATAAACCAGTCACAAAAGGAAAAATACTATATAATTCTGCTTATATGAAGTACCTAGAGTAGTCAAAGTCATAGAGACAGGAAATAATGGCGGTTGTGCCAGGGGCTAGGGAGGGAAGAATGGGAAATTAATGGGTATAGGGTTTAGGAACTTTAGTCTAAGAAAGGAGAATATTGGATGCCAGAAATTCAGTTTTCTTTCTGTTCCAAGATCCCTTTAGCTAGAGCGACATATTGAAGTCAGAGTTCCTAAGGGAAAATCATTGTGTATGGAGATCATCCTTGTGGATCAAATGTGAATCAATAGTAGATCAAAAGATATTCCACTTTTGCAGATATTGACATTTGTTGGACCCGTAAGATTTTATCTAGTATTAGATAGATAAGATGTGAACCACTTCTCAACGCTGCAGACTCAAATACTAGGAAATACTAAGAACCTCAGGACAAACAAATAGCCAGTCCAAAAAGACTCACAGACTAGATAAGCTGTCATCTACCACCTAACAGATAATGTATCCCTGTTAACCACTATCTCCAGATGTTCATTTCATAAAATCAAAAACAGAATTCCATGTGGATCATGGAAAAAAATAGTTGACAATGTACAAATGAGAGAAAAAATACTTGTCCAAGAATTACATTTAGTGTCTAAAAGCCAAATAGCTCAATTTCTGCTCATGAGATTCAACAGATGAACTGAGGGAACATATGCCGATAGCTCTGAGATTACAGGTCCGCATGGGATGCCCATAAGGTGCAGGATTCTATTAGCTAAGATTATATGTCTCAGGTGGGCAAATCTTTGTGGACATAGCAAGAAAAAAGAAAAACTGTCAAGGAATAATACAGAGACAGTGTGATGGTTAATTTTATGTGTTAACTTGGCTAGACCACAGTGCCCAGGTATGTGGTCAAATATAATTCTGGAGGTTTCTGAGAAAGGGTATTTTGGATGAGAGTAACATTTGCATTAGTAGACTTTGAGTAGAGCAGGTTGCCCCATGTCATGTGGGTGGACCTCATCCAATCAGTGGAAGGCCTGAATGGAATGAGATTGACCTTCCTGGAAGAAGAGGAAATTCTACCAACAGAATATCTTAGGACTCAAATAACAACTCTTCCCTGGGTCTCCAGCCTGCCTGCCTTGAACTTTCACAATCATGTGAGCTAATTCCTTAAAATAAATCAATAAAAATAGATGATAGATGGATGATTCTGTTTCTCTGGAGAACCTTGACTAATACAGATAGCATACTAATTCACCCTTGCCATTTATAGAGGAAAGAGTGGAGTAATAAATATCAGAATATCTTCTCCAGACTGGTCACCACAGAAACAAATTGTAGCTGTACAAAATATCTTGGAAGTTTAGCTGAAGAGATGAGGAGATACTCTACTGCTCAATGTGCGCCATGTCATCTGTTGTACCTCCCCTTAGTTAAGTCAGGAGGGCAACACTCCCTTTATTTTTTATTTTATTTTGTACGTATGTGTGTGTGAGATGGAGTCTCGCTCTGTGGCCCAGGCTGGAGTACAGTGGCGTGATCTTGGCTCACTGCAACCCTGCTTCCCAGGTTCAAGTGATTCTTGTGCTTCAGCCTCCCGAGTAGCTAAGATTACAGGCACAGGTCACCACCTGTGGTAATTTTTGTGTTTTTAGTAGAGATGGGGCTTTGCTATTTTGGCCAGACTGGTCTCGAACTCCTGACCTCAGGTGATCCGCCCACCTCGGCCTTCCAAAGTGCTGGGATTACAGGTGTGAGCCACAGCTCTCGGCCCCTCTATTTATCAGACAGATGTATAGAAAGTTTATTGTGCTAGCAACAGTATGAAGAAAAGGATTCTCTGAGTTGAAAAAACAAATTGGAATATAAATTGGTACCACTTCTATGGAAGGCAAATTTACAGGGCTTATTAATTAAAATAAAAAATGTGTACTGTAACCACTATGATACAGCAGTTGCGCTTCCAGAACTCTACCCTATAGAAATCCGTGTACAAATAGCAAAAGATATTTGTACAAGAATGATGACTGCAGCATTATTTGTAATCGTAAATTCATGGAACAAACTTAATTTAAAAAACAACATGTAAAGGGTTAGATGATGGAATAAACAAAAGAAGAAATGCCTTCATCAAAAATAATGCAGAGGATAATAATAATCTTGAGTCTACTGATAACATTATTGATCGAGCAATTATTAAATCTAGGCACATCCTGCAAATGCGATATTATTACCATCCTCATATTACAGTTGAAAAAATATTGAGGTACAAATAGCTTGTCAATAGCCCAAAGGCACAAAGAGAAGCAAGATTTCACCCAGAACCCGTGAACAGATCACACAAAATTTCTCTTGTTCCCTGGTCCAAGGAACTTCTGTACCTTCCAACTACATTTCTTTCCAACAGAGACCTTCTTGGAGGATGAGAAGCAGCCACTAGTTGACAGGAGGGGAAGTGAGGCATGTAGTCTTCAAGGGAGCAGACCACCGTGGGAGTTATAAAAGATCAGCGACGCCTCTGGGTGGGTTCAAACCACCAACCTTTTAGTTAACAGCCAAAAGCGCTAGCCGATTGCGCCACAGAGACATGGCTGAGCTCCTAATTTCGTTCTAAAAGAGGGTAAGCTGTCACTAAACGCTAGCTAGCACTATCCGCCTTTTGCAAAATGACTGGGTAATCTCCAAAGCCTCGGAAAGCCGGAGCAGTCAGAGCGACGAATCTACTTGTTTGTCAAGCTTGAAACCTGTGCACTGAGTGATTCCGAAACACCCCGCACCCCGCCTTGCCCCCTCACCTGCCTCAGAAGCCGGCGCTTCCGGAGATGCCGGGATCGCGACTCCTGTTAGAGCGACTTGGGCCCCAGGGAAGCTGAAACGCCCAGGGCGCTCAATTAGGACTTGTTGAATTAATAATACATTTGAGAGACAGAATATACAATCGAACAATGGCCGGACTGTACGTAAAAATATAACTCTGATCCACAACCTGGGGCCACCTGCCCAAGAAATCAACTTCCTTATCTACGAATAAACAACCGGGGAAGCCAGCCTGCTATTATATAAGTCAGACTCACAGGGAGCCAGGCAGTTATCTGTAGTAACAAACAATAACATCCATAACAATCGGCTCCAAATGGCAAGAGCTTGGTTAGTAACTGACACTTTCCCTAATTTATGTTCCCACTTGCAACTTAGGACCAACCAGGGAAAGCCAAATATGCACCCCTAACCAAGCACACTGGATGTCCCCCTTCTAGTTAGCCCACAGGCAGCTTCCCCACACCAGCAGTCTCCAATCAGGGCACACCTGAAGCCTTCCCTTTCCTCAGCTATAAAGCTGTCCCACTCCTCTACCTGCCTTCTAAGCTCTGTCAAAATGCAAGTGCCGGTGGCTGATGCCGGTGGCTGACGCCCTTGCGTCAGAATAAATAACCATTGCTTTTTTCATTTGATGGGCCTTCGTTTTCACACTTTGTCATCTTTAAGCTTTTAGCCCTTTGAAGGATTCTGAGACTGGAAAATAAATGAAAGGATTTTTCAAAGGGGGAAGTTCTTTTTTTAAAGGCTTTATTCTGGTCAATTGATTTCCAAGTGTGCAATGTCCCATGGGGTAGGCCACAAAGAGGCCTAGAGTGCACCATCTGTGCGGCTGCAGCTCCTGGCTCTCAACAGAACTGAGATCTAAGTCCTCATGATCTGATCAGCTTCCGAGGGCCTAAACCTCCTATTACCACCAACTTGGGGATTAGGAGTTCAACAAATAAATTTGGTGAGGGGACGCAGACACACAAACATTCAGACCATAGCAATGCATAAAGGTAGCTCATCACTGAAGTTTTAATTTGTGTTTCCCTAACGAGTAATGATTTTGAACATTTTTCTTATGTCTTTTGGGGTCAGTGGGCAAGATCAGGAAAGGGGCAGGGACCAAAGGAGACATGAAGAGGGAAACAGCAGGGACAATGACACCTCCCAGGAGACTTGTGCAGAGGCAAAGGCTGGATCCTGAGAGATGAGAATTATTTTTGTCATGTATTTGAATGAGAAGAAATAGAAAAAGGACATGAAAGAGAAAAAACACAAGAACTTGTAGCTATCCAAGAACAAAACAGGAAAATATCGTGGATATTTTTGCATCAAAAATATTAAAAGCAGCCCACTGGCAACCCCAGGTTTATGGTGCACCATGATGATATAACAGTTAGTGCTCTTCATTGTGACCGAAGCAACCTTGGCTGGAATTGGAGCCACAGTAGCATCTGGCTTCCTTCTTGGCAAGATTTGGTATGTGTTACAGTTTCACTTTTTAAATCCCCTTACCAACTGCACCCAGTAGCTGTGGTCAGAGAGCAGAGTTTACTGTGTCTCCCTGTGACGCAGTCAGGACAAGAGAAGGAAACCCCTACAGTGCACTAACCTACGGCAGAATCTTTGGGGAAGGTTAGAAGGGACCGTGTGTCTGAGCATGTGCAGGAACCATCTCAAAAGGTAAAGCCCTGTCTCTTCAGGAGCCTTGTCTGTAGCTTCAACTGACGTAATGGTGTGGTAATAACCATTTTTCTGGCTGAGATATTTCAAAGGTCAGTAAGGCCTTTTTAGATGCAATGGCAATGAGCTTTGTACGAGTTCTCATTCAACAGGGTATTTTACAATAAAATCTGATCATATAAAACCCAATAAATGTAATAGAACCTAAACTTGATGCCATCCTCCACCTCCCCCACCTAATTATTTGGCGGGGGAATGGGAGCGCTAATAGTACATTATTGAAGTATAATTCACATAGAGTAACATGCACAAATCTTAAGGGCATAGAAACGTAACCATCGCCTAGATCAAGTTATAGAAAATTTCCATCAGCCCAGAAAGGTCAATAACCTCCTTTAGATTCCCATCCACCTTCCTTTCACTTAGACAAACCATTCTGATTTCTATCTTCACAGACAAATGTTGACTGCTTCTGAAATTCACATAAATGAATATACTTTTTTGTGTCTGACTTCTAATTTCCTGCAGCATAATGTTTTTGAGATGCATCCATGTTTTTAGTATATTATTTTGGTGTTATTGATGACTGTTATTTCTGTGTGGATGACTGGGTTATTTCCAATTCTGGCTCTCGTGAACAAAGCTGCTATATTCTAGTACAATTCTTTTTGTAGACATATGCACCCATTTCCTTTGCTAAGACTTTAAAGTATTCTTTCTTCAAGTTAAGGGCAGTTTTTAAATAGTTATCAGTTGCATTCTTGGAATTCACAGAAAGCTTGGGGAGAAACAATCCGACGGCACAAGTTCAAGTGCCCAACGGGGTGGAGAAGGGACTGCATACTCACTGGTTGCCAGGCCGAGGTTGTCCGCCTTGCCTGCTTTGGCTGAGACTGGAGACGGAAACTCCATTCAACAGCGACTGGAGGACTGAAACAGGGCGCAAGAGGGCGGCTGCCCTTCACCTACTGGTCCCTCCCTGCCTTGGCGCCTTCGGAGTTCGGACTGACCCGGGATGTTGCCGGAGCCGGCAGGAACTGCAAACTCACCGCGCGCGTCCCTGCACACCCGCACCTGCGCCTCGAGAACTCCTGGCCAGTTGAATACCCGGTCTGCCGCCGAGCTTCGCTGCAGGTCACAGGAAAGGGGTGCAGGGTTGCGTACCCGGCGGGAGAAGCCGCGCGGAGAGGACCAGGTGCTGCTACTGGCCTCCGAGAAGACAGGCCTAGAGTAGCTGATTTTGACCTGCAGGGCCAAAGTCTAACGGCGGCCTAAAACCCTAACGTCTGGGCCAGCCGCGGGTAGCTAGTTGAAGCGATCTCTATGCCTTGCTTGTCGTTTGCCAAAATTCAGACCAAGAAAGAGAATAGTTGTGTGGATCAAAGTCTGCAATTAACCAGAAAAGAAACATAATCCTGTGTTAGCTTACTTAGGAAAAAAGGAAGAAGGAAGGAAAGAAGGAAGGAAGGGAGGAAAGGATGGAGGGAGGGAAGAAAGATGAAAAAATCAACCAAAAAAAGAACATAATTTCCTAACTAATCGGATGTGGGTCATGAGAGAAAGACCTGCGTCGAGTTTTTGGCCTGAACGTGTGGAGGGTGGAGTTGCCATTAACTAACCTGGGAAAAGGCAGGTGTACTACGTTGTAGAGAAAATATCCGGAATTCCGTTCAGGGCCCTGGGGTCTTCCTTGAAAGAGTTTTCCATCCAGGCCGTCTCGGTTTCCGCATCCGTCTGAGTCGTTTATGATGTCGGGAATGCAGGAATCTGAGTCCTTTATGATGTTGAGGGTGCCACGGTCTCACCCCGGGCGCCTCCCCGCTCCAGCCTCCTCCCGGAAACCTGGTGCGCTCTGGCCCCGCCGACCAGGGACAGTCTCTCCACGCGCTGCCGCCTAGCAAAGGCGCATCTTTAGGTCGGTAGTGAGGTGCGGCCGGGACGCTGCAACTCGCTCCGGGACTTGTAAACCTGGCAGGTGTTCGAGGAGCGCCACTGGCTGGAAGGAAAGGAGAGAGCTCTGCACGTCGCGTGTGGGCTCGCAACTTGGAGAAAGCAGGGAGAGGACAGTCTTTTGGGACTATTCCTTGGATGGGCAGGTGGCACCAGGAAGGGTAGATGGAGCTTTCTAGAGGTCAATGTCAGCGTAATTTCTGCTGAAACAATTGAAGGAGGAAAAAAAAAAAGTATGTGCTTTGTGGTTCCCTGGTAGTCTAGTGGCTAAAGTTTGGCGCTCTCACCGCCGGGACTGGTTGATTCCAGATCAGGGCACTGGGTCTCGGCCTCACTGTGAGGTATTGTTCTTTCCTGTGTTTGCCATCTACCACCGCTGTGGCTCAATTATTTCAAGACTGCTGGAGAAATGGAATTAATGTCGATCCTAAAATTTAAGCTATTTATCTAGGATAAATTCCAAATAGTGGAACTGCTAGGTGAAATTTATTGTGAATTTAAGATTCCGATATATACAGCCCTACAACGTATAAGCACCAATTACATTCCCCAAAGTGTGTGAGACTGCGTCTTTTCCCCAGAATTTAAAACCAATGCTAGAAATTATCAGTCTTTTAGAGATAATTTTAAGCTTATTTATCATCAAAGGATTTCTTCATAGTCAATTTCCCCTTAGACTATAAATCCGCAAGAGATGGCAAAGCTGGAAGAACTGCCTAGAATTTCAGCAAACTTGAATTCAATAGTCTCTCTGTTTTTTCCTGTTTTGGCACCTACCCTTTTCTTCCAGTTAAGATTGGACACAATAGAAAAATAATTAATAAATGTAATAAAAATGTAAGCCTGGACGTTTTGCTCACAGTGTTCTCACTGGGTCTAAATTTTGTGAATGTGGTTCCTTGGATGGTCTCATGGGTATGCTTGAGACTTTAGGCCCTTGGGACACCTGGTGCACAGAAGGGTCCCAAAACCCATCTTTGGAAGTGTTGGCAGAGTAAATAGGCACCAGTAATAAAGGCAACGGCGCCTGAAGACCTAAGGCTGGTTTAAACCAAAGCAGATTTTTCAAAACCAGAGAGGGCTTGTGTTCATAATTTAATAATTTAATTTTTATTTTGATGAAATTTAAATTTGATTTAAATTTTCATAATTTAATTTTCATTTTGATGGCCACTTTATTTTGACAAAGACACTAGTGGAGGAAAGTCTCTTTATCGTATCATCAATTTCCCTATAAATCTTTGTCTCAGAAAAATTTAATAATAATTTCATAATAAATTATAATAAATAATGTTTCACATCTTACATTATTCACTTTTGATTTAGTTGGCTTGTGCTGTCAATATGCTGCCCACTGTATAACACTACCTGATGAATTACATTCAACTATGTAGTAATACATATTACTACATATACACACACACGTATACATGTGTATATACATATACACATGTATACGTGTGTGGGTATATATGTATATATAACCATATATAATTTCAAAAGGTAAATTAAATATAATGGGACAGTGTTGGTAACCTCTTAGATAGTGTAGGGATAAGATAGCTGAATTTATGGCATGGTGTTGTATACTTCAGATATCTATGCTGTAATATTAAAATGGCATTTCCTTGGCCCACTAAATTGTCCATTTCCTGGCCCAATATGATACACGAAAGGAGTGAAAATGGGAAGAAAATAGCCTTCTGAAGGACTTGCCTAATAAACTTCTCCCTTAGCATTACTTGGAGTGACATCAGAAAATTGGAATGAAGTAATTGTGTAAAAAAGACAAATTCTCTGCTGTCTTTCTCCCCCAATCCTTAATAAACAAAGGAGGAAACCTAGACTCAGGTTAGGTTTTCTCTTCTTATTCTTTACATACCAGGACAAGTACTGAGCTTGTTTGTTACTATATGGGGACTTAGTATATTGTACAAAGGGGTGTGGCTATTACTGTCCCTTTTCTACCAGAGCATCAAAACTGGTAACTTGGCTGGTGTTAAGGGGAGCTTCTAACCTTGAATTCCCACTCCATGTGACTTCTTTCTGGTTCTCTCTTCTCAGAGAACTTGCAGCCATCAGATTCATTTGGAGAAGTTTGATAAAGGTTACTTTATGCTTAGACAGAAGAAAAAACCCTAAGGTCTTGAACTAAGCCTTATCCTCTGATACAGTTTACTGGAATTCCCTCCACTGTGGCACAAGCCCTGCCGTAAATTGTGATTATCTATACCTTGTCAGTTTTATCTGTGTATATATCTTTTACAGTAATCCCCACATCCACCAGAGAACCTAGGTTATTGGCAGAATGAGGTTTGGGAATTTTGGTCCTCTGGCCAGACACTATCAGTTAGTACTCTGATTCCACCATTTTTGAAATTATATACAACAAATTTTAAGTATTGTTTATTTTGGAGAGTTCAGGTTAAAGGAAATGAAGACTATTATTCAGTATTATTTCTGTAATTTTGTAATTTTAACCATAACATAGGTTTCTTATCAAAACGTATGGAAGCCAGAAAGCAGTGAAGCAACAATATTTTCTCCAAAACAAACAGGACAAACTTTGGCAGGAGTGACAAATCTGGCATGCAATGGTGGCTTCTATATCAGAAATCAAGTCTTTTACTTTGTGAGAGGCAGGAGTTTTTAGTTCTTTGTCTTCCTTTTGGCTGCCAGAGGAATTGAACATTGTGAATTCATTGGCATAGTCCCAAGAAACTTTACTTGGCAAGCAAGCTATTGATTTTGGCGGGGGTGGGATGGTGTTTATCAGTCACCCCTACTAGCAGAGATGTGATAACACTGCAGTCAGAGTAGTTGAGTTTTAAAATTTTGACTTGCCAACCAACAGAACATTATTTATGTGGTAAAACTTAGACATCAGAGGCTACAGGCACTCAGGCTAAATTCTGACCCATTCATTGGTGACAAATGTTAAGGGATTTTTGCCCCATTAGCCCTTTTTTTACTCATGATGGTACTCTGAACAGAAGAATCTCCTCTAACAATTTAAGACCATTCATTGTATAAGCATGTAAATCATCAATCTCAATGACACATTTTCACAACTATACACTGAATTGGCTCAGAGGCTTCACTCATAACTTTAACTTTTTTTCCCTCTTTACTACAAATTTTACCCAAACTCTGTCAGTTGAATTCACACTCTACAGGAACACATATCAAGAAGTTTAACACATGCACTTTAGTTACAGCAACACCTGCCAGGAGAATATCTTACCTCCTTGACTGAGAGTTCAAGGAGTGCAGGGAGATGTGACCAGCCATCAAGAAGCAGTAGAGAGACTTCTTTCCTTAAAGTACCTGAGTCAGGTTGAGGGGAAGAGAAGAATTAGGAGCACAAAGAGAGCAGGCACACAACAGGAAGCACAACTCTGCAATTGCTTTTGGTTTTAAGAGGCTGTCCATTCAGTTTTTTGGGTTTTTTTTTTTTCCTTTTTTTGAAACGGAGTTGCCCAGGCTGGAGTGCAGTGGCATGATCTCAGCTCACTATAACCTCCACCTCCTGGGTTCAAACAATTCTCCTGCCTCAGCCTCCTGAGTAGCTGAGATTACAGGCTCCTGCCACCATGCCTGGCTATTTTTTCTATTTTTAGTAGAGATGAGGTTTAACCATGTTGGCCAAGCTGGTCTCGAACCCCTGACCTCAGGTTATCCACCTGCCTCGGCCTCCCAAAGTGCTAGGATTACCGGCATGAGCCACCATGCCCAGCCTGTCCATTCAGTTTCAATGAACTTTAAACAACAAAAAATGCCATTTGGGTGGCTGGTTTCAGTCTTCCCTGTCAATGCTCAGCCTCCAAATATTCACTAACACATAGAACAATAGGAGGACTGTTACTCTCCTCTCACACCTACTACGTGGGAGAGAACATCTGCTACCAGATCCTGGAGGCCCTTCTCAAGCCCCCTAACCTGGCCCCATGTGGTTCTTTCTGTTTTTTCTCCTAGAAGGCATTGTGACCTTACTGGTCCCATGTTGGGCATCAAATCTGTGAATGGCTCACACTTGGACTTACGCACACAGCATAAGTAATAGGGGATATCTATGCATAAGAAAGATTAGTATGTTGTCAGCTCCCCACATCCATAATTCCACAGCATGACACAAAACTGGAGTTACTAGATGACAACCCAAGTGGTGGGTTGCTCTGTCAAGAAGGGGCCAATTTTATATTGCAGCTAGGCAGTTACAGTCTGTAGCTGTACCATTGAGGGGATCGGGGCAAGATGGAAATTTCCATGGCTTACCAGAAACAGGTGAGAAACTGCCTGCTGGTAGCCTGCTGCAAGACAAGGAGGCCCCCAAAAGAGAGGAGTAAGAAATAGTCTTATGATAATGCCTCACAAGACTATTTCCCTTACCATGGTCCAGGAGGGCATTTGGTCAAGGTTTGAGTCATAGTATGGTTGAGCCTTACCTATGTAAAGTTTAAGCAAAGCCATTCCCTTGTACCTTGTACCTTGAAGAGAGTTTCATTGGATATAATATCCTTAATTTGCACTTTCTTCTTTTTAATGAGTAAATTGCATTTTATTTTATATTTTATTTTATTTTATTTTATTTCATTTTATTTTATTTTATTTTATTTTTTGAGATGGAGTCTCACTCTGTCACCCAGGCTGGAGTGCAGTGGCACTATCTCGGCTCACTGCAAGCTCCACCTCCCAGGTTCACGCCATTCTCCTGCCTCAGCCTCCGGAGTAGCTGGGACTACAGTCACCCACCACCATGCCTGGCTAATTTTTTGTATTTTTAGTAGAGACGGGGTTTCACCATGTTAGCCAGGATGGTCTCAATCTCCTGACCTCATGATCCACCCAAGGAGTCTCTCTCCCTCCTTGTGTTCTGGTTTGTGAATGGCTCACACTTGAACTTAGTGTAGGCTCCTAGTGGGAGGAGCAGGGGTGGCGAAAATCCTCATCATATGGATAAACATAACCCAAACCTCTAGAGGTTTCATAATTTTCCTCTTGCTTCTAAAAACATAGTCATGTCTTATGGGGTATTATGTACCTTATATCTTAACATTTTCCTCTTGCCGCTTCTTGGTTTGAGGGGAGAAATGCCAGCATGTGGCAAATGGAGAATAAGACTGATGGAAGCCTCAGGGCAAGGCCTTCACTTCCCATTGACACTGTTCCCAATTCCCTCCAGCATGAGCTGAGCCTCCTCAGGCTGTGGTTGTGCAGCAGACAGGGTGTGAGGAAACCCTGCTCAGCCCTGGTTACCCAGGATGGCACTGAGTTCTAAAACGTAAAGGTTATGTGGTGAGGGGCCTGGCTGAAGACCTGGTGTGGTACTTTTGTGAGCAGTGGCACGATTTGAGGCTGGGTAGGAGAGAGGTGCAGGGCCTAGCTCCCCAAAAGACCAACAGATAAACTGGGGCAGAGAGAGAGATTCCAGTGTAACCGGGAAGGCTGCAGATCATAACAATTATGGCTGCTGATTTGGCATCAAAGATGTGGCATTGTCAAAGCCACAATTGTTGAGAATGGCACCAACATGCTGCAGCTGGAGAGAGTGGGTGACCAACATTTTGAAGTGGCATAGTTGTCTGGGGTAAGTACCCAAGGTTTGTTGCCTCACACCAAGGGAACTGAGGATGTGGACACACAAGAAGTGGGTGTAGGAGTGGAGGTTTACTAGGCAAAAGAAAGAGAAAGGGCCGGGCGCGGTGGCTCACGCCTGTCATCCCAGCACTTTGGGAGGCCGAGGCGGGCGGATCACGAGGTCAGGAGATCGAGACCATCCTGGCTAACACGGTGAAAGCCGGGCGAGGTGGCGGGCGCCTGTAGTCCCAGCTACTCGGGAGGCTGAGGCAGGAGAATGGCGTGAACCCCAGGGGGCGGAGCTTGCAGTGAGCAGAGATTGCGCCACTGCACTCCAGCCTGGGCAACAGCGAGACTCCGTCTCAAAAAAAAAAAGAAAGAGAAAGGAAAATAGCTCTCTCTCCTGAGAGAGAGAGGGTTGCCAGAGTGGAACTTCTGGTTTTGTGGTGAAGTGCACAGGGTTTTATAGGCTGGCTTGAGGAGGCAGTGTCTGATTCACATAGGGCCCAAAGATTGGTTGGACCAGGTGTGACATTTACATAGCGCTGGAAGAAGCTGGCCACCCAACCCTAATCTTCTTCTTATGCAAATGGGTTTTCTACTTTACTCGCGCCATGTTGTCTGCTCCTTACTGTACACGTGGTTAGAAAGGAAAAGGGAAGATGGAGCCACCATGTTGAACATGCCTACCCCCCAGGTAGCCTTGTCCTATTGGCACAGCCGCCAGCAGTCACCTGTGCAAGCTTCCAGCTTGCTTATCTATGTCTGCAGCTCCATTTTACAGGCTGCTTTTTGTTAGAAAAGAAATTATTTGGGGGCTGCTTTTCATTAAAAGGGAACCTTACCAAGGACTTCCTTACCCTAATGCCTAAATAATTTCTTTTTAACTCCTATATCAATTTGTTTGAAGAACAGATGACACTTTGAATGGCCCAGCCCACAGCCCAGAATTTCAAGGGAAGACCTTGAATTCAAGGGAGACAATGTCTCCCGTAAAATCACCTAGGCACTTACATAGCATATTTTTCTGTCCACTGTCTTGCTAGTCTGTTGTAGTTCTCTCTGTCGGCCTTGTAGGTGTGGGGTATCTCTAGCACCAGAGGATCATTGAGGTTGGGGATGCAGGGCAGTGAGCAGATGGACAAGAGAACTTTTGACAGTCAATGCTGGAGACCACTGAGACCATAGGATGTCGAAGCAGATGCTGCCATTGCTATTGATATTGGGGTGATAAATTTTGGTTGTGAAAGCAACCTTTGGGGGCTTGAACAGGCAATCCGTAGGAAAGTGGATGGTCAGGAAGAAAACACCTCCTTGGCAAGGACTGTCATTAATTATCACCCAGAGGCCCCGTGGAGCACTGGGCAGGAGGATTCGTCTGCAAGTTGGTTAATTCCTTCAGGATCCACTTTAGTGCCATCCTACCCCACTGCTGGGGGCTGGGGTGGCCCAGCCACACTGCACTTTCTATATATAAGTTTTTTGAAAATGCTGCTTCACTGTTACCTTGCCTTGTATGTTAGTGCCCATCTAATTCAGTTGCTTTTGTAACTTGTTCCACAGTGATGCCTGGAGACCTGAGTATGTTTTATCTTTAAAATCTAATAATTTTACTAGGATATTGTCTTGAAGTTGATCATCCTGGTTTAATTTTTGCTGCCACTTTATGGGCTCTTTCAATGTGCCTCATCACATAAGTAATGTCATTTTCATTTTTGTAAATCAAGTCTCCTAGATTGTTCACCTGAAAGCCTGATTCTCCTTTAGAGAAAAAAAATGCTAAAAAAACAAAACAAAACAACAAAAAAAAAAACAAAACATTATATATCGCATTACAATTTTATTCAACAAATACAGAGATTTCCAGAATAGTTAAAACAAAGTAGAAAACAACTCTGGTGTTATAAGAGCAGTAGGTTCATATGCCCACTGTGCAGTAATAGACCAATACACTAAGACAGCAGTTTGCAACAAAGAATTTAATGATCACAGGGCAGCCAAGGGGAGAGATATGAGTAGACCCTCAAATCCATCTCCTCAAGAACTTCTGCGTTAGGGTTTTTAAGGGGATTGTGGAGGGTGAGGGGTTGGAAAATTAAGGTTGTTGATTGGGCAGGGGAAGGGGGATGAAATCATTAGGATTTGGAAACTGCATACTGAGTCAGTTCCTCAGTGGGGTCCTTCAGACCAGCTGACATCAGTAGTTTCACTGGTACACAGGATCTGAAAGAATATCTCTAATGGGAAACTTAACATTTCATAATGTTCAGGTTGTTATCTATAGAACAGTTCAGGAGAACTATAATCTAGGGCCTGCCTGATTCTAGCACAAACAGCACCAAACAACTGTGAGGAAGCAGGTCCAAGAGCAGGCTGCTCTCAAGAGTAATGCAAAATTGCTGCAAGCTTGTTTATTTTTGTTTCTCCCCTTCCCTTCTTCCCTGATTAATTTTATAAAGTTTATAGGGACAGTTTCAATGGCTTCAACACAGTATTGCCAGGTAAGGACTTGAACCCAAGATGCGGAAGTTGCAGTGAGTCAAGACCAAGCCACTGCTGCACTGCCCAGTCTCAAAAAATAAAAATTAAAAAAAAATCAGGCCAACACCTGTTGACACACATTGCTAGGAATCCCTTTGGGAAAGCAAATGGGCTCACGGAACACACGGAGGCCATGGTGGGTGACAATGTTAACTAATTCTGTTCATGGTGTCCAGGGTACAGGCCTGAGGGTCCACTCGCCACCTCTGCCCAAAGCCACGTCTCCACTGCTCCCCTCATCTCCGCACGGATTCCTCCCCACGTGCCTCCCCTTTTCTTGGACTGCCGACACCTGACACCACCAAGGTGACTGCTCCTCCCCACAGCTTCTCTCCTTCAGGGGACTTCACTTCTTGTTCCTCGCTCCATAGTGAGGCGTGACCCAGCGGTCAGCCCAAGGTCTAGCATGCAAATCAGGGACGTGATGGTTCTTTGGGATTCTAGGGATCTACCTGGAGAATAGATGAAAGTAACAAAAGTTTTACATACCAATATTCAAAACTGCATCAAACTACCAGAAACACTTGCCACTTTCAAAGATAGACTATGCTAAGTAGCTCCAGGTGTGTGCCACCATGCCTGGCAAATTTTTGTATTTTTAGTAGAGACTGGGTTTCACCATGTTGGCCAGGCTGGTCTCAAACTCCTGATCTCAGGTGATCCACCTGCCTTGACCTGCCAAAGTGCTGGGATTACAGGAATGGCTCTTGACTCTAACTGCAAGGTCCCTAGATCATTAGATCATTTCCTGAATATCTTATGCTTCAGGTATTGGCCATCACTTGGGTTACCATTGTCATAAGTCAAAAGCCTCCACAACCAAGGCCCTTAAACATGGGATAGCCTGTGCAGGGCAGAAGTATAAAGAATATAGAGAAGTGAAGCACAAAACTTGTTGCATTGGCCAGGAATTAAACCAGGGTCTCCTATGCAGGCGGTGAGAATTCTACCACTGGACCACAAATCCGGCTCTTATGTGTGGTCCTGGAGAAACAATTGAAATACAATACTGAAAAAGACAGAAATTGTTCCAAAAGAAGCTTTTTGTAGTATTGACTAAAAGCTAACAGTAGACATCCAAAACCAAGGTTTTTACAGAATACTTTTACTAGACAAAACTATAAATATTAAAATAGCTTATTTGATCAAACTTTAATTCCGAAAAAGGCTCCTTCCAACTGCGTAACAGACTCCTATAGAAAAACATCAGAAATTCATCCAGGTTCCTTGTTTCTGATCCTAAATCTTCAATTTAGGACCTCAACCTCAAACTGTTGCTTTAGTGGCTCTGGGAAGGAAGCACTAACTGGCAGCATAGGTAAGTAAAGTTTTAATCTAGGGAAGAAATAAGAAGCAGAATCAGAATTAGAATTAGAAGAAAGAGGGAATATGCTATACCAGAATATCATAGGCAAAAAAAGAAGATGAAGAAAGAGGAAATGAAAGGACAGAAGGTAATGCTAATGGAGTTAGTTATTTGTGGCCGTTTTTTGTAAAAGAGTAATGATCAGTCTTGTAATCATTATAATACTATTATTTGCTTTCTAAAATGTTTAAAATATTTGAAGGAATTTATGATATAAAAAGATGAATAATGCTTGCAGTCAGTGTTTCATTGTTTGGGAGAACCCAGTTTCCTCAGTTAATACACTTTCGTGTAATAGCTGTTTAAGGAGTAACATGGTTTAAAGACATATTAGTGGCTGAAATATTAACATATTGGTCTTTTGATGAAGTTCAAATAGAGAGATTTCTTTCCCCAATTTTCCCTGGAAAGATTAAACTGAAGAGAAAAATCTGGAAAGTTTGCCCCACATGTTGGGTCTGGGAGTCATTATGACTTTTTCAAAGACAGGAGTTGTGTATGACATGGAATCATGCTTCTTCTCTAGTTGAGAAGCCAAGCTAGGTCCAGGCTGAGTCATAAACTTGAACCCAACAAGGAAATCACCCTTCACATTGACCTTGCAGAGCTTTGGCTCTATCTGTTCTCTGCCCAACACCCAAGACACATACTAGTTCTGGCCAACAAACCTTCACATATTGTCTGTGTCAACCAGAGCTACATTTATTCCCAAATCTCTTTCTAAAATACAAACCTGTACTTTCTACTCTCAACCCCAAAATTTACAAGAGGCCTCATATGCATCTCAGAGTCACAGATGCTAAAACTCAACACACCAGTGAGTTCCCTGTCAGCATCATATACTACCCTCTACCTCAATGATCAGCCCCAAGCCAGCATCTCCCAAAGAGTAGTGTGTTGTCGTGGGTGTTTCAACAGATCACTAAAACCTGCTTCTACCCCTGCCTAGACACTTATCCTCACTGCTATGCATCCTGCTCCTCAAATCAGATCTTGATATCTTCTTTAAACACTCCCAATCTCCCAACACGACAATTCATTTCCAAAGAATTATAGTATTTAAATTTATTGGACTCTATACAGACTCATTCCCACTTTGTTACTACGCTGGTCCATCCATCACCTCCATTAACATAAGTAGATCAAAAACTGGCCTCTCTACAGCCAGTCTTGTCTATTCCAACCCATTTGCCACACTGTATCCTGAGTGACCTTTCCACAGTGTAAATCTGGACATACCTGTAGCCTTAAATCATATCTACCAACATAGTAGCCAAGCAACAGCAATCTCTTTTCCTTTGGTCATTAGAGTCCTAGAGACCAAGAGGATGTTGGGAAAAGAATTACCATGGATCAGCTCTCAGAGGCAGTAGGTTCTGGACTCGTGCTGGCTTTGATACGTGTGCATTGGAAAAGCTCAAGTACCCGGCAATACTTGGAGATTAGGAAGAAAGGATGAAAATAAACCACTGCACTAAATAACATGACAATAATCACTTATACAAAAATTTTAAAGATAAGGAATATTTAAAGATTTATTAGTTTATTATAGCTTTATAGTTGGAGAGTGAAGAAGAAAATACCAAAGCTTTTTGTCTTAACAAAATGGTGCAGACAGATTAACATATATTGTCACCTATGATAACCAGTCAGCATAAAAAGTATTTAGAAAGGAATGGTTATATTCTCTAAGAGATATATTCTGATGTCATGTTTTTTGCTTTAGAGTCTATTAATATAGCCACCTTTTTGTTAATGTTTTCAGTCAAGCTCCTTTTCTTGCCTTTCATTTCCAACCTTTCTCTCACTTTCTGGTTTAGATACAACTCCTAAATATATCATATAGTTAATTTAAAAATCCAGTGTAGCAGTATTTCGGGGGTTTGTTTTACTGGATAATTTGGTCCACTTACATTTAATGTAATTGTTGATATATATTAATTTTAAATCTACCATCTTTATTTTTTTCTGTTTGTTCTGCTTGTTCTGTTTCTATGTCTTTTCTTGTCTGTTTTGGATTGGTTATTTTTAACTATTATAACATTATATTTTTTTACTTTTTTATATGCTTTGCTTCACTTTCTTCCTTATTGTATTTCCTTTAATTGTATTTAAGTTGCTTCTATTCTTTTGTGGTTACTTTAAAAATTACAATCTTAATCCTTATTTTTTTTTTTTTTTTTTTTTTTTTTTTTTGAGACAGAGTCTCACTCTGTCTCCAGGCTGGAGTACTGTGCCGCGATCTTGGCTCACAGCAACCTCTGCCTCTCGGGTTCAAGTGATTCTCCTGCCTCAGCCTCCCGAGTAGCTGGGACTACAGGTGCAGCTAATTTTTGTATTTTTTTAGTAGAGACAGGGCTTCACTGTGTTGGCCAGGATGGTCTCCATCTCTTGACCTCATGATCCGCCCACCTTGGCCTCCCAAAGTGTTGGGATTACAGGTGTGAGCCACCGTGCCCAGCTAATCCTTAATTTATTAAACATAGTAATAATTGATACCGTTATCCTCTTCCTGCACAATATATGGATGTTGGAATACTTTTATTCCATTTAGTCTCATTCTATATATATGCTGTTATCATTTATTAGGTCTAAGTATTAATAGTTTTAAACCCCAGAAGACTAGGCATATATTTTATGTAGTTAATGTTAATTTAGATTTATCAACATATGTGCTGCTATCTTACTCTTTATTTCTGCTATGTCTCTGAATTTCCATATGTAATCATGGTCCTTCTGCCGGAGAAACATCATTTAGAATTTCCTTTTGTGTTGGTCTGCTTGTGAAAAACTGTTTCAGCTATTTTTCTCTGAAAGTGTCTTTATTTTGCTTTAATTATTGGAGATTATTTTTACTAAGTATGTAATTCTGGAGGCAGTTATTTTCTTTCAGCATATTGAAGATATTTGCATTTGATTGTTTCTTTTCAGAAGGCAGCCAATTGTCTCGCTGCTGCTTATTTGAATGTAATGTTCCTTTTTTTCCTCTGTTTTTTGTCTTTGCTATTTTTGTCTTTGTTTTTTTTTTTATTGTCTGCAGTTTTACTACTCTGTCTTTAGGTATGGAGTTCCCTTTATTTATCTTCTTTGATTGGTAGGCCTTCTAGAATCTGTTGACTTTTGAGTTTCATTTTGTCTGGAAAACTCTCAAGTATTATCTCTTCAGTTATTGCCTCTATTTTCTCTCTCTTCTACTTTTGAGCCTCTAACTAAAAATAAAGTAGACTTTCTCACTCTATTTGTTATATTTTTGTGTTTGTGTATTAAATATTATTTTTTCTCCTTGTTATATATTCTGAATTTTTTTCTTCTTCCTCATCTCCCACTTTACTAGTTCTCTTTTCAGCTGTGACTGCTCTCCTGTTAAACTCTTCCATTGAGCTCTTAATTTTGTTTTGTTTTTTTTTTTCCAAATTTCTGTTTGCCTCTCTCTAAATCTATTCTGTCATTTTTTTGTTGTTTCCAATTGGTGTGTAAATTGTTAACAAAACCCTTTTCTCCTTCTGCATGATAATTTGACCTTAATTAACTTTCCAGCTCTGTCCACCTAGAGCCTTCTAATGACAAAATGTCAACTATGTTACTAAGCAAACATTGCATATCATAAAAAAGACTCCTAACTGATGGACTACACTTGGACTGGGAAAACTAAGTATCTGGAAGAAGCCAGACTTTGAGCTTCTCTGAATGCAGTGACTCCTATAACTTGCATACACCTGGCATGGGCATTGGAAACTACTCTATTAAGTTCTTAACAAGAGATAATGGCTCCAGGATGGTGCCACATGCACCTCAGCTGTCCCCAAGTAGACAATGAGGGGTGGAGAGTCAAGAGACTATCTCCTAGGTACTGTGTGGACTGCTGCTGCAGGGACTGCTCCTATAGAAATATCATGCCTGTTGCTGCCCTGATAGCAAGCTATAATTCTTATCCTACGTCTCTCGGATTAATCTGGTGCCAAGTATGGCCTCTGAGATTCTTGTGAGCCTGAACGTTAAGTTGAAGCTAAGAAAACATCCAAGTGGGCAAAATTCTTCCAAATTTTGTTTCATGAATAATGTAGACATCATTGTTTTGCAGTCTTTCTAATATATCTAATATTTGGGGGCTTGATTTCAACTGCCTGACATGTCTGCTGGTTTTCACACCTGGTTTAGTTTCTTTGGGTTCATTATTATTTTTGAGTATGTGCCATATCTTGTATCTGGAAAAATATTTTTGGAATAATCTGAGATCTACAATGAAAGCTTTCTTGCCCAGCACCTGGGGGTACTTCCAGCCCAGAACCACCTTTAATCAAGTAAAAGGTGTGAAAGATGCTCTGAACTTAAACTGTGTAACATAAGGGATGTTTCTTTTATAGTTCATTTTTATCCCAAGATTATAGAAATGTAAGGTCCTACCTTATTGTAGGATTATTCTCCTGATAAACTCCCCAACTTGGGCAGACTCTGGTCTTCTATTTCTGTCCCATTAGTCACAGAAGGCTGTCAAACCCTAATATGCACGTCAGGAAATGTCCTTAGCCAAAAAATGGTTTCTCTGCTTGCTTACGGCTCTGGGTTCCAGTTTTTCCTTTACTTCAGGCCTCGTAATTCTTCAGTGTTAATCATCATCTTGATGCTTTTAAAAATATTTGTTTTCTATATAGTACCTAAATAGCTTAGTCAGTGTTACCAGAAATGTATCATCAACTTTTAAAATATACTAAATGCTTAAAAAAATAAAGTCATATTTTACTGCTATGGCTCTGACTTGAAACTAAGTTGATGAGGCCATGAGCTGGAGCACAAATCAGTCCCCCCACTGTGAAACTGTCAGGTCACCACAAATACAGATTTTATTAGCAATGCAGAATTTTTCTTTTCCCTCTTAAGTCATCCAGTGACCAATCGGTTCTAGGCCACAAGATCAAAAACTCCGGTCTCAAAATCTAACAACCCCCAGCTGGTAATCTCACACATGCTCAGATTTTACTTTGTGAAAGAGAATCAAGCCACATCATATAAAATTAAACATTTATTATTTTTCTTAATAGTCTAATAGAGATATACATTTGTGTATATTGGCCAGAAATTGGGCTAAAATTTTCACAAATGGAAATCAAGAATGTTACCATAGAACTATCAATGCCAACTTTAACTATCTGAATCAGATGGCATAGCCTAGTTTCCTCTACAACTGACAGCACACTCTTTGGTATTTTGGTATTTTTCAGTGTCCTTGAAATGTTTAACTACCCACTAAAGAACAGGTCACATGGAATTAATAAACAAAGGGCTTCAGTTTCCATCAAGCACCTTCAAGTGACAGGAACAGGGATTTAAATAAAAGGATCTAAGTCAGCACAGGAAAGTGACTGTGCTGCCAAAGTGACTCAAACTCAAAAGGACAGGATGAGACTTACTCAGAACTTCGAGGAAGTGTAGAGAAATTATCCACCACTTTTTATCCTAGAGGTGCCTTTGTGGTTGTGACCATGCCGTAGAATGATTTGGGGATCCCTTCCAACTGGAAGGACATCTTAGACTGAGGGAACCCAAGAAACCTGATTTCGGTCACCCCTGACCATCATAAATCCCATGCAACAGGTCCATGCATTATCTAATGTTGACTCTGGGAATGGTCATTGTCATTGTTTCCTATTTGAATGGTTGTCACATTTCCTGCTTCAAATGATATCCAGAAATGATGGCTTGGGACCATATTCTCAATTTTTAGGTGGCAAATAGACTCCAGAGACATCACACATAATAAAATACTTGGACTTTGAAAGGAAACAGTCATGTCTATGACTTACAAGCTTATAAAGATCCCTCAGATGAGTTATGTACATGGATTGAGAATCAGAAAAGGAAGGATGCTCTCTCAGGAGATAGAAAAACCAGATAAAAGGAGAAACTGAAATTATCTGACCCATCCCCTCATCGCCTATGTAGAAGGGAAATGCTTACTTTATCTAACCAGTGGATAACAGACAGCCTCTTTCATTTTGGAGCTACCAAAAAGAAAAATAAATTGTGGTTTGGTTCAGTTCCCTTTTGACCAGTATGTTCTTGAAATTTTGAAAACATTTTACTCTTTTTCCTTTTAGTGTTTCAGTGTGGATAATTTCATTTGATCTATTTTCAAGTTCATTTTTTAGGCCAAAATTTGTCAAATATTGGCAATTTCATATGATTCAACTTAATATATTAACCTAATGTGCAAAATTCAAATTTGTTTCTATACTACTAAATAATATCCCCCTGAAACGCTTTGCCAATTTACTCCTACTGACAGTGTATGAAAATATCCATTTTATTTCATCCTTTACAAGGTGCTATTATCAATAATTTATACTTTTACCAATCTGGGAAGTGAAAAAGACATTTAATTGTCTTGACTTGCATCTCCCTTATTACTGGTTAGTTTAAATTTCTATTCTCCGTTCATTTTTCTGTTTATTTTCTTTTGTAGTACCTACTACTTCTTGATATCTTTATTTAAGCTTTATATATTTACTTTTTACCTGTTAATTGTTGTAATCACCCACTAAAGAGTAAATTCTGGCTGGGCACAGTAGCTCACGCCTATAATCCCAGCACTTTGGAAGGCCCAGGTGAATGGATCACTTGAGGCCAGGAGTTTGAGACCAGCATGGCCAACATGGTGAAACCCCATCTCTACCACAGATAAAAAAATTAGCTGGGCATGGTGATGCACACCTGTGATCCCAGCTACGCAGGAGACTGAGACACAATAATCGCTTGAACCAGGGAGGCAGAGGTTGCAATAAGCCGAGATCACACCACTGCACTCCAACCTGGGCGAGGAAAAAGAAAAAGAATCAGTTCCATCAGAGCATGGATTAAGTCTCATTCACCACTCTAGTGCCTAGAACATTTTATGTACTCAACATATAATAGTTAAATGAATGAATGAAAGTTAGACTGTAGGGGTGTCCATGAAAGTAGATATTAGCTAAGTTCCCAGAGATTGACTCCTCTTTTCCTGGTTCTCACACTTCAAGCTCTGTTAAGCCTGGAGGAGGGTGTTTTGTCTTTAAAAAGATACAGCTCCAGGTTACCCCTTTGGACCAGTTCCTGTTCTTAGGTCTCAGACTTCCTCTATTCATGAATGGTGGATATATATGATTTCCTGTGATGTTTCTTTACATTATGACCATAATGAGCGTTGATTTTTAGTTCCTGATCCCCTCATGTAATGACTGTTCAATTAATGACTTTTTGCCATAATGGCTATTATAAAGCTATGTCACTTTTTGGACAACTCCTTTTTTATTATAATGATTTGTCACCCCAAAATAAATAAACATGCTATAAGAAATTATATTTTGACATCATGGTTTCAAGCAGACACTATATAGAAGGATGTGTATGAATGAGCATGTAGGGAAGTGGCCAAAGAGGGGCCCACCCTCTGTAATCTGCTTTTTGATGCTAAGGTGAGGACTCTGCAAACCACATCTTTTTTTTGCTTGCTGGCTTTATTAGTTTCTGTCAGTAAGGGGTGTTAAAAAGAGACTGAAAGGCTGGAGGAGGGATATAGGTCTGGCTGCTTCCTATTTTGTTTCTTGTTTCAATTAGCATCATCCCAGCCATAATTTTTTACTCTGAGAGTGGTCATTGTTTCCAGTTTCATTTCTTTTCTTTTCTTACAATCCCGGAGCCAGCCTCATGGCCCCCTCTCAAAGGCATGAGCATCAGCCAGTGGACACCTCTTCTTCAGAGGTCTGAGTCCCTGCTACACTAGGTACTTCCTCTGAGTTCCAAGGCCACCAGCAACCTCCTTCTCAGAAGCCATCCTCCCAGTTATGTGTGGCCCTTCATCCAAGTTACCAAGTTCTAACAACCCAACCATTTTACCTTTGTTTCTACAACCCTAGGGTTGATCACTGCTTCGCTTTCTACACTTACTATCTCTGTGTTACATCAGTTCCCCTTTTGCCTTCTTAGACCTCCAATACCTGTATAATTCCTTGTGTTAAATTCCCTCTGGTATACTGTTCATTTTCTATTTTTTTTTTTTTTGAGACAGGGTCTTGCTCTGTTACCCAGACTCAAGTGCTGTGGTGCAATCATAGCTCACTGAAGCCTTAAACTCCTGGGCTCAAGTGAGTGTGCCACCATGCCCAGCTAATTTTTATTTTTTTTAGACACAGTGTCTCACTCTTTTTCCCAGGCTAATCTTAAACTACTAGATTCAAGTGATCCTCCCATTTTGGCATCTCAAAGTGTTGAGATTACAGGTGTGAGCCACCATGCCCAGCCCATTTTCCTTTTAGACCCTGAATGACACACAGTACTACTCACCAATTTACCTGACATGACCATTTGTAGTCAGAGAATATTGTGTGAAACAACTTTGAATTGCATGACTGTATTAGTCTGTTCTCACACTGCTAATAAAGACATACCTGAGACTAGGTAATTTAAAAAGAAAAGAGACTTGATTAACTCACAGTTCAGCATGGCTGGGGAGCCCTCAGGAAACTTACAATCATGACAGAAGGAGATGCAAACACATCCCTCTTCACATGGCAGCAGCAAGGAGAAATGCAGAGCAAAAGCGGGGAAAAGTCCCTTATAAAACCATCAGATCTCGTGAGAACTCACTATCATGAGAACAGCATGGGGGAAACCACCCCCCACAATTCAATTACCTCCCACTGGGTCCCTCTCATTATGTGGGGATTATGGGAACTACAATTCAAAATGTGATTTGGGTGGGGACACAGCAAAACCATATCATTCTGCCCTGGCCCCTCCCAAATCTCATGTCCTCACATTTTAAAACACAATCATACCTTCCCAAAAGTCCCCCAAAATTTTAACTCATCCCATAATTAGCTCAAAAGTCCAAGTCCAAAATCTCATCCAAAGGCAAGTCCCTTCTGTCTATGAGCCTGTAAAATCAAAAGCAAGTTAGTTACTTCCTTGATACAATGAGAGTACAGGCATTGGGTAAATACAGCCACTGCAAATGGGAGAAATTGGCCAAAACAAAGGAGCTACAGGCCCCAGGCAAGTCCAAAATTCAATAGGGCAGTAATTAAATCCTTAAGCTCCAAAATAATATCCTTTGACTCCATGTCTCAAATCCAGATCACACTGATGCAAGAGGTGGACTCCCATGATGTTGGGCAGCTCTGACCCTGTGACTTTGCAGGGTACAGCCCTCTTCCTGGCAGCTTTCACAGCTAGCATTGAGTGTCTGAGTCTTTTCCAGGTGCATGGTGCAAGCTGTCAGTGGTTTTACTAACCTGGGGTCTAGAGGATGGTGGCCCTCTTCTCACAGCTTTACTAGGAAGTGTCCCAGTGGGGACTCTGTGTCGGGGCTCCAACCCCACATATCCCTTCTGCACTGCCCTAGCAGAGGTTCTCCATGAGGGCTCTGCCCTTGCAGCACACCTCTGCCTGGGCATCCAGGCATTTCCATACATCCCCTGAAATCTAGGTTCCCAAACCTCAGTTCTTGTCCTCTGCACACCTGCAGGACCAACACCATGTGAAAGCTGCCAAGGCTTGGGGCTCGCACCCGCTGAAGTCATGACTCAAGGTGTACCTTGGCCCCTTGTAGCCATGGTTGGAGTGGCTGGGACACAGTGCACCAAGTTCCTAGGCTGTACACAGCAGGGAGGTCTCTGACATGCCCTGAAGACCTTTTCCCCACTGTCTTGGCGATTAACATTTGGTTCCTCATTACTTATGCAAATTTCTGCAGCCAGCTTGAATTTCTCCCTAGAAAACAGGTTTTTCTTTTCTACCACATAGGCTGCAAATTTTCCAAATTTTTATGCTCTGTCACCTCTTGAACGCTTTGCTGCTTAGAAATTTCGTCTACCAGATACTCTAAATCATCTCTCTCAAGTTCAGAATTCCACAGATCTCTAGAGCAGGGGGTAAAATGCTGCCAGTCTCTTTGCTAAAGCATAACAAGAGACCTTTCCTCTAGTTCCCAACTAGTTACCATTTCCATCTGAGACCACCTCAGCCTGGACTTTATTGTCCATATCACTATCAGCATTTTGGTCAAAGCCATTCAACAAGTCTCTAGGAAGTTCCAAACGTTCCCACATCTTCCTGTCTTCTTCTGAGCCCTCCAAACTGTTTCAACCTCTGCCTGTTACCCAGTTCCAAAGTTGCTTCTACATTTTCAAGTATCTTTACAGCAGTGCCCCACTACCCAGTACCAATTTACTATATTAGTCCATTCTCACACTGCTAATAAAGACATACCTGAGACCGGGTAATTTATAAAGGAAAGAGGTTTAATTGACTCACAGTTCTGCATGGCCAGGGATACCCCAGGAAACTTACAATCGCAGTGGAATGGGAAGCAAACGTGTCCTTCTTCACATGGCAGCAGCAAGAAGTACAGAGCGAAGTGGGGGAAAAGCCCCTTATAAAACCATCAGATCTCGTGAGAATCATTCACTATCATGAGAACAGCATGAAGGTAACTGGCCCCATGATTCACCTACCTCCCACTGGGTCCCTCCCATGACATGTGGGGATAATGGGAGCTACAGTTGAAGATGAGATTTGGGTGAGGACACAGCCAAACCAAATCAATGACATATTTAGATGAACCCAAAATACTGTTTTTCATACACATGCCAAGCAAAGTGAATGAGAGGGTTGCATCTTCTATGACTCTTCAATCTGCTGTACATGTTCACCATTTCAATATTCTATAAAGCCTTTTTGTGTTTAGCTTTTATTTGGTCAAAGCCTTAAGGTAAAGGAAATTATTAATCACATTAAATTTGATATTGAATGCTGGTCTGGCACTGAATCTTCACTGACTTTGAAAGAATAATCCCCTCCCAGTCCTCCTCTATTGACCATCACCTATAACCAAGTCTCCTCTTCCTCCTTTGATGAATACAATAAAAATTCATATGTGAAAACTGTATTTATTTTATTTTTATCTATTATTTACATAAATTTAATTTGTTTAATCTATATGTTTTCTATCTTTTGGGTATCTTGGGTTAATTTTTCTGTTTAGAATAACAAAAACTTTTTATTCACTTCACATATTTTCACTTAGTTGTAAGATTTTCAAACATAAAGTCATTAAGCAAATGTTTGTGTACAAGACACACAGATACAGAAACTGCCAGGAGAGACTCTGATAACTTCCATACTTCTAATTTTGCATATAAGCTGTCTTCAGGATACACAAAGACTGAGGGAAGAGAAGATGCTAAATGTAAATAATATACATTTATTTATGTATTCATTATCAAGCATATGTTATCTGAATGTCTTTGTAAAGCAATATACAAATAGAATAGGAACGTGATATATTTACTTCCCCAGTTGTGGTGTAAGCATCCTCTAAAAATGCTTACACCACAATTGGGGAAGTAAATATATCATGTATATAATGAATAGACTATAAAAAAGAACACATGGGGCAGGTACGACGGCTCATACCTGCAATCCAGAACTTTGGGAGGCCAAGGCAGATGGATCACTTGAGGTCAGGAGTTTGAGACTAGCCTGGCCAATGTGGTGAAACCCCATCTCTATTAAAAATATAAAAATTAGCCGAGCGTGGTGGCACAGGCCTGTAATCCCAGCTACTTGGGAGGCTGAGGTGGAGGATCCCCTGAACCTGGGAGGTGGAGGTTGCTGTGAACTGAGATCACACCACTGCCCTCCAGTCTGGGTGACAGAGTGAGACTCCATCTCAAAAAAAAAAAGAAATGAAAAAGCAGGAACACATGATAGGGTAGTCTGAGCTCTGTACAAATAGGAACAGTAACATAGACAAGGAGTAATTAGAGTAGGCTGAAAAAAAATCGAAAGATCTTCTTGAAAAAGATCCTGAAGAAATTTATGAAACTGAGTTGACTAAGGGAATAAGGAAGCACGTGAGTAAATACAGCAACATTACCTAAATTCCCTTTCCATCATCTCTCTGTCATCTTCTCCCACCTCTCCTAACCAACCCACAGGGATTTAAAAACATTATTGAATTTTTATCTAAATGTGATGGAGGATGGACAGGAAGAGAATTACTGATTACTCTCAGTCAGGATTCATCCTAGCAGCAATTATTTGTAATTTAACTGAAATAAGTCCATTTGACTGAAGAGACAGCTTGGAAATCACTAAAATGAGAAAGGAGATGTTTTAGAGAGTATGACATCTACAAGTGAATGAAAGAGAAATCACCCTTAAACTCACTGGTTTGGGGAAGTGAAGTTCCCACAAATGTGACACACAGGAAATTGCCTTTCCACATGTGAGTTTTCTGAACTGAACCAACTGCCATCGATTTGCACTAGTAAGACAGTATTCCTAACCAAAGCAGGGAAAACAATGATGTGATCCCAAGAAGTCCTTGCACTCCCAGACTTCTAGTCTCATCTGTTTAATTTGACATTGTAGGGACCAAGAAAAAGCTTCCCCTTCTATCCTCT
Organism: Homo sapiens; assembly: GCF_000001405.40. NCBI lineage: Eukaryota > Metazoa > Chordata > Mammalia > Primates > Hominidae > Homo > Homo sapiens. Next base: position 121,074,281 of record NC_000001.11, read on the forward strand.
GAAAGTTTGCTGAAAATGGACTATAGACAAATTAATAGGAGAAAAAGCCATACAAAATGTATTTAACATGTATAGCTCAGGGGAATTAAAGGAGGATGGTTACCCAACAACCCAGTAAGGTCCAAATGGTTATACACCCTTCCTCATAGAGAAAGGGGAGATGAAGGGTGTAGCAGTAAATGGTTTTCAGGGGGAATGAATGAACCCAAAGAACAGTGATCTGGGACAAAGTTCCTCTGAGCTCTGGGGTCAGTGGCCAGAATGTGAAGGACAGAACTTTACTGTGAACAAAGGTTGTTTTATTATTCAGATAAAGCCTCTCAGGTACTCTCTCTGAGCTGCCCTTGGAGGAATACATGAAAAGTCTGTCAGGGCAAGGTGAGGACTACTAGTTTCTTCTCTTGTGGTTAATCTTTCCTGGTTATTTCATGAGATTCCTAGGGAGGGAGTTTTAAGGCAATTGCATTTCTATTTTATTTTATTTTATTATTTTATTTTATTTTATTTTATTTTATTTTATTTTATTTTATTTTATTTTATTTTATTTTATTTTTTGAGATGGAGTCTTGCTCTATCACCCAGGCTGGAGTGCAGTGGCACAATCTCAACTCACTGCAACCTCTGCCTCCCGTGTTTAAGCAATTCTCCTGCCTCAGCCTCCTGAGTAGCTGGGACTACAGGTGCATGCCACCACACTCAGCTAATTTTTTGTATTTCTAATAGAGATGAGGTTTCGTCATGTTGGCCAGGCTGGTCTTGAACTCCTGGCCTCAAGTGATCCTCCTGCCTCAGCCTCCCAAAGTGCTAGGATTACAGGCATTAGCCACCGTGCCCAGCAATTCTTTTGGAAAGAATCTTTCTTAGTCAGCTGAGGAAATTCCATAGAGAGTCCCTGCTAGTGCTTCAGGAAAGTAAGAGGATGGGGGTGAGGTGTAGGTAAGGGTGAGGAGAGGTCAGAGAGAGATACCTTGAGGCTGCTTCTTTAGTTCAGCATGTCAAAGTGCCATATTTTGGGGTATTGTTTTCTGAGCCCCAGCAGCATCAAAGGTCATAGTTCCTGAAACTGCAGAGACAGCACTGAAGACTGCCATGTAGGAAACAGGATGTCTCTAAAGTGAAAAGAGCCAGGACTTGGATCTAGAAGTGAGTAGTAGAATGGGAAAGAATCTAGTCGTAACTTAGAAACCACCTCAGTCCTTCCTGGGTTAGCATTTGTCATCGTTTACTTAGGCTGCTGCTGAAGGGATTTGATTCAAGCCTCTGTGACTCAGCAGTGGGCACAAGCATTGCTATCCCCCCTTTTTCTAGGAAAATTGTTCAAAAGAAAACCTTGACACAAACTACGCATTAACCCTATATTACAACATCTTCATAGAGTCAGGTGAGAAGAAGGGAGGCCAGAGGATCCAGTCTTGAATGCTAATGGTATCTTAAACAGGGTCTTTATTGAGTTCTACCTTAGTATGGTAAATTATAGTTGTAAGGAGAATGGTCTCCCCTTTGTCCCTTTTGACTACAAGAAGCCGGTGCTCACCCTCTGAAAAGTCAGAAGATGTACAACATCTGCTACTCCTACCAAATGCTAAGCCACTATGAGGATATAATGCTTTATTTTTATTTATTTATTTATTTAGAGACAGAGTCTCACTCTGTCACCCAGGCTGGAATGCAGTGGTGCAATCATGGCTCACTGCAGCCTCAAACTCCTGGGCACAAGTGATCCTCCTGCCTCAGCCTCCCAAGTAGCTGGGATTATAGGCATGAGCCACCAGGCTCAGCAATGCTTATGTTTTTTTGTGCGTGTGTGAGACAGAGTCACCCAGGCTGAAGTGTAGTGGCACAATCTCAGCTCACTGCAACCTCTGCCTCCCGGGTTCAAGCAATTCTCCTGCCTCAGCCTCCCAAGTAGCTGGGACTACAGGCACAAAACACCACGCCCAGCTAATTTTTGTATTTTTTTAGTAGAGACGGGATTTCACCATATTGGCTGGTCTTGAACTTCTGACCTCGTGATCCACCTGCCTTGGCCTCCCAAAGTGCTGGGATTACAGGCGTAAGCCACCGTGCCCAGCCAACAATGCTTTATTTCTTGACTCTCTTTCTACACCCCTACTGCAAAAGACTAATTTTCCCCAGAGGACCTGATTTTGACTGAATTTTAGCCTCTTCCTCTTCCACATAATAAAGCTGCTAATTGCCTGAGAGAAGACTGCTGAGTTACAGTGTAGAGGGAAGCATACTCAGGGACAATTAGCAACAATTCTGTTTCTGTTAAACCTTATAATTCTTATATCACTACTGCACAGAACTAGACATGGAGCTAGTTTATGTCTCACTGTACCATTTACTAATTTTTTGACCCTGATGAAGTAACTTAACCTCTTGTAGCTTTATCTCATGTACAAAATTGAGACAACAGTAAGATGTTCTCATCTAAGTAAAATGTTGAAATGTTGGAGTGTTCCAGGCTTGTTTAGATAGATGGAAAACACACACACACTCATTCACTCTCTCTCTCTGTTACTCTGTCTTTCCAATAAGTCTTGTTTTCACTTCTTAAGAATCAGCCTAGAGGTGACTGGAGGAAGAGAAACTAAGTTGTGGTGACAAAGAACAAGACTATGAGTAAGGATCACTATTACCCTTACAGACTGGATAAAACCCTAAGAAACAAAATCATTGTGCAAAACCTTTCAGGCCAGGCGCAGCTGCTCATACTTGTAATCCCAGCACTTTGGGAGGCCAAGGTGGGAGGATCACTTGAGCCCAAGAATTCAATGCCAGCCTGGGCAACATAAGAAGACCTTGACTCTACAAAAAATATAAAAATTACCCAAGCCTGGTAGTGCATGCCTGTAGTCCCAGCCACTCAGGAGGTGGGACGATCGCTTGAGCACGGGAGGTCAAGCCTGCAGCGAGCCATGATCATGCCACTGCACTCCAGCCTGAGAGACAAAGCAAGACCCTGTCTCAAAAAAAATTTTTTTCAAGGAATAGAACCACTGCACATGCTCCTCCTGATCCCCCAAAGTGTAAGATTTTCATGCAAATAGCTATCTCCCAGGACTTACATTAGTAAGGTATCTGGATATAAAAATCAGTGTTCCCTAAATCAGCTGTGTTTCCATTATATCAAAAATAAACTTTTAGAAATTACCATTTGAATTAACAAAGATACACACACACACACACACACACACACACACACACACACACACACACGCACACACCTAGAAAGAAATCCCGTAAGATTTGTGCAGGGCATTTATGAAGAAAACTGTGCAATTTATGGGAAGTTATTAAGAAAGACCACATAATTTAATAGATACATTAAGTTTACGGTTTAGAAGACTCAATGTCATTAAGTACAAATTTTCTTCAAATTTGTTTACATATTCAATGTAAATCATCTAAATCCCAACAAATACTAAGAAAGCTGACAACTTGATTCAATGTGTACATTAATGAGCAAAAATCCAAGAATAACTATGAAAATCCTGAGATGATTAAGGAGATGTGCACTACCATATATAAGGATGTATTATAAAGCTATAATATTAAGACAATGTGGTATTGAGACAAAGATAAGCAAATTGCTGGTCAAATAGCCTAAGCTCTAAAAACACATATATATGAAACTTTGTGATAGAATTGTCAGTTCATATCAAAAACAGGATGATTAGGTCTTTTAAATGGTACTGACACAACTGCTTATACACAAGGGAAAAAAAAGAAATTAGATACCTGCTTCACATCACCTACAGACATGGACTTAAGACTTAATTGTAAAAGGCAAAACTTTAATACTTTTAGAAGAAAATACTTTGGAATCAGCAAAGATTTCATACGCAAGACAAAAATACTAATCATAAAATAAAATACTGACAAATTAAACCTCATCAAAATTAAGAACTTTTGTACATGAAAAGACAACATAAAGAAAGTCAGGAAATGAGTTGCCAATCAGAAAAAAATAATTTCAACAGAAGTAAGCCATGAGGGTTTGTATCAGACTAAATTTTTAAACCTTTATAAACCAATAAGAAATAGACAAAAGTGCACACTATGAACAAAATAAAAGCCACAAACAGATATTTCATGGAAGAAACTGCATAAATGGTAAATTAACATATGAAAAAGGACTCAACCTCATCAGTAATCAGGGAAATCTAAATTAAGTCTACCATAGAGTACTATTTTATAACTACAAAAATGGAAATGGGGACTAAGAAGTCTTCTTACATTATATAAACCAAAAATAAAATTGTAAGACCCCCCAAGCATCTTAATGGACCCCTCCTCTTGGCCAAGGGCATTCCAAAGTGAACCTGAAAAACTAGTTCAGGCCATGATGGGAAGGGGGAGCTGAACATGCCTCATCATACCCTCCTCCCTTTTGGAATTACTGGTAGAACAGACTCTAAGTCTGATAAAAAAAAATAAAATAAAAAACATTTACAATCTATTCTCTCTGAAGTCTGCTGCCTGGATACCTGGAGGCTTCATCTGAATGACAAAACCTTGGTCTCCACAACCCCTTATCACAAGCCAGATATTCCTTTCTATTGATAATAACGAATTGCCAATCAGAAAATCTTTGAATCTGCCTATGACTTGGAAGCCACCCCACCCCTGCCTGCTGCTTCCAGTTGTCCTGCCTTTCCAAACTGAACCAATGTACATTTTACATGTATTGATTGATGTCTTATGTCTCTGTAAAATGCATAAAACCAAGCTGCATCCTGACCACCTTGAGTACATGTTCTCAGGATCTCCTGAGGGCTGTGTCACAGGCCATTGGTCACTCATATTTGGCTCAGGATAAATCTCTTCAAATATTTCACAGAGTTTGACTTTTTTGTTGACAAATACTAAGTGTTGACAAGGGATTTAGTGACATAGAAATCCTTATATCCTATTAATGACAGGGCAAAGTAGTATAGCCATGTAGAAATTAACTTGGCATCATCTTATAAAATTAAAAATTTACACATCTATAACACCTTATTTTTCTTTCAGTACCTTTTAAAGATGTTGTTGCTACATTGTCTTCTTACTTGCATTATTTCCAACAAGAAATCTGATGTTTTCTTTGTGCCTCTGTGTGTAGCATGTCTTTTTATCTCCGATCACTTTTGAGATTTTCTCTCACTAACTTTCAGTAATTTGATTATTAAATCCTTACGCTGTTTTCTTCATGGTTTTTGTTGTTTGGGGAGTGTTTTTATTTGTTTTTGTGCTTGGGGTTCATTGAGAATCTTGGATTTATAAATTTATAGTGTAGGGGAGAAAAAATAATTTTTCTTCTACCCTTCTGAGTTCTCAGCTGGGACTTTTATAACAAGACAGATTAACAACAGAAAAGCAGATAATCAGGGAAAAATGAGTAACTCTCAAAGAGGTGGCCTAGAATTTTAGCTTATGTAGCATCTTCAACTAAAAGAAAGAAAGAAGGGTGTTGGGAAAGCAAGCTATGGGAAAGTGTTCAGGAAAATCAAACAAGAGTAAGGTTTATTATGCAGATTTAAATTGGTGCCTTCTCCATTGATAAGAGCCTTTTGTGATTTAGTCCTCCTTCTTTTCCCAGCCCAGAGAGGGAGATAGCCTTAGAAATGGAGATTTCTTTTAAAAATGTAAATTTCCCTTACAGAAGGGTAACTTCTACTGTGTTTTTAGAATTCTCCTGTGTCTACTGTTTCTCAAAATAATCAGCTCAAAATAATCCTTATGCCAAAAAGTCATATTTTAGGGTGGCACATGCCTGTCTCCTACAAGTTTTCATCAAGTTTGAAAACTTTTTGGTCATTCTTTGTTCAAATATTTTTTCTATCTGTTACCAGGAAGGGGTCCCAATCCAGACTCCGAGAGAGGGTTCTTGGATCTCATGCAAGGAAGAAGTTGGAGTGAGTCCATAGAGTAAAGTGAAAGCAAGTTTATTTAAGAAAGTAAAGAAATAAAGAATGACTACTCCATAGGCAGACCAGCCCCAAGGGTTACTGGTTGGCTATTTTTGTGGTTATTTCTTGATTATATGCTAAACAAGGGGTGGATTTTTATTCCTTTCCAGGAAAGCGGGGGCAATTCCAGGAACTGACAGTTCCTCCTCTTTTTAGACCATATAGTGTAATTTCCTGACGTTGCCATGGCACTTGTAAACTGTCATGGTGCTGGTGGGAGTGTCTTTTAACAGGCTAACGGATTATAATTAGCATATAACGAGCAGTGAGGACGATCAAAGGTCACTTTCATCACCATCTTGGTTTTAGTGGCTTTTGGCCAGCTTCTTTACCATATCCTTTTATCAGCAAGGTCTTTGTGACCTGTTCCTTGTGCTGACCTCCTATCTCATCCTGTGACTAAGAATGCCTTAACCTCCTGGGAATGCAGCCCAGTAGGTCTCAGCCTTATTTCACCCAGCCCCTATTCAAGATGGAGTTGCTCTGGTTCAAACGCCTCTGACATATCCACCTTCCTCTTTTTTCAAGGACTCCAATTGTAACGCTAAAGATTTTTGCCTTAGCCAGACCAAACAATTGGTGTGGCGGCTGCCCGTGGCGATGGAAACACGGACCAAGAGAAAAAAAGCTGTAGGCTTTATTGAGCAGAGTGACAGTACAAAGCTTTTCAGCGTGGAAGGGGTTTCGAGCGGGTAGTCAGAGGTCGATGATGCAGTTGCTTTTGAAACTCTTTAAGGCGGGAAATACGTGTAGAGGGAAGATGTTATCAGAGCGAGAAACAAAGGCAGTAAATTATTTTGTGACATGTCTTAGATTTTGAGGAAAACCAGAATTGTAACTTAGGTTTTACTTATTTTATGACCTTGCAGCAGTATGGCAAAGGAAACAATCTTACAGGACTTTATAAAGTATGTTTACAAGGAATTGGAATTGGGAGTATAGATAAAGTTCGCTGGTCATAGAAAAACAGGCATTTAATATTCCTTTTAGTTTTAGGGGAGGGGGAAGGGAGAGAGGGAGAGAGGACACAGGGAAGCTTACAGCAAAATTTTTGCTGTTTATAGCTTTTTTTGGGAAGAAAACACATGCACAAATCCTGGTGTTAGGAATATTTTAAGCATATATCTTTAATATTATTCATTCAGGACCGAAGTAAGTTCTGATGCAGAAAATGAGTGAGTTTTACAGCTTTCTGAGCCCCTGTTTGACTCAGGAAGCCCAGCTGGCCCCCTCCTTTCAAAATTACACATATATTAGGCCACTTGAAGTTGTCCCACACCTCACTGATTCTCTTTTCATTTTTTTTAACCCTCTGTTTCATTTTGGATTGTTTCTATTGCTCTGTCTTTGCATTCATTAATCTTGTTTTCTGTGGTCTAATGTGCTCTCAATCCCATCCAGCATACTGGTTTTCATCTCTAGAAGTTGGATTTTAGTGTTTTTCTATTTTCCATGTCTTAATTGAGGTAAGACCCTTCTGGGTTCTCTATCACATGCCTTGTGAATTGTGCTCTCCTTTTTTGGGAACTGGCACTATTTCCAGCCCTGTGTGAGTGTTGGGTACTGTTCTAGCTAATGCTTTCAAGTGGTTCTTTCCTGGGGTAGTTTTTTCACACACATGCACCTGTGAAATTAAAGAAAAAGAAGAAGAAGAAACTTTTTATCTGAGGAATGTGAGCCCCTTTAAATTATCAAGCTTGGAGAGGCATTGGAATGAAACTGCAGTCACATCACTCCCCCTTGAGTGATTATCTTGTAAAGCCACTTGCTATACGGGCTCCAGACTAACTGATGCCAAGCAGCCATAAAATACCATATGCTGGACACCACGACTCATATCCTATAGTTCAACAGTGTATAACCAATAACTAATCCATGTCATCTCTGTAAGCCAATGAAAATTTCTATCAAAGAACTTTGTATCCATCCACTTCTTCTTACTTTTGCCTTTAAAAACCTGCTTGTAACAAAAGCTGATTGAGCACTCCCTGAGTTAACTTGGAAGTGTGTCCTGGGCAGCTGTGCTCACTTTGGCTCAAGTAAACTCTTTAAATTATATCTTGTGCTTCAGCCCCTTCCTTCTAGATCAGCACACTGATTACTACTCTGCTGAATACTTGGTGGGGACCCTCAGCAGATCTCTGGAATTCTCTCTGTGTGCAGCTTTTTCATTTCCATTTCTTGGATCCATGAGTTCTAGCCACCTTGGTCTCTCCAGACTCAGCTCTGTCTCCTCAATTCTGGGACTCCACTGGGACCTGCCTGAGTTCCCCTGTACCACAGCCTGGAGACCCTCTCAATGCAGTAGGTGAGGCAATTGCAGGGCTCATCTTTTTTCTTCCCTATCTCTCAGGGGTGACTGTCTTTTGTTGCCTGATGTCCACAGTTTCAAAAAAACATTGTTTCATGTATTTTGTTGTTTTGTTTAATTTTGTTTAGTTTAATTTTGTTTCAGGTGAGAGGATAAATTCAGTCTCTGCTACTCCATCTTGGCTGGAAATCTGGTATATCATTAATAATATTCTTGTTGTTAATTTGGGTTGTGGGTTTATAAATGTTCATTTTCTTATTTTGCATCATTAACCATATACACATATATATTACACATTTTTTCATTTGCGTAAAATATTAGTCAACTTTTTTAAGTTCTAAAAGAAAGTGAAGAGCCCTGGGGCGGAACAAGGGCAAAGAAGTAGGAAGAGTCTGTGGCCAACCTCTTAACTCACGTACCTTTCTGACCCTTCTACCTCTTCTACCTAGAGCCCTCCATCTCAGCCAGCTCCCCCGTCCTTGTCACCATGACTCTGAAGGTGCCTTTCTGACACACCAAGATGGTCAAGGAAAAATGGTGCTGGGTTAGGTGACAGGGAAGATCATGAGCTTTCATACTTTATGATCTGACAAGCCACTGTAGCCTCTCACATTTATATACTAAGTGAGGGTCTTTCAGAATAGCGCTTCAGTGTCTGCACCTGACTCACACTATTAGGCAGTTAAAAGCTGGGGAATGAGCTCATGTGAAGAGTTTTTCCATTTCAGATGATAGCTATTTTTAGGAACACAAGCTACATAAATGTTTTAACCCTTTTCCCATCCTTTTCCTCTTGCTGCTGTGATACAGGAAGAAAATCAAAATGGAGTGACCTTGCTATCTGGGGAAAGATGAAAACTGCATGTGCAAAAGCAAACAGACTGAGATTTATAACGAGTTGATCCCTTAAAAGCTTAGGAAAGAATCTCAAGGGCACATAGGAAAATAAGCAAAGGGCTTGATAGATATATTCATGACAACACAAGAAGGTGAAGTCGGGAAGAGGAAATGGACAAGGTCATCCCAAATTGAAATAACTTATAAAAGATAAATTATAATATCTCCAGAAATTAACTGTAAAGATTCCTATAAAATCATAGATGATAATTTTTTAAAATAAAAGATTGAGTAGTAAGAATAACTAAGAATAAAAAATTAATGAGTTCCTAGTGGAAACTTAAAATTGAACCACTGGGGGACTTTCTATAATGAATGGCAGTTGAAGAAAAAAATTGGGTAAACTTTATATGAATATTTGAGAAACACCTCAAGCATTAGCAACTACATAAAAGTTATACATTTCACCTGTCCAAGAGCTGTTACAACAGTATACAAAACATATTAAGCAAAATTGTACTATAGACAATTACTTATATGCAATTCTTTACTTAAAATTTAGCAGATACATTTGAATAGTTTCTAAAACACATGATCATCAAAGAAGGAATTGAGTAGGAAATAAAGCATTACTGTTTTTTACTCATAAAGAGATGAAAATAAAATAAATTATTGGTCAATTCTTTATGAGATTTAAATTATCTTAGCATTTATTTGTTTGTTTTTGAGACAGGGTCTTGCTCTGTCACTCAGGCTACAGTGCAGTGACACAATCACAGCGCACTGCAGCCTTAACCTCCCAGACTCAAGCAATCCTCCTTCCTCAGCCTCCCAAGTAGCTGGGACCACAGGCATGAACTACCATGCCCAGCTAATTCTTTTTATTTTTAGTAGAGACAGGATCTCACTATATTACCCAGGTCAGTTTCAAATTCCTGGGCTCAAGCAATCCACACACCTTGGCCTCCCAAAGTGTTGGGATTATAGGCATGAGCCACTGCACCCAGCCTATCTCATCTTTTAAAAAAAACATATCAAATAATTGTTCATAAATCATTTTCTGTAGTAGAGAGCAATTTTTCTTAAAATTGGCAAATAAGATTTTGCATCTACCTTTGAGAAAATTGTATTTGTAAAGTGATTTTAAAAGAATGAAGCCTATGAGTATGATGGCATTATAAAAGTATCAGTGGCCAGGCGCAGTGGCTCATGCCTGTAATCCCAGCACTTTGGGAGGCTGAGGCAGGCGGATCACAAGGTCAAGAGATTGAGACCATCTTGGCCAACATGGTAAAACCCCGTCTCTACTAGAGATACAAAAATTAACTGGGCATGGTGGTGTGCACCTGTGATCCCAGCTACTGGGCAGGCTGAGGCAGGAGAATTGCTTGAACCTGGGAGGTGGAGGTTGCAGTGAGCCAAGATCGTGCCACTGCACTCCAGCCTGGGTGAGAGAGCGAGACTCCATCTCAAAAAAAAAAAAAAAGTATTAATATATGGAAATACAAATGTCATATATAGATGTAAATTCTCCTAATTGTTCTTCTGAGCATCATGATTTTTTTCCATGAATTTTTATTTTAAGTTCCAGGGTACATGTGCGGGATGTGCAGTTTGATTACATAGGTAAACGTGTGCCATAGTGATTTGCTGCACAGATCAACCCATCACCTAGGTATTAAGCAAAGCATTTATTAGCTCTTCTACCTGACATTCTCTCTCTCCCAACCCCACCCGACTGGCCACAGTATGTGTTGTTCCCCCACCATGTGTCCGTGTCTTCTCATCGTTCAGCTCCTACATATAAGTGAGAACAGAGCATCATGATTTTCATTGTCCATCAAATGCTAGAAGACTACTCTGCTTTTGTTACTATGTTTGCCCCATTTTTCTAGCTCTTCTTACATGAATTTAAACCTACATCAATGGCTATTTCCTCAACATTTGGAAACAACAATACTTATTAGAAAGAAAGTATTTTATCCTTCCAGGCTATAGATCTTACATTCCTCTTACACAACAATCCTAATTCCCTCATGTTATCCTGATCAATGAAATGATTTCACTTATTTTTCAAAGAAGTAGCTATTTTACTACAAAGCAGGAATCACAAGGCATGGGGTGGGCACTGTTATACTCCATCAGTGAGTATGTAAAGGAAATCAAACTGTCTGATTTTGAATCCTGCTTCTATTTTTCACAACCTTGGACAAATTACTGATTTCCTCTTTCACTAGGTTTATCATTTGTAAAATGGAGATACTAGTGTCTACTCATGGATTATTGTGAGGCTTAAATAAGAAAACATGTATCAAGCATATTTGTCTGGCTTGTAATAAGCACTCTAAAATTTATGCAGTGATGAGGATAATGATCATAGACAATCTGATAGCATCTTATCCAAAGGAAAAAATGCGCATTTCCTTTGAGTAAGCACTACTGATTCTAGGAATGTGTCCTAAGGAAAAAATAAGTCAAATGTTTAAAGGTAGTCACAAGACTATTTTGGTAGTAAGCAGTCTTTTTTACTGGTCACACAGTAAAAAATTAGAAATAACCTACATGTTCATGAAGAGAAGTTGGTGAAATAAATTATGGTACATGCATACAGTAGAAAACTTTGGAGACAAAATAGTAAAATAGTTACAGATATAGGCTTTGAATATAAATTTTAACAAGCTGAGGCTTCTCTCATCTCTTCAGAACACCCTGAGTTCTTCCCGGCCTTTCTTCCTTGCTTTTCATTTGTGTCAGTCAGCTCTTGCTTGTATAGCAATCTTCAAATCTCAGTAGCATATAAAGGTAAGCATTTAGTTCTCACTTACAAGTTTGCAGGGCAGGTGAGGCAGGTCTGCCTCAAGCCACAATGTCTAGGACAGCTCTGTTTCACACGGTGGCTGACTAGCTAAAAAATGTTCTTGTCTCAGCAATCACAGGAGAACAAGAGGGTGAGAGATAATGTGTGAAGCTTCCTAAGTGCTAAGTTTGAAATTAGCACCATGTCATTTCCATTCACATTTCGCTGGCCAATGAAAGTCTCATGATGAGCCACAGTCAAGAGTCAGAGATGTACCCTCATGAGGCTGTGGAGAGAGTGTAGATTCAGGGAGCGGTGAGAAACTGGGGCCAGTACACCAATCTACAGCATGATTTGTCATCATTTTTCATTCTCTGCTAGTAAGATTGCCAAAGTCTCTCTGCACTCATTGAATTCATCCTAGTTTCCATTTAGCTCTCTTTCTCTCTTACCACAATACCTAAAAATCTTTTTATGGGGTTACAACTCTGTCTCAGGAGCCACCTCAGTTTGGTGGCACAGAGCTCCCCACTTGTACTCTGAAACTCTTTTCTTGAAGATATTGCTATCCATGTGCATGAGTTATTTTTCTTCTCCATAGCATCCACATTAAACAATTAATTACCTTGGATTTAGCCAAAATAAACACTCCAAATTCATGATGTCTTTCAGGAAGAGAGTTTGTTTTCTTTTTTAACCAAAATGGGAGATTGATCCTGTCTGTGTCCCCTAGAGGAGCAGAGGCTGGTTTGTATTAGGGCAGCTCTTGTAGATGAGTAACTTTTCCCATGGCCTCATAGAGGCTGATATAGAAACTTCTGGATTCAAATGATTGTTTGGAGGCATTAGCCAGGCATTGAACCAATTATAAAGAGTGAGGTTTTGCCATATTCTAACCCTAAGAAACAGAAACGGTAGAGGGTAAAAATAGAATAGAATGTCAATACAACTTTAGCCTTTTCCCTGGATTCTGAGAGTTCATAACCTGAAAATCAGAGATTCAAACTGGGAGAGATGGGCTAACAGGTATGAGCATGGGAAAAGCATGTTTCAAGAATTTGAGATGTATTTCCCAGAAAAGGAACATGATGAAAATGGTCAGAAAAGGCAATTTCCTTCCTCTTTTCTAATTTGGCTCTGGAGCCACCAGCAGAACCTCTTCAATATCTTGCATGTTACAGATTTCACTACTCCCACCAGCTTGGAGACAACATGTGGTTCTTGACAACTCTGCTCCTTTGGGGTAAGTTGGACTCAGAGGGGACAGTTAGAAGGGTACAGGCTGTGGCTGTTGTGAGTCAAGAGTTTTGTCTTCCTGTGGTAACTCTGGGTAGAACTCATGAGTATGAAGCAACTTGTATCTGTGCTTCCACTGTTTATTAGAGCTTATTTTATGAAAAGGATGGGAAGGGCAACCCTGAGGTAGCATTAAGCCTGGACACACCGCAGTGAAGTTTCCTTGATAACCACCTGTAGCTTGTTCAGTTCTGTTAGTACTGGATTTTGAGAAAGAGAAATAGAAACTCAAGAGATCTGAGTTGATCCCTCAGAGTCTACATTAATTCTGTCTCCCCAATTCTCTCTTCCTCATTATTTTCCTTGGACCAACTGATATCTTTATTCTCTGATCTCTTGCAGTTCCAGTTGATGGGCAAGTGGGTGAGTGATCTCTAACTCAGCTTCTCCTTCTATGCCACTTTCCTACTTCCAAAGGATGGGTCCTATTAACCTGCAGAAGAGCATATAGAGAAAGCAGAGAAAGAAGAAAGATTTATAAATTATGTAAAATCTCCCATATTCAGAGCATGATTTTCATAAAAACTATGATTTGTAGGCTTTCTTTCTAAAGTTTTCTGAATGAGCTCTTTCCTCTGAGCGAAATGCCTGAATGTATATATAACAGCAGGAAAGGGCCAGAATTGCACAAACACTAAAGTAGTCTGCTGACACTGAAGTAGTCTGCTGGGTTTCCCAACATCCCCTAAACCAGTCCCCTTTACAAGAAAGCAGAGTGGGTTTTTTCTCCTCAGAAAGAGCCAGGCAAATACTGAAGGCTTCAAAGAGAGGAGTTTGAACCTCCGTTTCCAATGTACAAGCTGCTGAAGCCCTGCAACGTACTCTCAGAGACAGTATAGCTCAGAGGATAAGGAAAACAGCTCCGCTTGGCTTGCCCAAGTCTAAAACCCTGCTTCATTGCTCCCAACAGAAAAACCTACATCAGTAATTTAATCCTCAGGAGCCCCAGATTCCCAACACCCAGATGAGGATTTAATAACAATGAACAGAGGTCTCTGCAGCAGGAGGACACTCTTAAAGGCTGGCTTTTGTAGGTTTCCACTTGCCTATTTTTCAAATAAATCTAAATATGTATTTTTCCCTTGTGCTATCCACAAAAGCCTCACCAGTTGCTCAGAGCCCTCCCCTTTACTCCACTTGATCTTTTTCTTTTTCTTCTTGTAATCTCCAAGTAGACACCACAAAGGCAGTGATCACTTTGCAGCCTCCATGGGTCAGCGTGTTCCAAGAGGAAACCATAACCTTGCACTGTGAGGTGCTCCATCTGCCTGGGAGCAGCTCCACACAGTGGTTTCTCAATGGCACAGCCACTCAGACCTCGACCCCCAGCTACAGAATCACCTCTGCCAGTGTCAATGACAGTGGTGAATACAGGTGCCAGAGAGGTCTCTCAGGGCGAAGTGACCCCATACAGCTGGAAATCCACAGAGGTAATTATGACTTGGACCAGGAGGGCCGGAAACTACAAGGTCTTCCTCTGCGTTCTCTCCTTTCTGGATGCCAGATGTGTGTGTGTGTCGATTTATCTGGGTGCAGGTCTCAGCACTATGTACCTACCAGGTGAAACTAAATCAGTATACTCAAAACATCACAGCAGGGTCCTTAAACTGTGTACCAACAGTACCTCAGCTGGGCCAGCTCTAAGTAGGATGTCTAGAGTAAGACTTCGGCCCTAAGATTGTATCATTATTCCAAATGTATGCCTGTACATAGTAAATAATAATAATTCAAACAAATGAGCAATAATGAATAATGAAATATCTTCCTCCCACCCAAAACCCTAGATCTGCAGTCACCTTCCACAGAAACAAAACTGCTAATATATATATACATATTATGCATATATATGTATATATTAGCATTATTATATATAAACTATATATATATACACACACATATATATAGTTTTAAAGCTGTGGGTGGTAGAACACTTTCTAAGTATTGTCCTATATCTTACTTTTATCACTTAAAATACCTTGAAGTTCTGTTTATATTAATAGAAATCCACTTTAAAATGTCTGCTGCACAGCTGTACCAGAATTAATTTAACCATTCTGCCTATTGGCAAATTTGTAAGATGTTTCCACTCTTTTGATTTTACAAGCATTGCTGCAATAATTATCTTTATACATACATTCCGGGGGCACATTTCATAGGGTATCTGTAAGATAATATTCTGGACATGGAATTATTGTCATATTTTAATAAATGGAAGCAGAAAAGCCCACCACCCACTTAAACCTGTAAGGAGTTTCTATTCATCAAGAGACGGAGACTGCAATATTCTTCAGGGAAAAATGCTTCATTCAATATGCAAGACAAAATAACCAAATGTATTATTTAGTTATTCAGAAGTGATGAGTTTAAACTTCTTTAAAAATGATAATGCAAAAGTTAATCCACACTGGAGGCAAAATTGCCTTTATGCAGACATGGTTGCTGTTAGAGGAAATGTGTTTTAGCCAAGGAAATGTTGAGAATGTCTGAGGGAAGGCTTGATGTTCCTCATGTGTCCCTTAGGTCTCTGTAAATAAGTTCTTAGGATGGAGAGGTTAGGGAAGCTGACAGAGCTGTTTCCTTTTTTTTGAGACAGAGTCTCACTCTGTTGCCCAGGCTGGAATGCAGTGGTGCGATCTTGGCTCACTGCAACCTCTGACAGAGCTGTTTCAACAAGACACTTTGGGTAATTCAAGCAGAAGTGTTTCATGGTTCAAGTGACAACAAAAGGACTAGGGCTGGGAAGAGTCCATTTTCTTTACCTCTACACAGACTCTAGGACACTCAGCATCAGTGACTTACTGAGAATCATATCTTTTTTACATTACATTTTAATGTGAATTTTCATTGAAATATAACTTATGTACAATAAGCCATAAATGTACGCCACAGTAAATTTTTTCAAAGTAAACAGCATCCAGATCTATTTTAGACATTTCCAGCACCTCAGAAACTCCTTCTTGCCCATTTCTAGTCCACCCCTGACACTGACTTCCAGCACCATAGGTTTTTTGCCTGTTTTTGAACTTCATATAAAGGGCTACGGTATGGGACAGGATGTACTCTTTTGTGTCTGGTTTATTTTTCTCAACATTATGATTGTGAACTGTATACATGTTGTAAATTGAAGTTCATTTGTTCTTATTACTGTATATTTCATATTTTCCCATTCTGCTGAGGGGCTCGGGTTGCTTCTGGTTTTGACCACTTACAAATAGTAATGCTGTGGATATTTTTGTTTACATGTTTCAAATATTTTCTACCATTACTAATGTTCAACAGTATCTGATGGAGGTATGTTACAATTTCCCACTCTTTTGGATATACAAATGCAAATTAAGCATTTCCCTAATGACTATGATATTGACCATTTTTCACATTTATTACCTATTTGGGTATCCTTTTTTGTAAGGTCTTTTTGATAATTTTTCTATTGTCTGTCTTTTTCTTACTGACTTATAGGAGTTATTTATATATTCTGGATATAAGTCCTTTTTCAAGAGTCTTAAATATCTTCTCCCACTCTGTGGCTTTTCTTTTCACTATAATATTAAAGTTTTGTTTGTTTTCAATGAACAAGACTTGTTAATTTTACTACAGTACAATACACCAACATTTTTGGTTGGTGCTGTCTATGCCCTATTTTAAAATGTTTCGCCACAGTCAGCCATGGGGAATTCAATTGCAGCTCACTGACTCTTAGTCATTTCAATTTAATCAGTATATGCTAAGACCAAGAAAATGCAGCTGGTTGGTGGACCCGAGCCCTAATCATATGGCTGACACCAAAGTCATGAAGGTAGGGGAATGATTGTTGAGTAGGAAATTAGTAATGTCTGCTAAAAGCTGCATCTCTTGAGTTTTGATATATAATACTACCATTACCACTTAAGTTTAAAAACTCATAAATTTCCATTATACATTATTTTATTCATGAATTACTTAGATGTTTTTTGGAGGGTAGTTTTTTGTTATTGATTTCTAATGTTATAGCACTTTGGTTAGAATTTGTGTTAAACATGGTATCAGTTCATTAGTATTTGTTGAAAATTGCTTTGTGGTCTAGTTCACACTTAATTTTTCTAATATTGCATGTGTGTTTGAAAAGCATATGAATTTTCTTTCTAAAGTAGAGCATCCACAAAATCAAGCCTATTAATTGTGTCATTCAGATATTTTCTACCATTACTAGTGTTTGACAGTTTCTGATGGAGATGTGACAGCATTTCCCACTCTTTTGGATATATAAAGCAAAGATGGCAGTGTTTGGGCAGTGCAGTCTTTCAGCATCTGCTGGCTGTGGGTGGGAATAAGGGAGGGAAGAGAATTAATTCTATTTGGAAGCATTATATCAGTATCCATGACTGTAAAATTCATGCTATGTATAGCATAGAAACACCTGTCTTCCATTCTTAGATAAGTTCTGGAGGGGAAAAAGGCACTATTGTCTCTTTTCCGCCTTAGTCTCCTAAGAACCCCATTTTTACTTAGCCAAACCAACTGCCTCTGGAGAAAAGAAAAGTAGTTGAAGCATTTTTGGTTATGTGTAGAGGTGTTTGTCGAAAGGAAAAACCCATTGACTTGGAGCTTGTTTTGCTAGTGATATCATTGATCTTACATATGTGAGTATTCATATCAATGTAGTAGGATGTTTATATCTGGATGTTTGCCCTTCTGTGTGTTTGTCTCAGGATGCGTGGTCCTATTAACAAATTTGTCAAGAGTTGGAGTGTATTTGTTTTCTATTGCTGTGTAACAAATTTAGCAACAACATACATTTAAGATCTTCCAGTTTCCATGGGTCAGGACTCCCATCACAGCTTAGCTGAGTGCTCTGCTGAGAGTCTTCCAAGGCTGCAGTTAGGGTGTTGACTTTGCTGTGTTTCTTTTTGCAGCTCTTCCAGGCTCACAAGGTCACTGGCAGAATTCAGTTCTTTGTGGTTGTAGGACTGAGGTTCCTGCTTTCTTGCTGCCCATCAGTGGGGGGCCACTCTCAGCTCCTAGAGGCCCTTGCCTTGTGGCACTCTTGCAGGCCCTCTCCTGGCGTGGCAGCTTACCTCTTCAAGTTCAGGAGGAGACTTTCCATCCAGACTGCTAAGATAGAGTCTTACATAATGTAGCAATCCCAAGAGTGACATTTCATCACCCTTGTCATATTCTGTTGGCTAGAAGCAAGTCATAGGTTCCACCCACACTCAAGGGGATTATGCAAGGGAGTGAGTCATTGGGATCATTTTAGAATTCTGCCTACCATGCTGTATGAACTGTTTTTGTTTCAACCAACTTCTGAGATCTGGAAAGGGAAGATAAGAAAGGGCTGTGTATGCAGTTGCCAGTAAAGATTGCTTTTCTTTCCACCAAAGCTAAAGATATTTGAGGAACCGGATATAGGCCTGAGATTTAGCAGAGCTCTGAGGCTGGATGTTGCAAGGAGAAAAAATAGGAAGCCCACAGGGCCAAGCTTGGGCCTCCTTGTACCTCCTCCACTGTATACATACATTTTGGGTTCATATTTTTCAGGCTGGCTACTACTGCAGGTCTCCAGCAGAGTCTTCATGGAAGGAGAACCTCTGGCCTTGAGGTGTCATGCGTGGAAGGATAAGCTGGTGTACAATGTGCTTTACTATCGAAATGGCAAAGCCTTTAAGTTTTTCCACTGGAATTCTAACCTCACCATTCTGAAAACCAACATAAGTCACAATGGCACCTACCATTGCTCAGGCATGGGAAAGCATCGCTACACATCAGCAGGAATATCACAATACACTGTGAAAGGTATTGTATTGGAATAGTCATAGAACTGATAGTCCCTCCCCCTGAGGGACCATCATAAATATTCTAAACTCCTCACTTTAATTTACAAGTGAAGAAACTGGGCTCCAGAGAGGTAAACTGCATTACTAAAGGCCACACCATGACCAGTAGCTGGAACCAGAACTGAGGTCTCTGGGTCCTAGTCCAATACTCTTTCCAGTGTACCGCAACCCCCATCAATAATCACAGGAGCTAATGTCAATGTCAGGGCATAATGGTGATCCATTTCATCCATCATTATTTTAGTTGTAAAGAATACAGACTCACTCTAGGTAGATAGGAGAGTTAGAAAATAATACCATGGAATCTCATGGAAGCCCCATAGAAAGAGAAACCTGGAAAACATGAGGAACGGGCTATACTGTCCATCTACCTCTCAGGGACAAAGCAGCCTCTGTGGTGCCACTTCTTCCTGAGCATCTGCAGGCTAAGCAGTTTGCATATGGCCTTGTTCTGACCCTTTCACGGCCTTTCCTCTTAATACAATCACTAGCAACCTTTCTCTGTCTGAGAAAAAAAAAGTTCACTCCTGTGGGAAAGAAATTATTGTCCCAGATTATCTTTTAAAGTCAGGAACAAAAATAATGAGTCACTGAAATGTGGCGGGCACCTGTAGTCCCAGCTACTCGGGAGGCTGAGGCAGGAGAATAGCATGAACCCGGGAAGCGGAGCTTGCAGTGAGCCGAGATAGCGCCACTGCACTCCAGCCTGGGCAACAGAGCGAGACTACGTCTCAAATAATAATAATAATAATGATAATAAAGTCACTGAAATGGCAAGTGTGTGAGTCAGGGTTCACTCCTAGTTGACCACTGCCAAAAGGGCATGGTTATTGACCAGATGACACGGTCATTCAGGGAAGGATGGACCATGTAGGGCAGGGGTTCCCAACCCTTACTGGTCCGTGGCCTGTTAGGAACTGGGCTGCACAGCAGGAGGTGAGCTTCTTCATGAGCCAGCATTACGGCCTGAGCTCCTCCTCCTGTCCAATCAGTGGTGACATTAGATTCTCATAGAAACATGAATCCTACTGTGAATTGTGCGTGCCTGATGATCTGAGGTGGAACAGTTACCTTCCAAAACCGTCCCCACTTCACCCCCCGGCTGTGGAAAAGTTGCCTTCCACAAAATCCATCCCTAGTGCCAAAAAGGTTGGGGACCACTGGTATAGAGGTATCCTCAGTAGGACTCAGCAAGCTGGCAACCCTAATTATGTCTATTAGGACACCCCAAGAATGGCTCTCTGCTGGAAGTAAAAAGGGTTAATGCCTTATGGATTCATTTTCTAGGGCCAGGTTTCCCAAGGGGGTAAAGGGCATGTCTTTTGTGAAAAGGACCTGGATGCTAAACAGGCAACCCTGTCCCCCATCAACTTTCTCCTTAGAGCTATTTCCAGCTCCAGTGCTGAATGCATCTGTGACATCCCCACTCCTGGAGGGGAATCTGGTCACCCTGAGCTGTGAAACAAAGTTGCTCTTGCAGAGGCCTGGTTTGTAGCTTTACTTCTCCTTCTACATGGGCAGCAAGACCCTGCGAGGCAGGAACACATCCTCTGAATACCAAATACTAACTGCTAGAAGAGAAGACTCTGGGTTATACTGGTGCGAGGCTGCCACAGAGGATGGAAATGTCCTTAAGCACAGCCCTGAGTTGGAGCTTCAAGTGCTTGGTGAGAATGACGGGAAGCCACTGGCACAGAAGAAGGGACTCCCTTATCTCCCATGGGACTGAGGTTTGTTCAAGGGTTTTTGGCCCAGACAAGAGGGGAAAGTCTCTTCAGGAAAAGCCCACAAGCAGGCCTTTCCATCCTTGATTCACAACATCACTCTTCTCCTCGCAAACTGTTAAATTTCCTTTCCTTTCTTTTTCTTTTTCCTTTGCCTTTCCTTCCTCTATTTCTTTCCTTCCTCCATTTCTTTCCTTCATTTTCTCCTCTGTCCTTCTTTTCTTCTCCTTCATTTTATTTTCCCCTCCCTCCCACTCTTCCCTCCACTCCATGACCCCTCCTTCTCTCTCTCTCTCTCTCCCTGCTTCCCTGCCTCCCTCCTCCTCACCAACAATCTCACCAACAATTTATCAAGTTCTTCCTATCTGTTGTCATACGTCTGGGGATATAAAGACATTTGAGTATAGTTCTTGCTTCAAGGAGCTCACAAGGTGGATTTATCAGACAGTGATTTTGTAAACTGCAAATCACCACCTCCCCAAGTATCTCTGTTTAACTGAGGCAGAGGGATTGTGAGCTCTAGAACAAAGTCTCCTTGGGGGGGAAAAAAGTTCATCTTCAACCCAAATTCATTTCAAGTATTAAATGGCACAGAGATATCAGTTGTCTCTGGAACTAGGGAGTAAGTCCACTGACAGGGCCCAGCAATTAAGCTCTTCCAAGGAGCCTGTCCCTGTCTATACACCATATAGCCAGTTAGAGCTACCGCCAGTTCCTTCCTGCTCCCTGAAATGACCAGTGCCTCCCTAAGGACAGGCACATCAGGTCTCAGCCAACCTTCCCTTCCAAACATAACTCAGCCAGACCCCTCTGGTCTCTAAATAGTATCTCTTCTCTTTGTCTTTTTCTGTTTCAGGCCTCCAGTTACCAACTCCTGTCTGGTTTCATGTCCTTTTCTATCTGGCAGTGGGAATAATGTTTTTAGTGAACACTGTTCTCTGGGTGACAATACGTAAAGAACTGAAAAGAAAGAAAAAGTGGAATTTAGAAATCTCTTTGGATTCTGGTCATGAGAAGAAGGTAATTTCCAGCCTTCAAGAAGACAGACATTTAGAAGAAGAGCTGAAATGTCAGGAACAAAAAGAAGAACAGCTGCAGGAAGGGGTGCACCGGAAGGAGCCCCAGGGGGCCACGTAGCAGCGGCTCAGTTGGTGGCCATCGATCTGGACCGTCCCCTGCCCACTTGCTCCCCGTGAGCACTGCGTACAAACATCCAAAAGTTCAACAACACCAGAACTGTGTGTCTCATGGTATATAACTCTTAAAGCAAATAAATGAACTGACTTCAACTGGGATACATTTGGAAATGTGGTCATCAAAGATGACTTGAAATGAGGCCTACTCTAAAGAATTCTTGAAAAACTTACAAGTCAAGCCTAGCCTGATAATCCTATTACATAGTTTGAAAAATAGTATTTTATTTCTCAGAACAAGGTAAAAAGGTGAGTGGGTGCATATGTACAGAAGATTAAGACAGAGAAACAGACAGAAAGAGACACACACACAGCCAGGAGTGGGTAGATTTCAGGGAGACAAGAGGGAATAGTATAGACAATAAGGAAGGAAATAGTACTTACAAATGACTCCTAAGGGACTGTGAGACTGAGAGGGCTCACGCCTCTGTGTTCAGGATACTTAGTTCATGGCTTTTCTCTTTGACTTTACTAAAAGAGAATGTCTCCATACGCGTTCTAGGCATACAAGGGGGTAACTCATGATGAGAAATGGATGTGTTATTCTTGCCCTCTCTTTTGAGGCTCTCTCATAACCCCTCTATTTCTAGAGACAACAAAAATGTTGCCAGTCCTAGGCCCCTGCCCTGTAGGAAGGCAGAATGTAACTGTTCTTTTTGTTTAACGATTAAGTCCAAATCTCCAAGTGCGGCACTGCAAAGAGACGCTTCAAGTGGGGAGAAGCGGCGATATCATAGAGTCCAGATCTTGCCTCCAGAGATTTGCTTTACCTTCCTGATTTTCTGGTTACTAATTAGCTTCAGGATACGCTGCTCTCATACTTGGGCTGTAGTTTGGAGACAAAATATTTTCCTGCCACTGTGTAACATAGCTGAGGTAAAAACTGAACTATGTAAATGACTCTACTAAAAGTTTAGGGAAAAAAAACAGGAGGAGTATGACACACACAGCAACTTGATTCTAGATTATTTGGTTTGATCCGTAAATGATGGGATGGGGCGTCGCGCTCCGAGCGTGTCCCGCGGCGGGCCCCTGGAGCCACACTGTGGCCGCATGTGCATATTGCAGCCTCCGCCCGTATCTGGGGGCCGCAGCCGCCAGCGCCCGGGGACCCAGCTGCGGCGAAAGCTGTCGGGCGCGCGCTTCTCCGCAGCTCCGCGCCCCCGCCAAAACCCAGTGAGAAATTATTTGCATTCCTGGAGCCTGCAGGAGCGAGAAATGAGCTGTAGGAGTCGGTGGGCAGCAACGGCGGCAGGCGGATGGAAGAGAGCAAGGGGTCGCCGTTCGTGTCCCATTCGCCCGAGTCAAGGGGCGGCCCCCCAAAATCCCAACGTCATTGTTTCCTCGGGGCCGGCAGGTGTGAAAACCCGGCGGCAGAATGGAAGTTCGGTAGTCTGCGAGGGCCCGCGGCCTCCCCAGGCGCGTAGCTGAGTCCCTCCAACCCCGCCCCGGGCCCGCCTGCTCTCGGGCCCCGGCGTGGCGCCACCTGGCGGCCGTCTGTGGAGGTTGCAGCTGCCGCCAAGCCACGGGGATGCTGCCGGCCTCAGGTGCGCCCGGCCAAGCCTCCGCGGAGAGGAGGACTGGTAGATCACAGGAAACGGGAGGACGGCGCTGGGCTCCCAGCAGGCGCCCCAGCTTCTTGGCTTGTCGCAAGAGCAGCCGGAGGCGGCGGCGGCAGGGAGGGAGCGGGTGGGGAGTGGGAGAGGCCGCCCGCCTCCCCGTCCAGCTCGGAGGACCTCCCAGCTGGTTCCCTCACCGTCAAAAGCAGGAAGGGAGCTGGCTCAGCGGGATCAGCAAGCCAGCGGGCAAGAAGGCTCCAGGCTCCGCAGGGGCCACCCCACATGGACTCGGGAACCGCCGAGCTTCACTCACAAGGGCCCACGGCCCATCCTATCACGGACGAAAAGATTACAGGACTGACAATGAGCCCCTGGAGGGATCTGATGCAGCTGGCGGGGAGAAAGGTGGGTCGGACTTAGAGGGGTGGTGGGGTGGAGGAATATCTTTCTTCTCCCTGGGACCTACCGAGGCTTCACCTGTGAGGGTCTTGGGCCCATCCTTCAATCCGAGAGCTTCCAAGCCAAAGCACAGCTCCCCAGAGTGGACAAGTGGAGCAGAACCGGCATTAGGTTGGGAGGGTGGGTCGTTAGGGGTAGTTCTTCACCTTCCAGGCTGGGTATGGAGACCTCTAAATTCATCCTAGGGCCACAAGAGCTTCTGTAAGAGTTCAGGCCCGTTTCAGAACACTCAGAGGTTCCTAGCCTGAGAAGTAATCCCCAAAGCAGACCAACCGGTTTGGGGTAAAACAGGAATAGTTGGGTCCATTCTGGATCTTTCCTAGCTAAATGCCTTCAGGATTTAGGAATATTTTCCTAGGAGGGCCAAGGATTAGCTAGACCTGCCCAGCGATTCCAGCCCTGAGAACCAGACAGAATGGAGGTATAGCCGACAGCTGGCTGGGAGGGGGCTGACGGTCCTCACTGCCACCAGGCTTAGTTGGAGACAGATTCCCCGGGCTGTAGAGAGACAACAGTAGAAGCAAAGAGACCAGTTAGGAGTCTAGGTGAGAGGCAGCGGCAGCCTGGACTAACATGGTAACAGTGGAGCTATTGAGAGTGGTCACATTTGGAAGATGTTTTGTAGGAAGTGTCAACAAAGTTTCTTATTGATTAGATGTAGGGAATGTGAGAAAGAGAAGGCGGGGGGAACACGTAGATTTTGGGTCAAAGCAATAAATATTCCATTGACAGAATTGAGACAGCAAGTTGGTGGAGGAGGGGAACGGGGTAGCAAGAAGCAAATGTTTCATATTGGAAATTTTAAGATTCCTATTTGACATTTAAGAGTAACTCTTGAAAAAGCAATGGATATATGAAGAATCCTAGACTAGAGATACAAATTTGCCAATCATCATATAGATGTGGTATTTAGAGTCAGGGGACTAGAAAGAACAATGTAAGGGGGAAGTACAGATAGAAAAAGGTCTAAGGCTGAGCCATGAAATATGCCACATTTTAGAGGTTGCGTAGAAGAGGTGGTAGCAAAGGATATTGATAAGGAGTACCAGTGAGGTAGGAGGGAAAACAGAGAATAAAACGTCTCAAGAAAGAGAGATCAACTATGTCAAATTCTCCTGAGAAAACTATTGGATTTGGAGTGGGACTGCACTAAATCTGTCGATCTTTTTGGGGCAGGGGCGGGAGGGAGAGGGTTAGGGAGGATTGATATCATTCCAACACTGACTTTCCAATCCATAAACAAGGTATAACTCTCATTTATTTATGTCACTGTTAATGTCTCACAACAATATTATAATATTCTCTCTAGATGTGTTAGATGTATTCTTAGGTCCTTCATTTTTGTGTTATTGTAAATGGTATTGTCAGAATCTTCAGAAGTAATTATTGGCCAGGTGCGGTGGTTCATGTCTGTAATCCTAGCACTTTGGGAGGCCAAGGTAGGCAGACACTTGAGCCAGGTGTTGGAGACCAGCCTGGGCAACATGGCAAACCTCATCTTTATAAAAAATACAAAAATTAGCCAGTGGCACACGTCTGTAGCCCCAGCTACTCAGGAGGCTGAAGTAGGAGGATCAATTGAGCCCAGGAGGCAGAGGCTGCAGTAAGCCAAGGTCGCACCACTGCACTTCAGCCTGGGTGGCAGAGGGAAACCCTGTCTCAAAAATAAATAAGTAAATAAATAAATAAATAAATGATTATTACCAGTCTCACAGCTGAGGCAGAAATTTAAAACAAATAAATAATAAGTACTGCATTTATTCACTCCAAGAAAAGTAAAAGCTAAGGCCCAGAATGTGGCAAGACAAGGGTTAAAAAGAAGAAAACAAGTTTTCCTCTGCCTAGCAAGCTTACTTCAAGGACAGTTATAAGATAACGCTGTCCAAATAGCCAAGGTCAAAGGAATAGGCTCCAGACACCCCTCCCTTCCAGAGCAAGGTTGAAGGAAGAAAAAGAGAAAGATTCTTTTACTGTTACTCTTTCCCCAGGCCTCTTAAGCATTATTTACAAATGTCTGTATTTAGCCAGTTTTTGTTTTTCTTTCGATGCAACTACAAGGTCACCAGCTATGCAAGGTCACAAGTTATGTTATGCTATAGATTATGTGACCTGTCACTGTATGATTAACTGCTTTTGTTTTGTGTCTGTAAGGCCGCTTATAAAAACCCCACTCTGTCTTTGTTCAGTGCTCAGCTTTTTAGATGCAAACCTGCTGAGCCGTGCGTACCTAAAATAAACAACAATCCTCCTGTTTTTCCATATTGGCCTCTCCTTTCCTCAGTTTACCACAACATAGCCATAATAGTATAAAAACTGAAAGACCCTAAGACACATATACATTAAGCTTGGCAACGGAAAGCAGGATGTCACACACACACAAAGCTAGTAATGTGAAAATCTGGTCTTGCATAAGGTCTTTTAGGTACAGACTTCTTTGTTAATGCACATTGGCAGGAAAATGGGAACGAATAAAATTGCTTGCTGTCCTTCTCCCTTTATTCTCCACTTCTTGTTTTTTCTAAATGTGGGGTTAAAACTTCCATGAGGGTAAGAAGTTCAGTTTTCTGCCTTTCCCCTTCATCTCCCTATCACACATGTATACTACTCCTTAACACTTAAAGAAGATAAAAAAAGAATAAATTGTGGAGAGGGAGCATATGTGAAAGTAAAAGATTCCCAGACATAATATGGGAGTTAATGGAGAAAGAAAATCTCTAAGGAAGACTAGAAATAATTGGGTTAGGGATTCTCGAGAAGTAAATTAAATTCCCCAAATATGGTATTCTCTGAGAAGATAATTTTGAAGAAGCAATGGCGTGATATCCAGTGAAACAGCAGTCCTCTGGAGCCTGGCTGTGACTTCAAGGCCCAGTTCTTCTGGAAGGGCAGAAAAATACTTCGAAGAGGAGAAATGAGCATTTATATAGGTTTATAAGTACCATCTTTATTTTAGAAAATAATCATTTTCTACCTGGAATTCTAGTTTATTGTGACCAAAAATTGTAAAATTTCAGGATATGGCTGAATTAAAATCTTGGTCCTGCACTTAAATAGCTCCTTGAATTGCAATTTCTTATTCCAATTATTTTATCCTTTCATTCCACTGTGAAATCTATATCATGGCACTTAATAGTCAACTTTATTATTTTAATTTAACAAATGCTTATTTACCTTTCATGGGTTATTTCATTTAGCCTTCATAATATCTGTTGTCATTGCCTCACACTCAGTGGCTTTTAATACTATTCTATTATTTTGATCAATTTGTATAATATATTCTCTCCTCAGTGTTTGGTAAAGCTGTCTGGGCTTGCTTTTGTTTGTTTTTTGAGACAGAGTTTCGTTGTGTCACCCAGGCTGGAGTGCGGTGGCATGATCTCAGCTAACTGCAACCTCCACCTCCCAGGTTCAAGTGATTCTCCTGCCTCAGCCTCCCAAGTAGCTGGAATTATAGGCACACGCCACCACACCCGGCTAATTTTTGTATTTTTAGTAGAGACAAGGTTTCACCATCTTGGCTAGGCTGGTCTCAAACTCTTGACTTCAAATAATTCACCCACCTCGCCCTCCCAAAGTGCTGGGATTACAGGCATGAGCTGCCGCACCCGGCCTTGGTGCTATTTTTAAGGATATGTATATCTGATTTTTTTTTCTGTTTCTCTTATAGTTAATTCTTTAGTCAGGTATTTTACTTTTCTTAGCTCAACTTTGGTAATTTGTATGGAAAAGTCAACATTTTGTCTACATTTGCAAATATATATCAAAAATACACATCATTTTAATATCTACTATATCTAGTATTACTTATGTGCTTTTTCAATAGTAAGTTTACGGAAGGATTAACTCTTAATTTTCTTTTCAGGGAACACAGTGTTTGGTTTTATAAATTCCATTTTGGTGGAATAGGAAGGTATGATCTGTTTCATTGACTATGCTTTCATCTTACTTTATGCCTTCTACTTTCCACAGGTTTTTGTTGTGTTCCTTTGTTAGCGTTGGAGTTAAAAGCTTAATTCTCTCTCTGTTGCTCAGGCTGGAGTGCAGTGGCATGATCTCAACTCACTGTAACCCTCCACCTCCCAGGCTCAACGATCCTCCTGCCTCGGCCTCCCTAGCAGCTGGAACTATAGGCGTGCACCACGACATCCAGCTAATTTTTGTATTTGTTGGAGACACAGGGTCCTGCCATGTTGTCCAGGCTGGTCTCCAATTCCAGAGGCAATAATTGGGAGGCCAAGGCGATCTGCCTACCAATTATTTTCTCTTAAATGCATTTTAAAGCTACAAATTTTCTCCTGACTGATTCATGTAGGTTTTAATATTATTTGCCATGAAATATATTTCACAGTGGAATGACAGATAATTGGGATAAGAAATGGCAATTCAAGGAGTTATTTAAATATAGGGCTAAGATTTGAATTCTAGCTTACTGGGACCAAAGCTTGTGAAGTCTCAGGGTATGGCTGAATTATAGTGCTCTTGTTATTTCTAAAGAGTGTATAATTTTTATTCTGATATCCCCTTTAACCCATGTGCTTTTTCCTAAGAGTACAACTTAAGGAGGGCATGTTTGATTATTTTATTGTTTTATAATCAGTTAACTATGCCCTGGTCCTATATGGTTTCAGCTTTTCAGCACTTGTTGAGACTTAATTTGCCATCTCACTTATGGCCAATTTTTGTCAATATTCTATGTGAATTTGAAAATAATGTAACTTTCCTATTTTGAATATAAGATGGTATAGGCATAATTATAGTTATGATTAATCTTATTAACCGTGTTCTTCAAATTCTCCATATCCTCAATAAGTTTCAGTCAACTAGATCTGTCAATTCCTAAGAAAGGTATATTAAACTTATCACTGTGATTGTTGACTTATATGCACATATGTGTATGTATCCTTGTTAAATGCAAACAATTCATGGTCATTCCTTAATGGAGCACTACTTTTATGAATATGATATACCCTTCTAGTGCCATATATAAATGTATTTTTAAACCGACTTTAAAAAAAAAAAAAGAGGAACTTGCTCTGTCACCAGGCCAGAGTGCAAAGGTGCAATCATAGCTCACTGCAGCCTCGACCTCCTAGGCTCAAGCAATCCTCCTGCTTCAGCCTCCTAAGTAGCTGGGACTACAGGTGCATGTAACCATGCCTGGCTAATATTTTTACTTTTTGTAGAGACAAGGGTCTTGCTTTGTTGCCCAGGCTGATCTTGAACTCTTGGCTTCAAGTGATCCTCCTGCCTCAGCTTCCCAAAGTGCCAGGATTACATGTGTGACCCACCATGTAAGCCCACATTTTTCTAACTTCTACAGTAATATCTATATCCTATTTATTTATAACATAAATCTTACTTAGCTTGTTTTACTTCTCTTCACTCTTGCTTTCCCTACCACCCTTCTACATCACCTGGAATTTGAATTCCAGGTTTTCTTTTTAATTTTCTAGAATCTAATTTCACTTTGTTTAGCAATATCTTTTACCAAATACATGACCACCTTTGCTTCCATTATCTCACATCTTCCCTTATGATCTTTTTAAAATTATTGCTGGAATAGAATTCTGAAAAGTCACCCACACTTAAATGATAGTTTAATTGAATTCAAAATTATTTTCCCTAGATTTTAAAAAATAATGCTTCGTGTCTTCTTATATCCAGTGGAGCCCAAATGAGTTGGATGTAAATTTGACTTCCATTTCTTCATAAGCATTTTCCCTGAATATGTTTAGAAATTTCTCCTTGTTCCCAAATTTTGTCACTGTGAATCTAGGTGAGGGTCCTTCTCATCCTGTATGCTCAGAATTTAATAGGACCTTGCAATCTAAGGATGTATGTATGCATTTAGATCCTGTGAAATATCCTCCTTTTATTCCTTTATTTTCTCATGACTATGGTTGCATACTACACAATAGTAGGTTGTACACTACACATTGGCAAATCTTACTATTCAAATGACAGCCCCTGAAATTGTGCAGTGCACAATCAGCAAATCTTATTTGGTAGATCTGTATTTTATTTCTTACTTGTTCTCAATTCTCCCCTCCTCTCTAACTCCTCATCCTGTTACATGAGTTTGGAACATCTGGATCTATTTTTCATATCATTTAACTTTTCTTTCATCTCTGCATGCATCTTTTTATATGGCTTTGTGGAGGAATTTCTGGCTTATCTTGATCACGATGAGGCGGGAGAAACTCAAACTATGTGTTTCCTGTGCTTTCACACTACAACAATCAACACAGAAGACTGACGGCGGAGGGGGGTTCTCCACACAGCAAGCAAGCAATCAGTTCTGCAGTGGACACCAGCTGAGTGTACTCCAATTCAATTTTTACACTATTTATCAGGAGATCCCACAGGTTGAGGACTGAGTCTACCAGACTGCCCCCACTTCAAATGCCAGTTCCAAGTCTGGGCCTCCAGAACTTCTGACCAACCATTTCCAAGCTGGGGTTCCCATGGCTTCCTCCTTTGCATTGTATTAATTTGCTAGAGCAGTTCATGAAACTCAGAGAAACACTTGGGTTTACTGGTTTATAACAAAAAATACAGATGAAAAGATGCATAAGGCAAAGTATGGGGGAAGGAGCATGGAGCTTCCATGCACCTCCACTGGGTGCGCCACCCTTCAGGAACCTCTACATGTTCAGCTATCAAGAAGCTCTCCAAGCCCTGTCCTTTTGGGTCGTTATGGAGGCTCCATTGCAAAGGAATCACTGATTAAACCATTGGCCATTGGTGATCGGCTTAACCTTCAGCCCCTCTCCCCTCCCCGGAAGTTGGAGGTGGGCTGAAAGTCCCAACTCTCTAATCCTCCCCTTGTTCTTTCTGGTCACCAGCCCCCATCCTGAAGCTACCTAGGGGCTGCCAGACATCAGTCAACTCATTAATAAGCAAAACGACATCACACTTTGGTGTTTCTAAGGATTTTAGGAGTTGTATGTCAGGAAATGGGGTTGAAGACCAAATATATATTTCATAATAGCACAATCTTTCAGCTTATTTATTTTCTCTTGGCTTTATCTATCCTGTTCTGGATTTATCCCTTGTTGAATTTTTATGTCAATAATCAAATTTTAAATTTCCAAGATGTGGGAGCGCCCAGTTACTTGGCACATTTTCCTGCCTCCTTGAACCAAATGACCACACTCACTGCTGGGGTCAAAGATGTCAGTCACCAGCCAGACATGGTGGTTCACACCTGTAAACCCAGCACTTTGGGAGGCCAAGGTCGGTGGATCCCTTGAGCCCAGGAGTTTGAGACTAGCCTGGGCAAAATGGTGAAACCCCATCTCTACAAAAAATACAAAAATTAGCTGGTTGTGGTGGTACATGCCTGTGGTCCCGACTACTGGGGAGGCTGAGGTGGGAGGAGAGCTTGAGCCCAGGAGGTTGGGGCTGCAGTGAGTTGAGATTGTGCCACTGCACTCCAGCATGGGTAATAGAGTGAGACCCGGTCTCTAGAAAATAAATAAAAAGACTTCAGTCACCAAGGTAAGGAGATGGGTGGATATTCCTACTGTGGTACCTGAACTGTCATCCTATCAGTTGCCCCAAGACCAACTTTTGTCTCCTGGTTCCAAAACATGTGGATCATTTTTTGGTCCACTCCTGTCTTCTGCAGAAGTCCTCCTTGGCACTCTTCACTGTTACTCCATCTGCCATCTTTGTCAATTTTTTATCATTTCTAGGAATTTGGGGTGGAATATGAGAAGAAAGCAACATATCTTCAGGACACAATCTTGAATCAGTAGCTATTTTTCACCTGTGCATTAGAGATGGGAAACTTGCAGAGCACTTAACAGGACTTCCCTACAATCACCAACTAGTATTTATTGAATTGTTTATTAGTAGGAAACATTAAGCAATTATCCTTCATAAAAACATTATGAAGTAAGCATTACTATAGTCCCAGTTTTAAGATGAGAAAACACAGATTAAAAACATCCTAAAGAGCAGAGCCAAGTTACACTCCAGGTGGTCCGTCTCAGTAGCCTGAACTCTTTACTAATACACTATACGATGGCATATCCGGGTGATTTTGGGAACACATTATACTTCTACCCTGCCAGGAGGGCCAAATGTATTTACTTTGTCATCTCTGTGCTGTAAGGGGCCACATTTCTACCCATCAACTCAATCTACATTACTCAAGCATGCTTGTAATTCATATGTTATTTCCTCATGCCAGGAAGAACAGTCACAGTTCTGTTTCACTATGCTTTTATCTTTGAGACTCAAATTCCCCCCTCCCCACTATAAATTATTTGCACATACTAGTCTAGAAAAATTTAATATGCCACTTTCCCCCACAAACACATCTCCACAATCATAAACACCATGAAATAAACTTCTCTTAGACAAATGAAAAAGTTTCTTACCTTTTTCTCCAGGCTAAGGATCAAAATTCAAGTTTTACTTGGTTAACTCTCCTGCTAATCTGAAAACTGTCTTCTTCTCTATAGATGCTTGCTGTTTCAGGGGGGCAGGCGGGAGTTATTTAAGAATAATTTCCATTACCTAATACCTTGATACTAATGTGAAAAAAATTATGAAAATCAGAGGTCAAACACTTAAAAAGATCCACGAAAAATCTCCTACAAAGACACTTAAATAAGTAAAATCATCAAATTTTCATAATGTAACAGGGAGAAGATTGAAGAAACCAAAAAAAGCAAGTATGTTCCTTTGCTGGAACTAATCCTATGGCTAATATATATACAAGTTAATCAGCATACCTTTCTCCTGCTCATTATTCTACATATAATATGGGTCTTAAGTAAGTAAACATTCCAAACTAGATGAAATACAGTTCCAGAGAGAAATTATAAGTAGTTTAAGACTTAACCCTTTGTATTAGTCAGAGTTCTCCAGAGGGACAAAACTAATAGGGGAGACATATATCTATAGATATAGATAGATGATAATAGATTAGATATAGATATATTAAAAGGAGTTTATTAAGGAGAATTGGCTCACATGATTACAAGGCAATGTCCTACGGTGGGCCGTCTGCAAGCTGAGGAAGAAAGAAGCCAGTAGTGGTTCAGTCTGAGTCCAAAAGCCTCAAGAGTAGGGAAGCCCATAGTGCAGCCTTCAGTCTGTGGCCTAAGGCCCAAAAGCCCCAGGCAAGCCACTGGTGTTAAGTCCAAGAGTCCAAAGGCCAAACAACCTGGAGTCTGATGTCCAAAGGCAGGAGGAATGGATGGAGGCATCCAGCACAGGAGAGGGATGAAAGCCAGAACTCTGCAAGCCAGCTTAGCCCACCTTCTCTCTCCTGCTTTGTTGTAGCTACCCTGGCAGCCGACTGGATGGTGCCAACCCACATTGAGGGTGAGTCTTCCTCTCCTGGTCCACTGACTCAAATGTTAATCTCCTCTGGCAACACCCTCACAGACACACCCAGAAACAATACTTAGCTATCTAGGCATCCTTTAATCCTATCAAGTTGACACCTAATATTAACCATCACACCTTAGGATTTAGAATTTTCTTAAGAACACTGAATGACCCTTGCCCAGGATCGTATCTGTGCTGTGTCTGAAGTCTTAGACTCCCTCCTGGCCTAAAGAATTTTCCTTCAATGCAATGAAAAATGATAATCCCACAAACTAGAAACCAAGACTTGTGCAAAATCAAAACATTGCAAAGGTGGGTGTGGGGAAATCAAGCTATTATCTTTAGGTATATTCTATTCCTAGGTGTTTAAAACACTAATATTAAAAAGTGATATGGAGCTTCACCTACCCTCTGGCAATTTGCAGTTATTGTCCTTTGATCATGTAAAGCAACTGAGATCATTTGCTCCTGACTTCACTTCACTAATCTATATCCTTCATTTTTTGCTCCAAGTGTTCCTTCTTCTGAGTGCCTAGTGCTGCTCCAGTACCTAGATATCTCTCTCTCCCCCTCTCTTTCTGTCTCAATATCCAATCAATCCCAAGCTGTATTACCTCTTTACCAACTTTGGGAAAGTGGACCAGTATCCAGGCTTGGATAAGCCAAGGAAAAATACTAAGGAACTGCTTAAAGCTCTAGTAGTTCTTCTACTTTGCTGTTTCTGGCTTTGGCCATCTAAAGCAAAGTTCCTTGGATTGGTTGACAGTGAGATAGTCTCTAGATTCTTGTGTCTCTTTTTAGTAGGACCACCTAAGATGTATCATCCATTGTGTAATGAGTTCTTGACCAAAGAAAAGAAATCTTAAGGTCTTCGGACTCTGTCATCTTTCTTGTTTGCCACTCTTTGGACTGTAATTTGAAGAGAAAAAACCTTGTTTTCTTGTGAAAATTTTGGATGCTGAGTAGTTGACAACAACAGTAACTTCAGCTAGAAAATGCTGGAAACAATTTAATAAGCAGAAATGATTAACTCCAAAATCATCAACATGACTCCACCAACCCCATTTTTAAATTTCTATTTAAACATTTCCCAAATTATTTGCACATTCTTCTTTTGGCTGTAAGTCTTGTTTTTCTCTATGCTAGCTAATAGTTTTCTAGATAATTTCTATTCCCTTGACTTTTTCTTATGTTAAATCCTCAAAATTAAGAGCTTTCAACTCAAAAATCAGAAATAGGAAAGAAGTGTTTAATGAAATGATTTCACTTTTTTCTGAAAGTATTGACATGAAGTATTAAAAGCATCATCTGATAGAAAAAGAAGGTACTTGCCAAATGTTATATCGGCCTTTATAGAGCACTAGTAACAGACACTATAAAGTCTTTTGTTTCCTAATTTATTATTTTCCTAATGGGCCACATAGCAGACACTGAAGGTTCTACGTAACAAAGGTCCTACAAGTAAATTGTGAAAATCCCTTATTGGATGGTGTT
The DNA here is from genome assembly GCF_000001405.40 of Homo sapiens. Lineage (NCBI taxonomy): Eukaryota > Metazoa > Chordata > Mammalia > Primates > Hominidae > Homo > Homo sapiens. The sequence continues at coordinate 121,109,066 of NC_000001.11, forward strand.
TTTAGAATACAGAAGGTCTTATTTCCTTAATGCAAGATGCTTAGGGAAGTCACTCTCAAGTCACTAGAAATCTATTAAAGCACCACTTGCTGGAAAATGGAATGTGCTCTGGAAGTACAATGGTGTTCTTGCTAGCGCCTTCCTAACCATAACAATAATAAGAACACTGATCAAATATTTACCATGTTCCAGCCACTGTACTAAGTGCTTTGGGTACATTACCTCATTTAATCTTCATATCAAGCCTAGAAGGTAGTTTCCATTATTTTTTCCACTTTACAGGGGAATAACTTGAGGATCAATTTGCTGTAAGGAAGTTTATTTATCACAACAAGTAAAGAAAGTTTTCCAAGGTCATACAGTCCTTACATGGGGAAGCTATACTCAAAGCTGATGTTCATCGCCACTACAGGCTAGTGCCTTCTCAGCAAGAACTACTCTTACAGTGCTAAGAGGAGAAATGGGCAAGTTGGTAAGAGCCAGAATATCTGTTGTTGATATTACAGATACAGCTCTGAACTTAAGACCCTAAAAATGATCTCCAACCTCAGTTGCCTCTGAGAGCCTTCAGCGTGATATGTGATCATGTGAGAGCCACGTTATGTGTATTCTTTTTACCACCTCTTCTGTATCCATCTGGAGATAGTTCTCTTTTCTGTTTTTTCTAGAGGAAAAAAACAACGACAAAAAAACAGGGAGATCTTAGCAGAACCAAAGCAGATTAGATATTAGCCTTGAAAATGGTGACAGCAATCAGTGATATTGAACCTGAAATAATTTAAATAATTATTGGGGACTTACCAGAGCTAAGTTCGTGGACCACTGGGATTTCTCTTATTTGGGTCTCATAGTCTTCCATAAAGTGATGGGACTATAATTGTCCATCTTCAAGTATCCTTCTATGACTCATGTATAATCCCTTGACTCTTTTAGGAGATTCCTGGCAGTTAATGTCAATACTGCCCTTCATAATGCTTCTGAGTTAGCTTAGGTAAGGTCCTTAAATACCCAATGACTTATACTCTGAGGCTTCTAAACTGGTATGTGGAACTCGGTGGTTGCAACTTCACCCAAATCCTCATTCTGTGTTGTGCTGTCCCTAATTTAGAGGGCAAAATATTTCAAACTCAATCATTTCTTGTTAAATTCAACTCTTGGAGCTCCACCTGTCATAAACACAATCCCATTTCCCATGTACTCAATTACTTCTGTTTCTCGAATCCATCATTCATCCCATAGATATTGAGTGCCTAATGTATTCCAGATATAGTTCTACATAATAGGGATAGAGCAGTGTATGAAACAAAGCACCTACCTTCATAGGACTTATTCTGAGGAGGTAGGAGGGGAGACAAATGATATAATAACTTAGACTATATCTGAGTAATACAACAAATAAGTCTTTAAAAACAGTGGCTTGAATAAGATACAAGTTTATTTATCTTTCATGTAACAGTCCAGGGCTAATAGAGCAGTTCTGCCATCCTCATCACAGGGCTTCTGCCTCTGGGTCCAAAGTAGTTGCCCCAATTCCTGCCATCACATCTGCACCCCAGCCAGTGGAGAGGATAAGAGGGCAAGGGTAACACATACATATTCTTTTTTAGGGCACAAACTAGAAATAATACATGCAACTTCCATTCACATCTCATTGGCCCCAAACTTTGGACAAACCCAGATGCAAGAGAAGCTGGTAAATTAGCCTTTAATTGAGAAGCCAAGCGCCCAGAAAGCAGGGAGTTAGAGTATACAAGGAAAGATCATTTTTATGGATATCAGTCTCATTCAGAAATAAACAAATAAATAAATACATTAGTATTCAGATGGTATATGGAGAAAAATTAAGAAAATTATGAGAGGCCGGGCGCACTGGCTCACACCTATAATCCCAGCACTTTGGGAGGCCGAGGTGGGTGGACCAAAAGGTCAGGAGATCGAGACCATCCTAACACAGTGAAACCCCACCTCTACTAAAAATACAAAAAATTAGCTGGGTGTGGTGGCACTTGCCTGTAGTCCCAGCTACTCGGGAGGCTGAGGCAGGAGAATCGCTTGAACCCAGGAGGTGGAGGTTGCAGTGAGCCGAGATTGCACCACTGCACTCCAGCCTGGACAACAGAGCGAGACGCGAGACTCCATCCCCCAAAAAAAAAAAAGTTACGAGATAAGGAATACCAAGAAGTGAGGAAAGAAAAGGAGGGGAGCTTGTTATCTTACCTAAGATGTTCAGGGAAGACCTCAATGACAGTTGGTAAAGTAACTTCTCAGCAAAAGCTTACAAGAAATTAGGAAGCCAGTCATGCAAATATCTAGGGATGAGCCTTTAAGAAAAGGAAATAGCAAGTGCAAACATCCTGAGATAGAAGGGCCTTGATGTATTCAAGGAAGCACAAGGAGAAAATTATGATGAAATGGAGCAAAACAGGTAAGAGAGAGGGTCAGAGAAGTGAATGTGGGCCTTGATGCTGAAGCCATTGGAGGGTTTTCTGTTGAGGAGGAGTATGGGAATGATATGATCTGACTTATGTTTCAAAAAGTGTACTCTAGCTGCTTTGTGGGAAATATAGGAGGGAGAGAGCAGAATCAAGGAGGCCATTTAAAATGCCATTGCAAATATCCAAGAGAGGTGGAAGCTTGGAGCAGGGAAACAGTGGTGGAGGTGGTGAGATGTGGTTGGATGCTGGACATATTTTGAGCCAAGAGGATTTTCTGATAAATTGCATTTGGAAAATAAGAAAAAGCTTATTCACTCACCACTCTAATAGTCACACCAGTCTATAATCCCAGCACTTTGGGAAGCCAAGGCAGGTGGATCACTTGAATCCAGGAGTTCAAGACCAACCTGAGCAACATAGTGAGACCCCATCTCTACAAAAAGAAAAAACTCTAAAAATTAGCCAAGCATGTGGCATGCACCTGTAGTCCCAGCTACTCAGGAGGCTGAGGTGGGATGATCACTTGAGCCTGGGAGGTCAAGGCTGCAATGAACTGTAATCATGCCACTGCACTCCAGACTGGGTGACAGAGCAAGACCCTGTCTGGGAAAAGAAAAAGGCATGGCGGGGGGCGGGTGTGGTGTTTCACACCTGTAATCCCAGCACTTTGGGAGGCCAAGGCAGGCAGATCACCTGAGGTTGGGAGTTCGAGACCAGCCTGGCCAACACGGTGAAACCCCATTTCTACAAAAATACAAAATTAGCTGGGCATGATGGCTGGCATCTGTAATCCCAGCTACTCGGGGGGCTGAGGCAGGAGAATCGCTTGAACCCGAGAGGCAAAGGATGCAGTGAGCCGAGATTGTGCCACTGCACTCCAGCCTAGGTGACAGAGCAAGACTCCATCTCGAAAGAAAGAAAAAGAAAGAAAGAGAGAGAGAGAAAGAGAGAAAAGAAAGAATAATCACACCCCAAGAAAATCAAGCTAGGACCATGGTGAACAATGCTCCAAGAGTGTTCTGATGCTGTAAACTGAGTGTGATGTGCATAAATTGTTTTGCACTCTGCAGGTAGGAGGGTGGGATAGCCAAAGCTGTTCAATATAATAATATTAAAAAATAAAATCTCAATTGAAGTAAAATACAAATTTTCTTAAGCAATATTTTAAAGTAAATGGAAATGTTACAACCTGGATGAGGGGTGAGGAATTAATAACCTCTAATCACAGAATAAAAATGGAATGAGAATTCCATCTACCCAAATCAGACAATTAAAAAGTCGAAAGAGGTTACAGTAAAAATTGGGTAAAACTAAAACTTAAAAAATAATTTCAGAGGATACATGATATACTCGTCACACAGAAAACTCCAGTTGAATCTTATGGACTTGAGGAATGGATACCTTTGTTTCTCCATCACTTAGCACAGTAGCTGGCACCATGTAAGTTCTCACAGAATTTTCCTGAACTCTCCAACCAGAGGCAACCTTTCACTCTCCATTCACATAACATTTCCTTCTTTCTCTTCTTTTGGGAATAACATATCTTGCTTGAATTATATTTATCTTTATGCCAGTTTAATTCTCTCTTTTAGATTCATTTACATCTTTGTATCCTCTAGCTCATTATTTTTTCAAAATAAAATGGATTAACAAAAAATTATTAAAGAGATAAACTAAAGGAAAATATTACAACCTGGCTGAGGGGCAAAAATTATATGTTCAACATATATTTGATAACACATACTGAGAAAACACGGTCTACTTTTACTTTTCAGAAGTTTGTTCATGTTGACATTGTGGGGCCTAGAAGATTTTTATCAAGTTTTCTATTTTTGCCAAGTCATATGATCTGCTATAGTTCAGCTATAGTTAACCAAATGTAGAAAAGAAAAAAATTTTCCATAATATCTAGTAATTCTCCAAAACAAGCTTGTTCCTTGTTATAAACACTGACATTCTTTGATAACTCTCACTTTATCCCACAGAGGTCATGTACTTATTTCCCATCTGTTGTCCTATGCTTACATTCCAAATTCAGTTGCATTGACTTTTAGAACAGCTTTAGGAACTGCACCCAGTTTTAAAATACATTATTTGTCTAAAAATTATGACATGAGATTAAACTGTCATCTTTGTAGGTTTCTACACATACTCCAACTCATTCACCAATCCTTGAAAAGATTATGTAACCAATCTCAATGCCCTGACCCAGGCCAAGCCCATTTCTACATGTGCAGTGTTCTCTGGATCTGATATTTAAAGCCCCTTATCCTGATACTACACACCTTTTGTCTTCTGGAATGCACCTCTCTTCTCATCCTTTTTCAAGGCACTAGAAAAGCAGACCATTTCTGCAGCACCTCAAACCAGGGTGAGAAAGCTCCACTCTAATCTCATCATTTTAGCTACATAGATACATTGGCTCAAGGGAAGATACCAAGTGTAGTACTTTACCACTCTGAGGATTTTTGAATCTATAACAGTTGTTTCAACTGGGCCAATAATTATGAAGGGCAATAATTAAAAAGAGTATCCATAGTAAAGGAGTAAGAAAAAAAGTTAGAAAAAAAGTAGAGAAAAATATTTACTAGAGTATTTACTAGAACCCACCACTCTCAGATCAATTTTCTAGTGTTCTGTTGACTGGCAACTAGTCAACAAACTTTCATTGAGAAGCTATTTTATAGTAGGCATTGGGATAGCCTTTGTGGAATAAATACCGAGAAGCATGTCTCTAGCAGAAGACAGACAAGAAAATGTAAAAACAAGAAAAAGAAATTGAGGAATAAGCCTACAGTTTACAAAGCTACACAATTATTCGTTATGCAAGGAATGAGGCCTTAAGAGAAAGACTTCCCTGTGAACTACAATGAGATGAAAAAGCTTCTCAGAGTGAGATTTGAGCAAGAGTTTAAAAGAACTGACAGACTGATAAAAAGCTTCAAGTAGTCCAGAGGACTGAGTACTAAAACTCAGAACAATGTAACAAAAGCACAGAAGACAAAGTTAAGATGCTTTACATGACAGTAGAACATTTAGGCTAAGCTGGAGGACTGGGGAGAACAAGTGAAGAAGGTAAGTTTTGGCTAGATAATAGGTGGCCTTTAGTGTCAGGATGAGGATTTGGAAGTTAATCTTTTGGTCAGTGGGTAATAAATGATGGCATTTGTGTAGTTGAGCCAGTTGACAATGCTTTAACAACTTCAAAAGGCCCTGAAAAACATGGTCCCTAATCCTTAAGAAAAAAGGAACTCCTGACTTCAGGACCCTAAGCTAGGAGGAGATTGGATAAATTCTCTTATGGCCCAACTGTATAGAAAATAGACCACCTCGGCCGTCTCACTTACTGAGTAACCTTTCCTACCAGAGAATGTGCTATATATGATTTCTTTACTTTCAACGGAAATTTTGGATTCTCAGTTATCTTTCCCTGACCTCTTGTCTGGTGATCAGAAAAAGATGACTAAACTGGGAATCTTTATTTTCTAGTGGAAAAATAATCATGTATACCGCATTTTATATCTTTTAATTGGGTGTAAATTTGAACTTCAACATCATAAAAATTAGTAAAATTCATTTTAAGCACAAAGTTGTTAATTCCCCCAAGATTTATCAAGAATGGCTTAATTTCAAAGGCTGTCAAGTTAATTATAAGCTAAGATTTTCCAGTTGCACCAAGGGTATATTTTATTTGGCAAAAGAAACATCCACTGGCTTTTGTCAGGATGAGTCTTGAGTTATTCAAGTTTTGAACTTAGAGGTCTTCAGAAATTCACCCCACATATTAACTGTGGCCTTCTCTACACCACAAATTCCCCTCCACTCATCCTCAAATTGTTTCCTTTCTCAGAACATCTGTGACACAAAGACTGTGACACACCCACAGGTCGATTAACATGAGGACCCAACACCTATTAAAACATCCACACTCCTGAGAACACTAAAAACCAACCACTTCGTCAGGTCCCACCTCCAGTCTCGCTGAATCAGGAAACCTCAAGAGAAGCACCTGGAAGCAGGTTTAACAAGCGCAAGGCCGGGCGCGGTGGCTCACGCCTGTAATCCCAGCACTTTGGGAGGCCGAGGCGGGCGGATCACGAGGTCAGGAGATCGAGACCATCCCGGCTAAAACGGTGAAACCCCGTCTCTACTAAAAATACAAAAAATTAGCCGGGCGTAGTGGCGGACGCCTGTAGTCCCAGCTACTTGGGAGGCTGAGGCAGGAGAATGGCGTGAACCCGGGAGGCGGAGCTTGCAGTGAGCCGAGATCCCGCCACTGCACTCCGGCCTGGGCGACAGAGCGAGACTCCGTCTCAAAAAAAAAAAAAAAAAAAAAAAAAAAAAAAACAAGCGCAAAGGTGACTCTTATAATTGGGAAAGTTTGGAACCAAGACAGGGTTCTTGTCCTGGAGGAAGTATTTTCCTGTGGAGAAGGACCTGTAAACAGCCTATGAAGTGCTCAGCTTTCACCAAGAAAAACATGGGCTGATAGGGTTAAGGAAAAGTTTGACTGAAGAGGATTAAATCCTGAAGGTTAGGGATGTCTTTGGGCGCTGGGGTCTCTCAATCACCAAAGATAGACATTACAGGCCAGGTAGCTCTTTGTCCCCCCAGAGGACTGTCCTGTGCCTTATGCTTAGCACTCCTGGCCTCTGCCCATTGGATACTTCTAGCACCTCCCCCCCAACACACACACACCTGACAACCCAAAACATCTACAGATATTGCCAAATACTCCACAGGGGGTGGGGTGGTGGCAATATATCTCCCTGTTTGAAGTCACTGGAATGGAAGTTAGGGGAGGATGGCTAAGTCAGGACTTGCAAAAAGGCTAAGGGACGAAAGCACATGGCTATATTAGACAAAGTTTGTGACAGACGCCTGTAGGTATATGGTAAGGAAAACAGATTAAAACACTAAGAAATAGTAAGAGGTTGGACCGAGGGTTTCTCATCTGTATGGGAAATCTCATCTCGTTCATTACTTTCAGAAACAAAAAGGAAAACGACTTTAAAGATACAGGTTAAAGGCTGAAGGGGTGTAGAACCACCCCCCGCCTCCTTCCCTCCATCCTTCCCAAATATCCCAGAATGAGTCAAACCTTTCTAATCTCGTAGCACAGATAACAAGCAACTCAGTAAGACTAGACGGGGATGACTGAGGGCCAACTCATTACAGGACTACAGGAAACTCCTTAGTCCTAAACCCGAATGCATCCGTGACCATGGTAACACTCCCTACCTGACCAAAAGCTATCAAACGCTCTGACAAGTGTTTACAGCTGCTTTCTCAATTACTGAAGTGGCTCTGAAAAGAGCCTTTGGGGTTAGGTGGTTGATCTATTGCGTCCCTTGCACACTCTTACTTCGAGCTGGTGTACTTGGTGACCGCCTTGGTGCCCTCGGACACGGCGTGCTTGGCCAGCTTGCCGGGCAGCAGCAGGCGCACGGCCGTCTGGATCTCACGGGATGTGATGGTGGAGCGCTTGTTGTAGTGCGCCAGGCGGGACGCCTCTCCCGCGATGCGCTCGAAGATGTCGTTGACGAAGGAGTTCATGATGCCCATGGCCTTGGACGAGATGCCGGTGTCGGGGTGGACCTGCTTCAGCACCTCCTACACGTAAACGGAGTAGCTCTCCTTGCGGCTGCGCTTGCGCTTCTCGCCGTCCTTCTTCTGCACTCTTTTAACAGCCTTTTTGGAGCCCTTCTTGGGAGCAGGAGCGGATTTCGCTGGATCCGGCATTTTTGCGCGAAAAAAGAGAACAGACACTTAAAGAAGTAATCCGAACTACCGCAAAACGGGCTGGTTATGCGCTACTTATAGAGCCTGTATGCAAATGAAGACTCGCAAAGTGCTGCGCTTTAATTGGTTAACTTACAACGGTGTCGTCAGAGGGGGTGGAGTCTATGTAAATAATAGATTCTAGTCTTGCTTCCTTAATGGTCACTGTAACAAAAGTCTTGTTATCCAATCAGAATGTTCCATTTCACACTAACCAGTTTTAAGCTAGGTGAAGCGATAGTTTCAACGGCTTGAGGTTTTTTTCTTGGTTTTCACTTTCCATTAGACTTGCATACGGAAGAAATCTTAACGCCAGCTAGACAAGTTAACTCTCTTGCCTCGTTTTTGCATTTTTATTCTATACTTTGTGGAAATTTTTTTCTCTTCCTTGAAATACTACCTCACCCACACATTTTTAAAAATCGCCAGATATTTACTCCCGCCCGCTTAAATTACTATTCTGGCTTGGACACCGCCTGTAGTATGCAATGAGGAAGATGCTGAGCTTTAATTAAGCTTATAGTTCCTAAATAAACCAGGAAACGGGTTTATAATTTTTAAGGGACTCGCCCCACCCTTACACTCAGGATCTTCCACATCTAGAAACTCCCCATAGTCTCTTGCCCCCATGCAAAACTTTACCCACAGAATTGGGAGCCGGACATCTAGCCTTAAACCAGCGTGAAAAGGCTCGGCCGGAACCACAAGGACCATGCCTCTGCGGCTTTCTCTACTGCCGGCCAACTCACGGCTGGGCTTTGGGTTCTGTAACGTCACCCACCACGAGTGCCCCTGGCCCCTGACTGCTGCGCAAGGCAGACGCACATCAGATGGAGAGCCGGTACAGCTGCTCTTGATGAAAACGGCAGTGGCTCTGAAAAGAGCCTTTAGATCGACCACTTAAAAATATACCTTAGGCCCTCTCCCCGCGGATGCGGCTGACCAACTGGATGTCCTTGGGCATGATGGTCACGCGCTTGGCATGGATGGCGCACAGGTTCGTGTCTTCGAACAGCCCCACCAGGTAGGCCTCGCTGGCCTCCTGCAGCGCCAGCGCCGTCACGGCCGAGCTCTGGAAGCGCAGGTCCGTCTTAAAGTCCTGCGCGATCTCGCGTACCAGCCGCTGGAAGGGCAGCTTGCGGATCAGCAGCTCCGTAGACTTCTGGTAGCGCCAGATCTCCCGCAGAGCCACGGTGCCGGCCGGTAGCGGTGCGGCTTCTTCACCCCGCCCGTGGCCGGCGCGCTCTTGCGGGCCGCTTTGGTAGCCAGCTGCTTCCTCGGGGCCTTGCCGCCGGTCGACTTGCGGGCAGTCTGCTTAGTACGGGCCATGCTGTCTCATTGATACGAGAGGGTCTAGGCAGTCATATTTATAGACATAGCCTCCTCTTGATTGGGCCTGAAAAGGAAATTTTCAAACTTGTGATCTCATTGGTTAAAATTCAATCCTCTTTACTGGGGCGGAAGATTGTTCTGCTAATCTTTCTTCCCTTATTATTTCCCCCTTTCCTGATTTTTTTCTGTAATTTTATCGATCACGGATTGCTTTTGAAGACTTTCCTTTAAATTAGTCTAACTTTTGTAAAAGCAATGTATAAAGTGTTTTGCATCCCATTTTAACAGAGATTTTTTTTTTCCCCGAATTCAAGCATGCCCTTCTATGAGCTATCAGCCTGTTTCAGGTTACCTGTTACTGTAGCTCTTCTACCATAGCTAACATTTATTTCATGTCTGGCATTTTGCTCAGCAAGTTAGATGCATTGTATACCATGAATGACCGAAGCTTAGCAAAAAAAATATGTAATTGAAGGAATGAAAAAATTGATCTTATTTACTTGACCTTGGAACCCAGCCAAAGCCATTTCATGTGGGTAGTGTGCTGACCTATATTGACCTGATATTAGAGCCTCTGCCTTCCTTTAGTCTTTTCTCCCTGCGATGTGGTTCCTTCTTCCTCACCCTCACATCAATGGCCAATTAGGTCCTGCAGATGTTAAGCTTCTAAATCAAAGAAGGACAACACCAGAAATTCATTTCTCCTTTACAATGTAGAATAGTTTGTAAATTAGTGCTTATTAGCCAGATTACAAGTTAAAGTTTCAAAGCAAATTATTCATCAATTGCTGACTTGCTAACATTTTATTCAATAAAGTATTTTATAATGCTTAAAAGTTTAATATTTTTTTCTGTTCTCTATGAAGAGAGTAAACATGCTTTGCTTTTTCAATTTCATGTGCTTTGAAGTATGTATTGTTCAGAACAGTAAATATCATAGTGGTTATGTAGAAGCAACTGATACTTAAAAGTTGTAGTAGTTAATATAAAACTTTTAATCATATGCTTATTTTACTAAAAAACATTACAAACTATAAAAACTCAAACCTGAGAAAAGCAGGCCCAAAACGCTTAAAACTTACTTTGATGGTGTCATTATGAACTATCTTCCTACTGAAGTCAAAGTAAAGTAAAAGTGATTTCAAGGGGACTTCCTGAACACTAAACACAAAGTAGAAATCTGTGAGCTTAATTAATATCTTCAAGAGTCTCTCATGGGCAGAAGCATCCTCCTCTCGAGAGATCTAAAATGTACAAAAGTGTAACTGATGTGAACAAATGTTATCCCTCTCTGTGGTAGTTTTGTAATAATGCCTTACAGACAGCAGGCACTACTCAGTGTTTAAAGTTCTTCTACATACACTTTATCATTTAATCCCTACTCTGTGAAATAGATCTTACTCTTCTCACTTTACAGATAAGAAAACTGAGTCTCAGAGAAATTATGGCTTGTCCTGGGTAAGTAACAAAGCCTGTGTAATATTCTAAAGCAAAAGAATGAAACTGTAATGATGAAACTTTCTATTTCATTAGGCTTAGAGGATACCTTTTTTTTTTTTTTCATTTGAGATGGAGTCTCACTCTGTCACCCAGGCTGGAGTGCAGTGGTAGGATCTCTGCTCACTGCAGCCTCTGCCTCCTATGTTCAAGCAATTCTCCTGTCTCAGCCTCCTGAGCAGCTGGGACAATAGGCGCAAGCCACCACCCCCAGCTAATTTATTTATTTATTTGTATTTTTAGTAGAGACAGGGTTTCACCATATTGGTCAGGCTGGTCTCGAACTCCTGACCTCAGGTGATCCACCCTCCTCGGCCTCCCAAAGTGCTTGGGTTACAGGCATGAGCCCCACGCACCCAGCCAACACAGTTTAAAGCACAAAAGCGTTTTCCCATCATGCAATCACATCATCTAGTATTTCTCAAACATCTACACCCAACTATTCCCATTAGAAGGGAAAACTACCCCATGGAATCTGGATGATAGCCCAAAGCAGCCCACCCAAGCATCACTTTTCTTTGCAATATACTTTCTCTATGATGTATGCAGTCTTGACCATAATGTAGGATGTGTTCATTTAAATAAGAAAATGGCATTCAATCAGACTTTAATGGCTATAGGTATCATTTCTCAAAATAAAACAATCAGATGTATAGTTGCCTTAAAAGTCATCTTTAATAACAGAATTCAGATCAATTGTTAGTTCAATTTCACCTAGTCCCCACATTGGACACTAGAGTGACATTTCTGTGAAAGGTCTCAATCCACCACTATATCAGAAACAGCTTTATGGTGCAAAAGAAGCTCTGCTTTCCTTCAGTTGTAACAAAGACGGAATATTCCTCCTAAAAGTTTTGAAGTGTCCTTCAGCAGAAATTATAAGGCTGTGCAGCTTGAATACTGAGAACAGAAATTTCATTAGGTAGCACGGGGGAATAGACAAGAGAAGATTAAAATTTACCTAACAAGAAATAAGCAGGCAAAAGAAAATATTAATAAATGAATTATTAGGCACATAATGTTTTGTATGTACATGTGTTTACTTTTAATACAAAAGTAACGGACTAAGTTAACATAGACGTTCCAATAAGATAATTTATGTTTCATTTTTTGGCTTCAAGTATCCTCAGGGTTATAAGTATCATAAGCTGAGACCGGCTGAATTGGTTTGTAGGTTGATGAAGCCCTATGCCTGATTTGAATTTCTCTTGAATGGTCTGCAGCCCTGGACCAAGTTGAAGAAGCCATGAGAGTCTCAGCTTTTTTCCTTACCCCATTATGAGATAAACTCATTCCTTAAATATCTTGCTCATTTGATAAAACTTGGCACCCTTCTCCTTTCTACTGGTCCCTAATACTTACTACCTGTACTGTAAGCTCAAATTTTTTACAATTTCTGCCTTTATTATGTAACGTATTCCACTGGAATATGTGTTACAGGAAAGGGGTCCCGATCCAGACCCCTAGAGAGGGTTCTTGGATATCCGGCAAGAAGGAATTCAGGGCCAGTCCATAAAGTGAAAACAAGTTTACTAGGAAAGTAGAGGAATAAAAGAATGGCTACTCCATAGAGAGAACAGCCCTGAGGGCTGCTGGTTGCCCATTTTTATGGTTATTTCTTGATTATATGTTAAACAGGGGTGGGGGAGGTGGACCACGCCTATAATCCCAGCTACTCCAGAGGCTGAGACAAGATCATTTGAACCCGGGAGGCAGAGGTTGCAGTGAGCTGACATCGCTCCACTGCACTCCAGCCTGGACCACAGAGGGAGAATCCGTCCCCCGCACCCCACCCCCCCAAAAAAAAATCACTGCCAGTAAGGAACAAACAGCCAAGACGAAGAAGTACTAAGATGTAAAGAGATGTAAAATAGGCCGGGCGCGGTGGCTCACGCCTGTAATCCCAGCTCTTTGGGAGGCCTAGGCGGGCAGATCACGAGGTCAGAAGATAGAGACGATCCTGGCTAACACGGTGAAACCCCGTCTCCACTGAAAATATTTTTTTAAAAAAAATTAGCCGGGCGTGGTGGCGGGCGCCTGTAGTCCCAGCTACTCGGGAGGCTGAGGCAGGAGAATGGCATTAACCTGGGAGGCGGAGCTTCAAGTGAGCCCAGATCGCGCCACTGCACTCCAGCCTGGGTGACAGTACGAGACTCTGCCTCAAAAAGAAAGAAAGATGTAAAATACTGTGATACATTCTGCAAGAGTTATGACAGAGTCAGAAAGGGGCAAACGTGTTTCTTCTCTACCCTGAAGCAGCCAAGGGAGAACAAGATATCTGTTGCCAACGCTGGGGTGTTACAAGTGCACACTGCCATGCCCGGCTAATTTTTTGGATTTTAGTAGAGACAAGGTTTCACTGTGTTGCCCAGGCTGGTCTCGAACTCCTGAGGTCAGGCAATCCACCCGCCTAGGCCTCACAAAGTGCTAGGATTACAGGCGTGAGCCACCACGCCCGGCCTATATATGCATATTTTTTTCTAACACTTACATACTTTTTCTTGGTGCCAAGAATGTTTTAAACACTTTACATGTATTAACTCATTTTATCCTCACAAAACCCTGTCAAGTAGGTAGTATAAGTATGTCCATTTACAGATTGGGAGATGGAGGAATCACAGAGAGGTTAAGAAACTTTCTCATAGTCACACAGTCGGTGCCAAACCAGATTTCAACTCCAGAGTCTTCCTTTAGTCACTATACTACACTACTAATATCAAATAAGTAAGATGTTGATGCAACATTGATAGTAATTTAAAAGATTAGAAACAACCAAGAGCCGGGGTGTAGTGGCCCATGCTTGTAATTCCAGCATCTGGGAGCTCGAGGCGGGCAAGTTTGTTGGGAGTTGGAGACCAGCCTGACAACATGGCAAAACCCTGTCTCTACAAAAAATATAAAAATTAGCTGGGCGTGGTGGTGCGCGCCTGTAGTCTGAGCTACTTGGGAGGCTGAGGTGGGAGGATCGCTTGAGCCTGGGAGATTGAGGCTGCAGTCTGCAGTGAGTTATGATCACACCACTGCACTCCAGCCTGGGCAACAGAGACCCTGTCTTAAAAACAAAACAAAACCACCTCCGACAACGTAGGAATGCTGAAATGAGTTATGTTAATTCTAAGTAAAAACTCAACCTATCCCAATTAGCCCAAGACCACTACTTAGTCTACCTAAGCCAAGTCTGTTGACTTGTTACAATGAGGGAGAACACACAACAGAGAAACTGGTGGCAGGGTGGTGGGAGGAGGGTGCTCACCAAACAAGAGGAAAATTAGAGTTATCATTGATTTTGGGGGATGAGTGGAGTGTAGTTTTCATAGGCTCAAAGCAAAGCAGGGCTGTGTGAAAGGGTAGGCATAGGATGGGACTTTGAAGTAGATCCAGGGTCTTGTTTCCTCAGAAACTACAAAGTTGAGATAGAGGTGGAATGCTGTGTTCAGAAACCCCTTACTTGAAGTTTTTGCACCTGGGTTGAAAATTACTGCTGGTTTTTTGTGTCAAGGTGGCTTAGGTCCTCCAGACAGGAGGGGGATACTGCATTGTTACTGATTGATAGGATTTCAAGCAGCCAAAGTTCTGATAGTCTGTGATTTTGAGTACAAGTTCCTCAGTGAATAAGAAAGGAGTGGTCACTCAAAGAGGGGAGTTATGAGCCTTTATAGCTGTAGCATGCCCTTGGGAGAAGAATGTTTTCTGTCATTTCTAGTCTAGCTTTATCTCTGTTAGTGCAGCCTAATGAATGGCAGAACAGGTTTTGATTTTCTCAGTCCTAGCGAATTTCTGCTTCTCGAAGTGCATGTTAGTGGTAATGTGTTTTATATCTTACTTTATTTCTTATTTTCCCCCCCTTTAATCTATATTTTATTTTATTTATTTTTTATTTTTTTGAGACGGACTCTCGCTCTGTCCCCAGGGTGGAGTGCAGTGGTGTGATCTCAGCTCACTGCAACCTCTGTCTCCCCGGTTCAAGCGATTCTCCTGCCTCATTTTCCTGCCTCAGCCTCCTGAGTAGCTGGGACTATAGGCGCGCACCACTACGCCTGGCTAATTTTTGTGTTTTTAGTAGAGACGAGGTTTCACCATGTTGGCCAGGCTGGTCTTGATCTCCTGACCTCATAATCTGCCAGCTTCGGCCTTCCCAAGTGCTGGGATTACAGGCATGAGACACCGCGCCTGGCCTAATCTATATTTTAAAAATTGAACTCTTCCATGTACCCCTGAACCTAAAATAAAAGTTAAAAATTAACAAACATACAAAACAACAACAACGACAAAAAAAAAAAAAAAAAAAAAAAAAAACCAGGCCGGGCATCGTGGCTCACGCTTGTAATCCCAGCACTTTGGAAGGCCGAGGCGTGCAGATCACGAGGTCAGGAGTTCGAGACCAGCTTGACTAACATGGTGAAACCCCGTCTCTACTAAAACTACAAAAATTAGCCGGGCGTGGTGGCACGTGCCTGTAATCCCAGCTACCCAGGAGGCTGAGGCAGGAGAATCCCTTGAACCAGGGAGGCAGAGGTTGCAGTGAGCCGAGATCATCCCACTGCACTCCAGCCTGGGAGACAGAGCAAGACTCTGTCTCAAAAAAAAAAAAAAAAAAAAAAAAAAAAAAAAAAAAAAAAAAAAAAAAAAAAAAAAGAGAGAATTCTGTACTTTGTAATTAGAGGGGTAATTCATTAATTCATGTCAGGGGCATATTATTTTATTTTTCCAAATGCTAGGAAGCAGGTATCCATTTTTGATAATATAAATTTTGGGATAATTGTCAGTCATCTGGCTCACAGGGAAAACAGGAAAAACAAGAAACCTAAATAAACTTCATATTGATTTCCCAAAAAAATTACCTTTTATTTTCAACCCTTATAGAACCCAACCTGCATCTCTTTGCCATCCATGTTCTTTTTTTTTAGAGACTGGGTCTCATTCTGTCCCCTAGGCTGGAGTGCAGTGGCATGATCATAGCTCACTGTAGCCTCAATCTCCCAGGCTCAAGTGATCCTCCCACTTCAGCCTCCCAAAGCAATTGGGACCACAGGTGCATGCCACTGTGCCTGGCTAATATTTTATTTTTTTGTAGAGATGAGGTCAATCTGCATTAAACTTCATGTTGCTCCAACACCACATTTTATCTCCCCACTTTCCCAGCAATGGACAACTAGGCTTGTGCCAATTCTCCATCACCACCAGAAATGCTGCAATGAACATTGTTGTATATATTCCCTTTTGGACCTATATAAGAATTTCTTTTGGATAAAAACTCAGGAACAGAACTGCTGAGAAGCCAGAAACCAGCAGTTCTGTTCAGAGTTTTATTTATATCTAATTGAACTAAGGAGTGTCAGCCTCCCCTCCAGAATGCTTGTCCCGGACTTCCAATACCAAGGTAGCTGGACTCTGAGCCCACATCCAGGCCCAATCCTCGGGTCATCCAACTTTCTAAGTTTTGCCAGACTGCCTGGTGTAAAGTGGTATCTCAGCATTGCTTTCGTTTTCATTGTTCTGGGTATTCATAAGTTCAAGCATCTCTACCTGAGCTTGATAGTTTTCGGATTTCTTCTCCTGTGTATTGCCTGTTCATATCCTTTGCTCCAACATTGTTTATAGAGCACTCCCTCCCTACTTTGGCATTTGGGGTCCCCTAAACTGGCCCCCATTGCTAAAGCTTACTTCTCATGACTGACCTTTGCCCATGCTGCATGTGGTCCAGGAACAATTCTTCTGTCTTTGTTTTTGCTGTCCCCTCTTGCCTGGATTACATCATCTTCTCCAAACCCCCAATCTAAACATGTCCCGAATCCTAAATATTCTTTAGAACCAAGCTCAGATATCACCTCCTCCTGGAAGGGTTCCTTTATTTGCTCAGCTGGCCTTGGCCTTTCCCTCTTGGCTCCCACAAAGCTCAACCTGCATGTATTATTTATTTATTTATTTATTTATTTATTTATTTATTTATTATTTTTTTGAGACGAAGTCCTGCTCTTGTCCCCGAGGCTGGAGTGCAATGGCACGATCTTGGCTCACTGCAAACTCCGCCTCCCGGGTTCAAGTGATTCTCCTGCCTCAGCCTCCCGAGTAGCTGGGATTACAGGTGCCTGCCACCATGCCAGACTACTTTTTGTATTTTTAGTAGAGACGGGGTTTCAACATGTTGGCCAGACTGGTCTCAAACTCCTGACCTCAGGGGATCCGCCCCCCTTGGCCTCCCGAAGTGCTGGGATTACAGGCGTGAGCGACCGCACCAGGCCTCAACCTACATTTCAAGTCACCATCTGTCACAGGATACCTTCCACTCTGGCTCTGGATATGGGGGTCACCTCCTCACAAAGACAGACAGGTTGTATGTGCATACACAGAAAGATTCAGAAGAAATATGAAGACTTTTAAAATCAGTCGGATGATTTTAACTTTCTTCTTTGTAGTTTTCTCTAGCCAGTTTTAAAAACTGTAAGTTGTAGGCCGGGCGCGGTCACTCACACCTGTAATCCCAGCACTTTGGGAGGTGGAGGCGGGTGGATTACCTGAGGTCAGGAGTTCAAGACCAGCCTGGCCAATATGATGAAACCCTCTCTCTACCAAAAAATACAAAAATTGGCCAGGGGTGGTGCCGCATGCCTGTAGTCCCAGATACTCAGGAGGCTGAGGCAGGAGAATCCCTTGAACCCAGAAGGCAGAGCTTGCAGTGAGCTGAGATTGCGCCACTGCACTCCAGCCTGGGCGATAGAGCGAGACTCCATCTCAAAAAAAAAAAAAAAAAAAAAAAAATTCCAGAAAAACAAAAACAAAAAAACCTCCCAAAAAACCACAACTATAAGTTGTAATCCATAGTGCAATTAATTTACCTGGTAGAGATCATCTTTTCCTTTCATTTTGCCCTTTTGTAAGAATCATAAAACGGGAAAATATCACCAATAGTAATTATCATTTTGTGAAACTTGTTGCAATTTTTATTTTCCTGTGAATGTGACTGGGAGGCAATGTAAATGTATTTCTTTTTTCTTGTTTTTGAGACGGAGTCTCACTCTGTCGCCCAGGCTGGAGTGCAGTGGCAGATCTTGGCTCACTGCAAGCTCCGCCTCCTGGGTTCACGCCATTCTCCTGCCTCAGCCTCCCGAGTAGCTGGGACTACAGGCGCCCGCCACCCATGCCTGGCTACTTTTTTTTATTTTTATTTTTTGTATTTTTAGTAGAGACAGGTTTTCACCGTGTTAACCAGGATGGTCTCGATCTCCTGACCTCGTGATCCGCCCGCCTCGGCCTCCCAAAATGCTGGGATTATAGGCATGAGCCCCAGCGCCCGGCCAATGTGAATGTATTTCTTACTGTAGACTTGAGGTCAGGAGAGTGGGCTGTACTGTACACATATTGATATTATTTGTATCTATTCCATGTATCACTTTCTCCTAAAGCATCAAATCTAATACAAAAAAAGAAAAGCAAAACACAAAACCTAGGCTCAAATTCCACCTTGGCCATGTTTTAGCCGAGTAACTCACGTTCCCCGGTGTCTAATCTTTACCAGAAACTTCCTTATCTTTAAAATAAGGAAAAAGCCTTTTCTTCTTTCCAGGGTTGTTGTGGACTCAAACGAGAGGCTGTTAGTGAAAGGTTTTTGTGAGTTATAAAGCTCCTAGGAACCCAGTTATTTCTGCTGCCTTGGCCACATAGTCTAGAAGAATCTCTACATAATTAGCATCTAGAGACTAGATAATTTACCCATTATTTTCCATGTGCTTGTCTTATTTCCCAGCATGATGGTAATATTTCCAAGGGAAAGATCTAGGATATATATCAAGTAACGTTTATCATAAAAATAATGAAATTGCTAATAACTATTAATTTATTGTCATGTTGAGACTCTGCTCTAAGTACTTTGTATGGACTGTATAGCAATTCATCCCTGCACGAATCCTATGAGGTATGTGTATTTATTGTTACTGTTTTACAGATATTGAAACTAAGACACTGAGCCTCTATTTTAGCCTCATGTCTTCTTTCCTTCCAGCTTTTCCCAGGCAAGTAAATGCAGGCCACAGTCTGCCAGCTGCCCAACCATTCAGGCTTTTCATTATTATAGGAAGCATCTGGCCAAGGACCACCAACATCTTCCTGTCCTGCCCCTGAAGCTGTGAGTTCCCCAGGTGGAGACACAACCTGTTCCCCAACACCTACACTCATGAACACGGGAGGGTTGGTCAAAATTGCACCGCTATCATGCTTAGTTTTATACTCAGGTGTAAGTGACTGATAGAAGGGCCTTTTGGAGGTGGAGAGTGCGCAGGTTCTGAAGAGGCAAGACCGGGGAAGTCTGGACCTGCTTCCAGAGTGTCCTCCCACAAGGCTTAGTGCTCAGGACCTGTAGTGGGTTGAATATGTTCCCTAAAGTTCGTGTCTATCCAGCATCTCAAAATGTGAACGCATTTGGAAACTGGGGCTTTGAAGACGTAAGTAGTTAAGGATCTTGAGATGAAATCATGCTGGATATAGGATGGGCCTTAAATTCAATGACTGGTATCTTTATAAGAGAAAGGAGAGGGAAATTCGGACACACAGAGATGAGTAAGAAGCCATGTGAAGATGGAGGGAGAGATTGGAATGAGGCTGCCACAAGCCAAGGAACATCAGAAGCCACCAGAAGCTGAAAGAAGCAAGGAAGGATTCTCCCTGAGAGCCTTTAGAGGGAGCATGGTACTTTATTTCAGACTTCTGGTCTCCAGAACTGTGGAAGAATACAGTTCTGTTGTTTTAAGCTACCAAGTTTGTGGTCATTTGCTATGGCAGCCCTAGGAAACTAACACAGGTTGAGTATCCCTTATCTGAAATGCTTGGGACTGGGACTGTTTCGGGTTTCAGATTTTGGAATATTTGCATATATATAATGAGATATATTGGGGATGGGACCCAAGACTAAACACAAAATCCATCTATGTTTCATAAATACCTTATACACACTTACACTGTGCCCCATTTTCTCCAACAACTTGACTTTCTGTACTATAGATAAACATAAATGTTTTCTCTCCCTTTTTTTTTTTTTTTTTTTGAGACAGAGTCTTGCTCTGTCGCCCAGGCTGGAGTGCAATGGCACAATCTTGGGTCACTGCAACCTCCTGGATTCAAGTGAGTCTTCTGCCTCAGCCTCCCGAGTAGCTGGGACTACAGGCATGTGCCACCACGCCTGGCTAATTTTTGTATTTTTAGTAGAGACGGGGTTTCACCATGTTGGTTAGGCTGGTCTTGAACTCCTGACCTCAAGTGATCCAGCCACCTCGGCCTCCCAAATTGCCGGGATTACAGGCATGAGCCACCGCGCCTGGCCTTGCTTTTTCTCTTTTAAAATCACTGTTACTCATGGGGTATCTGCAGGCCTTTTTGATATTTTCAACAATATCTTTATACCACAGAGCAGAGAATAAGCAAAAAAACCCCACAGTGAGTAAGGCACGTAGGTCTTGGCTCCTACATGGGGCATTATGGGGAACGTGCTGTTGACGACACTGGCCTGCACACATGCCATTTTATGACCCTTTGTGGGTGTGTGCACGTTGGGGAAACCGGGCATGTGCAGAAAAGATATATCTCAGTGGAAAGGGGCTGGGAGGGCCTTTTATTTCCTTGGGGGAAATACTGTGCATTGTATGACCCGTTGTGTGAGGTCAGGTGTGGAATTTTCCACCGAGGCACCACATTAGTGCTCAAAATTGTTCAGATTTTGGAGCATAGGGTTTCGGATCTTCAGATTAGGGATGCTCAACCTGTACAACATCCTTGCAACAATCTAGGTGTGAGCTTTCCTCAAGAGCAAGAAGAGCTTGCCACTTCTGCTATATGACCACGGTGAAGCCAGCCTGTCACCCTCCTGCCCTGGATGACCCCAGGGAGCTCTACAGAGGTCCATGGCTGGGGGAGGCCAGCAATTGTCTAGGAGAGCTCAGTGCCACTTGCAAAGACGACAGATCTCTCTACAAATTCTGGGCTGAGCAGGTGAAGGAGGCTGGGCAGGCCCATGAAGGAGCCTAGTCAGCCGTAAGGAAAGGTTCACTGTGGGGCCCCCGACTTCCCATTCCTGATCTCCTTTGTACCTCTGCTGCCCACTTCCTTTCCTCTTTCCCTCCAAGTATACCTTATACTCTGCTCCTGATGACACTCAGATCTCCCCCCGCCCCCCCGCCCCTGTCAAATAAAAAGAGCCTAGTGACTTTTGTAAGAACGGTGTATTCATTTCCTAGTGTTGCATTAATAAGTTACCATAAACTTAGTGGTTTAAAACAACACAAATTTGCCGGGTGTGGTGGCTCATGCCTGTAATCCCAGCACTTTGGGAGGCCAAGGCGGGTGGATCACCCGAGGTCAGGAGTTCGAGACCAGCCTGACCAACATGGTGAAAACCCGTCTCTACTAAAAACACAAAAATTAGTCGGGTGTGGTGACGCGTGCCTGTAATCCCAGCTACTCAGGAAGCTAAGGCGGGAGAATTGCTTGAACCTGGGAGGCAGAGGATGCAGTGAACCGACATCACACCATTGCACTCCAGACTGGGCAACAAGAGCGAAACTCTGTCTCAAAAAAAAAAAAACATGAAACCAAACAAAACGAAAAAAACCACACAAATTTATTCTCTTATCATTCTGGAGGTCAGAAGCCCAACATAAGTTTTAAGGGGCTAAAACAAATGTCTGAAGGACTGGTTTGTTCTGGAGGCTCCAGGTATATAATCCACTTTTTGACTCTTCCAGCTTCTAGAAACTGGCATTTTTTAGCACCTGGACAGATCACTCTAATGTCTGCTTCTGTCATCACACCCCCTTCTCCCTGATTGACCCTCTCATCTCTCTAAGGATTCATGTGATTATATTAAGGGCTCATCTCAATAATCCAGGATAAGTTCTTTATCTCAAGGTCCTTAATTTGTTCACATTTGCAAAGTCCCTTTGCCATATAAGGTAACATATTCACAGAGTCCAAGGATTGGGATGTGGATATCTCTGTGTGGCTATTATTCAGTCTACCACAGATGTGCACTCCTTTCTAAAGTATTTATCTTCGAGCACTGAGGGGAACTCTGCCTTCAGCTAAGGCTACACAACTATCCTGATGGTGGACTGTAGCAACTTGTAGGCAAGGGGTACAGCTTAGGGCAGCTACCTCTCCCTCTTCTCGGGCCAACCTGGAGGAAGTTCCTTCCAGAGTCCAGGCTATACTTGCTTCTGGCCTGCAAATTCCTGAGAATTCTTTGAAACCTAGGAGGGGCCTGGGTATTATGCCCTTTTGAGTGAGAATTCAGAGGCCAGTGGAATTAGGGCAATCAGGCATTTCCTGATCATCTGCTATGCTCCAGGATGCTGACTTGGAGAGATGAACAAGGCAAAATGCTCATTCTGACGGCACTCAGAATTTCACGGGGAACTGGAAGGATAAATGAATCTGGGAGGAACTGCTAAAACAGGTAGGAGAGGGTAAGCTTGTTAGAACCTGAGCAGAATGCTGTCTGAAAAGGTAGAGAAGTCAGGAGAAGCAGTGAGGCCCTCAACCCTGTGTGTCACAATGCCTCCTGTCATTTCCTCTCTGAGTTTCCAGTACAAGCTTCTTGGTGGCTGTTTTCTGCCCAAGCACATGAACTTTGGAAGACCTAGCACTTTGGACAAAGTCCCTGGCCCTGACACTTAATAGTTTGGGGAACTTGGGCAAAATACTCAAAGCTTCCTAGTCTGTAAAGTGAGAATGATAAAACATCTGCCTTCCTTGCAGGATTGTTGTGGTGATGTGTAAGACATAAAATATCAAGCATAGTCAGCAGTCACTGAGCTTAAGGAATGTTAAGTTATAATCATTATTTCTGAACTTCAGTGCCCAATATGACCCTGTTGACACCTCCTTTGCCTCCTTGGGACATACTCTCTTCTGGTGGTCCTCATCCCTTTCCAGCTATCCTCTGTCTCTTGGTATTCTCCTAATCTACCAACTCCCATCAATGTTCCTGCTTGCCCAGGGTGCCTGTCTCAGCCCTCTTCTTTTCTCCCTAACCCCTGGGAAGATCTCATCAAATTCCCTGCCTTTCGTTTTCCTTATCGATTTGCTGAGGGCTTACTCACAAGTTTCTCCAGCTGAGACCCTTTACTGATGAGAGTAATAACAACTGGTGGATGTGTTCTCCTAGGTAGAGAACAGGAATCTCAATTTTTAATGTTGGGAGGGACTTTATGCATCTTTTTGCTTTCAAAAGCAATTTCTGCCTGGGCGTGGTGGCTGATGCCTGTAATCCCAGCACTTTGGGAGGCCGAGGTGGGTGAATAACTTGAAGTCAGGAGTTCGAGACCAGCCCAGCCAACATGGTGAAACCCCGTCTCTACTAAAAATACAAAAAATTAGCTGGGTATGGTGGCAGGTGCCTATGATCCCAGCTACTTGGGAGGCTGAGGCAGGAGAATTGCTTGAACCTGAGAGGCGGAGGTTGCAGTGAGCAGAGATCTCGCCACTGCACTCCAGCCTGGGCAACTGAGAGAGACTCTCTCAAAAAAACAAAAACAAAAATAAAAGCAATTTCTTCTCTCTGCATTCTCCATGTTACTGAAACCTAACATCAACCCCATAGCTCCTCAGGCCAGAAGCTCCTTTATTGCATGCATTCTCCAAATGCCTAAATCACCAATTTTTTTTTCTTTCTTTCTTTCTTTTTTTTTTTTGATACGGAGTCTTGCTCTGTTGCCTAGGCTGGAGTGCAGTGGTGCGATCTCAGCTCACTGCAAGCACCGCCTCCCGGGTTCACGCCATTCTCCTGCCTCAGCCTCCTGAGTAGCTGGGACTACAGGCGCCCGCCACCATGCCCGGCTAATTTTTTTTTTTTTTTTTTTTTTTTTTTTTTTTTAGTAGAGACGGGGTTTCGCCATGTTAGCCAGGATGGTCTCGATCTCCTGACCTCATGATCCGCCTGCCTTGGCCTCCCAAAGTGCTGGGATTACAGGTGTGAGCCACCGTGCCCAGCCTTTTTTTTTTTTTTTTTTTTTTTTCGAGATGGAGTCTCCCTCTATTGCCCAGGCTGGAGTGCTGGAGTGCAATGGCGCAATCTCAGCTCACTGCAACCTCTGCCTCCCGGGTTCAAGCAATTCTTCTGCCTCAGCCTCCCGAGTAGCTGGGACTACAGGCGTGTGCCACCACACCCAGCTAATTTTTTTGTATTTTTAGTAGAGACAGGGTTTCACCATGTTGGCCAGGCTTGTCTCTAATTCCTGACCTCATGATCCGCCCACCTTGGCCTCCCAAAGTGCTAGAATTACAGGCGTGAGCCTCTGCGCCCAGCCTGTTTCTTAAAATTAATATGTCTTATTGCATATGTGAGGTCAAGGTGTCATACTGTCTCATCATTTCCACCTCCTCTTTCACAATTCCCATTCTCCATTTTATTAAAAATGAATGAATGAATAAATGATTATCACATGTTTAAGGCTTCCTGAATTTAATTATGGGGCATTCCATTGGGGTGTAATTACCTGCAGCATAATATTGTAGAACAACTCAATATATGGAAGCCTCCTTTAGTCAAGAAATTGTAATCCTACACTAAGGCTACATGTTTTTGTGTTTATATTTTTGATAAGGGTGCAGCATAATATAGAAACAAGGTATTTGGGGACATCCTGAATTCATGTACATTGAGGAGTGAAGTGGCAGGGGTTATGGCAAATTTTGTTGAAGGGTCTTGCCTTTTGCATTGCCTAATTATGATCAAATAATGCATTGCTACTATAGGAGAGTTCTGAGAGGGCAAAGTAGAGAGGCTCAGTACAAAATACAGAACTTATCAGAGCTCATTCCATCCTGGAGACAAACTTATGACAAGACTCTGTGCCTTATCCACCTCCCTGCCTCCTTTCCTTCCTGTCTTTTTATCCATCTTAGAATTAAGATATTTAAATTTTGTCTGAAGCATGTCAGAGAATAACAACATGCTATAAAATTTCACTTGTGTTCACCCATGTGTCAGCTGAGTATTTTGCATTGTTACATTTTTATTTTACTGTATTTTATTTTATTTTTTTTTTGAAATGGGGTCTAGCTATGTTGCAAACTCCTGGCCTCAAACTCCTGGGCGCAAGCAATCCTCCTGCCTTAGCCTCCCAAAATGCTAGGATTACAGGTGTGAGCCACTATGCCCTGCCTATTTTGCATTACTTCAAAGAGAAGGTGAGGTCACACATTTACTTCCAACAGATCAACATTATATCTTCAAGTTAGCAAAAGCAATTGAAAGTAGGTAGTGGCATTCTATATTTCCATAAATGCTCCTTTAGACTTGTAAAAAAATTGTCATTAATTTTGGCCAAAAGCTTATTGATGTCATAAAACCATACTCAGTTTTTACTTGGACACATTCTCCTGCTGTTCCTCATCAACCACTTTGTGGGTTTAGTCATTCAAAGTATGTACTTACTAGATTTAGATTAATTCAATGGAGATATGTTGTGAATTCAACTGAAAATAATGCACTTAAATAATAATTACTGTATCTTTTGTAATCAGCACACTTACCAGAGCTTCAACACCTGCCTTTCCTTTTGCTATTTATTTCCACAAGATAGATTAAACTACATTTTTAACAGTAGAACATTTACTTATGTAGAACAAAATGTTCCTAAGCTGTAAACTACTGTGTAATGACCTGAACACTCTAGAAAGCCAGCTTCATTACATTTGTTTTGGGAGTGCGCACATAAAATGTTGAAGGACCACTGTATTAAAAGGCTATTAGCATAATCTCTAGGAGACACAACCAGAAAACCAAGCATAGAGGCTGAGCAGCCAGAACCAATACTGCTACCGCTGTCCCTGCCACTCAACACAGGCTGAATAGTGGGCAGGGATGCTATGCCAAGCCCCTGCCTTGATTCTCTCTGGAAACTGGATGTATCTTTGCTGCCTCTCTGCTGTCACCTGAATGGATTCCCTCAGGACCCCGTCTTCATGACTTCAGTCTTCCACACTGAAATCACATGCAGGAGCACTGATTGGTGGAGTCTGTGCCACAATTTTTCCTCACTTCAAGGGAATCTGGGAAAATTTGGCCTCTATTTTCAAAAGGCAGACTCACTAGATGGGAGAGTCCCAAATATAAAGAGTATTCAAAGCAACTAGAGAGCTTAGAAAAAAAAAAAAGAATGACAAATGCTATCACACAAAGTATATAATAACATATGATTTTAAAAACAAATATTTTCTTTAATTCATTACATGATCGAGGATTGCATTTATGATGTTCATTTTACTCTAATGCTTTACTAGAACACTGAGCCAGTTTTATGTTTCTCCCCATTCAAAAAATGATGCATGCTCCTCAAATTTACTTTAAATTAATTGCATGAAAAAGGATGATTAGTCAATAAATAAGTCTTGAAAAGACATATTCTATAGTGTTCGGTTTGGGGTTTTCATATTAAAATACACATTGAAATTTACTACATGATATAACAAGAAAAAAACTACTTTCAAGGCCTGATATTTGATTCTTCTATCTTGTATTTGAGAAACCAATGTATTTTACAGATTTTTACAAAACAAAGTAGACATTAATTCCACTTTTAAGGATGTAAATCCCCCAGGGTAACATGGTAAACCTGTCACGGATCATGACCCACTGGATAGGAAACACTGTTTTACTATTCTCTGGGAGGTATGTGAATCTCAACTTCCTGTTGCTTCCTGAATCTACTTGTGACACAGTCACAACTGGAGTGGCAGTAGCTAATCCTGGACTGTCCCTGCTGCTTGAGATCATCTAATCAGTCACTCCTCCACCTCATCTTTGTCTGTTTGATGTTGAAATTGTATTACATGCTTGAACTGATCAACAATTAGATGGCTAGAGACCATTTTGACTGGCTGCCTCCCAGTCCTGCAATAAAACACAACAAAACTGTAAAACTAACCCAACCCAAGAAACCAGAGAACTAACCCAACCCAAGAAACCAGAGGACTCCCTGCGCAAGAAATCCACACTGGCCCTAGAGTGTCCCACGCAGGTTTGAACAGCAACCCTGGACCTGTGCCACAAACTCAAGTGCAAGGGGACTCCGGTGGACCCTGTAATGGCCTATCTGATTTGGCTTCTCATTTACAGAGAATGGAGACTTTACACACCACAATGTATTATTTGCTTAAAGGTGCTTAGAAAGAACAACCTGAAACCTTTTAATCTTATTTGTTCATGTAGAAATGAAACTGTTGAGACCTTATCTTAATGCATATAGTATTCCAGTTGTAATCAGCAACCTTTTAGTTAAAGGAAAGTAACAGCAGGTTGAGATTGTTACTTTTCCTTTTACCAACCCATAAAATGGAGACAAGGGACTAGATTAAATACTAAAACAGGGAACTAATCTTTCAGCAGCCCTATAGGAGTTAGAAGCAAAGGCTCCTGGGCCGGGCATGATGGCTAATGCTTATAATCCCAGCACTTTGGGAGGCTAAGACGGGTGGATCATTTGAGGTCAGGAGTTCAAGACCAGCCTGGCCAACATGATGAAACCCCATCTCTATTGAAAATACAAAAAATTAGCCAGGCATGGTGGTGCAGGCCTGTAATTCCAACTACTCGGGAGGCTGAGGCAGGAGAATCGCTTGAGCCTGGGAGGCGGAGGTTGCGGTGAGTTGATATCTCGCCATTGTACTCTAGTCTGGGTGTCAGAGTGAGACCCTCTTTTTTTTTTGAGAAAAAAAAATAAAAGAAGAAGCGGAGGCTCCTGCTGTTGAATAGACACCCTTTGAGGCAATGAATGACACATGTTAGCAAGGAGCCCATCTTATCTACGACT
Source organism: Homo sapiens (assembly GCF_000001405.40). Classification (NCBI taxonomy): domain Eukaryota; kingdom Metazoa; phylum Chordata; class Mammalia; order Primates; family Hominidae; genus Homo; species Homo sapiens. The sequence continues at coordinate 121,136,910 of NC_000001.11, forward strand.
CATCCTCAAAAGGTCCCCAACCTGAAGTAGCCAGTGCCTGTGGTGGTGTAGATGGTGTCTGGAAAGGCTGAGAGGACCTCACTTCTTTCACTCACCAAATTGTGTACCTGTAATCCCAGCACCTTGGGGTGCCAAGACAGGAGGATCCCTTAAGGCCAAGAGTTCGAGACCAGCCTGGGCAACAAAGTGAGACCTTGTCTCTATAAAAAATCAGAAAATTAGCCGGGTGTGGTGGCAGGTGCCTGTGGTCCCAGCTACACAGGAGGCTGAGGCAGGAGAATCACTTGAGCCTAGAGGTCGAGGTTGCAGTGAGCCATGATTGCACCACTGCCCTCCAGCCTGGGTAACATAGCAAGACCCTGTCTTTAAAAAAAAAAAAAAAAAGATTCGAAGATCTTTGAACATTATAGAGAACATTACAATGGAATGTTATAGTATTAGTATTGTTGATATTTTAAAACCCAGGAGCTGTTAGCTCCTCCTCTCTGGCCTCTTAATCATAAATCCCTGTCCCTTCTCTATTGGGTTACAAGTCAACTGAGGCACCAGCATGTAAGCCTCATCTATACTTACTCAACTAATTCAGACAGGTCTAGGCCTGTAGGGGGTGGCGTGGGGTGCAGTCTGGGTGCAGGGGAGAGATGGACCCACCAGGGAGAGCTAATTATATCACAAGTAGAGGAACCTATGGGAAGAGTATAGTGTTGGACATGTGGGTGCTGCTTTATAACCTCTTCATTTCTCAAATTCCTCAAGGAGAACCTACATTAAGGGGTGACCAACCAGCTGAACAATTCTCTTTGCTGTCAATCTATGACGAGGGGTAAAACATGACTAGTGCACTAAAATATCACTGGAAATAGAACTTCAAAGACGAAAATTTTTTTAAATCAGAAATCTCACAGAGAGTACTCAATAGGGTTGGAGTAAATACCTTGATGAGCCACTTGGGGATGGGGGTGGAAGGTAAGACCCCAAGGGGTATGCCTGGATGACAACAGATGGTCCTTCTAAAAAGGATAGTCAAGTGAACTATGAGGCTGTTGTTTTGGAGAGAGGTTATAAGTTTGGGGCCAGAGTTAAAGCCCCTTGGATTTTGGAGGCTTTGCAGCTGATGGTCCTCCTCTTTATCCTTTTTCTACAGGGCACTGAGGAACTATTTAAAGAAAATACAACCCAAGTATCTGCAGGTCTCATTCTGGTCCAGCCCCAAAGCAGTGTTAGCTGCAGGGGAAGGCCTTACCCTGAGGAGAGGGAGATAGGATGTACCAGCTGATGTGGGGAAGTGAGGACACAGGATTAGAGGGGAGTGGATACTGTGAATTGCACCTAGAAACAACAGCGCTAGGGCAGGCTTCTTCCCCTTGAACTATGCTTCCATTAGGGGAAGAATGCATAAAATGAGTAAAATAAAAGCTGCAGACCAGGCATGGTGGCTCATGCCTATAATCCCTGCACTTTGGGAGGCCATATTGTACGGATTGCTTGAGCCCAGGAGTTGAAGACCAGCCCTGGCAATGTAGCAAGATCCTGTGTCTACAAATAATAATTTAAAAAAATTAGCCTGGCATAGTGACACATGCCTATGGTCCCAGTTACTCAAGAGGTTAAGGCAGGAGGATTGCCTAAGCCCAGGAGGTTAAAGCTGCAGTGAGCCATGATCATGCCACTATACTCCAGCCTAGGGGACAGAGTGAGACCCTGTCTCAATTAAAAAAAAAAAAAAAGGTATATTCCCTGGGCCAGGTTTTCTCTCTCTGTTTATCTGGCTAACTCAAATTTAACCTTTAGGGTTGAGATTAGATCTTACTTCTCCCAGGAAGCCTTTTCTGATCTCCTAAGTCTGCATTAGATGTCATTCCTCTGTGCTCCGACAGATCCTGTATTTCCCCCATCATCACAGCATTTACAGTGTGCATTGTCATTGCTTGGTTACAAGGCAATTTCCTTTGCTAGTCTATAACTTCCATGGGGTAGGGACCATGTCTGTAGTTCACTGTCGTTTGGTGCCAAACAAAGTACCTGATACCTGGTAGGCACTCAATTATTTGTTGTTTGAATGAAATAATACAGGCACAAGAATAGTGCTGCCATGTACCTAGAAGAGGTGGAAAATTTTCATGGTGGAGGGTGGCTCCCTGAGGCCAGGCCTTGGTATAGAGGCTGATGGACAGAACAGTAGCTCGTGGATTTCGGGGGCAGTGATGGCTTCAGACAGCCTGATACGTTAGGAGGAGAGAGGATACCAAAACAGCACCTTCAAAGTCAGGAGCTACATGGAAACAGAATGGAAGACATCAGCTAAAAGATACCCTAGGGACTTCTGCCTCTCCTCACCCTCTAGCAATATAAGTGGGGAAGGAGAAAGTCCCCAAATACAGTGATGCACCACTTAAAAATGCATTCTGAGAAGTGCATTGATAGGTGATTTTGTCATTGTGTGAACCTTATAGTATGTGCTTACACAAATGTAGATGGTGGAGCCTACTACACACCTAGCCTGTATGGCGTTGCTTATTGCTCCCAGGTGGCAAACACGTATAGCATGTTACTGTACTGAATACTGTAGGCAATTGTAATACAATGGTCAGTATTTGTGTATCCAAACATATCTAAACATAGAAAAGGTACAGTAAAAATATGGTATATGTGATATTTTGGTATACATATTGGCTTTCGTCCACAGCTCCTGACTCATAACTCCCATAGCCCTTGTTATATAATGTTGGGGTGCTTCAGGCCTCAGAAAACAGAATGTCTGTCTCTCTGGCCTTCCGACCACCTCCTGCCCTCCTTTTTCTCCCCAAGGCAGGACTCTTCTCTCACCTCTCTTGGAGCTGACCATAAAGAAATTCTCTTACCTACCCTATCTGACTGTAGGTCATAAGAACCCCCAATTCAGAAGGAGTCCTGCCTCACACCCAGGAGGAACAAATGCTGCACAGAGATGCCAAGAAGAATCTGAACAGACAGGCCTTGCTGGGTTTCTCCACTCAGTCTATTAGTATTAGACCATACCCTTCTTGCCCATTTCTGCATGGTTGTCAATCATGACTACCCAATGAAGTCTCCACAAAGGCACAAGAGGACTGGGTACAGAGTATTTCCAGGTAGCTGAGCACATGGAGGTTTCTGGAGAGTGGCACACCCAAGCAGGGCATGGAAGCTCCGAGCCCCTTCCCCATACCTCGCCCTGTGCGTCTCTGCATCTGCATGCTTTGTGGTATTCTTTATAATATATAATTTTTTGTGTATTATAAAGAATATATAAATGTGTTTCCCTGAGTGCTGTGAACAGCACTGGCAAATTAATTGAGCCAAAAGAGGAGGATGTAGGAATCTCAACTTAAAGCCAGTTGGTCAGAAGTTCCAGAGGTCCAGACTTCTGACAGGTATGTGAAGTAGGGGCAGTCTTGGGGACTGTATGATCTGACACTATCTCCAGGTAGAGAGCATCAGAATGAATTGAACTGGAGGACACCAAGCTAGCGTGTCTGTAGAATCGACTGCTTGCTTGGTGGTGGCGAGAAACCGCCATACATTTGGTCTCAGGAGTCTTTTGTGGTTGTGATGTGAGAGGAGAGTAACAACAGTTTTTGTTTTTTCCACTAAGTATAAAAGATAAAAACGTATACTCCTGTATAGGGCACTTACCATAAATAGAGTTTGCAGGACTCAACGCTGTTCTGGGTGAGTCAGTGAGTGAGTGGTGAGTGAATGTGAAGGGCTAGGACATTACTATACACTACTGTGGACTTTATAAACACTCTATACTTAGGCTACACTAAATTTAACACATTTTTTTCTTTAATAAGAAATTAATCTCAGCTTACTGTAAATTTTTTACTTTATAAACTTTTTAATTTTTTAAACTTTTTGACTCTTTTGTAATAACACTTAGCTTAAACACAAACACATTGTACAGCTGTACAAAAATATTTTCTCTGTTTATATCTTTATTCTATAAGCTTTATTCTATTATCTTAAATTTTTAATTTTTTCTTTTTTTTTGTTAAAAACTAGGACACAAAGACACACATTAGCTTAGGCCTACACAGGGTCAGGATCATCAATATCACTGTCTTCCACCTCCACATCTTGTCCCACTCGGAGGTCTTTAGGGACAATACCATGCATAGAGCTGTCATCTCCTATGATTACAATGCCTTCTTCTGGAATACTTCCTGAAGGACCTCCCAGAGGCTGTTTAACAGTTACCTTTTTTTTTTCAATAAGTAGGAGTACACTCTAAAACAACAAAATATATAGTAAATACATAAACCAGTAACATGGTCATTTATTATCATTCTCAAGTATTATGTACTGTATATAACTGTATGTGCTAGACTCTTATATGACTGGCAGCAAGTGGGTCTGTTTATACTGGGCATCACCATAAACACATAAGTAATGCATTGTGCTAGGACTTTATGACAGCTACATGGTTATTAGGCTACAGGAATTTTTCAGCTCCGTGATAATCTTCTGGGACCCCATCATATATGTGGTCCATTTGGCTGAAATGTCACTATGCAGTGCTTGACTATAATCCTGCTTGCAGCATTTTGTACCCCAACCATACCCTCAGGATGATATGCCTGGAGAAATGCCAGTTACACCTGGCCGTAACACCCACAGTCTTGGTTCATGTTCTCATCATCACAGTTGCATTAGATGCCTTAATGATCACCCTCCTCTATTTGGGCCATGGAGCCCTTTGAGAATCCAACAATAACTCTGAACCTCTCCACAGAAGAATCACAGGGTCACACAAGCACAAAATTTTACATATAACAGACAACCCTTAAAAGCTAATCTACAGACCCTAGCTCTCATCTTAATCTTTTCTAAATTTTTCTCCATAGTGCTGCCAGGGTGAACTTGAAAAATAAATTTTATTGCATTGTTGGATTTTTATTACCTTCAGGGAAGACTTCAAGCTCCCTAGTAAAGTACATGAGACACCTCCCACATACTGCTCACGTTCCTTACCTACCTTTTTTACTCCACCACTGCTGCAGCAATGAGCTGGTGTGACCCATTTCTTTGGAGAAATGTCTGCTCAGATCCTTTGCCCATTCTTTTTGGTTCCCAAGTTTTATTCAAGAATTCATTCAAAATATTCCAGATAAATAAAATTTAATCCTCATCTTTCTCTTCTTCTTTGTCCTGGTTAATTTGGAAATAACGTAATTCATAACTCTCTTTACTGTTAGCAACTATGCACAACCAATCACATAGATTATTGTTCTTCAAATATTTTTTGGTGAGATATTTCAAATACCTTCTGGAAAAAGGCACTTCCGGTGTTACGGTGAGCTTGCTCTTGCTCCTTTCGATGGTCACCACTCCTCCAAGATTCACAGCTTTTCTGTTCACTTTGATCCTCTCTTGCAAAAACTGCTCAAAATTGGTAGAATGGCGGCATCCATGATTCCATCTTCTATGGGGTGGATGCAATCAAGAGTGAACTTCAGAACCTGCTTCTTTTTTGCCCCCTTTCACCACAAGCTTTTTCACGGGCGCCATGGTGGCAGTGGAGGCAGAAAAGCCCTTTGCCCATTTTTAAAATTGGGTTATTTGTTCTTCTGCTATTGAGTTGTAAGAGTTCCTTATATTTTTTGGATATTAATTCCTTATCAGATATGTGGTTTGCAATTATATTTTCCTAGTCCATAGGTTGCTTTTCAAGTTTGTTGATTGTTTCCTCTCCTGTGCAGAATTTTTTAGTTTGATGTAGTCCCTTTATTTATTTTTGTTTTTGTAGCCTGAGCTTCTGATGTGATATTAAGAAAAAGAAAAATCAGGCCGGGCGCAGTGGCTCACACCTGTAATCTCAGCACGTTGCGAGGTCAAGGCGGGTGGATCATTTGAGGTCAATAGTTCGAGACCAGCCTGGCCAACATGGTGAAACCCCATCTCTACTAAAAATACAAAAATTAGCCAGGCGTGGTGGCACGTGCCTGTAGTCCCAGCTACTCGGGAGGCTGAGGCAGGAGAATTGCTTGAACCCGGGAGGCAGAAGTTGCAGTGAACCAAGATTGCGCCACTGCACTCCAGCCTGGGTGACAGAACGAGAGATTCCGTTTCAAAAAACAATCATTGTCAAGGCAAATGTCAAGAGGTTTTTCCCCTGTGTTCTCTTCTAGGAGTTTTATGGTTTCAGGTCCACAGTACACTGTTAGTGGGAATGTAGATTGGTACAGTCATTATAGGAAACAGTATGGAGGTTCCTAAAGAAATTAAAAATGGAACTACCATATGATGCAGCAATCCCTCTCCTGAGTATATTCCCAAAGGAGAGGAAATCATCACCTTGTAAACATGTCTGCACTCCCCTGTTCATTGTTATGTTATTCACAATAGCCAAGATAAGGAAACAAACTAAGTGCCCATTGACATTTAGGATGGATAAAGAAAATGGGTTTTGTGGTGTACATACAAGGTATTTTCAAAAAGTTCATGGAAAGTCTGTATTATAAAAAAAAAAAAAAAAAACTATGTGGCCGGGCGCGGTGGCTCAGGCCTGTAATCTCAGCACTTTGGGAGGTCGAGGCGGGCGGATCATGAGGTCAGGAGATCGAGACTATCCTGGCTAACACGGTGAAACAATGTCTCTACTAAAAAATACAAAAAAAATTAGCCGGGCGTGATGGCGAGTGCCTGTAGTCCCAGCTACTCCGGAGGCTGAGGCAGGAGAATGGCGTGAACCCGGGAGGCGGAGCTTGCAGTGAGCCGAGTTCGCACCACTGCACTCCAGCCTGGGCGACAGAGCAAGACTCCGTCTCAAAGAAAAAAAACAAAAACAAAAAAACAAACAAAGAAAACACTATGTATGGATTTCAAAATTGTTCACAACAAAATAAACTAGTACTAACTTGTTTATAACATGTCTGGTCAGGATCTAGTTAGAGACACTAAGGACAACACATCAGTTTGAAAAGAGTCCCCTGTCGGAGCAACATGAATTCTGCTAAAATTGAAGCAAGAACAAGCATCAAATGTATGGTGAAGCTTGTGTGAAAGAATGATCACATCACTGATTCTTTACAAAAAGTTTATGGAAACAATCCCCAAAGAAATCAGCAGTTTACAAATGGATAACTTGTTTTAAAAACAGATGAGGCAATGTTGAAGATGAAGCCCATAGTGGCAGACCATCCACATCAATTTTCAAGGGAAAAATTAATCTTGTTCATGCCCTAATTGAAGAGAATTGATGACTAACAGCAAAAACAATAGCCAACACCAGAGACATCTCAACTGGTTCCACTTACGTAAATCTGACTGAAAAATTCAAGTTGAATAAACTTTCCACGCAATGGGTGCCAAAACCGTTGCACCCAGATCAGCTGCAGGCAAGAGCAGAGCTTTCAATCCAAATTTTAAAGAAGTGACATCAAGCTCCTAAAGCAAAACAATTGTAATGGGAGATGAAACATGGCTTTACAGGTACGATCTTGAAGACAAAGCCCAAAGCAATGGCCACCAAGAGGTGGAAATGGTCGAGTCAAAGCAAAAGTGGATTGGTCAAAAGAAAAGGTCATGACAACAGTTTTGTGGGATGCTCAAGGCATTTTGCTTGTTGGCATTCTGAAGGGCCAAAGAACAGTAACATCTGCATATTATGAGAGTGTTTTGAGAAAGTTAGCCAAAGCTTTAGCAGAAAATTCCCTGGGAAAGCTTCACCATAGAGTCCTTCTCCACCATGGCAATGTCCCTGCTCATTTCTCTCATCAAACAAGGATAATCTTTTTAGAGTTTCATTGGGAAATCATTAGGCATCCACCTTACAGTCCTGATTTGGCTTCTTCTGACATTTTTTGGTTTCCTATTCTTAAAAAAACCCTATAAGGTACACCCATTTTTCTTCAGTTAATAATGTAAAAACGACTGCATTGATGTGGTTAAATTCCCAAGACCCTCAGTTCTTCAGAGATGGACTAAATGGCTGGTATCATTGCTTTCAAAAGCATCTTGAACTTGATGGAGATTATGTTGAGAAATAGTTTATATTTTCAATTTTTATCTTTTAATTCCATTTTTCCGTGAACCTTTTGAAGCTCCCCCCATACAATGGAATATTATGTAGTCTTAAAAAAAGAAAAGGAGACCCTGTCATTTGCCACAACATGGGTGGACTTGGAGGACATTAGGCTAAGTGAAATAATCCAGATACAGAGAGAAAAACATTGCATGACCTCACTTATACATGGCATTTTAAAAAGAGCTCAAATACACAGAGAGAATGAAACAGTGGTTACCATGATTGGGTGGTGGGGAGAGGAAATGAGGCACTGTAAGTCAAAGGATACGAAATATGAAAAGTCTCCACATCTAAGGTCCAACATGAAGACTAAAGTTAAAAAAAACTGTATCATATTGGGAATTTGTGTTAAATAAGTAGATTTTAGCTGCCCTTGTCACAAAAAAGTAACTATTTGAGATGATAGAAACATTAATCTGCTTCATAACTGTAACCATATTACTATTTATATGTATCCCATAACATTGTGCTGTAAACCTCAAGTATACACAATTTAAAAAATTTTTTGGCTGAGTACAGTGGCTCACGCCTGTAATCCCAGAACTTTGGGAGGCCGAGGTGGGTGGATCACCTGAGGTCAGGAGTTCGAGACCAACCTGATCAACATGGCGAAACCCCGTCTCTACTAAAAATACAAAAATTAGCCAGGCATAGTGGCGCACGCCTGTAATCCCAGCTATTCAGAGGCTGAGGCAGGGGAATCGTTTGAACCCTGGAGTTGGAGGTTGCAGTGAGCTGAGATTGCGCCATTGCACCCCAGCCTGGGCAACAAGAGTGAAACTACATCTCAAAAAAAACAAAAGATTTTTTTTTTAAATGACCTCTCCCCAATTTTCATTACCTGACCTTCCTCTAGGATCTCATGGTCCTGGGCTCCCCTCTACATAGCACTTACTGCTGAGCTGTAAATATCCATTTATCTGTTGCCTCCCTCACTGGACTGTAAAATTCTTGAGGCAGAACCAGTAGGTTTTATCTATTTATCCTTCTCAAGCCTAGGACAGTGCCTGAGACCTTGAAACTCGGTGATTGTTGGTTGACAGGTTGAATGAGTGATCTATGAGATTTCTGAATCAAGCCTGGTGCATTTAATCTTTGGGTCTTGATAACATCTGGATCTGAATGAATCTGGGGGAAAGTCTAATTGAGCTTGATTTCCCTGTGACCTGCAGAGGCAGGAGTCCCAGCTTGACTGGTAGAGTGGGTGGGGAAGGCCTCTTCTACAGCACAGCCATAAAAAATCTGGAATTGTGACACTTTCCCCTAATGGGCCTCCTGGGACTTTACATGTCCTGTTGTGGGGAGTTGATTTTAACACAGAATCTGTCAATGCTCTATCCTTTTCAGGTCCAGCTTCATAAAAATATTCAAGGAATCATGTCTTCTGATTTTGCTTGATGATCCCTCTTGGGAGCCATATTTGAAAGGTTACAGTTTGCATTTTCGACATTAAAGTTTACTTTTTAATTTTAAAAAAAGTTACAAAGATGTAGGACGTTTGGCTTCTTCAATACTTATTTGCTAGAAGACTTTGGGCAAGTTACCTAAACTCTCTGGGCTTCAATGTCCTCCCATACATGTAAGCTAAATGTTCCAGGGCCACCTATGCCCATGGGTAACAGGCCAGCACAAGAATATGCTGACCAATTGATTCCTGGCTGCATAACCACAGAATCTCCTCTGTTATTTCTAGGTGCCTAGAGGAGGTCTCTCATAGATGCCCACGTTCTCTTGACAAGATATTTGGGGAGGACCCCTGGCTACTGTCACTGCTGCCATGCCTGCCAGGAGGAGGCACCTTCCTGACACTTCACTGCTGCTGCTCAGCAGGCCTGCCAAGTGGTTCTGCTGTGTTCTAGGAGAAACAGGAAAAATGCCTCTCCTCCCACTTTGCACTGTGCTTTGTCACCTGGGCCCTAAAACACCATTGCCTGCCCCTGACGCCCCAACAGCTCCTTCTACCAAACTGAGGCTGGGCTGGGAGACTAGGCACCACACCATTCCATTCTCCCTTCTCTTCTTCCATTCTCCCTTCCCTCCCTCTCTTCTTCCCACTGCCTCCAAGACACCTGTACTGGAACTTTGTCCATTCTTACACTCACACACACACACATGCACATGCATATGTGCACACACAAAAGTCTCTTGTCCATCAGATCATACAAATATATGCTTGGGACAGGGGTGATCACATGCCCCACATGCCCAGTGGACATTTAGGCTCAGATAGGACAATTCTTTCACAAGGATGACAAAACCTACCTTCCGTGGTTGCTGTGAGAACAAGAAATTGTACATACAGTGCCCATTCTGCAGCAAACCCAACAATGAATTAAAATCCACAATAGGCCGTGCGGTGGCTCACGCCTGTAATCCCAGTACTTTGGGGGGCCGAGGCGGGCGGATCACGAGATCAGGAGATCGAGACCATCCTGGCTAACACGGTGAAACCCCGTCTCTATTAAAAATATAAAAAATTAGCCAGGCATGGTGGCAGGCGCCTGTAGTCCCAGCTACTTGGGAGGCTGAGGCAGGAGAATGGCGTGAACCCAGGAGGCGAAGCTTGCAGTGAGCCGAGATCGTGCCACTGCACTCCAGCCTGGGCGACAGAGCAAGACTCCATCTCAAAAAAAAAAAAAAAAAAATTCCAGAATATATAGAGAGCACCTTAAGAGTCAATAAGAAAAAAAGACAAACCAATATACAAAAAGTGAGCAAAAGATATCAACAATTAATTGAAAATACAAATAACCAATAAAAATATGAAAATATATTCTTAATCTTATTAAGTACGCAGGTAAAGACAAATTAAAACAATGAAATACCAATTTTTATTCATCAGATTGGCCAAAACTAAAGCCTGAAAATATAAAGTGTCCATCTTGCTGTGTGTAAATGGGAAATCTGAATCTGATGGTGGAGGCGTAAATTGGACAGCTTTTTGAAAAGAATGATTTAGCAGTATCTATTACAACGAAAAACATAGATACCTTTGCCTCAGTAAGTTTACCTCCAGGTGTGTATCCTAAAGAAATACTTAGAAAGGTACCTCCAAGAGACATGTACAAGGAAGTTCCCTTACGCATTGTTTGTAAAAGTAAAACAGTGATGATCTCAATGCCCACTGATAGGGGAAAGGTTTAATTCACCATGATTCATAAATACAGAGAAATTCTATATAAAGTAGAATAGATTTGTGTGGCATGGAAGGATCGCCAAAAAGTATTTTAAGATTAAAAAAAAAGTAAAAAATATGTGCAGAATTATGCCTTTTTTTCATGGAAAAAAGTCTAGGGGATTCACCGCTCAGCAGGCCATCCTGGCTATCTGGGCATAACCACCACCCAGAGTGTAATTTCTTCTAAGGCAATCACCCAAGTCTTTCACATTTTATACCTTCACAGCCCTGACAAAAACTGCTACATAATAAACACTAAACAAATGCCTATGAAAGGCAAGAAGGACGTAAGAGAGGGAAAGAAGCAAAGAAATGAACAATCGTAGCACCTGAGGCCGGATTAAAGAAAGGAAAAAAGCTTGTATGGGTCTTTTCATATTGACAAAGCTTTAGTGGAACACTCTTTTGGTGGGTTTTCAAGGGATCAGAACGTTTGGGCAGAAAACAGAAAAATACAGACATAAAGAAGAGACCTAAATATATAAGCATAGCATTGGGAAAAAGCCTTTTCAGAACTGCAACTCATGCCTTACTCGAACATGTTCTGAACAAGGTCTCTTATCCAAAGTTGTTTCTGGCTTCAGACAGCAGGTGGCAGCAGAATCAAGCTTTCTGGTTGCAGAAACTTCTGGAGCCAGCCAGCTGTATAAAGTTTCAAATGGTTTTCGGAGGAGAAGCAGCTTTTGAGTAAAAACCTTTAATCTAAAAATCTAAACTCGACACAAAACAAAAACAAAACAGAGTGAGGAGCTGGTGCCATTGGCCCCTGCCACGACAGATCCTGATGTCATTCCCTGCCTGCCATCTACAGAGCCACACCTTGTCCTTCGAAGAAATTCTGGGATTTCTACTGGCAGCGGCCAGGAAAGGAACCCAAGGTTGGTCTGTCCTGTTCTGACGTTGTCCTTGTCACATGTGGAAGCTGGTTCGCCAGGAAACAGGCTCTGGTCAAGGCTGGGCTCACTGGAGAGGTCAGCCCAAACTCAAAACACATTTATGGGTAAAGGAAGGGTTTTTTAAAAGGAGACTTTGCAGGCAACAAAAAGAAATATAGTATTGATATATGCCACAATGTGGATGAACCTCAAAAACATCATGTTAAGTCAAAGAAATCAGTCACAAAAAGACCACATAACGCATGAAACCATTTATAGGAAATCTTCAGAATAGGCAAATCTAAAGACAGAAAATAGATTAGTGGTTGTCTAGGGCTCAGGAGGTGGTGACTGGGGAATGACTGCTAATGAGTACACAATTTCTTTGGGGAGTGATGAAAATATTCTATAATTAGATTACAGTGATGATGCACAATTCTTTAAATATACTTAAAAACCATTGAGTTGTACGCTTTAAATGCGTGAACTTTATGGTATGTAAGTTATCTCAATAAAGCTATTAAAAAAGGAAAAAAAAAAGGGCCCAGGACTTTGGGAGGCTGAGGCTGGAGGATTGCTTGAAACCAGGATTTCAAGACCAGCCTGGACAACATAGTGAGACCCCCCATCTCTACAAAAAATAAAAACTAGCTGGGCGTGGTGGCTTATGCTTGTATTCCTGGCTACTCTGGAGGCTGAGGCTAGAGGACTGCTTGAGCCCAGGAGTTCGAAGACACAGTGAACTATGATTGTGCCACTGCACTTCAGTCTGGGATAACCATTCAATGCTGGGGGGGTGGGGAGAGAGAGAGAGAGAGAGAGTCTATGCAGTTGCTACAGAAAAGAATTGGAGGCCGGGCGCGGTGGCTCACGCCTGTAATCCCAGCACTTTGGGAGGCCGAGGCGGGTGGATCATGAGGTCAGGAGATCGAGACCATCCTGGCTAACAAGGTGAAACCCCGTCTCTACTAAAAATACAAAAAATTAGCCGGGCGCGGTGGCGGGCGCCTGTAGTCCCAGCTACTCGGGAGGCTGAGGCAGGAGAATGGCGTGAACCCGGGAAGCGGAGCTTGCAGTGAGCCGAGATTGCGCCACTGCAGTCCGCAGTCCGGCCTGGGCAACAGAGCGAGACTCCGTCTCAAAAAAAAAAAAAAAAAAAAAAAAAAAGAATTGGAGATTGGTTAGAGATATGACTGGTACATTGATGAATTTTACTTTTTGATCAGATTGTGATATGATGGTAGCATAATTCGCTTCCTGATTTGGTCACACACACTTCCTATCCCTAAGAACTGCAAATACTTACCTGAAAGAGTGGATGAGGTGCGTTGCCATCTCACTTTTTTAGGGGATGGTGCTCTCCCTGGAAAGAAGGCAATAACAGGCCAGTGAAATAGCAGACATCTGAAGTCACACAGACGTGGTTTCAAATTCCGGTTCTTCCTCTTATTAGCTATGAGCCGTCAGCTTCTTTTCCATACCCACATCTCAAGGTTAAGTAAGAATTATAACATAAAATATAAAAGTGCCCAACCCAGAGTAAACTTGAAATTTATTTAATATTCTTGGAATTTCCATCCTGACCAGTAAGATGACATTTTATCTCAAAACACAGCTGTATCATGTTTTGCTATTGGTACACCTCTAAAGATCTTCTCCACCGCCCTCTGCCCCCACCCCAAGTCCATGTGCCATGAATAACCTTACTTATTATCACTTTTTACAATGATGAGCAGCCTCTGAGAATGGAAAAATAAGTCAATGGTAATACTGTGTTAGGAAGGATCTGAGTAGGAAGGAACCTGTCCCCTGGCTACCAGAAACACAGGACTAGACCCAGTAATACACACCTAGAATATAAGCCTGGATAACAACAGTGCAGGGGAAACACTGTCCTCACCAGGATAGCTTTTATATGCAAGAATTTAGGTATTATAATCAGAAACATTTCTAGAAACTATGAAATATTAGGGAAAAAAGCCAACACATTAGCCAACATTGTACTTTACATTTATGCAAATTTTAAACTCTATCGGCACCTCCTAGTAGCTTTGGGGGAAAATAATACTCTGTGCATCGTGTAATGGATAAGAAAATGAGTTAAAGGGCCGGGTGCGGTGGCTCATGCCTGTAATCCCAGCACTTTGGAAGGCCGAGGCGGATGGATCACCTGAGGTCAGGTGTTCGAGACCAGCCTGACCAACATGGTGAAAACCTGCCTCCACTAAAAACACAAAATTAGCTGGGGGTGGTGGTGCATGCCTGTAATCCCAGCTACTTAGGAGGCTGAGGCAGGAGAATTGCTTGAACCTGAGAGGCAGAGGTTGCAATGAGCTGAGATCGCACCCTTGCACTTCAGCCTGGGCAACAACAGCAAAAACTCCACCTCAAAAAAAAAAAAAAAAAGAAAAGAAAAGAAAATGAGCTAAGGAGCTAGGCTTCCTTATTTCACAACCTTGGCTCTGTCTCCTATGAAACCAGGGCAACTATTTAACCCCTCCATGTCTGAGTTTCCTCATGTATAAATGAAGGGAGCAATAGTACCTAGCTTATAAGGCCATTATAAGGATTCTAAAAGTTAATCTAAAGTGCTTAGGACAGAGTATGGCATAGAGCAAGCACTCAGTAAATCCATTCATTCAATAAATGTTTATTGAATATAGGTGTGGCTGCTGTTTTGGCTGATGAGTATACTAAAGTCAGTGAAACAGACGAAATCTGTGGAGCTTTCTTCCTTGGGGGAGGAGGCCAACAACAACAACGAATACACACAGAGGAAGAGCAATGGAATGAATTGTGTTCCCTCCCCTCCCAAATTCATATGTTGAAGCCCTAACTGCCAACGTGATGGTATCTGGAGATGGGGCATTTGGGAAATAATTAGATTTAGAAGAGATCATGAAGGTGGGAGACTCGTGATGGGATTAGTGCCCTTTTAAGAAGAGAAAGAGTCAGGTGCAGTGGCTCTTGCCTGTAATCTCAGCACTTTGGGAGGCCAAAGCAGGAGGATCGCTTGAGCCCAGAGTTTGAGACCAGCCTGGGCAACATGGTGAGACGCCATCTCTATAAAAATAAAAATAAAAAATTAGCCCAGTGTGGTGGCACACACCCATAGTCTCAGCTACTTGGGAGGCTGAGGCGGGAGGTTGAGGCTGCAGTGAGCTATGGTTCTCATCAGTGCACTCCAGCATGGGTGACAGAGCAAGACTGTCTCAAAATGAAAGAAAAAACAAGAGAGAGAGAGAGATACACCAGGGCTCTCTCTATGTCCTGTGAGGACACAGCAAGAAGGCAGCTGACTGCAAGCCAGGAAGAGAGCCCTTACCAGGAACTGAAGCTGTCAGCACCTTTATCTTGGACTTCCCAACCTACAGAACTGTGAGAACTAAATGTGTGTTGTTTAACAGACATTTTGTCTATGGTATTTTGTTTGTTGTTGGTATTTGTTGACATTTTGGTATTGGTGTGTTATTTGTTGGTATTTTGCTATCAGCAACCCGGCAGACTAATATAGATTTATATGTAAACATATATTTGAATAGGAACCCTGCAGAAGCCACATAGCTGGTTTTACTGATGCAAAGAGCCCTATGCTACAGTATGATGAGGTGAAGGGCTTACATTTCCCTTTCAGCAGTGGTATCCACTCTCCACAGCGTAGACTTGGAGAAGCCACTTGACTCTCATCTTAGATTCCTGCATCTGTAAAATGATGAACTAGATGATACCCAAAATTTTAGATTCTATCCATCTTATGGTTGGAATAACAGCCCACCTTCTAGGTCAATTACACACACAGGTGTGCTGATGCTTAGGGTGGCAGAGAGGGTGTCCCACAAGTAGACACTGATTATCCTAACTGTAACTTTCAAATGGAAAATTAATTAAATCTCTAAATTTGGATTTGGCTTCCTAGTTAGCACTGTTTCCTTCCTGGAAAAGAAATAGTTATGTGTCAGACAGAACAGCCCCCTCTGATCATTTTTTTCCTTCTTCCTTGCATTATTGTTAGCTCTGACTGTGCAGCTCTCCTGGTGTCTCTCCCTTTCTAGATAACAGCCTAGAAAAAGGAGCTTATGGTTTCCCTGAGGTTCTTTTGATAAATGGCTGACATTTGATTGAACCATTCTTATTTCACTTATTTTTCACTTTCACAGAAAAACTGTAGTAGGTATAACAGCACAAGGTAATCATTTTTAAATTATTCAGACATTTTTAAAAATTTGATTCTGCTTCTCTCACCTCTGAAAGATGTTACTGGGGTGTCTTGGTTGCAAAGATTCATTCATGTTCTTTTGCTTTTGGATTCTCCATATTCTCTGAGGAAGTGACTGCATCTAAGACTGTGTCCAAGGAAGCATCTTATCACTTTCATCCTTTGATCCCTGAGTGCCTTTCACTACCAGATATACTAAAACAAAAATCTTCTCTTAGCTCCCTGGTGCAGTGGAGTTGAGGGATAACCACAAAGAATTCAGAGTACATCACATAACGGAACTGTCAGGAAGCTTTTGATGGCAGAAACATATTTTCCTGGTGATGAGATTGGAAGGATCTTCATATAACCATCAGATATGTTATTGTCACTTCTGAACAATGCTTTTTATAGCAGATTGTTTCTCAAAAAGGAAATAGAAATGCGATTTTAAAATATGAAAAATATGTTCAATCTCATTATTAAGATAAATGCAAATACAAATTATAAGAGGACTTAACAGATTGGCAAACATCAGAAAAGTGAACAACCTCCTCCACTGGCATTCTTTTTTTTTTTTTTTTGAGATGGAGTTTCACTCTTGTTGCCCAGGCTAGAGTGCAGTGGTACGATCTCAGCTCACTGTAACCTCCACCTTCCAGTTTCAAGCGATTCTTCTGACTCAGCCTCCCGAGTAGCTGGGATTACAGGCTCCTGCCACCACACCCGACTAATTTTTGTATTTTCAGTAGAGATGGGGTTTCACCATGTTGGCCAGGCTTGTCTTAAACTCCTGACCTCATGATCTGCCCGCCTTGGCCTCGGGAGTATAATTTGCTGTATGGAGGGCAATTTGACAGTATCTATCAGATTTTATAATGTACAGAGCCTTGAATTCAGTAATTCTACTTTTAGGAACTTATCCCACAGATATTCCAGACATGCTCAAAGATGTAGGTACAAAGATTTTATTGCAGTATTATTTGGAAGAGTAAAAAACCAGTCCATGAGGAAGACTAGTTCAATAAGTTAATAATCTAGAATATATCGATATAATGGAATACTATCAAAGAACAATTTTCACAATGTATTGTTAAGAGGGGGAAGGTACAGAAACATATGTAAGGAGTTTCATTTGTTTAATATATAATTAGTGACACAGGTTGCATCTGGGGAGGAAAATTAGGGAACAATTTTTTGTTGTACACCTTTATCTTTCATTGTATCTCTTTCAAAACCTTTTGTACCATTTGTGTGTATTGTGTATTTTAAAAATTAATTTAAATTTCAACAACCGTTATAGTGATGCAAAAAACCCTATAGAAATAACAGTTTACATTCAATTTTGCTATATGTCAGGTACTGATTTTTCAACCACAACCTTGTAAGATACGTGCTATTATCATCCCCACTTCACAGGGGGAAACCTGTGGTAGAGAGAGGCTGAATAACTTGTACAAGGATTCATACCTAATCAGTAGCAGAGCTCAGATTTGAACCCAGGCAGCCTGTTTCCAGAGACCATACTTTACCCACCATTCTATACTGCTCTGAGGTCACAGACCTCCATGATGAACTCTTAATTGAGTGCAGTCAATAGGAAACTCAGATAAACTCAGATGTACAAGAAATATCTCACTTCTTCATTTGCTTTTCACCTACTTAACTCTGACTCTGAGTCCCCATCCAGCTTGATTGGCAGAAATTGTAATCTCAGTCATTATTTGGACTCGCCACTGCAAGGATTTTGCAAGGTCCTGGAATCTTACATGGCACCAAAGCCTGGCAGAGATCCTGCCAGTTGTCAATACATACTGGTTACCACTGACATGTCCATTGCAGTCCAGTACTCTCCTGCGGCCATGTGTAGTCCTACTCACCCTCACCCATAGACTGAAAACTTCCTTATATTCTTGGGAAATTTTCTCCTTTCCTTTTCCTGCTGCCTTCAAAGACATTGATAATACTATCTTCATTGAGTTCAGGTTTTATCTACAGACAGCTAGATCATTCTGCAAAATATCTCTAAGGTAAGAAATTACTAAGGGCCTACCTAACTCACTTAGATCAAAGGGGTAGAGAAAGTATGGAAAGTAGACAAAGAAATTAATATTTCAATAGATTATCCTGCCACAGAGTCATAGCCATGAAAAACAATAACTTTGGATTTGGAATTTACCTCCTACCTCAAGTTTCCCTCTGCAAGTGTTTGGACTTGCGTGTTATGGAATGATGATTGTAATGAACCATGCCTTCTATTGGTAGCAGATTTTGACTGAGATATAGGACAGTTAACAACTGCAGTTTGAATGCAAAGGCAGACAGAGTACACTTTGCACAAGGGACAAAGAACTGATAGGGAAACAAGGACAGTCTCCTTTTACACCTTAAAAATCCTCAAATAAGAACCTGGCTTCTGCTCAGCTAACCGACACATAAGTGCAGAAAAAAAGACAAGATTGGAATCCAAGGAAGGAAATGTTAGAATCCAAGGGCCAGGAATCAAAGAGAATATATTTAAATAGAAACCAGGTTGATACGAGAACTTTGGGATGCCTAGAGTAGGCGGGAAAAAGATGTATGATCTAAGCACAGGATATTTCAAATACAGGAGCTTGGATAAGAAGTCTATTCCAAATTCCATCTGCCACCAATGAAAGCAGAAAGGAAATATGTAATAAGAGCCAAGCCATGGGGAAATAGTCCAAGATGGGTGTGCCTCCTGTGTATTTAGTAATCAGGTCCAGCTCAGCAAATCTGAGTTTCTTTATTCCTTGAGCTACTGTCCATTTTAATGAACAGGGAACATTTGATCTCAAGCAGCTTCAGAAACTCAATTTTCCCCCAGCCTTTGTCTAGGTTTTATAGAGGAAAAGGTATAGTTGCAGTACTGGTTGATATTTGCTTGTGAGAGCTCTTGGGCAGCTAATTCTTGATCCTTTGCTCCACCTAGTGGATTTCCAGGCTAGAGAGACTCTGGAAAAGAGATCAGTGGTCAGAAGGGTGTACATTTGCTGATAAATGAGACTTACCAGTCAGTTTCTGGATTATCGTCAGTTTCTGGATTATCGTCCGTTTCTTTACTGACGATACCCAATTCCATCCCAAAGTGTCCTTGTTTGAATTGATTGAAATCTTTCATTTATTTCCATTAATGCCAGATGTGTAGCTGTAAGTCATCAAAATCTAATGCATTCCTTTTCTCTCTTCTTAATATATAAATAACATTATATAATCAGGAGACCCATATCAGCACAAGAAAGCATATTCTACTTATAATTATATCCTCTGAGGGCCAAACACACTCAAACCTCAACAGAGTCATTTAATTAAACAATGACCTACCTGCTTAACACTTTGGGTACTCCTTTGAACAATAATTGGTTAAAGAGTCATAGGACCCTTTCTCAAGAAGTTTCACATCCAATTATAAAAACAGATGAAATAACACTGGAAAGCAGGGCGACGCTGAAAAATTTCAGGTAGAAGAGAATTCAGAGCTGACTCTTACACAATATCCATATGTGGAGATAAAATTAGTGTTAATGTAGGTTTAAGCCATTAGAGTTACAACATAAATTTGACAATCTATGCTTACTTGCTGGCTGACCATGTCCCTGTCAGTTACCAGCCTTAAAGGCTACCAAGGCATTATTCTTTATTCCTTACCTATATTTAATACTTACTTTTTGTTATGGGTTGAATTGTGTCCCCCAAGTATTCATATGTTGAAGTGCTAACCCTCAGTCCCTCAGAATGTGACCTTATTTGGAGATAGGGTCTTTATAGAGGTAATCAAGTTAAAATGAGGTCATTAGGGCATCTCTACTCCAATATGCCTGCTATCCTTATAAAGAGGGGAAATTTGGAGACAGATGCACACAAAGGAAGAACACCATATGAAGATGAAGATGGCCCTCTACAGGCCAAGGAGAGGAGCCTGGAATGGATTCCTTCCTCACTTCCCTCAGAAACAACCAACTCTGCTAATACCTCGATATTGGGTTCCCAGCCTCCAGAACTGTGAGAAGATAAATTTCTGTTGCTTAAGTCACCCAGTTTGAAGAACTTTGAATGGCAGCCCTAGTGAATTAGTTCAATTGCCTCTGGCAAATGAATAAGAAGCTCACTGCAAAAATGAAATTAATCCACCGAGTGCTAGAGTTGGACGGGATCTCAGAAAATGTATTGCACAATCCCCTTGTTTTGAAATAAATGCCCAAGGTCACACAGCAAGTTGGTGACTTAGTCACTCTTTTAGCTCAACTTTCAGTCCATCAATGTTCTATCACAGTCTGCCAACTATTTCAAAGATGGTGGCAAAATCAGCCAATGATGGTGATTAGATCCAAAACTTAGTTGCAAATAATTTTTCGGGGAACTATATGCAAGCATAGGTCCTTCCTAAATATTTGCTAATGGAAGCATGTGCTAAATAGGATGCCTACCAGAAGACTGATACCCAGCAGAATAGCTAGACAGGTAATTTGACCTCTGGCTGGGCCCGTAGGATTCATCATCCCTCCAGACAAGCACTTGGTTGTGGTAAAGATCTGGCTCTGGTTGGAAGGCTGTCCCATCCCACTGAGGGTGATTCACCAGAGCAACTTAATCATCTATGGATCAGAAGCTCAGGTTCATGTGAGCAGGGTGGGGGTTAAGGGAAAGAGAGTCTGAGTAATGCTTCACAGTGGGTGTGGGGACTTGTTATAATAGTAGGCACGCTGTTGATTACAGTACATGACAGAAGTAATTGCCAGAGATCCCAAACCAGCCATCACCTAGCATTAGAGATGTATCTAATATCAGACAGAAAGCCTAGTTTCAACTCTGCAGCAGAGGCCTTTGAAAAGTCTCCAGAAGTAATTGGCACTTAATCAATGCAATCATTATTACAGCACATGGCTACTGCAGCTTCAGGCCCTCTTGCAACCACTGAACTGCAAAAGAGGAGACTATGTCTGTAGAATTTTACCACCAACACAACATTTGATTCACAATCTCAGACTAGATAGGAGTGAACATATTTTCATATTTATATATTTTAGAAATACAGGTTCACTGTCAATAAGAATTCAGTCTTGTATAAATGATGGTATAAACAGGGAGGGGCATTTTCCCTTTACAGAGGCTTAATCAGCATTAATTTTGAGAGATAGGAAAGCAAAATCTACCACAGGCTGTTAAGCATTTGTTTTTCATCTAATCTTCTCAACCCTCCATTCAATATTTGGGGGAGTATGACTGTTTATCACTTGCTGAGATATGCAAGGTGCACATGCTGCTTATAATTAAGGAACAAAGAAATGTTGACTTTGC
Source organism: Homo sapiens (assembly GCF_000001405.40). Taxonomy (NCBI): domain Eukaryota; kingdom Metazoa; phylum Chordata; class Mammalia; order Primates; family Hominidae; genus Homo; species Homo sapiens. Next base: position 121,158,524 of record NC_000001.11, read on the forward strand.
TCTTGGTCTTGCTTCATAAAGTGTTACCACTGGGCATCAAATTGGGTGTTTAAAGGAGAATATACCTCTCTTGGAGAGTAGACACGATTTTTAGGCCTAGATCGTCTCTTCTTTTCCCCGCAGGAGTTCGTAGTTAACTTTCCATCACTCTGTAAAAGGCAATTAGAAAAAAGAAAAAGCCCAAGTTCCCCTCTTGGCATCTTGCAGAAGTCTTTCATGCATAATGGATGAGAGGAAATGGGGAGAAAGAAAAGAAACATCCTGAAATTTAAGCACCCGTAAATGTTTTCATAGATGTTGGTAGTCTATTTCAGTGTTTTTCAAAGGATATTCCCAGATTACCCACTTCAGGATAAGCTGCATTGTTGACAATGCAGATTGCCAGGCCTCAATATTAGACCTGAATCAGAATTTATGGGACTAGGACCCTGGAATCTACATTGTTAGCAAGTGTCTCCAGGGATTCCTGTATACACTGAAATGGAGCCTACTCATCTATCTTCCATAGTCTAAACAGTGCTGTGCTCAGTATCTCCCTCCCTACACCTCTCCCTTGTTAATCAAATCAAGTCTCTCATATTTAAATGTCTTTTTGTATGCAGATGGCTCTCAAATTTATATCCACAGCCCACACCTCTTCCCTAAAACTCCAGAATCCTATACCCTACTGCCTGATTGACATTTAATAGGCATATTCAAAAACAAACTCTTGAATTTTCTCTCCAAACTTGTCCTTCATCTCCATAAATAGCACCATGATTACCATAAAACCTTGAAGTCACTGTTGACTGCATCCTTGGCATCTTCCTCACTTTCTCTCATATTCATTTCCAATCCATCAGAGTACTGTCAGCTCTACTTTCAAAATATGCCCCAAATCTTCCTCTATCTCAAAGACCAGATAGGAGGCTGCTATCAAAATATGATGTTTTGATTATATAATATATATTATATTATAGACTTGATATATTATATTGTATACTCACAGCTACACATTTGGCATTAGTGGAAATAAATGAAAGATTTCAATCAATTCAAACAAGGACATGTTGGGATGGAATAGGGTATCGTCAGTAAAGAAACTGACAATAATCCAGAAACGGGCTGGTAAGTCTCATTTATCAGCTAATGTACACACTTCTGATAGCAGCCTCTTATCTGGTCCCACTGCATGTTTTCTGTATCAGCCAGAGTTCATTTGCAGATAACAGAAGCCATTCTAGCTATTTGAAGCAGAAAGGGATTCAAAACAGTTGTGGTAGATTGATGTTACAAAAATCCTTCCTGTTTCACCCACCTTTTTGCAATTGCCACAACTCCCATAAAGAGATGAAGTCTATTTTTCTCTCCTTGTAAATCTGGCCTAGCCCTCGGTTTAATTCTGACCAATGGAAAGAGGCAGAACTGATGCTGTGTCACTTCCAGACCTAGCCTTAAGAGGCTTTGCGGCTCCCACTCTCACCCTCTTAGAAGAAAGCAGCCGTCCTGTAAGGAAGCTCAGGCTAGATTACTGAATGATGAGAGACCATAGGAGAGAGAGGTCTCAGCCTTTCAAGGCATCCCTGCCAAAATCCTAGACATATGAGTGAGACAAAGTAGGGCCACTGACAGCTGAATACACCCACATATGTGGAGCCAGGCAGGATCAGCAGAATTGCCCAGCCAAACTAAGTTTTTGGGGTGCTTATTACACAGCAAGAGATAACTGAAATGTCACTAAATTTAGGGATTGCAAAACCATTGGAGGGTTGGTGGGGCAGGCTGTAAATGTGGCCTCCAGGAATGACTCACAGAATAACACCACAGAACTGGCCTGTTAGAAGAATCGCCGTTCCTACCATAGTCTGAAAGCTAAGGATCAAGAAGCCATCAACCACTTTCTAGCTTCAGAAACACACTATCTTAGTCATGCTCTGGACATCAGGAAGTCTCCACAAGTCTGTTGGCTTCAGAATCATACCACAGATCAATTTTAGATAGCAAAATGGATAAAGTGCTGTGACCACCTTTTCCCCACTGAAGTTTGTTCTGAAATCAAGACTTATGCAAATGCATATAACTAGCAAAAAGTAAATTATATAAACCCCTAGCTGCAAGAGAATCTTTTTAGCTTTTTTATTTTTTATGTTTATTTTTTGTGGCAGGGTCTTGCTCTGTTGCCTAGGCTGGAATGCATTGGTGCAAACATGACTCACTGCAGCCTTGAGCTTCTGGGCTCAGACCTTCCTCCCACCTCAGCCTCCCATGTAGTTGGGACCACATGTGCATGTCACCATGCCCCGCTAATTTCTTGATTTTTTCTAGAGACTGGGGTCTCACTTTGTTGCCCTGAATGGTCTCGAACTCCTGGGCTCAAGCAATCCTCCTGTCTTGGACTCCCAAAGTGTGGGATTAACAGGCATGAGCTACCGCACCCAGCCCACTTTTAGCTTTTTGGCCTAGGCACTGTGGGTAGGCATAGAAGAAAGAATTTTTTAAAAAATGCTTTGTTCACTGCGTAACACTCACAATAGTGTTCACACAAAAGAGATGCTCATTAAATATTTGTTAAATGATTGAACTAAAGTTTGATAAAGCAAAGGCATAACTTAGAAATGACTGTCTCTAGTTCGCCCAAAGTATGAAATTCTGTATGCCTAAAACTCTCTTTCAGTAATTCTCTTTTATGAATATATTCTGGAATATCAAGAAAGATCTAGGATTCAGGATTTTTTTCAGCCCAATATTTACCATCTTTACTATAAGTGTACAACCATCCCAAGTCAGACAAGCTGAGTCTATTTGGGTTTTTTTTGTAATAAATTTTAATTGGAAAAGATGAATTTGGGAGAATGGGAAGAAGGTTTTGAAGGGCAAGCCCTTCAGTCATTTCTGCTTCCTATGGCTTTGGCCACCATCTCACTTTGAGGGCTTGTTCTTCAGGATACTGACAGCTTGATTTCTCTGAGTAATGTCACACAAAGGAAATTAGCTCAGTATGTCTTCTACTGAATTCCATCTGTAGCTCAATGTTTGAAGGTATTTGTGAACATGACTACAGAGCAATTTTGATAAGACAAGGCAATGTTCCAGTCTCTGAGAATATTTTCCCCAAAGAACTATTTTTTAAAATACCACTGAACAGCCTGAAAACGCACCCACACATGAGCAATCTCCTGCAATATACAGAAAGCTTTTCAGGTGTCACAGCCATAATAGCAGGTGGTTCCTTTGGGTAGAAAAATTACGGCAAGAATATAGCGACAGAAAGCAAACTGTTTTGATATTCTGGGTACAACTTTCCCCAAGTGAATCATTCCCATATGCCTACTTTTACCACGGGCGCCTTTCCAGAGGAAGTGATTTGTGTGAACGGAGGTGTAGAGATGCATTCTGGTGGGCACACTTCATTGGTGCCCATATTTAGCAGATCCAATTAATCGTCAGCTATTTGTCAACCCATTCCTCTGTAAGTCTCAAAATGCAAAATTCGAATATGAATTTGATACCTATTTTTGCTTTCCACATAACAAATACATAATCTTGTTATGAAGATTCAGTAGTGCTCATTTAAGGCAAGGCTGCTTCTGAAATTCCATATGAATAGATTTTTAAATACAAGCTTATAAAGAAGGCTGAGATTAGAGCAATTTGCAAAAGGCAGTCATTTAATTCACTTTTTATTATGAAATATTTGAGACATACAAATAGCTTAAAGAGCTTATTTACTCTGCTGTAAACTTTTGTTGCTTGTAAGATAAAAATCTGGACTTGTAAAAAAGACTTTGTTTCTAGATAGAACAGCAAAGTTGCAAAGTAAGAGTTTTGCATAATTTTTTTCTTTCTCTATAGTGTATAAGACTAGCATTTTTATTGTTTACAGATAAACCAAATCTCCCTTACTGAAAAGGGTGATGTTGTTGTCCCCATCTCAATTTAAAACAAAAATCAACTAAGCTCTAATAGGAAAAGATGTGTACAGGAAGATTGCTAATGGAAAACTTTTATTTTTACATTTTATTTGTATTTAATTTTTAAATTTTTATTTGTTTTATTTATTTGAATGGAAGACAACTGCATTGAAAAATAAAAAGAACCGGGTACGGTGGCTCATGCCTGTAATCCCAGCACTTTGGGAGGCCGAGGTGGGTGGATCACTTGAGGTCAGGAGTTCAAGACCAGCTGGGCCAACATGGTGAAACCCCGTCTCTAGTAAAAATACAAAAAAATTAGCTGGGCATTGTGGCATGTGCCTGTAATCCCAGCTACTCAGGAGGCTGAGGCAGGAGAATTGCTTGAACTCAGGAGGTGGAGGTTGCAGTGAGCTGAGATCACGCCACTGCACTCCAGCCTGAGCAACAGAGCAAGACTCCATCTCAAAAAAAAAAAAAGAAAAGGAAAAAAAGAAAAAGAAAGCACAGTTATTAAGCTACTTAATTCTGGGCTTTCCAAATCTTAGAGTGGTGTCATTTGCTAGCTGGGTGACCACGAACAAGTTCTTTAACCTCTCTGTGCCTCAGTTTCCTGATCTCTATGGGGAGGATAGGATCCATCAGTTAGGGGTTACATGTGAAGCACTTGGAACAATGCCTGGCACACAGTAAGCCCTCTATCAATGGTAACTCATTTTCTTCTTTACCCTCAACTAGAAAGTCAGCTCCACATGACAGCAGCAATTCTGTCTTGCTTAGTTCTGCAGCCCCAGCATCTATTTTGCCCATAGTAGGCACTGAATAAATATTCGTTGAACTAACTGATTAATGAAAAATAACTGGGCTTTGAGGTTGAAAGTCAAAGGAAATTTCTCCTAAGTTTTATAGCTAGTGAGGGAAAAATGGACAGCAGTTTAGAGTCAGGGAGGTAGAAGAAAACCCTAAACTAAGATGAGAAGCCTGATTGAAGTTCAGATTCTTCCAGCTCTCTGGGTATTGCAATCAGGATTTTATTTCTTAATTTGCTCATTTATTTATTTACTTATTATTATTATTTTTTGAGACAGGGTCTCATTTTGTTACCCAGGCTGGAATGCAGTGGCACAATCACAGCTCACTGCAGCCTTGATGTCCCAGCTCAAGTGATCCTTCCACCTCCGCCTCCTGAGTAGCTGGACTACAGGCACGCGCCACCACACCTGGCTAATTTTTAAAATTTTTGTAGACACTAGGCCTCACTTTGTTGCCCAGGCTGGTCTCAAACTCCTGGCCTCCGGTGATCCTCTGGCCTCAGCCTCTCAAAGGGTTGGGATTACGGACGTGAGCCACCATGCCTGGACTCTTTCTTAATTTGTAAAATGGGAATGATAGCTCCCAAGGTTATTCTGAGGAGTAAATGACACTGCATGTGAAAGCTCTTAATAAACTGTAAAGGAATATACAAAAGCATGATATAGTTAATTTCTATCTCAGTAAGTTTTTCCATTGGATGACAATAAAGGGATTCTTTGAGAGTGTTGGAAAAAGGAATCTTTAGCTAAATATTTCGGTACTAAAAATATTCAACCCCAGAGGTACCACAGACATAGACTAATTTTTTCCATCTGTGCAGTTTAGGGTAGATTTGGCATACGCTCAATACCAGGCAAGAAAGAAACTATGGTTTAGGCTGCTTTTAAAGTTAAAAAAAAAAAAAAGGCAGAAAAGGAAACTATTTCCTTTTATAAGCAGGAATGTTAAAATAGGGAAAGCTTTCATCGAGCAATTCACTACTGAATCAAGACTATTTGATCCATATTCTCACCTACCTCCCCTCACTCCGTATTTGTGTTGTGGTTAGTTGTCTTCTAGATCATGGTTTATATATCATGGTCACTTCCTCACTAAAGTTAAACAATATAGATTATTCTTAACCAGCCACATGTGACTCAGAGGTCAAAAGAGTGTTCTTTTTGGGTAATCTCTCTCAATTGCTAATATTTAAGGACCTGGTTTTCAGAACCATTGATTATTTAAAATGTATGTCTTTAAGATTAGGCTCCACCCAAGATGCCTCCTCAGAGGCTAAGTTTGAGGTTGAGAAACTAGCTTAAGGAGAAAGATAAAGTAGCAGAAATGTCATGGTGGGTGAGCTGATGACTCACTGCCCCTTCCTTGAACTGCAAGAATGACAAAATGGAAAAGGGGAAAAAAAAAGGCAATGCCCTACTGCAGACCAGAGGCTCCATGAAACCCAAGAAATTCCGAGAACTTGAAGAACTACATGGGTTCTTAGGGTAAAGGCAGTAAGTTTAATTTCCATGGTCAAATTGTTAAGTGCATCAAAGAAAGGACATTAGGAAAGCTAAACTTGATTATACTTTACCATCAGAGCCATCATCCTCAATCTGATCATTTTATTCTCCTGCTTAAAAACTTCAATAACTCCACATTGCTACTGGACCAAGTCTAAACTTACAATCGTATAGTAGAATATTCTTCATAACATATAACCTTCCTTGTTAACTTCACCTTGTAATTAATTCTTTTTTTAAAAAAAATTTATTTATTTTTTAACTTTTGAGACAGGGTCTCACTCTGTCACGCAGGCTGGAGCAGAGTGGTCCAATCATGGCTCACTGCAGCCTCAGCCTCCTAGGCTCAAGTGATCCTCCCGCCCCAGCCTCCCAAGTACCTGGGACTACAAGCCTGTGCCATCACCCTGGGCTTATTTTTGTATTTTTTGGTAGAGATGGGTTCCCACTATCTTGCCCAGGCTGGTCTCAAACTCCTGGCCTCAAGCAATCCTTCCTCCTCAGCCTCCCAAAGTGCTGGTATTATAGGTGTGGGTCACCATGCCTGGCCGAATTAATTTTTATTACATGTCTTGGAAGGTATGGGGGACAACTTAGAACTTCCCAAATAAACAAGATACTTTTAAATTCCCATCAATTTGTTTACACTATTCCCTCTGCTTAAAACTCTCATCCCAGCTGGCAACTCCTAACTGCTTCAAAGCCTGCCTCAAGTATCATTTCTTCTCAGTAGCTTTCTCAATTCCTATGCTCTCTTGCTCAATTCCCACTCTCTCCTGCTACTCAGAATGATTGCTCTTTCATCTCTGGGGTCATAGCACTTTAAGCATGCCTTTGTTAAATCACTTAACCCAATGAAATAAATGGACTCACAGAGTTCTATCCTTTCCTCAACTTACTGTGTACTCCCTGAAGGCAAGTGTGAGCATGTCATTGTACAATTCTTGCCACACTATTGGAGAATAATACAGGTGTGTTGAATTGAATGAAATATTAAAAGAGGACCAAAGAATAGATGGATCTTCTAGGCCTAGGAATTATACTAGGAGTAGAAGGTGTATCCTAAATCCATGTATGTGATTCTGCTTTGGTCTTACCAGAGTGAATGTAATTTGCTTTTATTTAAAAACAGTGTTGACAGGCCAGGCACAGTGGCTCATGCCTGTAATCCCAGCACTTTGGGAGGCCAACGCGGGAGACCACCTGAGGTTAGGAGTTCGAGACCAGCCTAACCAACATGGAGAAACTCCATCTCTACTAAAAATACAAAATGAGCTGGGTGTGGTGGTACGTGCCTGTAATCCCAGCTACTTGGGAGGCTGAGGCTGGAGAATTGCTTGAACCTGGGAGGCGGAGGTTGTGGTGAGCCAAGATCACACCATTGCAGTCCAGCCTGGGCAACAAGAGTGAAACTGCATCTAAAAAAAAAAAATCCCAAAAACAGTGTTGGATTCACACTCATGCGTGTAATCCCAATACTTTGGGAGGCCGAGGCTGGTGGATCACTTGAGGCCAAGAGTTCAAGACCAGGCTGGCCAACATGGCAAAACTCCTTCTACTAAAACTACAAAAATTAGCCAGGCATGGTGGTGCATGCCTGTAGTCCCAGCTACTCGGGGGTGCTGAAGCATGAGAATCGCTTGAACCCTGGAGGTGGAAGTTGCAGTGAGCTGAGATCATGTCACTGCACTCCAGCCTGGGTAACAGAGCGAGACCCTCTCTCAAAAACAAACAAACAAACAAAAAAAGCCCCACAAACCAGTGTCATTTAGCCAGGTGTGGTGCATGCCTGTGGTCCTAGCTACAGGGGAGGCTGAGGCAGGAGGATTGCTTGAGTCCAGGACTTCAAGGCTGTAGTGAGCTATGATCACACCACTGCACTCCAGCCTGGGCAACAAAGCGAGACCCTGTCTCTAAAGAAAACAACAACAACAACAAAAAACCCTCAAACCACATTAGTGTCATGAATATATTTCTTTAGATAAAACTTTATTAATCAGCTTTCTGTTTAGAATTGGCTTTCCCATAATCCAGTTAACCAAAGGTAGTTGAGTAATTTGAAATATTCCCCAGCTGGAGTAGAATCACATTTGGGGCTTGCTTCAATCAGTGCACCTCTGTCTTGCTTTTGCTTTTCAGAGAGACCCTAGGTCAACCATAGCCTTTGAAGGCATGAGCTGAACGGAAACCAGATGAACTCTATTGAATTTTAAATTTGCCACATTTCCTAGTCTAGTATTAAACTTTTCTTCTCTAGTTGAGCAAGTTAACCAAAGAAGTATATATATATTTTTTCTCTTATAGATTATGCTCACCTAAGAACTTGAGGTTACAACACACACACACACACACACACACACACACCCCCAAAAAACCAAATCGCAAAACAAATTATTCCATACTCATTCCATTGGTTCTTTTGATGGCCTTCTGTCAGTGTTAATGGTTGGTGTGAAAGATTTTTGGAAACGTTTTCCAGGAGGGAGTAATAGCATTTCCTGAAGCACCTTTTATCTTGGTTTATGGCAAATGATTCTTTCAATGCCCTCAGGTCACTTATACCCTAAGACCCTGCATGAGTTTATTCAACCTTCAAATCAGTCACTTCTGCCCTCATCTAGGGCACATAACAATGCAGTTAGTTACCCAGCAGGTATCCCGGCTAAGTAAGACCATAAATAAATCATATGAGCAGGAGCTTTTGGAGTCAGTCTTCTGTCTGAGCACCTCTAACCGGTTATGCTACCTTAAACAAATTACTTAACTTCTCTCTGTCTCACCTGATTTACCAGTTTTAAAAAAAAGGAATAATAATGGTACCTACCTCATAGGTTTGTTGTGAGGAGTTAAACATCTAAAGCACTTAGAACAGTGTCTGGCATATGGTAAGTATTCAATAAACATTAGCCTTATATTCTATACTTTAAGTACTATTTATTTATATTTTTACATACAATATGTGGGCATAACAAAAAATTAAAGGAAGAATGGTCATTTTTAGAAAAAACTTTATTTACAAAACCACAACTCAGTCTGCTTTGGTATTGACAAAATCCCTACAACTGAGATATTAAAGAGATACATTTATTTTAGAGTTACATAAAACCAGAATCCAACACTACCCTACTTTCCTATTCCTTTGTGGCTCTGAATGCAGCTTTAAAAAAACAAAACAAAGCAAAGCAAAGCAAAACAAAACAGCTCTTTATAATGTACAATGGCTTAAGCAAATCGCTTTAGTTTTTTTTCTATTTAAGATTTAGGACAGACTACTCGTCTAAAATTCACTATTTACAGAGAAGGTCCTAGGGAACAGGATAACTTATTTAGGTTTAGCTCTCATAATACAATATCCATAATGGCTTTAGAAGAATGTAAATAAATAACATTGGTAAACAGCGTATACTGATATTTTCTGACAAACTCATTTATCTAACATCATGCTGAGCAATCAAGAGGATTCCTCTATATATTTTAAATTTTAATTTATTCTATTTCCTGATTCACAAACTCTTGCTCCATGTTAAAGCAGTTATCACCAATAGAACCTATGAGAACCAGTGCCCATGGAAACCTAACAGCTTGTTTTTTTAATCCCCTATTAAAACTCAGTTGAACTTGATATATGCATGGTTGAAATATGCGTGGGTACTAGGCCTTTATTCAGGAATGTAAAATTAATGGTATCTGGTATCAAGTTGTAAGAAAAACTCCCCCAGATTGGGAGGTAACTGAGTGATATGTGAAAGAATCTTCCCGTCTGAATTTAAGAATACACCTACACTGGGCAGAAAAAGGTGGGGGAGAGGAAGTAGAAGTAGAGGAAAAGCACAACTCCACTGGCTTCAATCAAACTGAGGTAACTAATTAGAGACGGAAAATAAATAAATCAACAAATGCCCCATTTTTGTTTTCCAAAAAAGATCACTGGCAACTAACAATTTTAAAGTTGATCCATTAATATATTTTTAAATAGAAAAAAGTTTGTATATCATATATATCATAATTCCATTTATCTAATACACTCCTCTGCTGAGATATTTAACACATCTTCATCTGTACTCTCTTCTATCTCTGGCAAGTTGCCCCAAAGTAGGATGTTTACACCTGAAAATAAAAAATCATAAAATTCTTTAATGCTTACTACTGTTATAACTCAGAACACAAATTACGAAACTTTATATGTTAATATTCTTATGTAAACCATAGTGTTAGCAGTAAAAAGAGTAGCTATTGAAGAATGTACTGCAAATAAAATTACCTAATATTATCCATCTAGGACATAAATTTTATTTATTTATTTTGAGAGAAATTCTCTCTGTGTTGCCCAGGCTGGAGTGCCTGGCAGGATCACGGTTCACAATCACAGATCACTGCAGCCTGAACCTCCAGGGCTCAAGTGATCCTCCTACCTCAGCCTCCCAAGTCACTTGGACTACAGGCGTGTACTACCACACATGGCTAATTTTATTTTGTAGATACAGGTTCCCACTATGTTGCCCAGGCTAGTCTCAAACTCCTGGGCTCAAGCAATCCTCTCTCCTTGACCTCCCAAACTGTTGGGATTACAGGCATGAGCCACCATGCCTGGCAAACACTTTTTTTTAAAGGGCTAGGACATAAACATTCTTTAAATCCTTTTAAGCAAGGGCTTGAATTCTAGAATTTTACAGCTCAAAAGGCTCTCAGGAGTCCATTTACTCAAACTCTGCCTCCAGCTGCATTATAACATAATCACTATACACTGATAATTTTCTGATCTATTTTAATGATGTTTAAGAATGGAGATCTCACAAGATCCTTTTAGATTAAATGCCTCTTTGGAGGGTTCAGGGAGAAGTCCTGAATAAGCCTCCTCATCCCTTCAATAAGCAGAGAAGTAGCTGGTGCCATTTTTCTGATTCAGAAAAAAAGCAAGGGTTCGGAGACAGTTATAATATGAACTGCAATCCTTGGTACCAGTGGGTTTCAGTCCACAGGCAGAGCTTTAAACTGAACTTTAGGGCCAGGTTGCAGCAGTCACTATAATAAACAAAAGAATAATCAAAAACTTCACTGAGAAAGAATAGTCAGATTTCATATTGAAGAATGAAGCACAGGTATACAGTAAATGACTAAACATACAGTAGAGGATAATGACAAGTTTATTACTCTGGGCATATATTACATTATTAGTTAAAAACACTAAATGGAAAATAACTGACCTCTAGGATAGCCAATTAACTTCACAAGAAAAGCAAATCTTTTTTTTTTTCTTTTTGAGTCGGAGTCTCGCTCTATTGCCCAGGCTGGAGACGAGTGGTGTAATCTTGGCTCACTGCAACCTCTGCCTCCCAGGTTCAAGTGATTCTCATGCCTCAGCCTCCCGAGTAGCTGGGACTACAGGCAAATGCCACCATGCCTGGGTAATTTTTGTATTTTTAGTAGAGATGGGGTTTCACCACGTTGGTCAGGGTGGTCTTGAACTCCTGACCTCAGGTGATCCCCCTCGCCTCGGCCTCCCAAAGTGCTGGGATTACAGATGTGAGCCACCACACTTGGCCAGAAAAACAAATCTTAAGCTGTCCAGTTATCAGTGTGGACACAAAGAGGATCCAGCAATTCAGGATACCCACCCCATATACACTGAGATAGCAGCCACATGGCGGAATGGAATGAGCCAGGATTTGGAGATTTGGTTTGAATCCAGTGTTCACCACTGCTAGTACACCATGCATGGTTTTACTACAAATGCATGCAACATAGACAATATATATTACTGTTTAGTGGATTTAAATTTTGTATAGAATGTTATTACACTACATATTGTTTTCTAATTTGCTTTTTCACTCGTCATGTTTTTGAGGTTAATCCATGTTAACTTGTGTAGATTTCGCTCATTTATTTTTACTTCTGGAGAGTATTCCATTTTGTGAATTTTTAAAAATGTTGCAAATACAGCCCATTGCTCATCCCTTCCTCAGCTGCCCATCTTGCATAGGTGGTTCAAGGCGACATACACAGGGATGTGTAGTGTGACATTGTTGAAACAGTAGAAATAATTAACTGTTTACCTTGACTGAGGGAGATACTGGAATCTAATCTGGCAAGAATTTAGCATGTATCTGATGCTGGTAGGGATACAGATGTGTATCTTATTATTTTCTATAATCTTTTTGTGTTTGAATTGTTTATAATAGAAAACGCTACCCCATCCCCACCCCCACCCTAAGAATGAATGGTGTTCTGCTCCAGGTAAATGTCATGGAAGAGCTGACAGGAAGAGCTGTAAGGAATTGCGAGGCAAAAATCAAAGTGAAAATTAGAACCCATAAATGTAAATGGAGGGCTGAAGCCATTTTGACTCTGAGGGCATTTGCCAATTTCAGGAAATTTGAGCTGAGGTTTCCCAAGGCTCCTCCAGAAAGTTCTGGGAAATCAGGTCTCTAAATGAAGACTAGCCTAGAAAACAGACCTCCAGGAGTCCTTTTCAGTTTAAACATTATAGAATTTATAAAGCTTGTCTATGCATTCCTTTGACACTGCTGGTTCAGGTGATTCAAGGACAGTTGTGGCGCCATTAGAAACTTGCTTTGATACCAAGCATCTAGAAAATCTTGCTTGAAATCACAATATTAGGGTTACAAAGCAGAAGCTTGATATTCTTGGAGTCAGTACTCAGAGACATGAAGCAGCTCAGCACAATTGGTTCAAAGGAGGAAAAATAAACTAAGAGATTGGATCTGACAGAAGCAGCACCTTCCTTTCTCTGTTAAGAAGGGAGGAAGGAAATCCTGTGATACATCTGTTTCTTATGGATTAGATTCAGTGCAAATGGAAGAATGTGGGGCTTTTATCTTTGAAAAATTGACCAATATTAAAAAGTAAATCAAACTTGAAAAATCTCCACCCTGTGTTTTGAATTCTGTAAAGCAGGAAAAATACTATCAAAGCAGAAACTTCCTTTAATGTGTCCCATGGGCAACACAAATATAAAACTGGAGGCTTAAATTAGGAGACTGTATCCCACTTAGGGGAGTTCAGATAAGTCCTTACATGAAAATGGCCTTCTTAACATACCAAAGTTTTAAATTAAGACCCCATAAATGATAGATTGAGAGCCACAGTTGAGTCCCAGATAAAAAAATCAAATCTACAAAAATCTAAACATAATTGGAGGATTTAAAGACCCTTGACAACCTATCTTGCAATTCGTGATCTTTTGGTCTGTGAAGGCAAATCATATATTTAAAAAATACATTTAAGTTCTAAAGGAGACTAAAACATGCATTTAGGAACCTAAGAATGCTAGTGTCAACTTAGATTGTCAAGTTACTTAAAGTCGGCTGGCGAGGTGTCTCAGGCCTGTAATCCCAGCCCTTTGGAGGCCAAGGTGGGCAGATCACTTGAGGACAGGAGTTCGAGACCAGCCTGGGCAAAATGGCAAAAACTGGTCTCTACGAAAAATACAAAAAATTAGACAGGGATGGTGGCACACACCTGTGGTCCCACCTATTGAGAAGGCTGAGGTGGAAGAATGGCTTGAGCCTGGGAGGTCGAGGCTGCAGTGAGCCAAGATTGTGCCACTACACTCCAGCCTGGGTGACAGAGCAAGACCCTGTCTCCAAAAAAAAAAAAAAAGTTCCTTAAAATCAACTTGGTCTGTTGTGTAAATAGATGTTAGACATGGAGAACATGTGTCTTATAACAAAACTCAATGGCTCCAGGCAATATAAAAAGTATTATATAAATCCCCTTTAAAAATTGGTACTTTGGCCGGTGCAGTGGCTCACACCTGTAATCCCAGCACTTTGGGAGGCTGAGGTGGGCAGATCACCTGAGGTCAGGAGGTCGAGACCAGCCTGGGCAACATGGCAAAACCCCGTCCCTACTAAAAATACAAAAATTAGCCAGGTGTAGTGGTGCACACCTATAATCCCAGCCACTCAGAAGGCTGAGGCAGGAGAATCACTTGAACCCGGGAGGTGGAGGTTGCGGTGAGCCGAGATCACGCCACTGCTCTCCAGCCTGGGTGACAGAATGACTCCATCTCAAAAAAAAAAAAAAAAAAAAAAGGTACTTCAGGCCAGGCATGGTGACTCACGTCTGTAATCCCATGTAATCCCAGCACTTTGGGAGGCTGAGGCAGGCGGATCCCCTGAGGTCAGGTGTTCAAGACCAGCCTGACCAACATGGTGAAACCCTGTCTCTACTAAAAATACAAAAAAATTAGCTGGGCGTATGCCTGTAATCTCGCTACTCGGGAGGCTGAGGCACGAGAATCGCTTGAACCCGGGAGGCAGAGGCTGCCATGAGCCAAGATGACACCATTGCACATCAGCCTGGGAAACAAGAGTGAAACTCTGTCTCAAAAAAAAAAAAAAAGAATTAGTATTTCAGTGCCTCAGCACCTTAACACAAGGAAAAAGAAATTTTTTTTTTAAAAGAATTGGTAGTGTACTTTCTTACTAAAATAATTTTTTTTTTTTTTTTTTGAGACAGGGTCTCACTCTGTTGCCCAGGCTGGAGTGCAGCGGTGCCACCTCGGCTTACTGCAACCTCCACCTCCTAGGTTCAAGGGGGGTTTCATCATATTGGCCAGGCTGGTCTCGAACCCCTGACCTCAAGTGATCATCTGTCTTGGCCTCCCAAAGTGTGGGATTACAGGTGTGAGCCACCATGCCTGGCCTTGCTAAAATAATTAGTATAGGCATACCTCAATTGTGCTTTAGTTTATTGTACACCATAGATACTGGGCTTTATATAAATGGAAGGTTTTGGCAATCCTGCATTGAGTAAGTCTAACAGCATATGCTTACCTTGTGTCTGTTACATTTTGATAATTCTCTCAATATTTCAACCTTTTTCATTATTATTATATATATTATGGTGATCTGTGATCTTTGATGTTACTGTTATAATTGTTTCAGGGTGCTATGAACCACACCCACTTAAGACCACACCCACTTAAGACTGCAAACTTAATCGATAAATATTTTGTGTGTTCTGACTGCTCCACTGACCAGCTGTTCTCTCTCTCTTTCCTGGGGCCTCCCTATTTCCTAAGATACAACAATATTGAAATTGGGCCAGTTAATATCCCTACAATGACCTCTAAGTGTTCAAGTGAAAGAGAGTGGCATGTCTCTCACTGTAAATCAAAAGCTAGAAATGATTAAGCATAGTGAGGAAGACATATTGAAAGCTGAGACAGGCTGAAAGTTGGGCCTTTTATGCCCAATTGTTAGCCAACTTGTGACTGCAAAGAAAAGTTCTTAAAGGACATAAGAAGTGCTACTCCAGTGAAAACAAGAATAAAAAAGTGAAATAGCCTTATTGCTGATATGGAGAAAGTTTTAGTGACCTAGATAGAGGATTAAACCAGCCATGATATTCTCTTAAGCGAAAACCTAATCCAGAGCTAGGTCTTAACTCTCTGCAATTCTATGAAGGGCAAGAAAGTTGAGGAAACTGTAGAAGAAAGTTTGAAGCTAGCAGAGGTTGGTTTATAAAGTTTAAGGAAAGAAGCCATTTCTATAACATACAAGTTCAGGTGAAGCAAAAAGTGCAGATGTAGAAGCTGCAGCAAGTTATCCAGAAAATCTAGCTAAGATTATGGATGAAGGTGGCTACACTAAACAACAGATTTTTCTTTTCTTTTCTTTTTTTTTTTTTTTGAGATGGAGTTTCACTTTTGTTGCCCAGGCTGGAGTGCAATGGCGTGATCTTGGCTCACCGCAACCTCCGCCTCCCGGGTTCAAGCCATTCTCCTGCCTTAGCCTCCCAAGTAGCTGGGATTATAGGCATGCGCCACCATGCCCAGCTAATTTTGTATTTTTAGTAGAGACGGGGTTTCTCCATGTTGGTCAGGCTGGTCTCGAACTCCCAACCTCAGGTGATCTGCCCGCCTTGGCCTCCCAAACTGCTGGGATTACAGGTGTGAGCCACCGCGCCCGGCCTCTTATTCCTTTTTTTTTTTTCAGATGGAGTTTCACTCTTGGTGCAATGGTGCGATCTCGGCTCACTTCAAACTCCACCTCCTGGGTTCAAGTGATTCTTCTGCCTCAGTCCCCCAAGTAGCTGGGCATGTACCACCATGCCCAGCTAATTTTTTATTTTTAGTAGAGGCAGAGTTCTACTATATTGGTCAGGCTGGTCTTAAACTCTTGACCTCAGGTGATCCATCCACCTCGGCCTCCCAAAGTCCTGGGATTATAGGCGTGAACCACTGCATCTGGCAGAGATTTTTAATATACACAAAACAGCCTTCTATTGGAAGGAGATGCCATCTAGGACTTTCATAGCTAGAGAGGAGAAGTAATACTTGGCTTCAAAGCTTCAAAGGACAGGCTGAATCTCTTGTTAGAGGATAATGCAGCTGGTGACTTTAAGTTGAATCCAATGCTCATTTACTGTTCTGAAATTTCTAGGGTTCTTAGGAATTATGCCAAATATACTTTGCCTGTGCGCTGTCAATGAAACAACAAAGCCTGGACGACAGCAAATCTGTTTACAGCATGTTTTACTAACTATTTTAAGCCCATTGTTAAGACCTACTGCTCAGAAAAATCCCTTTGAAAACATTACTGTTCATTGACAATGCACCTAGTCACTCAAGAGCTCTGATGGCATTGTACAAGGAGATAAATATTGCTTTAATGCCTTAACATAACATCTATTTGGCAGCCCATGGATCAAGAAGTAATTTAATCTTTCAAGTCTTATTATTTAAGAGATAGATTTCATAAGGCTATAGCTGCCATAGATAGTAATTCTTCTGATGGATCTGGGCAAAGTACATTGAAAACCTGGAAAAGCACATTCCTGATTCATGGGAGGAGGTCAAAATATCAGTCTTAACAGGAGTTTGAAAGAAGTTGATTCCAACCCTCATGGGTAACTTTGAGAGGTTTTAGACTTCAGTGGAGGAAGTAACTGCAGATGTGGTAGAAATAGCAAGAAAACTACACTTAGAAATGGAGCCTGAAGACGTGACTGCATTGCTGCAATCTCATGATGAAACTTTAATGGATGAAGAGTTGCTTTTTATGGATGAGCAAAGAAAATGGTTTCTTGAGGTGAAATCTACTCTTGATGAAGATGCTGTAAATATTGTTGAAATGAAAACAAAGGATTTAGAATATTACATAAACATAGTTGGTAAAGTAGTAGCAGAATTTGAGAGGATTGACTCCAATTTTGAAAGAGGTTCTACTATGTGTAAAATTCTATCAAATGGCATCACATGCTACAGAGAAATCTTTTGTGAAAGGAAGAGTCAATCCATGCGGCAAACCTCATTGTTGTCTTATTTTAAGAAACTGCCACAGCCATCCTAACCTCCAGCAACCACCACCCTGATCAGTTTGCAGTCATCAACATCAAGGCAAGACCCTCCACCAGCAAAAAGATTATGACTTGCTGAAGGTTCAGATGATCATTAGCAGTTTTTAGCAATAAAGCATTTTTTTTTCTTTTTTGAGACAGGGTCTCATATTGTTGCCCAGGCTGAAATGCACTGGCATGATCACAGCTCACTTCAGCCTCTACCTCCCAAATTCAAGTGATCCTCCCACCTCAGCCTCCTGGGTAGCTGGGACGATAGTATGCCCCACGATGCCTGGATAATTTTTGTATTTTTTTTTGTAGAGATGAGGTCTCAGCATGCTGCCCAGGCTGGTCTCAAACTCCTGGGCTCAAGTGATCCTCCCGCCTTGGACTACCAAAGTGCTGGGATTACAGGCATGAGCCACTGCTCTCGGCCGAATAAGTATTTTTTGATTAAGGTATGCACATTGTTTTTTAAATGTCCTGCTATTGCACACTTAATAGACTACAATATATTGTAAACATAACTTTTATACACACTGGGAAACCAAAAAATTGTGTGACTTGCTTTAATTGTGATATTTGCTTGCTTTATTATGGTGGTCTGGAATTGAACCTACAATATCTCCACTTGTGCCTGTACAACATACTTTATACTTTGGTGTCAAATATTTCCCTTGACTAAAATTCTGTCATAACGTATTAACATAGATGTCGAAATGTCTGTTTTTATTCTGAAGCATCACTAAATACAGAGGTTACTTAGTCCTCCTCCTCTCAACTCCCATTGCCCTAGGCTTGGCCTCTCCCTTTCTTACACACACACACAGACACACACATGCATTAGACTATCAAATCTAAAATCTTCAAAAATTCTCTGGAGTCAGAATATGTATCAAGGCAGCAGTTAAGAGCAATTATAATATTCATTTTAAAAGACCAAGAAATTCAGCCAAGTTTGAGGCCTTAAGTACAAGGATGAACATAGAAATGACAATGAATTTTGCCTAATAGTTTTCATAAGTGAATGTCTGGGAAAAAAGAATTGAAGTTTCACTCTAGCTAATCCAGCTAAGAAGATCTAAAAGGAATCCTGAAATGATCTATTGGGAATTTTACTCAGGTATTGATAGAGAAATGTTACAGGAATGTCCAAGTCAATTGTTTCTTACCTGTGGAGTCTAGTCTGTTAATATCATAAACTGCCTGGCTGTGAAACATCCAGAAGTGTCCGTTGTTGCAGGAAGGAAGACAGGAACTACATGGAACAATCACATGATAACCTACAATGTTCCCACTAGAAAAGAAAGTAAATGTTACTAGATACCATGTAATAACTAGCCAGATAAGTCTTTTCATATTGCTTATATAAATAGACCATATAATTTAGATCTCATTTCCTAACAACTTTCATTGCTGAGATCTTTGGGATGGGATGGGGGTGCAGTTCTACCATCAAGTGGGAAAGCAGTCTTTAAGTGAATAATAGTAAAATATTCTCACATTTCTTTGCTATTATTATTATTATTATTATTATTATTATTATTATTGAGACTGAGTTTTGCTCTTGTCACCCAGGCTGGAGTGCCTGCAACCTCCGCCTCCCAGGTTCAAGTGATTCTCCTGCCTCAGCCTCCAGAATAGCTGGGATTACAGGCGTGTGCCACCATGCCCAGCTAACTTTTGTGTTATTAGTAGAGATGCGGTTTTACCATGTTGGCCAGGCTGGTCTCGAACTCCTGACCTCAGGTGATCCACCTGCCTTGGCCTCCCAAAGTGCTGGGATTACAGGCATGAGCCACCATGCTTGTCCTGCTAGTATTATTTTATGCATTCTCCCTTCAGAAGTTAGCTTCTAGATGCCATAATGTTGTGATTTGTTTTATAAACCACCCAAATTGATGTGCTGTACAGACAAAATAAATTAAATTAACTCAGTTCTGTGGGTAAAGGTTTTTGCTATCCCAGGACTGTGGCAAGTTGGGTTCTTACATGTTCTAGTTTCATGCCAGCACCTAAAAACTGTTTCAACAGATGGAGAGGTAGGAAGACAGCATGAGTCCCTGTAAACCAAATACAATCTGGCTGCTCTAATTTTAGTCTCAGTGTTTTTGAAGGAACTCAGAAATAAAGCAATCTACAGCCTCCAGAGAAAGTTGCAAAAGTTTTTACAGTTTTCAGAATTATCCAGCTGATTATAAGTACCTCAGTCTTTCACAATTTTTTTTTTTTTTTAACTAGCTAGTCACATATTAAATAGAGTGAACCTACAGGGAATGTTTTAGCTAGTACTTTAAAAAAAATAGCAACATGAACTGTTTATACCTTGAGTTGTAAAAATTCTTATTCAAGCTTAGTCTTACTCTGTGAGATTTGTGAGTCAGTCATTTTTATGAGACCCAATAAAGATTACTGTAAAAGGTACCATTCCACCTAAAATATGTCTTCTAATTATAACTTGCTTGAAAGGCAAACAAATGAAAACAAAAGTTGTGTTTGGACTAGGAGTGCCAGTTATTTGTAAGACTATATTGCAAAAGTAAATTCCATGACTTTAATTACCGCCTATATTCATTCATTCATCCATTGATTCATCACTTAAACTAACATTTATTGAGTATCTGCTATCTTTCAGGCACTGCTCTAGGTGCTAGGAATACACTGGTAAACAAAACAAAGCCCTTGTTCTCACAGAGCTAACAGTCTAGCGAGGCTACATCAGATCATTCTGCTCCCTGGTTAAAACCTCTTCAATAGCCAAAAATGAAAATAAAAACCTTTCCATACCAAGGTCCAGATCTATGCTGTCAAGAATAATAGCCACTAGCCACATGTGGCTGTTGTACACTTGCAGTGGGGCTGGCCTGAATTGAGATGTGCTGTTAAGTGTAAAATGTACACCAGATTTCAAAGAGTAAGACCAAAAAATGGAATATAAAATATTACATTAGTAGTTTATGTTGGTTACATGTTGAAATAATATTTTGGATACATTGGGTTAGACAAAATATATGATTAAAATTAACTTTCCTGTTTTGGTTTTCTTTTGAAAATGTTGTTCTTCGGGTGCGGTGGCTCATGCCTGTAATCCCAGCACTTTGGGAGGCTGAGGCGGGTGGATCACTTGAGGTCAGGAGTTCGAGACCAGCCTGGCCAACATGGCGAAACCCCACCTCTACTAAAAATACGAAAATTAACTGGGCATGGTGGCACGTGCCTGTAGTCCCAGCTACTCGGGAGGCAGAGGTGAGAGAATCACTTGAACCCAGAAGACGGAGGTTGCAGTGAGCCAAGATCATGCCATTGCACTCCAGCCTGGGCAACAGAGCAAGACTCCGTCTCAAAACAAAACAAAAAAAATGTCGTTGCCCAGGTGCGGTGGCTCACACCTGTAATCTCACACTTTGGGAGGCCGAGGCAGGTGGATCACTTGAGGTCAGGAGTTTGAGACCAGCCTGGCTAACATGGCGAAATCCCGTCTCTACTAAAAATACAAAAATTAGCCGTGTGGGCTGGGTGCGGTGGCTCACGCCTGTAATCCTAGCACTTAGGGAGGCCAAGGCAGGTGGTCTGCCTGAGCTCAGGAGTTTGAGAGCAGCCTGGGCAACACGGTGAAACCCTGTCTCTACTAAAATATGAAAAATTAGCTGGGCATGGTGGTGCGTGCCTGTAGTCTCAGCTACTCAGGAGGCTGAGGCAGGAGATTCGCTTGAACCTGGGAGGCGGAGGTTGCAGTAAGCTGAGATCGTGCCACTGCACTCTAGCCTGGGCGACAGAGCAAAACTCCGTCTTAAAAAAAAAAAAAAAAAGAAGAAAGAAGAAAATAATGTCCAAAGGCCAGTGACTTCATCTAGTTTTTGTTGTATTTCCAGCCCTTGTAACAATGACTACCACATACTAGTTCCTCAATACAAGTATAGCTTAAATAAAGGAATGAAATCAAATAGCACATAAGAAGAGCTTGCCAATTTAAATTATTAGGATTGTCATTTATAATACAAACCCCTTCTAAATACAAACCCCATCTAAATGAGAAAATTTCAACTTTTATCCTCCTAAAATGAAAATAATAACACGTCTACTTCTCAAAAGATTATAGTAATAGCTCTCAGCTGTTGTAATTTATAGTTTATTGAGCACTTTAACATTCATATTTGCTCTTTATAATAACTTGATAAGGTAAACACAGAAGATTATTAAATTTCTATCTTAATAAGACAGAATGGCTGGGTGGGGTGGCTCATGCCTGTAATCCCAGCACTTTGGCAGGCCGAGGCAGGCGGATCACCTGAGGTTGGGAGTTCAAGAGCAGCCTGACCAACATGGAGAAATCCTGTCTCTACTAAAAAAAAAAAAAAAAAAAATTAGCTGGGCATGGTGGTGCGTGCATGTAATCCCAGCTACTCAGGAGGCTGAGGCAGGAGAATCACTTGAACCTGGGAGGTGGAGGTTGTGGTGAGCTTAGATCGCGCCATTGCACTCCAGCCTTGGCAACAAGAGCAAAAACTCCTTCTCAAAAAAAGAAAGAAAGAAAGAAATTAAGGTAGGATGCAGTGGCTCATACCTGTAATCCCAGCCTTTTGGGAAGCTGAGGAGAGAGGATCACTTGAGGCCAGGAGTTTGAGATCAGCCTGGGCAACAGAGCAAGACCCTATTGCTACAAAAATAAAAAACTTAGCCAGGCCTGGTGGTGCCTGCCTGTAGTCCCAGCTACTCAGGAGGCTGAGGTAGGAGAATCACTTGAGCCCAGGAGTTCAAGGCTACAGTGAGCTATGATCATGCCACTGCACTCCAGCCTGAGCAACAGTATGAGACCCCTCTAAAAACAAAGAAAGGAGTAATAACCTAGAAATTAAATAAGAAAACAGAGGTTCAGCAGTTTAGAGGCTAAAGGAGTTCACTCAAGATCACATAGAGAGTAAGGGTAGGGTCAGACCTCAAACATGGTTTTTATTATTGTAAATCCAGGTGTTTCTCCCCCCTAACCTACATTGCCTTGTTCTGAAAATTGAAGCGGATACTGTGAATACACTTTGAAAACTGTAAAATTATATACTAATGTGAAGCATCAGAAAACCCTTTTAAAAAATAGCTCTAAGTAATAAGTAATTTTTCAATGGCTCATTGCATGCTTTATACCAGTCCTTGTTGCAGCCCACTGAACCTTTCTCTATGCTTTGGTGTCAATATCCATCTTCCAAACCCAGAGCTATCCAGAATAGTGCCACAAATTACCATTTTAAACATGCGATGTCCTTCAGTTTACATTTGCAGATTTTGGTGAAATAGCATCTTCCAGTGAAGTCCACTGCGCTGGAGAGAGAAAGGTATAAAAAGACAGTCAGATGTACTTTA
Source organism: Homo sapiens (assembly GCF_000001405.40). Classification (NCBI taxonomy): domain Eukaryota; kingdom Metazoa; phylum Chordata; class Mammalia; order Primates; family Hominidae; genus Homo; species Homo sapiens. The sequence goes on from NC_000001.11 coordinate 121,181,391, forward strand.
CAAAAAATTTAATTGTGGCAAAAAATTAACAAAATTTACCAACTTAACAAGTTTTATGTGTGCAGAGCAGATGTGTTAAATATAATCACATTGCTGTGTAATGAATCTCCTGGGTTTAAGTGACCCTCCTACCAGAGTTTCCTGAGTAGGTGGAACTATAGGCGCCCTATACCACATTTTGTTTATCTGTTCATCTGTAGAATCAATGGACATTTGGATTGCTTCCACCTCTTGGCTATTGTGAATAATGCTGTTAATGAACATGGGTGTGCAAATATCTCTTCCAAGATCCAGTTTTGAATTCTTTTGGATATGTACCCAGAACTGCTGGATCAGATAGTAATTCTACGCTTGATTTAGCACAAATTTTGTCAATCCAAAGAGCTGAAAGCTAACATAGAACTATAGTATATTTTTAAAGAGTCAGTTCATATTTGTGAGCTCAACATAAACATCTGACAAATTTTCCATTAAAAAAATTTTTATGTGTTCATTGATTCACATACATCTTAGCACGCTAATTCATTATTATTTTAACCCCTACAAAGAAGGGTAGAAAATAGGAAAAACATGATTCTATTCTAGACTTGGGTCTAACCTGTAACAATTCACCTAGCCTTCCTTATGACTGCCCTATTACTTACCATAGCTATTGCAAAGATGAATGGGTTAATATTTTAGATTTGTGTATGAGCTACTAAAAAGAAAAAGCAGTGGACAATGAATCACAGAACTTTGTAACAGTAGGTTCTATGATTTATTTTCTAGTGTTTTCCCTTTTTTGAAATACATATACGATGTACACACACACAAATGTAAAATATTAACTTAGAATTTAAAAAAATTAAAAAGATTTTAAAATAACACATTTATCTCTGCAATAAATGAGAGCCTTTGGCTTTGCTGTTAGACATGATTACACTTAGACCAATTCAGAAAAGATTTCAAGAAAGGAAGAGTACACAGCTTTACCTGGGTAAATCAAAAAACTTGTAAAGTTTCTATCATTATCATGAAATTCATTTAAAATGAATTGTGGTTATTAACCTGCTTCCTCTGGCTCTATATCCAAAGACTTAGAGAATAACTGTCCACTCATATTTTGGATAATTACTTTCCTTTTAATAATAAAATTTCAATAAATAACTAAATTTTGAAGATTCATGTAGGGCATATATATGTTGATTATGGAAAGGGAAAGTACCATTTAGAGCTAGAAAGAGGTTTATTTGAGTAAAATAAAATGGCTATTTTACCAAATAGGAAGCAAATTCTTAAGGACTCTACACCCAAAAGCAGTTAGTGGCTGAAAACAAACAGATTTTAAAAGGGTTCAATTATGGGAACAAATGTGTAATGTCCAAAATAGTCTTTATTGGAGATAAGGATTAAGGCTAAGTCTCTATTTTTCATCCCATAAAAATCTATTTACATCTCTTTCAGAGAGAGAGAGTTTTGAGGAAAGAAAACTGAATTTGATGAACAACGGATCTGATTTAGGATGCCAATTGCAAATAATGATAGAAAACGGATTTTTTTTTTTTTGGTGCAAAATTTCATGGATAAAAATGAAAAACTTAAATGACCTCTCCTCTCCAACAGTACAGAAAATTTTGCCTGAATTTACCTAAAGTCTACGCCACGGACTTGATTCAGTGAAATAGGATGGTTGGGCAGGGCACTGAACCAGGGATCAAACTTAAGAGATGTGTGGTCGCATGACTGCAATTGAACTAGAAGCATTACATCAGGACTGACCACCTTGGCTAAACCACAGACTTTGTCCAGACAGTCTGCCCACTTAGATATATTCCAAGGGGATCATCAAACTGGTGGGAGTGGCTGAAACACCGAAATGATAACCTCCTTGTTGACTCCCACAGATCCAAGCCATAAGTGTTCCCATTTAGTTAAAAGCTACCGTTGCCCGCCACTAGCATGACTTACTTGGTAGGAGGGATGTCTGTAGAGAAAAGGTCTATTTCAGTATCAGCCAGCAAAACAGCCTTCATTCCCCTAGAGCTGAGCACTTGTTTACAGAATTTGCAACACAGGATGGACACGCACCTGTCCTTGAAACTACAAATGTTGGTAGACATGGCGTCGCAGGAAGGATGAGGTGTGGGATTTTGAAAAAGGAAACAAGAGTAATGCTCCTACTATTTTGATTCCCCTAGGCTAAAATTCAAGTTGCGGGACCTAGAGCTTTTCTAAGTCCTAATATTGGGAAGGAAATTAGTTTTTTTTTTCTGTTTTCCCGGTGGCGGAGTAGAAGAAGTATTTATTGAGTAGGAACAGGGGAGCGTGGCAAACTTGGCTTTCCTTTTAACTTTTGGAGAAGGGAGTGGAGTTTGAATTGGAGAGGAGGCAGGTGGAGTTTGAAGGGAACTTCTCAACGGCTTTCCCTTTCTGCTGTCTAAAGGAGTCCTCTACACTTCAGCTCCCGCCCCTTCATAGCAATTCCCTCAGCCTTCTCCGATCGTCTAATTTAAAGCTTCTCCTCTTTTAAGACATCCCTTCCCCAGCATTAAGCCCCTCCCCCGGAGCGCTCCGGTTCCCTGCTGTCGGATCTCGGGCTAAGCATCCCTACCCACGCCTCCTCTTCCCAGGATTCAGAAACTCCCTTCTCTTTTTCTGCCAGGCGATCCCGGATTCTCCTCCGTCCCGCCCCTTTTCTCCCGGACCTTCCTCCGCTCTGCGGGTCCGCGGGCCCCTCTCCTGGCAACCCCCGGCCCTCAGCGTGCTTGCGCTGTTTCTCTCGCGTCCTCCCTTCCCTCAGCTGTCCCTCGTGCCCCCCGCAGTCCCCTCAGGTTTCTTCCCGGAGCGGCTGTTCCCGGGCGCGCGGTGGTGTTGGTGGGGCAGAGCTGAAGTCGCTTTAGAGGCTCAGTCGGCGCTGGGGTCTGTCACCGAACACGTTGGTTTTCGCTCCCTCTTCCGCTTTTCCTGCCTCTCCAACCCGGTATCAGTTTGAATTGCCAGCGCCGCGCACCGATTGGAAGAACTAGAGTTAGCCCCAGTCCCTCATTGGAAGGCTCCGGGGCCTCCCCTCACGAGAGCTTAGTGGCTTGAAGACCGTAGGCACCGCCCCAGTAACGGTGCTGAGATCAATTCGGCTTTCTGGTCGGCTGAGCTTGGCTCCGCCTCCGATCTCATTGGCCGGCTTCGGGAGGTTTCGGCAAACCCTGCCTTAGCCCTAGTGAAAGTGGCAAGACACGCCCTTCCCGCTTCTTATTGGAAGAGGGACTACAGTCTCCACCGGCCTCTACTCTTTATTGGTTAAAATTCCCCGCAACACCCCTCCTCTCTACCCCGGCCCAATTGGCCATGCCTTAGCTCAAGAGTTTGTGTTTGGTCGTCGGTTCCACCTTAATCCCGCCCATCAGTTCTACTTCGGGGTTCAACAACCCGGGGTGGAGCTTAATCTGTGACCACGCCTCGGCAGTGCTAGTCACACCTCCAAGTTTTGCCAGCTCCTCCCCCTCATTCCGGGCCTCTCGGTATCAGCTCTTCCTATTGGCTATGGGCCCCATCGGTCGATAGAAAACGGGCGGTGATTGGTAAAGGGGTGGGCTCTACTTCCCGGCGGGGTCCTGCGGAGTTGGCGGAGGCGGCGGAGGCTCCTCCAGGGACTGGGGCACCGATCTGCGTAGAAACGGGTGGCGGGGAAGAGAGGGGAGGAGAGCTCTGAGTGGGAAGCGGAACCGGGGGCCTGGGACCCGTCGCGTCAGAGCCAGGTAAAGGCTCCTTCCCTCTTCCTTTTCTTCCTCCCGGCCGCCGGGCTGGAGCCCTGACTGAACAAACCCGGGCTGGGGCGGGAAGGAGAGGGCGCGGATGCTGCTCGCGGCATCGCCTTAGCGGTGCCGCCCGGAATCCCTCAGACCGCCCCTCCTCCACCCTCTCCAAATCTCCCAGTACAGCCCATAATACTTCTCAGGACTGCGAGTCTCTCCGCCCATCACTGTACAGCCTGGGACTCCGTCCTGGCTCACGGACCGCAGCGCAGCCAGCACCCAGCCGCCTCTCCCTTTCCTCCGCACACGGGCAGCCGCGGTCCACCGTAGGGCAGTCGTCGTTGGCATCGCGCGTAATCATCGGCCGGCCTCCTCCAGTGTCTCCCAGCCCTGGCGGACAGCCCGGGTCCCAGCCTAGGACCCAGGAGGATGGGTGTTCCGCGCAGCTTCCGGGGCTCTCCCCGAGTCCCACCCCCCGGCCCGCCCCGATGGACTTCTCTTCGCCCACTCCCATCCCTAGACCACATCTCGGCCCCCACAGTTCCTGACATCCTTGCGCTTCACGCAACATCGCGGCCCATGATCATGCCCCAATTCCCCTCACCTCTAAGGCAGCCTTCTCCTTGCCGCCTCCCGCCTTCCGAGCGTGTGCAACTCCAGTTGTCCCCGGGCTCCCTTCCAGCCTCAGGACCCCATCTCACACCCGCCTCTCGCTTCCCGCTTCCCGCTCGCCTGAACCCCGCCGCCTCTGCTCCCTGTCTTGTTTCCTCAGCGTGGCCCCTTCCTCCAGCCGCGGGAAGTGGGAGACGCTAGCGGGAGCTTCCTCCTCCCGGCGCTCGGAGGAAAAGGAAAGACCAAGTAGAAAGGGTCGCCGCTGCGGCACGCGAGGGAGCTAGTCGCCGGGCTCCGCGCTCCCGCTTGCGTCCCTCCAGCCCCCTGGGCCTCGTCCGGGGCCGGATCTTCTCGGGCACCGCCTGGTGCGAGGAGTCAGGACTGCGACCTCACCGACCTCCTCCCATCCCCAGCCTGGGATTGGGTGGGATATCTGGGATCTCTGAGCTTGGGTGTCAAAAAAATATTGGGGGTGGCATTTATAGTCACTATCGTCCCTAGCTTGAGGGAGGCGACGGCTGCCTTCCGCTCGCCGCCCCCCGGTTTTCCCGGCTCCGACCCTATCCTCTAACCCGTTTCCTGCTTCAGCTGACCACATTGTTTTCCTGGATGTGTCCCGTGCCGAGCAGGCTTTTTCCTGCAGATTTGCCCCCCCCACCCCATCAACATTTTGCTGCCAAGAGAAGCTAGTAACCAAAAACAAAACAACTGGGAGGAGGGGCGGGAGAGGAAGAAAAGTTGTGCCCTGGTGGCTTGTCCCTCCCCGGCTTTGATCCCCTTTGATGTACAGGGAGGTGCCCCGGCCGGGGGTCTGGGGCCACGTCGGGGGCTAGGTCGGGAGGGCTCCCTCGGGCTGGCCGCTGCCCAGCGCTGGCGGGGCTCAGGAGGCCGCCGAGGTGCCGCATTCCCCGCCCGGTGCCCCGCGTTCCTGCAGTCCCCGCCCGGAGCCCGCGCAGGCGGCTGCTCCAAAGTGTTTTCTTTCAGCCTTAAAATCCGGAGGGAGCTTCCTTCCTCCCCACCTCGTAGCGCCAGGCTCTGCGGGCGGGGAGACGTTAAGCGGACAGGAATGGGCCCAGGGCGGGCTCGGAACGACGTCCCCTACCCCACCCCCGCCGCGATTAGGATCTGCGCTCTGGCTGATCGCCCCCTCCCCCTTTTCCTGCATTTACAGGCAAGTGAACCGGAGCAAACGACTTCCGATCCAGTCTGCGCTGTTGCGGCTCCCGTTTGGGATTTGATTTGCAGCATCTTTGAGCCTCTACGACAAAAAACCGCGAAGCACGCCCAGCCCTCCCCCGGCACCCCGAAAAGCACCCACTCCCTCCCGGGGACACAGCTGGGCGCGTCCACACCCCCGCAGCCCCACACCATGTTGTGCGGAAGGACTTCCACTCCCCGCCTGTGTCGTTGATGTCAGACCCCAGGCCAGCCTCCGGGCGCTGCAGTTCTCCCGGCTAATGCTGAGGCTGCGGCTCCGGCTCTAGCACAGGCACCAGCCGCCGCCGCACCCGGCCTCAGCGCCCACCGTCTGCATGTGCCCGCCGTAGCCGTCTGCCCAGCCCGCAGCCCGCGCTCCACGGAGCGCTGGAGACCACCGTGGGGGGCCCCTTCTGCCCTCGAGAGAAGCGGTCTTGGAGGTATTGATTTAGGTGGTTGGATTTTTTCCGTGGATCTATCAATTCACAATTCGAATTTGGAAGAAAGAAGGAAAACATGACGTCTCCAGCCAAATTCAAAAAGGATAAGGAGATCATAGCAGAGTACGATACTCAGGTCAAAGGTAAGGGTTTTGAAAAATAGCACACTGCAAATGCTCTGTGGACTGGTGAGGCGTGTATTTCCACCGTGATTTGCAGGTTGTTCATTTCTTTGGGTGGAGCAGATGGGGGCAGGCTGACCCCAGAGGTGGTTTCATAGATGGGTCTGAACCTCCAAAGGATGGGCAATGCCAGGGGGCCATTGACACTGGAAAGGAATTTTTGCAGTGGGCTGTAGGAGTATCTTTGTGGGGCTGACCATGATTTTGGCAGCCCTTTCCCCCCAAGCCGGACAGGGTGGGGGGAGGGGCAGGAGGCTCTTAGAGAAAGGCAGTTTGCCTCCGGTTCTCTGGGTCAGGTTTCCTTGAAAGACAACTGAAATCTGACAGGTGTTTGGACATTTGTTTCAGAGATTGAAGAGGAGTCCAGACAGAAAGGCAACCTTGGGAAGGTGTACCATTTGGAGAGCCTTGGGAGAGGAGGGGTTTTTCGGATGCACTATATTAAAACATGAGATTTGCAATGGCATTGGCACCAAAAGTCCATTGCCACCTTGGGTGTACCTTGTACCTGCCTGGTCTCTGGTCGGCCTGCATACAATCAGAGATCAGAGAATAAGGCCACCCACACCCGGTCTCCGCCCTCACCTAAATCTGAATAGAGTTGGGAGGATGTTAGGGTAGCTGGTTGGTGCTGATTCTGGAAAATGGGAAGACATAATTGTTTAACCCTTCTGTGCTGTGGCCCTCTGCTCCGGAAGACATGCTTTTAAAGCCCCATTTCCCTCTCCTGAAAAATGTGAAGGGTAAAGCAAAATGTGGACTAGGAGAAACCAAGGACCTGTCTTCTCATCTAGTCGACTGACTTGACTCATGAATAAGAGCCCTTACTCAGATAGCGTTTTTTAAACCAGCAATTCCCATAGGAAGGGTTCCTGCCTGTTAAAGAGCTGCAGCATGTGTTTGTGCAAGGCACTGTCCTTTCCTGGTCAGTCACTGGAAAGAGCCATGTGGCTCCAGCCCATTGAGACCTTAGCTGGGGAGTGGAAGAGGTGGGTGGCCTTGAATGTTACACCACATGGTTGGAGCTCTGGGTTTTCCTTTGTTTCAGAGTACAGAGGGAGGGGCCCCTCCTTTCCCTGCACCAGTGCAAGGAGACCTTTTCCTATCAGAGAGGACTTGGGAAGGGCCATGGCTCCCCTCTAATGATTGCTGGGGGGTGGGGGTAGGCGTAGAGTTTGAAATGGGCAGCTCCCTTATCTCTTGGAAGGTTGGAAGGTAGTCTGAAGTCCTCATTGTACCTACAGGATCTTTTTTACGTCATTAGTTTGGTCAGTGCTGGAGGTGCCCTAAGGGGCCTTCTATCCACTTGGCTGCAAATATTGGTAGGTTTATTACAGAGGTGGGGGAGTTGACTGATTGATAGCTTCAGTTGAACTGGGATTGAGAGAGGTGTGGTTGTGAGTTATTATTGAGGTCTTGGCCTCTTGTCACTGTTCATAATCCAGGCCTGTTTTTGTAAACAATAGGCCACTGGCCTCCATGTCCTGTCCAGATGCATTGCATTTGCTCTTGGAATCCCCCCTGCAGTTTTAACCAGATATGTCTTTTTTTTTTTTTTTTTTTTTTTTTTTAACACATCCTATTCTTAAACTGTTGCCATCGGGAGTGTTAATAACTTTGATCTTCCCAGATTTCTCTCCAGAAGCACGCCATTTGACTAAGGTGCAAAGTGACTTTAAATGTTTAATTTTTGGAAGGTTCAAGGCTGATAGGTGTTAATAGAACCATATCTGCCAATTTCTTATTGGCAAAGGATTTCTCAAGAGTGTCTCAAAATTAAACACTTTGGATATTTACAAACATTGCTCATTGAGATGATGTAATGCAGTCGGCTATTTGGGTTCTCTCTTCAACCTTGCCACAAACAGACTATTTTGCTTTGCTCTGATATTTTCCCATTGATACTATTCAGGATCATAGAATTTTATAGGTGGCTGAGCATGATGTCTTACTCCGAGAAGGTGCCTGATGAATGCTTATGGAACTGATTTGAATAGTTTAGTCCTTCATTTTACAGCTGAGGAGAATACAGAGAACTGAAGAGGCTTGTCCAAGGTCACACGGCTAGATGGTGGCAGATCTGAAACTAGAAGCAGATTTACCAACTCTCAATTCTCTATTCTGTATCTTTACTATGAAACATCATCTGACCAGGGTGGAAAAAAATAAAAAATTCTTAAGGAGCCCAAATCTGTCAATGAATAATAATAGTAATAATGATAATGATAATAGATTACATTTTGGTTGCTCATTATGTTCCAGTCCATCCCAAGTGCTTTAAATGAATGGTCTGGTTTAATCCTTAACTCAACCCAGGAAATGGATATTATTGTCACCTTCCATTCACCATATAAGGAAACTGAGGCTTAGAGAGGATGAGAAGCCCTTCCAAGGTCACACAGCCAAACCATGGCAGCTTGACTTCATTCCTTTATTCATTAACTATTTATTGAGTGCTTGCTGTGTGTTCTGGCGATTGGCCATACAGCTGTGAAGAAGAAAAAGTCTCTACCCTCGTGGAGCTTATATTCTGGAAGCTGGGCTCTCTATGGAACAGCACAGAATTTGGAGACAAAGGGCCTGCGATCTGGTTTGGCTCTGCCTCCCACTAGCTAGAAGCCCTGGGTCAGAATTATTATGAGTGTCAGCTTTTTGTGTGTTATATGGGACTCATGGTGCTGCCAGACTTACTTCTCTTACAGATGCCAAGATAAAAAGAAAATTGCTGTAACAGCTATGCAGTTTGGTTTGGTTGTTAAGTGCAATTTTTAGAGTCAAAGTGATTCAGGTTTAAATCTTGGTTCTGCCAGTAGCTAGCCTTTCACTTCAGGCAAGTTACATGACTTGTCTGAGCCTCAGTTTCCTTATTTGGAAAATAGGTAAAATAAAATACATTTCCTAAGATAGTAGTGAGTTGTTGATGAGATATATAAATTATTTAGAACAGTATCTTGCACTTGTAAGTGCTCAATAATGGTACGGTCTACTTCTCTGTGAGCCTTTCTTTTGCTGAATTGGGCTGACTATTGAGGCTGCATTGCATATTCACTCCCAAAGTGCCAGCTATTAAATGATAGGAAATAAGTAAGGAATGAAACTTAAGTTCTAGCTTAAGATCATTTAGTCGTAACAAAACATCTTGGGTCAGTCACTTAAACCCTCTGGACATCAGTTTCTTTTTCTGTCAGTGAACAAGTAAACTAATTATTGGCCACTGTGGTTCGGCCTGTCTTTGACCAGAGTCCCAGGTCCTGTTTTTTCAATCAGAATTGTTTGAGTCAAATGGACTCTAAATGGGACCCTCATCTCATGGGACTTTCTGGGACCCTCCCTATCCCTTGATTTTTGCCTCCCTATAAACCACCTGCTTGCATGTGCCCTGAGGAACTCCTGAGGCTTCAGCCCCAACCCTACCCCAGAGTGGTTTTATGAGGGGTGTGCCTCCTTAGTCAACCTGCCTTGTAGTTTCTTCTTAAAAACCATCATTGTTTCTGGTTTGTGGGTGCCCACATTCCTTGGAAAGTTCATGCCTCTCAATGTCTGACTTGAAAGCAATAATATTCTTAGTCTTTTTACATAGCTCTTTCCAATTTACATTATGCTTTCATATGTAGTTGTCCGTCAGTATCCTCAGGGGATTGGTTCAAGGACTACCCCCACTTCCCCCAGGATACCAAAATCTGCAGATGCTCAAGTCCCTGATAAATAATGGTGTGGTATTTACGTATAACCTATGTACACACATCCTTCTGTATACTTTAAATCATCTCTAGATTACTTATAATACCTAATACAGTGTAAATGCTATGTAAATAGTTGTTATACTGCTTTTAAAATTTGTATTATTTTAAATTGTTGTATTGGTATTTTTATTGTTTTTTTTTTTCTTGAATATTTTCCATTCCCATTTGGTTGAATCTGCAGATATGGAACCTGCAGGTATGGGGAGGGCTGATGTACATTAATCTCTGGAAATTCTTTACAACCCTGGTCAGATTCATGGTCATAAACTGAAGCCTTTGGCCTCTAGCCTGTTAGCTTGTTGCTGGGATTGGAGCAGCGAAGGTGGTAAGGTGCAGGGCATGGTTACCAGGGTTGTGAATCTGGGTGGTATTTGGGTGAATACACATGACTGTAATGACTGTATACAGTCCCAGCTATTGTTCTTTCCTTATTTAAGGCCCCTTTCCTTTACCCTCTCTATACCTTGAGTTTTTACAGTCTCCCAGAAAGCTTGAGATTGACAGTTCATGCAAATATTCCAGAAGAAATAGTCTGAAACAGGGTGGCACTGTATGCTGAGCAGTCACATTTTCTTTCTCGAGAACATTAGGGGTCTTGTCTTTTTTTTTTTTTTTTTTTAATGTCTTAAGAGAACAGTGTGTGTGCACCACAGAGCTGGAAGCGAAATTTTGTAATTTCCATCTGGAGCATTTTGATAGAAAAAGTGCAGGCCTTTGCTTGGAACAGTTTAACCCTTTCAGGACCCTTCAAGAGCAGGAGATGAAATTTAAAACTGGAGTCATATTGTGTATGTATATATACTTGGGAATGTTGATGGCTGGTATATAAACAAGCTCTTTCCCTTGGGAGGTCTGAGCAATTTTTCATTCATGCCAACAAAGGTCTTCTCCAAAGCTTCTTTCCTCACAGCTCCCATTCCCCAAGGGAGCTTTAAATATAATCAGTTAATCAGTTTTAAATATAATCAGTTAAATATAGTCAGTTTGAAAAGCTGCAGTAAAACATTTAGTTGGAATCCTCAAGCAGATGCTATCATTTTCCCACAAGATGATTGAGGGCTCCTGTCCCTTGCTCAGGGGAAAAAACAACAACAAAAAAAGCTACTCTGCAGCAGTAAGGTGAACTCCTGGAAGAAAATGAAACTCTTGGAAACTTTCAAGTACCATACTCTGCATCTTGCAATTGAAAGACCCTAGAGGAAGGTGGTAGGCAAGGAGCCAGGGGATGCAGTGTACTGTGCAAAGAAGCAGTAGTTGGAAACAGTGTTCATGAGGGGTCCTTAGCTTTTTCAATTTCAGGTGTTCTTGGGGAATGAGAACAGAAATTTCCTTTGAAGAAGCCTATCTGGTAATTGTGGCCACATCCGTTATGTATCATGCAGGTTGAAAACTTAGACAGGCTCTGATGATTTCTCTGCTATGAGGTGTCCAGAGATAGACCTGGCTGCAGTATGTAGGCGCCCTCACTATTAAAATCAGCAGGTACCCAGACCCTGACTCCCATTATTCACTCCAGATAAACTGGGCTACCCAGTGGCACCTGTAGAGTTGTCCTTCCAGAAGTGAGAATGCTTCATGGGAATTGTGCTTACCTTATACCCTTGACCTCTGACAGCTACATTAGGAAAATATGTCATATTGCAGGGAAAAAGCAGTTGATATGTAGATTTCTGGTAGTAATAAAATTAGCAGTTTTAACCTGGTGTCAGCTCCAGAATTGACTTTTTGGGGAATCTGGGAAAGTTGCCTTGGAAGTTGTTAGGTTTAAACATAAGTAATAACAGCACTTAAAAGCATTTTAAAAAATTACAAAATTAACACCCTTACTGATTTTACAATAATGTGTAGGAACTCTCATATCTCCCTTACTCTCTCTAATTGTGGTAGAATACACAGGAGGTTGACCATCTTAACCATTCTAGAGTACAGTTCAGTAGCATTAAGTACATTCACATTGTTGTGCAGCCATCACTACCATCCATCTAAATGACTCTTTTCATCTTGCAAAACTGAAACTTTATACCCATTAAACAACAGCTCCCTATTCCCTCCTGCCCCTGTCTCTGGCAAGCACCATTGTACTTTGTCTCTATTTGATAACTCCAGATACTGCAGGTAAGTGGAATCATATTGTATATATTTTTTGTTACTGGCTTATTTCACTTCCTATAATGTCCTCAAAGTTCATCCATGTTGTAGCATATGTCCAAATTTCTTTCTTTTTTAAGGTTGAATAATATTTAATTGTATGTATATACCCCATTTTGTTTACCCATTCGTTCATTGATGAACACTTGGGTTGTTTCCACCTTTTGCCTATTTTGAATAATGCTGCTGTGAACATAGGTGTAACATAGGGGTGTTCTTTTTTCTTTTTTTTTTTTTTTTTTTTTCAGATGGGGTCTCACTCTGTCACCCAGGCTGGATTGCAGTGGCTTGATCACGGCTCACTGCAGCCTTGACCTCCTGGGCTCAAGTGATCCTCCCACCTCAGCCTCCGAAGTAGCTGGGGCTATAGGCACATGCCACCACACCCAGCTAGTTTTAAAATTTTTTGTAGAGATGAAGTCTCCCTACATTGCCCAGGCTGGTTATTTTTTTTTTAAAAGGTACACTATACCAAAGTTTTACAAGCCTGTATATACATTTCTATATAATCACTTGTCCTGATAAATTTTTTAAATTTAAGGTTTTAATATGTGCATTAGCTTGTATATTAGTATATTATTAATTATAAAGTTGTACACCTTTTAATAATTACATGAATTACTAAACTTTTACCATATTTTTAATAGCTTTATTGAGATTTAATTGACATTTAATAAATTGCACATATTTAAGGTATACAATTTGATAGGCTTTGACATATATAATACCCATGAAACCAGCACAATCAAGATAGTGAATGTAATCATTACCCCCAAAGTTTCTTCGTTATAATGTATTAATAAACCAGTACTATTGGCCAGGCACAGTGGCTCATATCTGTAATTCCAGCACTTTGGGAGGCCAAGGTGGGAGGATTGCTTGAGCCCAGGAGTTCAAGACCAAACTGGGAAACATAGTGGGACCCCATCTTTGCAAGAAAAAAAAACAAAAAACAAAAAACTGGCTGGGCACGGTGGCTTACGCCTGTAATCCCAGGATTTTGGGAGGTGGGCAGATCACCTGAGGTCAGGAGTTCAAGACCAGCCTGGCCAATATGGTGAAACTCTGTCTCTACTAAAAATAAAAAAATTAGCCGGGTGTGGTGGCAGGCACCTGTAATCCCAGCTATACGGGAGGCTGAGGCACAAGAATCACTTGAACCTGGGAGGCAGAGGTTGCAATGAGCTGAGATCTCACCATTGCACTGCAGCCTGGGCAACAAGAGCGAGACTCCATTTCAAAAAAAAATTATCTGGGTGTGATGGCACATACCTGTAGTCCTAGGCTCTCTTAGGATGATGAAGCAGGAGAATTGCTTGAGCCCAGGAGTTCGAGATTGCAGGGAGCCATGATTGATTGCACCATTGCAGTCTAGCCTAGGTGATAGAGCTAATAATTATGTTATAGAAGAGGCATTAACTTCAAGATAACTAAGTGAAAGCCTGGTATTAACAAATTTTAAAAAGTAACAAATAAATAATGATCTAAGCTACCCAGATTAGTTTCTGGAAAATTTGTTTAACCAAGACAATCTCCAAGGGAAGTCAGGCTAATAATTGTGTCTCAGCCATTACTCTGCTTTTAGGAGGGAAGGTACAGGATGGAGTGAGAAAGAAAAGAAAAAAAATCATGGCCATGTTAGGAGTGGACAAATGACAGTGTCTGTTTCCATATAGAGTTGGCTTGGCTGGGTGTGGTGGCTTACATCTGTAATCCCAGCACTTTGAGAGGCCAAGGCAGATGGATCACCTGAGGTCAGGAGTTCGAGACCAGCCTGGCCAACATGGTAAAACCTCATCTCTACAAAAATACAAAAATTAGTTGGGCGTGGTGGTGGGTGCCTGTAATCCCAGCTACTCAGGAGGCTGAGGGAGGAGAATCGCTTGAATCCAGGAGGCAGAGGTTGCAGTGAGCCGAGATCATGCCACTGCACTCTAGCCTGGGTGACAGAGCAAGCCTCCATCTCAAAAACAAAAAACAAGCAAACGAAAAAATAGATCTGGCCTGAACTAGTCCTAGGGCCTCATGCCTTTTTAGAAGGGGTCACAAATAAGCCAGATGTCAAGGAGAGGGGCTAGGGGCTCCCACTGGAGATCTACTCAGAATGTTCTTAATATGGCTTCTTTCTTCTAATGATTGACTCCCTATTGCCTGCTAAATACAGACCAACTTTCTAAGGTAGACATGAACTTCATTCTCAATCTGACTGCAACCTATTGTTTCGACCACATTTCTTATTTTGCTTTAAGAGGACTGGAAGCCTAACTTGACTGCTTACCATTCTTTAAACACATAGACTACTAGCTAACATTTGCTGTCTGTTGGATATTTACCACTTACTAAGCATTATGCTAAATACTTTATATAGATTATTCCATAATCCTTACTCCAACTTTAGGAAAACGATGTTACTAGTATCCCATTTTACTGATGAAAAAAGTGAGGTGTAGGACATTCAGTTATTTCTCCAGGGTCTGCAGCTGGTGAATAATGGAATAGGAACCTTGGTTGTCGCCAGAGTCTAAGTTCTACGTGTTGCTCATGAAATGCCCCTTTTTCGCTGCGCAGTCCCGTATCTTCACCTATTGAAATCTCATCCTTCTGCTGGGGGCAGTGGATCACCTGAGGTCGGGAGTTCGAGACCAGCCTGACCAACATGGTGAAACGCTGTCTCTACTTACAATGTAGAATTAGCTGAGGGTGGTGGCACTTGCCCGTAATCCCAGCTACTTGGGAGGCTGAGGCAGGAGAATGGCTGGAACCCAGGAGTTGGAGGTTGCTGTGAGCCGAGATCGTGCCCTTGCACTCCAGCCTGGGCAACAAGAGTGAAACTCCATCTCAAAAAAAAAAAAAAAAAGAAAAGAAAGAAAGAAATCTCACCTTTCTGGTAAAGCCCAACGTTTCTGGGATTGCTTCCTTAATTGCTCTGACCAGAAATAACCCTTCTCTCTATTTCACCCACACAGTGCTTCTCTTAATAGATCTCATATGGCATTGATCTCATACTGCCTTATGTTTGGAATATTTGTATTTCATTCTTTTTTCTTCTACCAGACTTCTGAACGTAGGAATGTTTTGAAGTTGTGTAGCGCAATGCAAAGAATACAGGCTCTGGAACCAGCCCTCAGTTGGAGTCTTGTCAGCATCACCTCCTTGCTGTGTGACCTTGCTGCAGTCACTCAACTTCTCTTCCAAGCCTCCTTTTCTGTGATGTGGAGATAATGAGACCTGCCTTGCTATTAATTGCAGTTGTGTTAAGAGTACTGGCTCAGTGTATGGCAAATATTAAATGCTAAATAAATAGCTTATTATAAGGTCCCTTCAGATAGGAAACGTGTCTGGAAGACTATTGTAGCTCAAATGGTGGCTCTCAGTAAACACTTATTGTCTGTAGTACTGAATGAATGGATGACCTAACTACTACAAATAATCTTTTAGAAATAGTTTAATTGTATCTTGACACTGTATCTTGCACAATGTCACCAGAGTGATTTTTAAAAACTCATTTTTTTTTGCTAACATCGTAGCATAAAAGACTGTTAATATTAATCACTTCCCACTTACCCTGCTTACATTTTATACTGCCTTACAGCTGAACTGCCTCTAGTTTCCTTTCTTTATCATGTTGTGTCATGGTTTGTGCTGTATCCATGCTGTGCCCTCTCTTTGGAATGGGTCCTCTTCCTTGAACCTGTAAAACTTATTCATCCTTTAAAGCAGCTCAGATGCCACCCCTCCAGGAAGCCTTCCCTGCTCCCCTGTGCGGGATCCCAAGCAGGATTCCTCAGCATCTCCCCTTGCCTTCTGCACAGAGTTCATCAGTACGCTCTCAGCATCTCCTCTGCAGTGTCTTTGTACACTCTTGTATTATTGCACTCATCATATTACATTGCGATCTCTTCATTTACATCTCTTTGTTTACAACTCACTGAGCACCTTCAGGAAAGAATGGTCTTTTATTCATTTCTGCATGTCCAGCTCCTGACACATAGTAAGCACTACAATGTTTATAAGTTGAATTGAACTGTCTTCTGAGTTGAGTTTGGATGTGATAGTGCCATGATGGCACGCTTCTGCATTTCTCCCCGACTCCAGTAAGAAACCCATGCCCTATGTTAATATTATTTGAAATTTGATATAGATTAAACTTTGTGAATATATTTGCATTATACAAGGACAAGTACAAACTACATAGCCTTATGGATCCTCCCCCACGGGGGTGTGTTTCTCCTTAAATTTATTGCTGGCACAGCCCTCTTTAGAATCACTGCCCTCTTTAGAGTCACTGCCCTAGAGCTATACTTGCTTTGACCAAATTTCTTCAGTCACATCTCTCACCTTGGAAACCAAGAAAAATGTTAACACTGAAATTCCCGAGAGTTTAAAACAAACATAAGGCTTTCTGTAATTGAAGCAAAAACACATTGTACATTTGTCCAGGATTTATTCACCATTTTAATCAGGCACTAAAAGTCTAAGTTTGAGAAAGTTTGTCTGTCTTGACCTGGAGTTAAAACTGGGTTGACCTGAAAAAGGAACTGTTTTGTTCCTTTTTCAAAGCACGGTGTGGAGAGAGCTATTGCCTGGTTAGAAGCAGCTGTGAGATCTTTGGTAAATGGGGAAGGAGAGGTCCTAAGGAACAAGCAGGAAAATGGTCCCTTATGGTTTTTCAAGTCATTTGGTATGAAATAGCCTTGACCTTATTTATACGTTGTGAATGAATGGTTCTGAACTTGAAATATGTATTCGTGAGGAAGGAAAAACAGTTGGGACATGTTCCTCCATTTTGGTGTATATTTTAGGATATCATCCTTTAGGAAGAAGGCATATTCTCTTTGTTTTTTTTTTTTGTTTGTTTGTTTGTTTTTCTTAACCATATCTTCTAAATGCATTAATCAGTGGAGAGGTGACCCAGAAATCACTGTGAAAGTTGGGACCTTATCTTTGCTGTTTGAGCCCAGATCTTGCATTTAGAATCATGGCATGGTGGGCAGGATCTGAATACTCTCCCTGGAGAAGATGACCCTGGCAGCCATGGGTGGCTGGGTGGCCAGGGCTCCACAGGAGGACAAAGCACAGAAAACAAAGGGACTTAAGAGCATGAGCTGGCCATGACAAGCCATGCCATAAGCTTTAAGAAATATGTCTTGTTTCTGAAGAGTTGGCTGTTGCCAACTCTTCTCCAAACATTGAAATCCCTTAGAAATCTGCTTCCTTTCCCCATTAGATTTTGTGTGTGCGTGTGTTTATTATTTTGGTAGGCGGTGGAGATACTGCACCAGAGCTTGTCAGATGAGTAAGCTGCTCTTTGGGAAGACATCTTGACTGAGGTACCTATTCTGGAGCAACATTTCTTTTGGGCCAATACAGTACTTTGTTACGCGTTGAGCTACAGGATTCTACACAGGCAGAATGATCCTAAGGGAAAGTGCTGGATTGGGAGGCAGAAAGCTTGGGTTCTAGTTTAGCTTTGTCATTGGCTGCCATGATTTTAGAGATAACTCACCTAAGGTCTCAAAATCCCTAGTTTCCCTATAAAATCCCTGTAAGATGGGAACAACAATTCTTGGCCCTTATAATAATGATGATGATGATGGTTAGCATTTATCAAGTGCTTCTTATGTCTCAGCTCTGTTTTAGGTGCTTTACATATATGAACTCATGAATTTCTCAACAGTCCTGTGAGGTAGCTGCTATTATTATCCCCATTTTACAGATGACGCACAGTGAGGTTAAATAACTTGCTCTGAAGCACATGGCTAGTAAGTGATGAGGACAGATTATGAACCCAAGCTGACTTAACACTGGTGTGAAGCTGAAATGAAAGAATTCAGTTGAAACTATGAGATGCTGTACACACTCAGTTGATTGTCCTCATTTCCTAGTAACTTGGTACAATAAAGAATTAATGCAGTGTTTTAAATGTCTTTCTGTTACATACCTACTGTACCTCCCTATGCCTTGGTATTCTCATCTAAAATACTAGGGGTTAAACATTAGAAACTTTCTAAGGTCCTTCCAGCTTTCAGGGTTCATGATTTTTGCTTATTAATACGTTGAAGATCGGCCTGGCTGGGTGGCTCAAGCCTGTAATCCCAGCACTTTGGGAGGCCGAGGCAGGCAGATCACCTAAGGTCAGGAGTTCAAGACCAGCCTGGCCAACATGGTGAAACCCCGTCTCTATTAAAAATACAAAAATTAGCTGGGCATGGTGGCAGGTGCCTGTAATTTATCTTAGCTACTTGGGAGCCTGAGGCAGGAGAATTGCTTGAACCTGGGATGCGGAGGTTGCAGTGAGCCCAGATCACACCATTGCACTCCAGCCTAGGTGACAGAGCAAGACTCCGTCTCAAAAACAAACAACAAAAAAGATGTTGAAGATGATGATTTGTCCCTTTTAAGTAGACACACTTTGAAGTACAAAAACCATTATATTCTCTGAATGACATTCTTTCCACCCCCAGAACTTGCCATGCCTGCATGGCTGCTGCACACTTATGGAGGGTAGGCCCCAGGTGGTAGGTAGTACCAGAGTGGCAGCTGGCCTGGAGAGCAGTTGAAGTGATACTTGTTGAAGTATCACGATCTAATAGGAAGATGTGCCTCACAGCTGGAGAAAAATCGAGGGGAGAGAGAGTTACTTGATGGGCCTACAGGTGAACTTGTGACTGGATCACTTTAATCAGGATGTTTTAATCAGGATAACTATTAAACTTTGGACTTCCAGTAAGCTCAGAGACTTCTAGAGTTAGAAAATTCCCTGCTGTAACTGGTTTGTATGGTTTTCCCCATCCATGTTGGTAGGTCAGAAATGGAATTTGTGTAACTCTTAGTATTACAGATATTTATGTTGTTGTGTGCAGTACTTAAATTTAAAAGAAAAAGGAAGTTGATTGATTGTCCTTAATGAAAATTAAAGAAATAAGGAAGTGGGAGGCTCTTAATCTCTGACATCTGGTCTGGGACAAACCTGGGGGAGGCAGTGTGGTTATGGAACTGGTATAGGGTTGATCTAGACATCTGGGTTGTTCGGGAAGTGACTTCAGGCCCTTTTAGGATGTGGAGTGGCCTCTTGCCTCTTACATTGCTCTTTATGTATTAGGCCTTTTGTCAACTAAGGATTTCTTTGAGGATTGTGATGAAGCATGCTGTAATGTGGAATTGAAATGTTTTCATGTTTATGTTTGTTTTCCTTTTGCCTAATGAATAGGCTAGTAATAGTCTGTTGTTTTAAATGAGTACTATTAATAATAATGACAGCTCATATTTTTATCATTACAGCATTTAAAAAATATCATTCATAGGGAGGAAGAAATGTAGGGTAATGGAGGACCAGCTATGTAATGTTGAAGATGTCATTCCACCTTTGGGATTCTCAGCTTCTCAGCTGGAAAGTGGAAAGATGGATTACTAGTTCCTAGCTTCATGATTTTTAGGACATATGAACAAAAAATGGCTATTGTTAAGTGAGTTGTCACATAGAGTCTAGATGTTGATTATTATCCTGGGGGAAGGATAGAAACCAGAGAATAGATAGCACAGGTTCTTCCTACTCCCCTCTTCTACTTCTGGTTTAAGGTTTCATCTTTTTTTTTTTTTCTTTGTTTTCTTCTTAAAGGTTTCATCTTTAAATGACATTAATTAGGCTTTGTGTTTTTAGCCATTTTTAGAGTCCGTTGTGCTGTATCTCCTGATCTCTCTTTTTCAGTGATTTGTGGTTATGTAAGTTATCTCAGTTCTTTGCTGTCAGCAATTTTAAATCAAACATTGAAGCATTTTGGGTAGATGACGTGTTACTTTGATTAATGAGGTTCTTGATCTGGATATTTTAAGGCCAGTAACAACACAATATGGAAACACCTAATTCTCCTTAAAACTGCAATAGTGTTCTCACTGCCAAAGCTGAAACCGATTTGTGCTGGTTACTTCTTTCTAAGAGTGAATGTGTGCGTATGAGCTTTCTTTTGCTGTTTTGGCCAGGGAGTGGGACTGCCAGTCCAGAAAGGCCAGCTCTTCTGGATTCAGTAGCAAAAGAGTTAATCATTAAGCAGAGACAGAAACCTCCCAAGTTTCTAACCTTCTCTTGTGTTAAATCTCCTTACTCTTATTAGAAGAAAAGGCATATGCACACTTAGGCATGCGCGTGTGCGCGCACGCACACAAACACCATACACACAAATACTCTAACAAAACTTAATGTAAAATGATCTCATGTTTATGAGAGCTGGAATTACTTGGGAGGGATACTTGTGTTCTGCAGGCTTAGTGGGCATGATGTGAAAGCAAGGCTATTTGGCCTGTGGAGATTGAAGATAAGAGCGTGATATGTAATTGAGTAAGAATTTGAAAAATTATCCGATAACGTTAGGAGCAGCAAAGCAACTGCGTGTACTTTTTTTATGCTTGAAACTATTTGGAGTAGGAGTGAGGAGCTAGCATTGTTTTCAGGGCATGGGAACCCCCTCCCCACCTCACTAGCCAAATATGTTTGCCTAGGCCAAGAGTGTCAGATCTCTGAGAGATCTTGACAGAGTATTTAAATACATTCTGCCCTCGGACAATTCTTCAGTGTTAATCATTTCAGGAAAAGGGCTGTCAGCTAACCTTTAAAATCCTTTCCAGAATAGTATACCGCAGCCCACCTTCCCATCTTGTTCCAGTGACCCAATCTATAAATGGTCAGTTCCTTCATTTGCAGAACTTGAAATAGTTTAAAGAAGAGACTTGATGAATTGAACTCATGTTTTTGCTGCTGTGGCCACACCCTCTATACAGACATTTGCTTCATTTGGGTTCTCAGCAACTTGGGAAGGAGGAGGCTATTGATGAAACTTTCAAGGTGTTGGCTTATAGCTACTGGAGTCTTCTTCTTTCCTGTCCCCTCCCCTCCTCACTTCCTCCAGTGTTGGGACACTTTGTATTGAACAAGAAGATCATGAGCTAATTTCAACCTGGCAGCCATTTATTTAGCACCTACTGTATGTTGTCTTTTTTTTTTTTTTTGAGGCAGAGTCTTGCTCTGTCACTCAGGCTGGAGTGCAGTGATGTTATCTTGGCTCACTGCAACCTCCGACTCCCGGATTCAAGTGATTCTCCTGCCTCAGCCTCCTGAGTAGCTGGGATTACAGGCACGTGCCACCACGCCTGGCTAATTTTTAAATTTTTAGTAGAGACAGGGTTTCACCATGTTGTTCAGGCTGGTCTCGAACTCCTGACCTCATGATCCGCCTGCCTCAGCCTCCCAAAGTGCTGGGATTATAGGCGTGAGCCACCGTACCTGGCCTATATGTTTTATACTATGCTAAGCTGTGGGCATAGAGAGATACAGAAAAAAGTTTCTGCCTTCAAGGAGCTGCAGTCTATTAGAAATGTCTTAGTCCGTTTTCTGTTGATTATAACACAATGCCTGAAACTGGGTAATTTGCAAAGAAACAATTTTTTTTTTCCGGTTCTGGAGGCTGGGAAGTCCAAGATTGAGGGCTGAATCTGGTGAGGGCCTTCTTGCTGATGGGAACTCTCCACAGAGTCCCAAGGTGGCGTAGGATATCACATAGAGAGGGAGCTGAGTGTGTAAACTTGCCAGCTCGGGTCCCTCTTCCTCTTCTTAAAAAGCCACTAGTTTCACTGCCAAGATAACCCATTAATCTATTAATCCATTCAGGATGACATGCCTTCATGATCCAGTCACCTCTTGAAGGCCCCACCATGGGGATTAAGTTTCAACATGAGTTTTGGAGGGGACATTCAAACAATAGCAAGAGGGGTGATCGGATTACACAAGTACAGTGATAGGGTCATAGTAGAGAGATATCGAAGGCTATGTGGATAAGGAATAGTCTAACAGTGAGTAATGCTGATGAGACTGGTTGATAGAGGAAGATGATGATGTTACCTAGTATTTACAGGGCACAAGGCAGTCAAAGTGCCTTGCCATACTTTATCTCATTTAACCTCAGAATTGTACAACACAGGGCAGGATGATATCCGGCCTTTTTTTTTTTCTTTTTTTTAATATTTTATTTTGAGATAATTATGCATTCACATGCAGTTGTAAGAAATAATGCAGAGAGATTGCACATACCTGTTACTTAGATTCCTCTGATGGTTAACATCTTGCAAAACTATAACACAATATCATAATCAGGACCTTGACATTGATACAGTCAAAATTCTAAACAGTTCCATCACTGCAAGGATCACTCATGTTGTCCTTTTCTAGTCCTGCCCCTCCCAGTTCACTCTTTCATCTCACCCCACTTTAGTCCTTAGTCCTTAACTGCTGGCAACCACTAATCTCTTGTCCATGTTTATAATATTGTCATTTCAAGAATATTATAAAAATGGAACCATTAGCATGTAGCTTTTTAGGATTGGCCTTTTTTTTTCACTCAGCACAAGTCTCTGAAGACTCATTCAGGTTGTTGTGCATATCAATAGTGTATCCCTTTTTATTGCTGAGCAGTATTCTATGGTATGAATGTATGATGGTTCGGACATATGGGTTGTTTCCTATTTTAGGCTGTTATGAATGAAGCTGCTCTGAACATTCATGTATAGATTTTTGTGTATACAGGTATTTTTTAGAAAATAGAGATAAGCCAGGCATGGTGATGTGTACCTATAGTCCCAGCTACTCTGGAGGCTGAGGCAGGAGAATCTCTTGAGCCCAGAGGTTCAAGATGAGCCTGGGCAACATTTTGGAGATCCTGTCTCCAAAAAAAAAAGATGGAGGTAGTTTTTTGTAATGGCAAGATTGTACATTAGAAGATAGAAAAGTAGGTTTTGCATCTTACTAGGGAAGATACATGTATATTTCTCTCCCTTTGGACTGATCATTTAAGTTGTCTCAATTTCCTTATCAAGAAACTGGCATAATATATGTTCTGCCTACATCCCAGGGTGGTTGTATAGATAAACTGAGATAATATATGGCCTCCTCCCAAGTAACTGGGATTACAGGTGCGTGCCACCACGCTGGGCCAATTTTTGTATTTTCAGTAGAGACGGGGTTTCACTGTGTTGGCCAGGCTGGTCTTGAACTCCTGACCTCAAGTGATCCTCCCACCTTGGCCTCCCAAAGTGCTGGGATTACAGGCGTGAGCCACCGTGCCCGGCCTCAGAGTAGTTCTTAAATGGCAATCTAGAGACAACTCTTTTAGGCCATCTTGCTTTTTCTAATAATTGATGTGTAGATGTTCCTTTTATATTCTGTTTACTCATTGTTGACGATTATAGGTTGCAATACCTGCTCCCGGATTTAGTTTATCATCTTACTTTTAATTGAATTATTTGATATATAAGAAATTCCAAGTCCAAGCATGGTGGCTAACACCTGCAATCCCAGCACTTTGGGAGGCCATGGTGGGAGGATCACTTGAGTCCAGGAGTTTGAGACCAGCTGAAGCAACATATTAAGACTCTGTCTCTACCAAAAATACAAATAAGTTAGCTGGGCATGGTGATGCACTCCTATAATCCCAGCTACTCAGGAGGCTGAGGTGGGAGGATCACTTGAGCTCTAGAGGCCAAGGCTGCAGTGAGCCGTGATCATGCCTCTGCACCCTAGTCTGGGTGACAGAAGGAGACCCTGTCTCAAAAAAAAAAAAAAAAAAAAGAAAGAAATTCCAAATTTAATATAGTCAAATTTACTTTTTGTTAAAGAAATTAATTTTCTTTACTGTTTTGATTTATTTAAAAGACAAACACACACAATCATAAGGATATTCTTCTATATTTTCACCTACACATTTTGCCTTTCACATAACGTCTTGAATAAACAAGGAGTAAATTTTCGTGAACAGCGTGAGGTAGGGATCTAACTTTATTTTATATTCCATGTGGCTATATTTATTAAAGGGTTCATCTTTTTCCCCATTGATTTGTAATGTCTCATTTGTACATACATTAAGTTTATTATACATATTTGTGGGCAAGATGAGTTCTCCATCATGCTGTAGCGGTGCTGCCGCTGGATGTGCATCAGGGGTTGCTGATGAGGGAGTCAAATATTTTCCCCTTTGAGGTAGCAGCACTAGGCTGTCCCCACAGCTCCAACCAGAATAGCTCTGCTTTTATGTTCACGATATTGGGTGTCCCGCTAAGATTTTATTTGAATAACTTTTTAGATGGAACAATTTTAAAAGTTAAAAACTACCATTTTTAAACAAATTACATTTTGGATCGTTTTTTGAGATAGCAAGGGTTTCGTCTCTCATCTTGGGTTGGATGAAAAGTGTAAGACAACACAGAACTCAGAACCTAGCAGCGAGGGAAGTGCCTGTTTTTCAAAGGGAAAGGAATGTGTTATTTTGCAGTTGTCAGTAGTTCCAAATATATCAACTATTCCACAAAATAATGAGTATGTAGTTTCCGTGAGAGACTTAGAACTGTCTAGAGCCTAGTCCTTATTGTCTGTGATCATAGAAACCATGGAGAAAAAAAGCCTACCTATACGAAAGTAGTTAAAAAAAAAAATAACCCACAGCAATACAAGAAATGACATCAGCCAGCAGATGACTGAAAATGAGTGGTGTTGATAAGAACTTGAGGAATTTTGAGATGGGAGAGGTGTGGGCCAGAATGAATAAGACCTTGATTTATGGACTAGGATTTGGCTAAGTCGAGAGTAGGAGGAAAGAACAGAGGCAGTGTGTCTTCCCTCAGTGGAGTTCCCACAGCCCCCACCGTGCTTACCGCTCCTGCATCACTTCCTACACCCTAATACAATGATGGTTTTATCCACCCTCACCCCCACCCCCATGCTCCTTCCCCCAGACTACACTCACTACCAGAAAGCTTGTGAGTTCTTTGAGGGTGGACAGTGGGCAGCCTGTCATTTCAACATTCCCAGCCTCCTGCACCATGTTTGCATG
This sequence comes from Homo sapiens, assembly GCF_000001405.40. Classification (NCBI taxonomy): domain Eukaryota; kingdom Metazoa; phylum Chordata; class Mammalia; order Primates; family Hominidae; genus Homo; species Homo sapiens. The sequence goes on from NC_000001.11 coordinate 121,206,316, forward strand.
TGGTAGGCACCCAATAAATGTGTGCTGAGTGAGGGAGTAGACTCTTGGGCTGGAGCAGAGGAGTTATAGACAGAGGAGTAAGATCGAAGTGGATAGTTTTTGATGACCTTGAAGATCAGCCAGAGTCTGGCTTCATACTGGGGCAACAAAGATCAGTGGGGGCACTCTGAGTTGAAGAGTGATGAAGTGTGATGAAGTCATTTCAGAGGGACTCCCTGGTTGCTCTGAGTTGCCTGGCTGGGGGCAAGAGGCTTGTTCCTGCCCACACAGCATACCAGGCCTTGTGGTGGGTGCTGCAAACATGCTGTTAAATGTGATCAATTACTGGAGTCACCTGTGAGGGAATTGCGAGTCCCCATTTACTGAACAAGAAATTTGAGTCAGGCAGATGATCCGAGGTGATGGTGACCCATGATGGAATGGGGACTGCAGCTCAGGTCTGTCCAACTCTAAAGCCTGCTGGTTCTTTTATCTTGGATATTATGTTTGACCACACTGTAATCAAGAGATACCACTAAGATGGGAAGATGAGCTGCCGAGATGGGTGTGGGGCCTAGGGGTGAAGTAAGAGTCAGGAATGCCTGAGGTTTTTAGTTTGGGAGACAGGGAGAACGATGGTGGCAATGGCAGAAATAGACATATGGAAGCCAGGAAGAGGTGCAGCAGTTGGTGAGAGAATGAGCATTATTTTAGATACCCTGAGTTTGAGATGACAGTTCCATTCAAGCAGGAATTTCATTAGGCAAGTGACAATGCCACCCCCATCCGCCTTTCATTAAATCTGTCATTTTCTTTTCTTCTAAATTGGGAATGTTGCAGAGAAACTGTGAAATAGATGACACCCCTTTTACGTGCCAAATACCTGACCTCCTTTTGCAGCTTCTTACCTTTCACTTTCAGAAATATTCTCCCTTGAAGGGGCTTCGTGTTTGTATGCAGGAATTAATAGCATTTTCTTTCCCTGTGCCCTGTAGGGAAAGAGCACAGCTAAACAAGGAGAGAGAAAACTGGAGTTCTGAGCTGCCTTGCTCCGAGTTTGGTTGGAGGCCCCTTATGAGGGTCAGCTGGGAATGAAAGAAAAGTCAAGTCAAGCCCTGCCAGCACCCTCCACCACCTGACCTCCCATGGGTGACTGAAGAGCCAGCTAATGAACAAGTTCTTTTAAAGGCAGCCTGGGGAGTGTGGGAGAGGCTGAGTTCAGCAAAACATGACTAGGTGGTGCTGGTGCTGTTTCAGGGTGTGGAGGCAGAAGTGGTTGATCTCCTTAATTTGAATAACTTTGGAATGGGGAGATGGCGCTTTGATAGAGGATTTGATTGGAGATTTTGATTGTAGGATATGTTGAAAGAGGGGATCAGGCTAAAACCATTTATAGGAAATTATATTTCAGATATTGGCAGTTGAACTTAATGTATTCTATTCTCACTTCCAAAGGCTTTGAATTTTTAGTGTTATTTCTATTTTGAGGAGAGTGGCCTATGAGTACTTCTCATCCAATGTGTTCAATCCAAGGAGACTATAGGAGTTATTACTCTCCTCCTTTATAAATTCTTTCTGTGTAACAGAGATTACCCACAGTTGGCTTGAGAGTTTTACACCACAGTTTGGTAGAAAAAAGACCACTCAGCTGGAGGTCAGAGGCTTGGGTACCAGTGGTAGCTCTGACCCTTGCCATCAACTATGTGGCCCTGGGTAAGTCTCTAACCTCTCCTGGCCTCAAGCCTCTTCAGATATAGGATGAACATATAATTCCTACATCTAGGAGTTGCTGTGTTGACTAAATGAAGTAATGCTTGTGTATCAGCTTTGCAAATTACATAACCCAAACAAATATATATTAAGATTTTATTTGCTGCAACAGAAGAAAGTGGACCATCTCTTGGTGTTTGTTTTGATGAGACTTGACCTATATAACACTGGCTCAAGTATGTTTGTTAAAGTGAATCACCTGTTGCTTTCTGGGCCATACTTGAAATGACGTGCCGTGTTACAGTGAACCCCTTTTGCACCGCCCCAAGTTCAGGTTGCCCTTACACAATTTGGGCGAGATAGATGAACACGCACCTTCCTCCTTCTTAGAAACAAAACAGTGACTTGGGTAGGGTAGACATTAGGAAAGTGACTTAGCTGGTAAATATGTGATTAATAATGGAGATTTGGCCTAAGCATGAGTGCGAGCCTCTGAATACGGATGGGTAAATGATAAATAGCAAGTCTGCCAGGTTGAGCACATTGGGGAACCTCTTGGGCTCTGTTCATGCTTGAAGTATGACTGTGCCAATACTGTATTCGCTATTTAACAAAATGAGGTCATACCAATCACACTATTTTGCACGTATTTGTTTACACATCTCTTGTCTGCTAAGCTATGAGCTCTTTGAGAGCAGGGACTGTTTCTGTTTATCGTTGTTTTCTAGCATCTAGCAGAGTGCTTAGCATATAATAAATGTGTATTGGATGAATGAATGAACGAATGAAATTCCTTGCATTTTTATTCGGTTAGAGAGATTTTTTGAAAGGCATATATGTGGGATTATTTGTGCCGTCATCTGCTAATTTCACAGATGTCTTCTCAACTGTAGACCTTCATATAAGGGAAAGACCTATTTACGCATAGTTGAGTTGCAGCTGCTGCTGCCCTGGCCTGATGGCACAGTGGTGAGGGCTGTCTCAATATCTGTCCCATGTCTCTTTCATAGAATAATACCCTCCCTCAGCCCCTTTTCCCTGTATCTTCCTTTCAAGGGTTGCTGTGTAGTTAACTCTGCCTCAGGCAATTTATCTTATCTGTACTTTTCTCTTCCTCATTCCTCTTCTCTTTTCCAGTGCTTGTCCAGTAACCTCAAGGAAATCTGTTCCAACCCTTCTTTGCTGTTGGTGTATTCCTATTCATGAGTTAAATCCCAAACAAAACATACTCTAATCAGGGCAGTCGAACTTGAAAAGAGTCAGTGAGAAATCTGAAAGGAGGAAAAGCCTGGCCACGAGGCTCCAAGTGAAATGAAAGCCATAAACACCAGCTTCGTCAACCTTGAAAGCTTCTAAAAGTGCCCCTAAGCCTCCTTTTGAATCACTAAAAGTTTTCACTTACCTCCCTGTCTTTCTCAGATAAAATTTCCTCTTTCTCAGCCATGAGTCTTAAAAAACAAAGCAAAACAAAACACTTCACACCTGCTTCTTATTCAGTTTTACACTAGTGGAAAGAGAATGGGATTTAGAGTTGGAAGGCCAACGTGAGCGTCCTGCTGCCACTTAGTAGCTGTGTGACTCTGTATAAGCTTCTAGGCTTTCTGTGCCTCAATTTCTTCAACCGTTGACAATATGACCGTGTATCATCACATAATACACTATGATGTGAAGTTTATGTAGATGAAGAACTCTTTCAAGCTCACAAAGCACCAGATACATGTCAGATATTTCTAATGTTACACCAGTTTTTAATATCATGTTTCATTTCACATACGGTACTTGATATCTCAATTACATTAGAGGTTAAAACAGTTTTCTACCAGCATGAGAACTGAAACACGATAGCATGCCTTTTATGGCGAAATGTGTTTGAACTTCAAACAACAAATATATAAAACTTATTATGCAATACACCCTATCAGCAAATTAATTGAAGGCTGCCTCTAGATTGTTAGGTGTGGATGACAGGAACTTTATTTCATACTTCTTTTGTACATGCCATTGCTGTTTAACAGTGTTGGGTTCATAACAGGTGATTAGACAGTCTTGTTGATAGTTTGGAGAACGATCTTAATCATGACCTAGAATCATTCTTATTTCACAGCAACCTGTGTCTTGACTAATGTTAAACTGACTAATTTGTTTTGAAGCTGAGAATGAGAAATTGGAGGTCCTTCTCATAGATCTGAGATTCCTTTTTATTCCCGAGTTGGATAAATTAGGGTAAACAAAATCAAATACTTGTAAAAATACTGTACAAAGGAATGACATATGTATGCTGGTTCCCTAGCAGGGTAATTCCATCAGCGCTTTAAAAAAAAAAAAAAAGATTACATTCCTTCTCAACCAGCCAAAGGAGCCATTTTCCAATCTCTTATCTTGTTGGGGTGTGTTAGAAAAATATACCAAGTGCAAGAACCTGTAAGCCTGGGGTTCATTAACCTGCTTAAAACCAGTTTTACTTCAAATAGGTGATCTTTAGTGTCAACCGTTGTACTTTTGTCTGCAGGGAACAACTCAAGTTTCGTCCTGTCCTCAGTAAGCAGATGAGAGGTAGGGTTGACGTTAGAAGCCAAGTTTTTGTGGAGCAATAAGGTAAAATTATGAAGGAAGCCTATAGAATTCCAGGAGAGTTTAAAGAAAACAGTAGAATACTTTCTTAGCAAGGGTATGGGTGGGCTTCTGAGTGGAGGAAGCAGGCTAGACCTTGGGATGTTCCAGTCCAAATTCTGTTTCGGAAGCTCCCTAAATGTATGCAGAGGTTGTGTAATTGTATTCATCACTGTTGAATGTATTATTGGTTTGATTTGGTTTCACTGCTCCTAAGTTCCTTTTGTCTTATCTTGCAAGCATATCACTGTGAGTACTTAAATCATTAACAACTCATTAAAACTCTTGACCATTTTCATTTTCTACCAAGCTGAAGCCTGGGTGTGGTGGAAACTTGTGCAGGCCTGCTTGGCTGTGCGGCAACTGAGCAGCTCCTAGCAGTTTGGCTGTCAAAAGGCCACTGAATAAACAAATTGATAGGAATGGCGGACATAATCTCTGCAGTTCCTTGAAAAGAAGGAAGGGGCTGCAGGATACAGGATAGTGAAGGATCCTTCTCTTCAACCTGAAGGACTCTTCAGCAATTAACACCTTGACTCTCTTTTTATGCAACACTTTTTTTTTTGTCCTCTCAGAGACTATTTGTACTTGGTCTTTTCTTCTTTCAGGATTTCTATAGCTTCTTTTAGAGACTCAAAGTGCTTCCAGTTTTGTTACCTCATTTATTCTCTAGGGGCAGGAATTAAGGTCTTGATGGAGATGAAGTGGTACATCACTTACTGGGCTGTGGAGGCAGTCTACAACAGGCAGTTGCAGCAGTTCTTCTGGTTACATGTTGAGAGAGAGATATATATATACACATACACACACACACACACACACACACACACACACACACACACACACATCTTACCTTATTTAGGATCTCCCAGAAGATAATTTTAAGTATTTGTAATTTCTATATATTTTAAATAGCTGATTTATGCCTCATAAGTAAAGAAAAAAGGTTTCTCTGCTTTTGACTTGAATTGTTGAACTATTTGTCCCTTGGTAAACTGATCAGTTGCCGTGCAGATTGAGAGAAAGCCATTCAGTCAATCAAAATGTTTCTACTGCATTGGCATGCTTTGTAATGGAAATGAAAATGACAGCATGTTTTTGTCAGTTTAAATGAATAGGTTTCCTTTAGATCGATGCTGAAGTTGGTATTATAGGTATCTAGCCTATGAATGCTAATAATTAATTACGGAAATGCCTCATGGAAGCACTTGAACTTACCCCTGCATCTTACAGATATATCTGCCTGTTGGTGAAGTGTATGCCAGCGTTGACATTTCTTGTGAGTACTGGCATGACCCATGACACAGCCTCTGTGGTACCAGAGGGCCCTACACTGTCTTCAGAGACATTCAGTTCAGTGCATTTTAAAAAATTCATTCATTCAATCACTAATTCATTCATGTACTCAACACATGATTATGTATGCCTACTATGTACCAGGCTCTGGTCTGGTGCTAGAGATAGAGTTATTAACAAGACCGAGGAAGTCCCTGCTTTCATGGAGCTGTATTTTTTTTTTTTTTTTTTTTTTTTTGAGACGGAGTCTCGCTCTGTCGCCCAGGCTGGAGTGCAGTGGTGCGATCTCGGCTCACTGCAACCTCCACCTCCCGGGTTCAAGCAATTCTCCTGCCTCAGCCTCCCAAGTAGCTGGGACTACAGGCGCCCGCCACCACGCTCGGCTAATTTTTGTATTTTTTAGTAGAGATGGGGTTTCACCATATTGGCCAGGCTGGTCTCAAACACTTGACCTCGTGATCTGCTTGCCTCGGCCTCTCAGAGTGCTGGGATTACAGGGGTGAGCCACCATACCCAGCCCAGAATGGTATTCTTAATGTATGGACTTAAAAGGAGCATTTGCAAGGAAGAGTGGCAGTGGCAGTATTGTATGGGGAGCTCTGATTCTCATTTATGCAAGATATGTAATGCCTTTCTAAAGAATAGTGTTGCTACTTACAGCTCGGGCTTGGAGATAAGACCCACTACTCTGCAGGTCCACTTGAACTTCTTTGTAAGCCCACTTGAAATAATCTGGAAGAGTTTCAAGCTTTGGTACCCTATTTGCCAACAGCTGGGTACAAAACCACCTATTGGGTATGATTTTAGGGCTATTGTCAAGGTCCCTGAAGGTGGATAGACTGAAGACATCTCTTCTACTGGTAGCTTTATCTCTTTAAAACATTCTTTTATTGTATCTCACTCAAAAGACTAGCTGTTTATTTATACTTTAGTATGAGATTCCATTTGTTTCTTTACAAGGTTTTGATAAGGGTCTAAGACTACTAGATGCCAGTTTAGTGAGGGAGGGCACTCTGGGGGAAGTAAGCAGGTATATGGGGCTAAAATCAAAAGGTTGAAGCACCTCCAGTTTGACCTACTTAACAATTTTGCTTAGCCTTGAACTCTTGGCCTCTCTGATAATTAGTTTTCTAATTTTTTTTTTTTTTTTTTTTAGACAGTGTCTTGTTCTGTTGCCCAGGCTGGAGTGCAATGGCATGATCTCAGCTCACTGCAACCTCTGCCTCCCAGGTTCAAATGATTTTTGTGCCTCAGCCACCCCGGTAGCTGGGATTACAAGCGTGTGTCACCATGCTCTTGTAATTTTTGTATTTTTAGTAGAGACAGAGGTTCGCCATGTTGGGCAGGCTGGTCTTGAACTCCCGGCCTCGAGCAATCCACCTGCCTCTGCCTCCCAAAGTGTTGGGAGTACAGATGTAAGTCATCATGCCCGGCCTCGTTTCCTAATTTTAAAAATGAAATTGTTGGAGTAGATCATCACAATCCCTTTTAGTTAAGTCTGCTCACTTGGTAGATTTGTACCTAACTGCCCAACTGCCCAGGCTTTGGTGTTTTTCCCCATTCTGTGCTTTGGTGAGGAGATCCTGCGTTTTCTTTCCGTTTCCTTTGCCAGAAAGAGCTCCCTGTGGCAACATAGAAAATATCAACTCACTGATTTCCCCAGAAAGGGAAGAGTCCATAGCTTCAGAATGGTATCTGCCCTGGTGTCTGCATTCTGGTCAGGCGGCTGCGTTCAGCGTCTGTGCTCCCGGGCTGGGGTGCTTATCTGTAGTAGCCAGATGGCCTGGGCGCTCACAGTAAGTTACGTTTACATAGTGGAGAGGTGAGCAAGCAGATAGTCTGAAGCAAGGAGAAAGAACACTCCAGTCAAGGTTTTCCAGAGGAAAGATTTTGAACCATCGTCAATTAAATAAAACAGAATCTTCTCAAGATCACCAGAAAATACATAGCCAGGGAGATCCCAAGTATTGTGGAACCAACCTAATTATAGTTACCTCCTATTTGCTTAGCATTTTGTGCTTTTAAAAATGGGTCTTATTTCATATCTCATCTGATCTTAAATATCTTGTGAGCTAAGCAGGTCAGAAATTATCATTATTATTATTTTTTGAGACAGAGTCTCACTCTGTTGCCCAGGCTGGAGTACAGTGGCATGATCTTGGCTTACTGCAACCTCCACCTCCTGGGTTCAAGTGATTCTCCTTCCTCAGCCTCCCAAGTAGCTGGGATTACAGGTGTGTGCCACCATGCCCAGCTAATGTTTGTATTTTTACTAGAGATGGGGTTTTGCCATGTTAGCCAGGCTGGTCTCGAACTGATCTCAGGTAATCCACCAGCCTCGGCCTCCCAAAGTGCTGGGATTACAGGCATAAGCCATCTCACCTGGCCAGCAGGTCAGAAATTAGTAATCCCATTTAAAATATGAGAAAACTGAAGCATTAGGTAGGCTAAGTGACATGGCCAAGGTCACACAGTTAATAGGGCAGGATCAGAATTTAGAATGCATGTTTTTTCTTTTAAAAACAACTTTATTCAGGTATAATTTATGTGCAATAAAATTCACTATTTGAAACCTATAGTTCAATGAGTTTTGACAAATGGTATATACTTGTGTAGCCACAATTATAATCAATAGGTTGAACATTTCTATCACCCCAAAAAGTCCCTTCACGGTCCTTGGCTTTAATCTTCCTCTTTCCTTCCCCAATTCCCCCTGTCTTTTGATGTCTAATGCAATGCTCTTTTCACTGTCCCACACTCGGACTTGACAGCCCTTCAGCCATATCCTTCTGGAGAGAGTCCTGGCTGGCAGCCAGCCTGCCTCATCATGTTGAGTTATGAGAGTGAATGGGAAGTTAGTGGGTTGCTTACTCCATTGTTAGTTCCTTCCTTCCCTTCTTTTACCAGCTCCAGGCTATAGAAAAATTATGTGGGTTCTCCTTCCCAGGAGAGCTTGAAAAACAGGACACCAGCTCACCTGTCTGCTCTTGCTTCCTGGTAGCCTGCTGCTGGGGAGGGGTGGGAATGAGCAGGAGGTGGTGGGGTGGTGGACTAGGCGACCTCTAGAGGATGCTCTACTTCTGTATCGTCTGCTCAGTCTCGATCTCCTTAGAAACCAGCTAGCTCTCTGCTGCCTAGTTGCAGTTCCCCAAGGCTTTAAGCAGTCTGAATTCCATATCTGATGAATGAATCCCAAAGGTGTTGAAGATCCCAGTTCTGAAAAATGAGCAAACCCCAAGTTTTATAATAGAAACTTTCATAGCAGATCGGGTCCTAGACAGATCCCTCCCTCTGTAACTGAGTTAGGTTTTGAGGGGAGATATCCCCCATTATACTGTTCCTAAATCCTAGATTTTGACTGTAGTGTTCGGGACATTCCGGAGAGTCACATTGTTTACCCAGGTGCTGGACCAGAGTTGCTCCCCGGCGTTGCTGTGTGGCATCCAGCAAAGGCAGGTTGGGAGCCTGCTCCTTTTCATAGCCAGCTTTGCCTCCATACCAGCAAGATGGAAGATAGGTGCCTTCACTAAGCCCCTCAGGTGGCCACAGGATATGATCCAGAATGGTGGTCTCTACTTTTCTATTTGCTCCTATTTAGCCACCCAGTTTGGGAGTAGCCCTGTGTATTATGATTATCTCTTTCATTCATTTTGGGCTATTTGAGTTTTTAGGGCCCTTTCCTATCCATTATCTCCTGTTCTCAATAAGTCTGATATCTTCTGTTAGAGTAAAAGCTCCATCTCCTCTGATCTAAGACAGCTGCAAGGACAGGACAGACTCAGATTTCTTCTCTGCAAAGGCTCCTGTTAAATCTTGGGCCCTATGGTATTGATTTTCTTCTAGTTATCTCTACAAATTTTTCTGGCTTTGCTGAAGGGGGAAAAAATCACCAGACTGCATGCTTGAGCTTCAGGTTTCTCCTTAGCTGGCAGCCTCAACCAGAAAAAAATTCTTTTTGAGAGCACTGAGCCTCAGGCACTGGTTTTGCCCTGTACTCCCCAGTGTCTAACTCTTAACAGCTGTTGGCCATCCCTGGCCTCCATCTTTACTTTGCTGCATACCTCAGCTTGATGAGTCCTTGATGTTGACTCCTTGACCTTACTGCCATCTTCTTTCCCCTGCAGGGGCCTCTTGAACTATGGGGAGCTTAGAAAACAGTGGGCTTCCTGTGTTTTGTCTACCAGCAAAGCTGGGTACCTGAATCCCCATGTCACAGTGCTGCATGGCTGACTCCAGTATTCTTCAGGAGACACAGTAGCAGGAACAGAGACTTAGTTGAAAGCCCCAAGTGTGTATATCTGAAGTGTTTGTACAAAGATGGGGGCAGAGAGCTGCTCATGTCTGCAAAGAGGGACAGTCCCACTTTTGCAGAGGTGACAGTCCACAGCAATGCTGTCTCTTCCATTTCTCATTGGGGTTAGGTTTCCAAAGGTCCATGAAGGTTTTATTCGTTTTTGTGCCCCAAGAGAGCTTTCCATAGTAATGAAAGAAATGTTAAGAACTGCAGGAAATGGGTAAGATTATAGATGGCCAAGGAAAGTGGCAAGGAACAAAAAAAGACAATGTATTTTAAAGGAAAACTTTTTGGAGCTATTTCATGGATGCTGCTGGTCACCTGGGGAAATCTTGGATTTATTTGACAGTTCCCATTTTCCACTTAGGCTTCATGTATACATGGGTTTGGGAGCTAGGAAGGGGAATAATACCCTCCCCAAAGAGCTGTGGCTGAGCTCCCAGTCCCCAGGACCAAATTGAGCTGTTGCAGCTGGGAAGCAGATTGGTGCAGCCCTCCCCAAAATGCTCACAGCCCTGTGGTTATTTCCTGTCTTTTTCCCCTTGTATATTCCTCTTTGCAGCTTGTATCTTCCCTTTCTACAGGAAATCTCAACCGCCTAGCCCATGGGCCTGGTTGGGCTGCTGTCTCCTTCCTTTATTCTTCATAGCCCTTAATCACTTCTCATTAGTGGACTCCCTGGGAGGGAGGGAAGAAGGGTTTTGTTCTGATGCCAGCCTCCTGGAAGGGCTGTATCCCACCAAGACAGATGGCTGCCTAGCCTATTTTTAACTGTCTCTGGGGAAGAAGATTCCACAACCTATTTTGAAACCTGTTTCATTGATTGACAGCTTTCCAGTTAGGAATTTCTTGCTGATACCTGACTTAAAATTTGACAGCTATAGTTGAAACTCATTTCCTTTTGTTTCTTTGAAATCATAGAGTTTGGGAAAGAGAGGGATTTTAATTAGAAGTCGTCTAGGCCTACCCCTAATGAAGAAATTAAGTTGAAGTTGAAACTGAAAATGCCTCCTCATCCTCTCATTGAGGATCCCATCAGTTTTGGGGTCTGCCTTTGAAATCACACATTTGGGTACCATTCTGTAGGAATCAATTTAATTTTCAGGGGAAAAAAAGTGTTCTGGAGCTGGAAGTTTAGAGCGCAAGTAAGTCGTTAATACGACTTACTCTATTTTGTTTGTAGTGAGAAAGTTAAATGGTGCTTATAGAATTACCTTGCCTCTATTGGCAGAGAGTAAAAATAAACTGAGCTCTCAATATACAAAGACTTCCCCAGTTCTTTTCCTTTCGCTCATATCAATGCCTGTCTTTAAAGAAAAAAAGAGGGTTATTTTTCTCTCCTCCATCAGTGGGATTCTCTGTATTTTAAATATCTTTTTTAAGACTAATGTCAGGTGACTCAAATTCCACTGAAGTCTCTCTTTTTAGTTGTCTTTCTGCTGCTGCAGACTTCTCTTGACATGAGACTCTGTGCTGCTTCTCTTGACAGACTGCATCTCGATGGCAGAACACTGGTAAGAAGCTAATGATGTTGGTTCTGTTTCAGTGTGTGGAATCTTGTTATGTGGTATAGAAGTCCAGCATTCTAGGCAAATAAACCGAAAGGTATTAGACTGACTATAAAGGGGTCTTGGGAAGGGATCTTACTCCTCTTTGATAGTTGGTACTTGTACCTTTTCTCAACACCTGCGACATTTTCTTTTTCCAGAGATAGCATCACATGTCAAGGTGGAACATCAGATGCTTGGATCAACCAATGAGTTGTATCCAGACCTGTGACCAAAACTGAGGTGGCATTTGGGATATCATTCACCTTTTGGTCTGTGCTTCAGGCCATGAGTAGTTAGTGTATAGCGCATGTTCACAGGCATTAGCATCTCAGTCTTTTGAAATATGGCTAAAATTTAGTATTCCACCTGCACTTGATCTACTTGAGAAGTATTTAACAGGTCTATTTTATAAAATCCCAAGGCAGCCTTTTCTGCTACCTGCTTGGATTGGGCTGCATGAATATAAACTCATTTTGCTATCAGCCTGAGAAATAGGCAGGTATACTGGAAACACCTTCTTATCTGGGGCAATTGGACTAGTAATTGGTCAGTTAATTCCAAAAGTCAGTTAAAACAGAGAGTCTTTAAAAACGAAGACAAAACTGTTCTCAAGCATTTTATTTATTTTAATTTTTTTTTGAGACAGGGTCTCTCTATTATTGCCCCAGCTGGTCTCTAACTCCTGGGCTCAAGCCATCCTACAGTCTCAGCCTCCTGAGTAGCTGGGATTACAGGCACATGTCATCATCTAGCTAGCATTTTATTTTAACTTAAAAATATGTAAATGCCAGCCTGGCCAACATGGTGAAACCCCGTCTCTACTAAAAAAAAAAAAATACAAAAATTAGCTAGGTGGGTGGCAGGTGCCCGTAATCCCAGCTACTCGGGAGGCTAAGGCACGAGAATCTCTTGAACCCGGGAGGCGAAGGTTGCAGTGAGCCGAGATCACACCACTGCACTCCAGTCTGGGCGACAGAGTGAGACCCTGTCTCAGAGGGGGAAAAAAAAAGTGAATGTACACGTATTCACAAATCTTTTTATGTGGGCCAGGGCTTTTTCTTAAAGTGTGGATCTTTCAAGTAGAGTTCAGTTGACTTTCTTTCATAAATTATACACTTAACATTTGATCTGTGATTTCCAGTTTAAGTGAACCAAGTTCTTAAATACATTTGAGAAATGAAGGGCAGAATTCTTCCAGATTTTTAAGCTCCACCACTACAACCTTTTACTGTTGTCTTGCCCATATCTAATTCAGGAGGAATTTTTTTTAGCAACTTGCCTTCAAATTTCTTCCAAGCATTCAACCTCTTTTTCATAGAAATAACTTTTTTATACTCATATTTCACTTGTTTGTATTATATAAGAATTTAATATGTAATTAAAATAACAAGTATACCTAGCGTGAACTAACTACTGACCCTGAAGCAGCCAACCTGGCTGGTGGGAGTAGATGTGAGTAATACACAACCAGCCTCCAGTGTGCTATGCAACTCAGCCAGTTTATTTTGAAGAGAAGTTGGTATGTCACATAAGCTGGCAAGTCAGTTAAGAAAGTATCACCCGTATGTTTCTCTCCTTTTTGCCTCTACTGATTGCTATGGGATTTTTATCTTAGCACCTGTTATCATAATTCCTCTATTAAACTATAAGCTTTTGGATGGCAGGGCCCTTTTCTTACTTATGTGTGTATCTCCAGTGTCTCCTGATATAGTGTCTGGCCTATAGTAGGTGCTCAGAAGTACTAACTAGACATATATATGTCTTAGTTCAGTGCTATATATTTGTTGGTGCCAAACAGCTCTTTATTGAATAGATGGATATATGTATGTATTACTGCACATAATGTACTCAAAATCCAAATGAGAACCTATAGAGTATCTATTTTTTAGGATTTTTGCCATACTGGTTCCTTGTGTTTGCATGAAAAACTGAAAATTGACTGTGGAGCTTTTAGGCTTGGGTTGGAACAATATGTATTTTAGAAAGATTACTCTCTTAATAATAACTACAACTCATTCTTAGAATAATAAAAATCATATCAGTACTAAGTAATATTTATCAACTGCTTACTGTGTGCCAGGCAGTATGCTAAGTGTGTATGTTATCTTAGTTCATATCTACAGCCCTGAAAGAAGACACAACAAGGCATGTTGTGTTATTATTTCCATTTATAGATGAGGTCTCTTTGGGAGCCAGCAAGGAGGTGGTACAAGGTCTAATCTTTGAACAGTTGAGAAATGGGTAGTTTGTTTTCATAGTGCTGCTTCTTATTTTCAAGGTTGAGGGCCCTTCTAGGCGAGGTGAAAGGAACCCTTAAATCTAGAGACTGCCTAGAGGGAGAAACTGACACTTACTTTTGGCTTTCTGGGAACCAGGGTAGGTCCTCTCTTAATTGAAGAGAATTAATAGGATCCTGTGGCTGGGCATTGGGCAGAGTGTTTGAATAGCTGCTGGCCATGGTAGGTAAAGCCAAAGTGGCAGTGAAAACAAGCTACTGTGGGACATTAGACCCTGCCTGTCACTTTTCTTCCCAGGCCACTCACTTGTTGGAGGGCCCTTCTGAAACTCCTCTTGCTCTGTAGTCTGGATGCTTGTGAACAAGCTGCTTGCAGGTGCCGAAACAAACAGCAGTGTGGGTCTCAGGGCCTGGGCTTGGAAGCTGGGCAGAGGGTGGAAGGGCTCCATTTGGGAGCAGTGTTGATGGAAGTGATTTTTCTAGCTGAGGTGCGAGGTTGGTTCTGAGCTGAATTTAAGAGAAGGCTATGGTCTTTTGTCCTTCCACACTTTTGGGACCCAGCAGATACTACAAATGCAATCTTTACAAACCCACTCACTGCCAGAAATGAATCTAAAAAAGTGCTAGTCTGTGGGCCTCTTGGTCAGGAAGGTGACAGCAGTGGCAACAGCAGAAAAACCAATCAAACAAACAAAATGCCTGTGGGCTGGCAAACAGAATTTCTTTGCAAGGTTAATTCTGAATGTCAGACTCTTTCCTTTTTTGTAGGTTGGAAGGAGGCAGCAGCAAAGGGAAAGAGATAGCAGTTGGAGGCCACCTTCTTTAGTCCCCCTTCCCCAAAGAAGAGCCGTAGCTAGTATTGTGGTTGGCATTAAATTGATATAAAGACACCCTGGCCTGGAAGTTAAAAGTTTTTTTTCTTTCTTTTTTGAGACAGAGTCTTCCTCTATCGCCCAGGCTGAAATGCAGTGGCATGATCTTGGCTCACTGCAACCTCCACCTCCTGGGTTCAAGCAGTTCTTGTGCCTCAGCCTCCCGAGTAGCTGGGACTACAGGCATGCGCCACCATGCCCGACTGATTTTTATATTTTTAGTAGAGACGGAGTTTCACCATGTTGGCCAGGCTGGTCTTCAACTCCCAACCTTAGGTGATCTGACTGCCTCAGCCTCCCGAAGTGCTGGGAATTACAGGCATAAGCCATTGCTCTCAGCCGAATGAAAAGATTTTTGATGTACTTTTTAGCCAGAGGGAGTTTATGCTGCTGTGTGGCCAGTTTTTCCACATGTCTGCAACAGTTACAATTTTTGACAGATATCTTGAGAAGATTATAGATTTTGATAGAGGCAGTAACTTTATTAGCAAGACTGATTTCATATTAGAATGAAATCTCTGGGTCTTTTTTGGATTACTTTATGTTCCTTAAAAAGAAAGACATTGGGCCAGGCACGGTGGCTCACGCCTGTAATCCCAGCACTTTGGGAGGCCAAGGCGGGCGGATCACGAGATCAGGAGTTCGAGACCAGCCTGACTAACATAGTGAAACCTCGTCTCTACTAAAAATACAAAAAAATTAGCTGGGCATGGTGGTGGGCGCCTGTAATCCCAGCTACTCAGGAGGCTGAGGCAGGAGAGCTGCTTGAACCCGGGAGGCAGAGGTTGCAATGAGCTGAGATCGCACCATTGCACTCTAGCCTGGGCAACAGAGTGAGACAACGTCTCAAAAAAAAAAAAAAAAAAAAAACATTGACTGGTCTTGGCAGTCTTTGGGTTTTATTCTGAACTGTGTAGAGTTGGCCAACTCAGGAATTCTAGACTAGGGAGAGAATTTTGCAGTGCTTTTGAGCATGTCTGTGTAAATGTGCTGTACTCATCACTATAGAATGGTTCTCCAGTTTGGCTGTAAACTCATGGAGCTGGCTCCTTGAAATGCTAGCGTCCTAGCCATGCAAGCATGCAAGCAAACAGAATTTGTTCACACCTAGGCCATATGTGGATGTCACTCTTCTTCAGTTTCATATCCAGTTTCTGCTTGCCTGAGCTAGAAATGAAGTCATCCAGCACTCACAAAACCTCTGGCCTTAGAGGCTTAAAAACAAAAACAAAACAAACATAGCAACTATCCCATACCACCTTAGTGAGGTGGATATTATTGTCCTCTTTTCAGAAGTGAGGAAACTAAGGCTCAGAAATTAAGATATGTGCTCATGGTCACACAGGTCCTAGGAACTGGGATCCAGGATCCCAAAGTCTGCCTCTAAAGCCTATGCTTTTCCCATAGGGCTGCTGAACCTGACCTTTGCACTTTGCCATTTATGTTACTTCTTCCATTCCTTGGAAGTAAATTGAAATGGGTTTGGGTTGGCGCTGTGGCTCACACCTGTAATCCCACCACTTTGGGAGGCTGAGGTGGGTGGATTGCTTGAACCCAGGAGATCGAGAGCAGCCTGGGCAACATAAGGAGACCCCATCTCTACAGATAATTTAAAAATTAGCTGGACTTGGTGGCGCCCAACTGTGGTCGCAGGTACTTGGGAGGCTGAGGCAGGAGGATCACCTAAGCCCGGAAGGTCGAGGCTACGGTGCTGTAATCATGCCTCTACACTCTGGCCTGGGTGAAAGAGCAAGACCCTGTCTCAAAAACAAGCTAACAAAAAAACCCCTAAAAAACAAAAGAAATGGGTTTGAGAGAGAAGAAGAGAAAGAAACTTAACTGTGGGTGTTCATAGTTAGGTACTAGTGGAGGACCACCTACCATCAGACGGGAGTGGCTAGCCCTTGTTTTCATTTATGCAGACAGACTTCCTTTTCTACCTCTGCTGGTTATACCAGGTACAAATAGGGATGCTGCAGTAGAGCAGAGGAGCTAAACGTGGCTTCCTCTGACTTACATAATAAAATAAGAATCTCCCCAATGGCCCTTTCCTGTCTGCTGGTCTCTGTGATGAAGTGGGCCACCCTAGGGACAGCTTCACTTAAGGGCCTCCCCAGGGTTATCAGGTCCACAAAGGGTCTTGGGATCAAATGTACAGCTAAATTGATGAGATCAATTCATTAAGATAAAGACTTCTTCTTCCGAAGCAGTATGGTGCTTGGGTCAGTGTCTCTTTAGAAATTAATGTATAGATAAAATATTTCATATTAGGGAGAGCTCTGTGCTGCCCTTTCCCAAAGCTTTGGTTATTTGATGGGAGGGAAAGTCTTCTCGAACCTATGTCAGAATATTCCGCTTTGAAAGATGAGGGTTTTTCTTGAGGCTAGTTTTGTACCTGCTGTTTCTTTTAGAAATGATTGCTTTATGGATTTAAAAGGTGACCCAAATGACTTTTTTATTATTATTATTTTTTAATGCTGGGAGGAGTTTGTGTGTGTGTGTGTGTGTGTGTGTGTGTGTGTGTGTGTGTGTGTTTTATCTCCTTCAACTCTGACCACCTGGAAGTCAGCCTAATCTCTGCCCTCGTGTTGATCTTTAATTCAACATTTAATTACCTATCTTGGTATCCATATGAATTTGATTGTTTTTTTGGCTTTTTTTGAACTCATAAAAGGTATCCAAGTTCCTGGAGGGCATAGTGCCCATCTCCTCCCATCCACCAGTGGACATTCTTTTCCAAAAGACACATGGCAAGTACCCCTCACACCTGAGCTGTGGTGGTTTGGGTTTGTCCCCTTTGCTTTTGTTTGCAGAACACCTTTTACTCCTTTTGCACTTGATGGTTCTGTTGTACTTGTAAGGAAAATCAGTTGAAATAAAAAGATATTAAATTGAGAGACAAAAAGATGTTGCCACACTCCCAGTTAGAGGCAGACTTTAGTCTATATTTTCAGATTTATTTTGATTATAAAGTGTAGTCTCCCCCCGCCACCCCCTGTCTGCTTTTCTTTGTAGTTCTGTAATCAGGAGTCTGTTATTCTCTTTCCAATGCTATAATTAATAGTCTGGTCTAAAATATAAAAACCTCAAAGTTATTAATGGAAATGTCACTACTCACCTCATTTTTACAGAGGCCGCTTGGCCTCTAAGTCATTGAGTCTTTGGACAAACTTCATTTAGCATTGACTATGTGCAAGAGCTGTGCTGTATGCTGGGGATTTAAAGACAAAGAAATACAGTTTCTGCCTCTGAGCGTGCATCATCTCACTGGTGAGGCTCACATACAAACAAACAGGCAGAATTCAGTGTAATTGAGAAATGTTGTAATTGAGTTATATATAGGGTTCTTATTTTGCACGTCTCTGTAGAGTAGTAGTTTCCATACTGTGCGGTATTTGCCTGTTCACTTGCCTGTTCCTTTGTGAGCTCTCGAGGGCCAGGAACAAATATGGATATAAACATGGAACCATGAGCGAATAGATGTTTCTTATCAATGCTCGGCCTGTCTTACGAGGTGTTCCATAGTGGAACCACCTGGGAAACAATTGATTTTGCATTCTTGTTTGTTAGCTAAATGCCTGATTTGCTTTTTAGGATTCTTTTAGGTTAAATCATATGAAATTACCATTTTGTTGATAATTTCACATGGTTCCATGTAATAAAAAGAGATCAATTTTACAGACTTCTGGTTTTAGGTCATGCACAGAGGTGAAGTTCTGCACAGGTACTGGGCATCCTATATGTATTTCCACTAGGTTACTATTTCCGAGTGTGAGTCTCTATTTGGAACTTCAGAGAGGGAGCCTGTGGCCCAGCTACTCCTGTGTCACTCAGCTCTGGAGTGGAATTCTTCTAGGTAGTGCCTGTTTGTAGACTGGACAGGGAATAAAACCACTACTCTGTGCCCGTTTATAAATATTTGCATTTACCTTAGAGAATGTACAAGACCCGGGCTTCATGCGTGTGTGAGAGAAAATAGCAAGTGAAAAGGATGTGTACACAGCAGCATGAATGGGGTGCTATTCTTAGCTGGGTCTCTAACCTAGAGAACAGGAAACAAGATGCTTCTGAATGTGGACTATGGCTGCCCTATGCTAGAGCCAAGAGGCTTCGAGTCATAGGGAAACTCATGACAGTTGCTAGTGTCCTTCAGACCTTCCTCTTTTGTAGAAAGTTTCATTCTTTGTGTGTCTCAGACTGAGATGGAGGAGGGGTGACTCTGTTTTCTAAGGGATCTAGAGAGAAAGGGCAGATGTAGTCTTGAGCAGTGGGCTTCTCAGCTGTGCTGCTTCTTCCACGGAGACCATCTGGATCTACTCGGTTGATGGAGCAGCTCCTCTCATTCTGAGTGGGTTTAGCATTTGAGAAATAGAGGGGCACCTTGGCTGACTGGACTAAACCTTCTTTGGCAATTTATAATAAATGCTCTCTGATTTATTGTTTATTCTTTCACATTGAGGTTGAACCTGATTTGCCTTTGAAAGTTAAGAGCAGGACTAGGACTAGAACTAGAAATGCCTGATGTATACTGTAGCACACAGTGGAGCGCTGTCCACTTTTTAGTCACTTGGTGACTACCGATTAATTGATTTGAATATATCAATGTCTGGCAGTTGGACCAATTACTCAGCTTCCCAATCTGATGGTGTGGTTGATAGAAATGTTTCCTGGTGGCATTTTCCCACAGGATTAGGATGGTGGTGGCATTAGCCAGGATCTCTTTTGTCACTGCCACTGTTACTGAATGATCTGTATTTTGAACTTTCTTGACTTAGTATAGTATTATACATCCAGCCCTTACCCTAAATGCTTATTATTTAATATTGACAACTTACAGGTTAATGTTTTAAAACTTTTTTTTTTTTTTTAAGGCAGAGTCATGCTCCGTCACCCAGGCTGGAGTGTGATCTCAGCTCACTGCAACCTCTGCCTCCCAGGTTCAAGTGATTCTCCTGCCTCAGCCTCCCGAGTAGCTGGGATTACAGGCGCCCGCCACCACGCCCAGCTAATTTTTGTATTTTTAGTAGAGACGGGGTTTCACCAGGTTGGCCAGGCTGGTCTCAAACTTCTGACCTCAGGTGATCCAACTGCCTCGGCCTCCCAAAGTGCTGGGATTACAGGTGTGAGCCACCACGCCCGGCAAAACAGCATATCTTTAATTAGAACCCAACATGAGATGGTATTTCTTCAAAGAGGGCCTGAAATGGTGGTATTACCTCCAAGCGAACTTTATGAAAGGGATCGGGTCTGTATATAAACCATTTAATTTCTCCATTTCTCTAAATGGGAAAAAAAATTTGTTTTTGTTTCTTTTTTACTCAGAACACCAAGCCCATTCAGCCACCTCAAAAGAGGTTATAGCCAGGGCGCCCCTCTTAGAAGAAAAGACTTTTTTTTTTTTTCCTTAAGATTGGTGCATGGAAGCTTAGAGCCTCATTTCACCACCTCTCCTGATTTGATATAGATTTATGAGAAATGAATATAGGGAAAATACTGGCTGTAGACTTGACAACTGTTAACTTGGTGAACAGCATGTTCTTGTTTATGTTAACTGTGTACTTTGACTGTTCAAGATCCCCATTACTTTTCACTTGTCATGCCACATCATTGCTGCAAGTTAGCCTCCTTAGATAAGATACATGGCAGTTAGCTATCTTCACCTGATGGGGAGGAATAGGGTAGAGAAAAGAATGTGACCAGCTGTTGTCAGCTTCTCCGTGGAAGTGGTAACCATGTCAGAGCCAGGCCCTGGAGACCTGGCTTGGAAAAGAATGAAGTTTTCCTACTAGGAACTTCTGTAGAGCCCTAGACCTTTCCATCTTAGTGCCGAGTTAAATGAGTCACGTAGACTTCAGGTAAAGTCATTTCCAAGGGATTGTGAGAATGTGCCCAGGTTGGTTTGGACTGTGTCACACTTACTTGTACTGGCTTATCTTTGCTACTAATTTTTTTGTGTGTGTTATTGTTCTTCTAACTATTGTTGATGATTTGAGTGATGCGAAAGATTTTGATGATGGTAACTTTCTATAAGAGATGTAGAAGCAAGAGGCCCAGAGAATTGATCTTGCCCTTCATCTGACACATTGTGACCAGTTTGTTGAACATGATAAGGCCTGGAATTGTCACTTCGAATGTCTTCTTAATCTGGGAAATTTGAAGAGGTCTGCAGCAGGGAGGCTGGTCAGGGAAGTAACTTTGCAAAATAAAATCTTCATACTGATGCAATCCCAGAGAACTTGCCTTTGGGTTTGTGATTGCAAAGTGTTGAATCAGTCTTTGGTGTGGATACAGAATATTTGAAGCTAGTTGAAGTGTAGGGGTGTTGGGACAGGAGAAATGATGAGATGAAGTCTTATCAGAGGCTGAAGGTCACCGGATATTTTCCTAGTAAAGGTTCCTTTGATGTGGAATTTATCCATTTAGCCCACCTAATTGGAGTTATCTGGTTTCTGTCCCTGAAGATTCTGCTGTTGGCCCTGGACTACTTAATTCTGTTTGCTCACCAAATCGGTGACATAAGTTACAAGTTATGAGATTTAATGTTTAGAGTATGGTTTTGGATTATAGGCTCCTTGCATTCTTAAGTTAGCAGAAGGAAACCAAGAGAAGCAGCATGGTACAAACAAAACCCCAAACAAGTGCTAATGTCAGAGAGACCTGGGTTCAAATCCTAGCTATGCCACATATAAGTTTTATCATGAGAGTAAATTGCGTAATCTCCCAGAACCTCAGTGTTCTTGTTGCTAAATGTGCACAAAATAACTGGCTATCTTATAGAGACGTTGTGAAGTTAGAGTGAGTGAAGGTGACATGCCTAGTAAGGACCTGGCACGTAGAAGCACACAATCAGCTTTAACTGTTTCTGTTATTAGCAGTGGACTTAGCACTGTATAAATCTGTCCCTCCATGCTTCCCACTTGCCCATTTGTCAAATGGACTTGACATTCCTTACTCAGTGGTTGACAGGGAGCCAAGTGATATATCTGAGCTGTTGAGGATGGATGTGTATCTCAAGATCCTGGCATTCAGACTGGGGCTCTACAAGTCACACTATATTTGCAAGTTGTAGCAGAACTATATTAAAAACATGCCCTGCCTGTTTCCCCTCGTTGGTCCTCCCATTCAGAGAGGGGCTTTCTGGCCTTGTGCTTTAAATAGTCCTCAGACGGTAATGTGGATAGTAGATGAACACAATTCTTGTGAATCCATTTGCCTTGTGCTTGGGAGTTCTATTCTTAGACCACAATCACCGGAATAGAAAGCCTCCGACCCCACATCTGAACTGAAGCCATGTGGGCCTGGCTAATGGATTTCTTTGGGAAGCTGGGACAAAGGACCGGGTCTGCTTCTGTCATTGACTAGGCCAGGTATGGAGCAGTCCATTAGAAACCAGTCTCCTCCCAATTGTCTGGAGTTTATGAGCCTGGCTTACCTGGGATCATTTTCATGTTACGATCCTAATTAAAGTTCAGCCTGTTTACTCTGCTCCAGTCAAGGAGTTACAGGGGGAATCAAGGCAGATAAGATGTTTATGGGTGAACCCTGTTTCATTTTCCTCGGATCCACAATTAAAGAATTAACAGCACTTGTTATTTATTGAGCAGAACCGTGGGCGGGAGGAGGGCTTTAGTGCTTGTTTTGCTGCTTCTGTGAGCCCAGGGCTGCGCCAGCAGCATTTCACTTTTAATCCTTAGTATTGTTAGGCCTATACTTCCACCTATAGAGGTGGCAATTGAGGATCTTGACTTGCCCAGGGGTTCATGATCACGAACCTTCTACTACTTCATACCTTGAACACCATCTCTTCTAATAGATGGGCAACAATATGGTCATTTCTTGTGAAGATACTGGTGACTTAAAAGCATTACTAAATGTTTATTAAACACTTGAATATAGTAATTATGTATGTGAGAATGGATTCACATCTAGGGCTCCTGACAGTATCTGTCAAGATGCTGGCCCCAAACCCTGAGTTTGTCATGTTATGTGGGCATATTTGGTTGCCCAACTCTGAAGCCAAATGATGCCAGGGAGAGGGAGCCTCCATACTGTGGGGGTGTTTCTAAGAGCAGCCTGGTCCTTAATTATCTTACTAAAGACAGTGTCCTCTGTGATCTCAGACTCATAACATCCCTGTTAAGATAGGAGGGGGCTGAAATCATTTGTTCTCCTTCACATTGAGGGGAGACTCAGGCACAGATGAGAGACAGAGGCAGAGAAGTTAAATAATTAGTCCAAGGTCACATCAAATGATTTCCAACTCAGCTGATGAATCTGTCTAGGTCTCGGTCTCCAAATATTGCAGCTTCCCTTACAATGTAATTTGATCTCAAACACTTTACGTGTCTTATTTTTCTTCCTCCTTTTTCTATTTTGGTAAATAAGATGTTTTTTACACCTACTGCCAGATTAATGTTGGGTTTTAATTTAGCCCTTCAAGATGATCAATGACTTAACCGAGGAAACTGCTGCCAGAATGTAGTTTATAATGTACCTTTTTTCCTATACTCGGTTTTCTGCTTCTGTATTTTGTACATTGTCAGTCTCTGTGGGTTAAGAACTTTGGGACTCTCAAGGGTCATCTTGACAGAGGAGCTTCTGCAGTTGGGAATTGTTACCTTTCTCAGAGCAGTGCTATTGGGAAAAAAAAATCTAGGCATTTTTGTTCTCAGCTTCACAGAGGAAGTGAAGCACATTCAAGAGTAGCCCATTGGCTTCTCGTATAGGAATAGTATAGATTTGGCTTATTTTATTCCTTGCTTATTATAATATTATTATTCATAAGCATACCTTTTCAGTTACCCTCATGATTTACTATCTGTAAGAGCATAAGCTTACTGTTTGTGTAATATTTGTCCCTGTATTTTAGATGGGAGTTGCTGAGGTGGTATAAGGTTTGGTAACTGCATCCGGCCTCTCAGGGAAATAACCAAGTTGTTCAGATTCTTAGCTGTATTATGTGAAGTTGTTTGTCAGCTTCATTGCTTACTACTGTGAAATAAGTTATAAAGAGGAACTTTTAATAAAAATAAATGGATTCACTCAGGGGAGGGGTATTCATTGTTGGTGAAATATGTCGAGGACCAGATGCTTTTTGGTCTCCCAAAGACCTATCAAACTGCAGATCTTTTGGCTTTGTAATATATTCAGTTCCACATTTATTCATTCAAGATTTTTGTGTCCTCATTATGTGCCAAGTACTGGGTTGGACACTACGTGACAGAGATGAACAAATCCCTAATCTTGGGATTTCACAGTGGATGTTGGAATTTAGTACCGTTTAGCTTCATTAGGTTCTGCAGTAGTCCCAAGATTTTCCAAGATCATCCTGTCCTCCAGTGTTCTATTGATTCAACTTCAGAATATATCCCAGACTCTGTCCCTCTTTACTCCTCACTGCTGTTGCCCTGGGTCCATCTGCCATCATCTCTCACCTGGATTATCTCAGTAGTTTCCCAACTGGTTTCCTTGTTTCCATTCTTGCCTCCTTCTGTCTACTCTCAATATAACAGCTAGAACAATCCTTTTACAATGGAATTCAGATCATGTTTACCCCTCTGTTCAAATTCTCCAGTGACTTTCCAGTTTTTACATGATCTGGCTTCTACTACCTGTCTCACTGTGTTTCCTACTACTCTCCTGCTCTTTCTCCTCTTAATAAACACTGGGCTCATGGTGTTTCCTTTAACATGCCAGGCATGCTTGACCCTGTCCTGTCTCAGGGCCCTGCTGTTCCCTCTGCCTGGAACATTCTTCCCATAGTGTCTGCATGGCTCACTCTCTCACTGCTTTGGATTGCTGCTCAAAAGTCACCTTATCAAAGGCCTTTCCCAAAGGTTTAAAAATCATTCTACTATAAAGACACATGCATACATATGTTTATTGCAGCACTATTCACAATAACAAAGACTTGGAACCAACCCAAATGCCCATCAATGATAGACGGGATAAAGAAAATATGGCACATAAACACCATGGAATACTATGCAGCCATAAAAAAGAATGAGTTCATGTCCTTTGCAGGGACATGGATGAAGCTGGAAACCATTATTCTCAGCAAACTAACACAGGAACAGAAAACCAAACACCGCATGTTCTCACTCATAAGTGGGAGTTGAACAATGAGAACATACGGGCACAGTGGGGGGAACATCACACACCAGGGCCTGTCGGGGGGTGAGAGGCAAGGGAAGTGATAGCATTAAGAGAAATACCTAATGTAGATTATGGGTTGATGGGGGCAGCAAACCACCATGGCACATGTGTACCTATGTAACAAACCTGCACATTCTGCACATATATCCCAGAACTTAAAGTATAATTAAAGAAAAAGAAAAAGAAAAAAAAAGTCACCTTATCAAGACCCTCTAGGCTACTCTGCATAAAATATACCCCACTTCATATTTCCTATTTGATGTCTGACTCCCCCTCCTCCTTCACTAAAACGTAAGCTCCATAAGGGAAGGGATTTTGTCTGTTTTGTTCTGTTGTATCCCTAAATACCTAGAAGCTGCTCAGTAAATATTTGTTGGTTGAATGAATAAATCAGCCTATTATTTAATCAGTCAATGTCCTCTGTAAAAAGGACTTCTCATACCAGTGGCACATATCTGTATGATGGTCAGTGTAGGGAGGGACATGGTCAGAATGGCTCTGTCTGTGTGGGATAGTTTTTCTTAGTATAATCCCAGAAGACTCCTATTGGGGTTAAGCCACAGATTTAGCGTTATTAGTACCACTCTTTAATCATAAAGTCAGAAGATGTTATGATTGGAAGGGATCTGGGGGACTGTTTGGTCCACTTTTCTCATTATTGATGTGAGAATAACAGAGCCTAGAGAAAGTAAGTGAATTACTCACAGTCATAAAGCTGTAGGGGTCAATCTGAAATTAGGCTTCTGACATACGATTCTGTAGTCTTTCCTGCATGTGCTCCCCCTGGCTGAGACAGTTTGTGGGCTTTCAGAGTTGACAATTTTCTCTCCAGTCTCTAAACAGGAGCTTTTATCTGGACATTCTAGGTTAGCATAGATGGACGATGACCCTGTAATGTGTGGAAAGTCCCAAAGGGTGAGCACTGTGAATGGGAACTACCCCAGATGTGTCAGGAGCACCACAGGCACGCTCACTCTTCCATTGGCAGGAGATGTGTAGGGTGGAAAGGAAACCAAAATCAAGACCCTTTGTTGCTCCAGTTCTTTTATTACATGTCACAGTCGAATGTGTCTCCATTTAAATTCAGATTTTTTGATGAATGGCCAGACCAGCTGCAGGCCCTTTGGGCCAGAAGCCTTGATCTCGCCAACTGTTCATTTTCTTGATGGACTTCCTTATTTCAGGCATTTGTGTGTAGCTGGTCTATTGTGGAGTTGTCAGAGGGGTGTAGAGCCCCCTCTTTGGGACAGTCAGTCCTCCCTGTGCAGCATGTCCTGAAGCTGGCCTGCCTCCATCCTCTTTCTAAGTGTGTGAGGTCTTTTGTTAAACAGGGTAAAGTGAGGGAGGACTCCTAAAGAGAGAAAAACTCCTCCAGCATTTGCTGGAACATGTTTGTGAACTGAGCAAGATGTAATTGGGATGGCATAAAAAAAAGACTTACATTTACTTAATTTCTTGCTGTCTGGTTTGTGATATATGGTGCCCCAAATTGAGGTTAGAAGGAGCTTTGATCATATGTCAAGGAGGTGTCATATTTAATTCTACTCCCTGTGGCCTCTCTTACAATACCAGTCATGCATAAAGCCCGTGGTTTTGCTGCATCTAGTTTTACTGAAGCAAAGGCTCTGCACTTTCATAGTTTACACTGACATATTTCTAGTTTGCATCTGAAACGTACTCTGAGGATGCTGACTTCCAGATAGCCATTTTTGGGTTAAGGGAAGTTCAAGTCTCCTGACTATAGTAGCTACACCACCTGGAGAGCTTCATTTTGGTTTGGTGACAAAATTTATTTTAGCTTAGTTTTCTTACATTAGGTGGGCAAAATAAGAAAGGCCAGAAAAGTTTAGGACAGTTTTCTGAGACACTCAGCAAAACTATGAGGCCTAGAATTGAGAACTGGGTATTACCCTGTAGATGATGTCTTTTCAAGCTGGGCTAGTGGAGTTTCTGAGCAGCAGCTGCATTCTCCTTGTACATCTTCAGGTTTTGTAGGATTACCTTTAGCCCTCTAAGTGATCAGATCCGCCTCACTGTCACTCATGGGAGCCCTTGATCTGGACAACGTGGACCTTGAGTAGCTGAGTTCAAACAACTGAGGTGGCAAGAGGGATCTCCCCCTTGGTTCTTTTTTTTTTTTTTTTTTTGAGACAGAGTCTTGCTCTGTCGCCCAGTCTGGGGTGCAGTGGTGCGATCTTGGCTCATTGCAGCCTCCGCCTCCTGGATTCAAGTGTTTCTCCTGCCTCAGCCTCCTAAGTAGCTGGGATTACAGGCACCCACGACCATGCCTGGCTAATTTTTTTATTTATAGTAGAGATGGGGTTTCGCCATGTGGGCCAGGCTGTTCTCGAACTCCTGACCTCAGGTTATCCACACGCCTCAGTCTTCCAAAGTGCTGGGATTACAGACATGAGCCACCGTGCCCGGCCCTTATATATATTTTTTAATTGAAGAGGTAGAGAAGCAATCTCAAGGTCAGGACAACTTACCCTGAGGTTCTCACTTGTCAGGGATTGTGCTGGATTCTGACTTAGGTTCTGCCATCAAACACAGAATGCCCTGATCCTTAGAGGCAGAGGCAGCTCTTTAGCCTATAGGGTAAATAACCGGGAATGGAATTCTCACCAATTCTTATCTTCTATGCTAAAAGTTTTACTTTAAGATTTAGGCCTGCTTTTTTCTTTCTCTCTGTCTCTCTCTCTTTTTTTTTCCCCCAGTAACAGTTTAAAATTGGTGCCTTAGACGCAAGCAAAAAGATATTAGCACAGCTTTAGAAATAAGTGTGAGTCCACATGTAATTTTTTAGTTTCTCCTCTCCCTTCGCTTTTTGCTTTCTTGGTAGTATGCTAATTGTATTCTTTTTCTGCATCTTTTTTCCCCATTCTTTGGCAGATATTATTACTTGTCTTGAAAGAGTAGGTGAAGAGCTGTTTTTAGGACTCTTTGAAAGGGTACAGTATGGATGACAGTCTTGGCTAAATGTAATCAGATCCAGGAAGCTGGAGTCAGTGTGAGCTGGAATCAGTTCAAATTAGCAAAGCACTGGCGCTCAGTGGCAGGAATACAAGTGACCACAAAGTGTTAAACACATCTGGAAAGGGATTCTGACATCATCCTGAGAATCTTTGGGGAATACATATAGCCTGTAGACCCATTCCTCTTTGACCCTATAAAGATTCTTTAAAGAGTAATACCCTGAGTGGTTTTCTGGCCAGCTTGCCTGCTCATTTATCTTTGAGGAGATGGAAGGAGACAATATGCCTCGTGGAGATCCACAGGCCCTAGAGGTGTATGGATTGTGCATTTGGAAGTGCTGAAGCTGAGAGACTGGGTCTCTTGGTGGACCCCAAGGGATCTGCTTTTCCTCTACTCATTGTCCCTACACAACTTTTCCTGGCAGCCGGCATTGCTGTTTAGATGGGTTGTTCTTTGCTGTTTAAGTTGTTTGGCAGTGGTGTGTCAGGATGCGGGTTTTCTGAATACTTTCCCAGCTGGTTACTTGAGTGGTGGTTAGGGAGGGGCTGTTCTGGGGCTGCTCTGGAGCTGTTGAGGTCGGGTGTCTGTCTGGATACTCACAGCTGGTCTGTCGAGGAGAACGCTGTTCTCATTCTGCTGCCTTTGGTGGTGCTGTGTGTGGCTCTTTAGATGTGGGTGGAGATGAGTTGGGGGAGTTAATGAGATCTTTTTTTAGCTGCTTTTGATAAAGTAGTCTGTACTACAGGATTCATTGTGACTTTTTCCCTTAACCTGTGCATACTTCTTTGCTAGCCTTTGTGAAAGAGAGTTCAGCCCCTCTTGCCCTCTTGCTCTTTCGCTCTCTCTTGCCCTTCTGCCTTCTGCCATGGGATGATGCAGCAAGAAGACCCTCACCAGAGGCAGGTTCCTTGACCTTGGACTTCCTAGCCTCCAGAACTGTAAGAAATTCTTTTCTCTTTTCTTTTCTTCTTTTCTTTCCTCCCTCCCTCACTTCCTTCACTCTCTCTCTCTTTCTTTCTCTTTTCTTTCTTTCTTTTTTTTTTTTTGAGGCGGAGTCTCGCTCCGTCCCCCAGGCTGGAGTGCAGTGGCTAGATCTCGGCTCGCTGCAAGCTCCGCCTCCCGGGTTCACGCCATTCTCCATTCTCCAGCTTCAGCTCCCGAGTAGCTGGGACTACAGGCGCCCGCCACCAGGCCCGGCTAATTTTTTTTGTATTTTTAGCAGAGACGGGGTTTCACCGTGTTAACCAGGATGGTATCGATCCT
Organism: Homo sapiens; assembly: GCF_000001405.40. Taxonomy (NCBI): domain Eukaryota; kingdom Metazoa; phylum Chordata; class Mammalia; order Primates; family Hominidae; genus Homo; species Homo sapiens. Next base: position 121,235,257 of record NC_000001.11, read on the forward strand.
TTTTTTTTTTTTGTTTTAAATTATGCAGTCTGTGGCATTCTGTTATAACAGCATGAAATAGACAAAGGCTCCATTTTCAAGAGCAAGCCCTTTTGTAGTTTCTGAGCTAATTATGACTGCAAAGGAAGTTCTATAGGTAGCCTCAGATCTACCACCTAGTAAATCTGCTACTAACCAGACCTAGAATCTAGGATTCTAGATCAAGTGCTGGGCAACATGATACCTCTGCAACTTGGCACCTCCCTATATCCCTCCAGTTGGTTTGGCCCATCAGGACTAATATTACCCCTCATATCCTAGTCTCTCTTGTAGGCAGAAGCCTTGCCTAAACCCTAAGCTGCTTAGCTCACATTCTGTCTTGCTTTTTCTGTTTTTTTTTTTTTTTAGGAGGGGGTTCAAATATAAAATATACGGGAAAGAAATATAATGAACCTCCATGTACCCAACACCCGGATTAAACAGTTATCTCAATTTTGCCAGACTTGTTTCATCTACTTCAATCTCCCTAAACATTTACATTTGTACAGGAAAAACTGGATAAATACCTAATTCTCCACCCTATCTCCCATTTTAAGTCATTTTTCAGAATAATGAGTTAGTGACTAGTAACCTCCACTGTAGTGACCAATAGTTTTTTTTCCTGAATATCGTAATGAGCTCATAGATTATTGTTTGCATTTGAGCCCATTGTAGTCACTATTAATTGTTTTAGATGCTCATATTGTCTCAGGTTAATAAGTATCTCTTCAAGTTGACTCCCATGGCCTTTTGACGTGATCCTGTTGGACTTGGATGGCTTCCTTGTTTTCTGGCAAAAAAAAAAAAAAGGTGTTCCAGGATCTATATCCTGCACCATACATGGAGTCAGCCATTTCTCTAGGGGGTCTTGATTCCTTTTAGTAGAGAACACAGTTTGGGCTCTAGGACTGAATTACTTTTGTGAACCTCCTTTCCTGCGATTACAGCCTGCACCCCTGCTTATAGCCAGTAGAAGCTCTTGTTGGGCATCAACAGATCGAAAACCACCATGTAGTTCTGCCTCACTCTTACAAAGATTCATCTCTTGAGAATTTTGTGCTCTACCCCCGTTGTAGTCTTTATGGTTTTGAAACTTTTGCTTCAGTCACCCTGAATTTTGCCAGCCATAGACATGCCATACCTTGGATTGCCAAACTGCCCTCACTGGAGCCAATTTCTCTGGTTAGAATAGTTGTCCCAACTCATGCTTAATACTCTAGTAAGCAAGGTTCCACCTGGGCTCAGGTTAACTTTTCTCCTTTGGGCCCTGTGTTCTACCAGCATTCCATTTAACTGAAACCCTCCCTCACCTCATCAAGATCTTATCTGGTCTTTAATGATTTACTCTGCTGCTTCCTGGGTTCTAAAGAATCCAGTTCAGGAGTTCCTCTTTCAGTTCGAGATCTTATTGGCCTGTCTCGTCAGGTTGGTGTCAGCCCAGCTAGGATTAAGCAGAATGGGGTTGGGGGTTGTAGTGCACTTTTGACACAGCGTGTACCTGGCTGACTACTTCTCTGTCTTTTTTTTCCTATTGCAATTCATGAGTCTCAGCATCTTCTGAATGGTGTTTAGTAGGTCATCATGTTGAGTTCCTGCTCTAGGGAGTAGCATACTCTGGCTCTGTATCATTGGCAAAGGGATTTAAGGTTAGATGATAGGCTGCAGTTTTGTTAAATGGAACAATATGAAGAGATGGCATTATAAAGAGGCTTGGCAGCAGGGCCCATTTGAATGGTTGGTTCTTGATTCCCATGTTGATATAGGCAGATCCTTGACAGGAATTTTGAATGGTCCCAAATGTGGTAAATCGCTGGTACATCAAGTCATCCTCAAAGTTGTCTGTGTAACTGTGTTGAATGCAGTTTTGTGAATCTCTGGTGATTGTCTGTATAGGGCTTCATCATTTAGTTATTTTAGTTGAGCCTGTTTAACTTCTTCAAGAAGATAAGATATGTGAAAGAGATGCAGACAGTAGGGAAAAAGCTAGGAGCTTTGCTCCCCCATCCTCTACTTGGGTTCTGGAACTGGACTCATAGGTGAGTAGTGAGGAGCTGGGCTCAAGCGAATTAATCCCGGATCTAGCTGTGCTATGTGTTCGCTCCAGTCTTTGTGTCAAAGTTCACTTTGAGCCACTCAGAGTAGCGTGTAGAGTGGTCATTCAGGACTGTGCTAACTTACACTTCATTGTATCAACTGGGAGATCCAGTAATTTATAGTCTATTATTTCTGGAGTCTGGAGATGACTCTGTATAAGCTTTGCTGAAGCAGATTTTATTACATTAGAAGAGAACCTACCTGGCTGCATCCAACACCAGAAGCTTTTAGATGCTAAGTAAGGAGGTCATAGTAAAGGTAACAGAATGACTCTGGAACCCATTACCCCTACCAAGAAGGGGAGTAATGAATTCCGGGTTGCCCTCTTTTCATTTCCCTTTGATTTTGAGTAATAAATTCCCTCCTTACTTCCCAGCTGAACAATTTGGGAGTCTGTATTCCCTAGAAAGACTGTTCACATACCCGTCAGACTAAATTAGGTGAAATCTCTTTGGCCTTAATGAATGTTGAAGGATTTTAAAGGGCTAATGGAAATTCTTCTAGAAGTAACAATTCCCATTCTATTGGTGAGGCAGTTCTAAAGAAAGTCCCTGAACCTCTTAGGTTATTTTGTACAGCAAAAGAACCAGCATTGGGTTTTCTTTGCTAATAGATGACAGGGAGAATGTAGACACTTGGAATACATGGAGAATCCCTAAGTTGCATTTTAGCCTTCATGTTATGTCTCCTTTCCTAACCTTTTTACCAGAGCTGATCACAGGAAACAGCATGATAGATTTGCATGACCTAGCTCCCTGCCTTCTCCTGCCATTCTTTTAGAAAGTGGTGAGTGGCTGCCTGCCAGGTAAAATCTGGGTGACAAAATCCAAAGTTAGATTCAGAGTTATAAGCATAGCCCCCACCCAAGTTGCTTCCAAAGAAAAGAAAGGAAGAGTGTTGTGTAAAATCTTGCTTCCTTGCCTTTAAATTGGGTACTTATTGAGTTACCACATTAGAATCGTGCATTGTGCTAGTTGTTGTACTCCTGTTGATTGATTAATTTCATTCTACATTCATGGAACACCAACAATGTGCCTGGTACTATGCTGAGTACCTGAGATAAAAAGATAAACAGGAGTTGGTCCTTACCACTTAGAGCTCACAGTCTACTACTGCGAGAGTGTGGGAAGGTATGATAAGAGCTATAGTGGTCTTGCCACATAATTTGCATTTGTATCTTAAAGCCAGTGGGGAACCATGGAAATATTTTAAGCAGGGGAGTGACATGATTCATTTGCATTTTACTTTTTTTTTTTCTTTTATGAGACAGAGTCTTGCTCTGTCACCCAGGCTTGAGTGCAGTAGTGTGATCATAGCTCACTGTAACCTCAGACTCCTGGGCTGAAGTGATCCTCTTGCCTCAGCCTGTTAAGTAGCAGGGACTACAATTGTGCACCACTACACACTGCTATTTTTTTTTTTTTTTTTTTGAGATGGGGTCTCACTCTTGTTTCCCAGGATGGAGTGCAGTAGCGTGATCATGGCTTGCTGCAGCCTCACCTACCTGGGTTCAAGCGATCCTTGTGCCTCAGCCTCCCAAGGTGCTGCGATTACAGGTGTGAGCCACTATATTTGGTCTCATTTGTATTTTTGAAAGATCACTGGTGGCAGTGAAGATACCAGTGGGTTGGAGGGAGGGAGACTAGAGGCAATAACAGTTTAGATAATAGATATTTACTGAGCCCCTGCTAAGTGCCAGGCACTGATCCAGGTGCTGGGAACCTAGGGGGTGAGTGAATAAGACAGTCTCTGCCCTCATGGAGCTTACATTCTAATAGTGGTAGAGTAGTGTGGTGGTAGGAAAGCAGACTATATATATATATATATATATATATATATATATATATATATATATATATACTATATATATATATATACTATATATATATATATATATACTATATATATATATACTATATATATATATATATACATGCAACAAATGATATTTTTTCAGATGGTGATAAGTAATTTGAAAAAATAAATAAATAGAGCTATGGGAGTTAGAGTGTTTGGGCATTGGGATGGGTACTAATGGGAATGGGCAGTGAAGGCCTCTCTGAGGAGGTGATATTTGAGCTGAGGCAGCTATGAGAAGACCTAGGCAAGAGTGGTCCTGATGGGTAGAACGGCAAGTGCAGGGACCTAAGATGTGAACAGGCTTGGCACGGTGCGTAAGCACCGTAAAGATGGTCAGAGTAGCTGGAGCATGGTGGAGCCCAGAGGAGCAAGTAATAGTCAGTTGAGGGTGGAGCACATTCTAAGCCATGGGAAGGAATCTGGATTAATTCCAGTGGAGTAAGAAGCACTGTGATTAATTAAATCAGGGGTCAGCAAACTACAGCCCATGGGTCAAATCTGTCCTGCTGCCTATTTTTATGAATAAGCCATATTGGAACAGTCATACAAGAGCAGAGTTGAGTAGTTTCAACAGAGAACATATGGCCCAGAAGCCTAAAATATTTACTATCTGGCCTTTATAGAAAGAGTTTACTATCCCTGAATTAAATGATCTAATTTAAGTTTTGAGGAGACACTCTGGCTACTGTTGAGATAATTAATGGTAGGAGACAAGAGTATATCTGAATAGTTCAGATAAGAAATAACTAGATGTTGAGCCACCAGAAAGCAAAGATCACACCGTTTTTGTTCTGTTTAAAAACACCTAGGTATGCTTTATACTCATTAAATATTGTTGAATGAATGATGAGATGCTGAATAAGGGAGTGCCAGTGAATATGAAGGGGAAGTGAGGTTTTGAGAAATATTTAGGAGGTAAAAAATCAGTGCAGCTTATTGTTGACAAGGTGAATAGAAATAGGAGTAGGACAGAAGGAGGACTGTAGATGCCCTTCAGGCTTCTGGTTCAGGGATCTTGGTGCATGGTTGGTGTTCCATGAACCTAGAATGAAATTGATCAATCAACAGGCTATTAACTGAGACAGGAGAAGTGGAGATACAAAGAGCATACACTGCCAGGAAGAAGGAATTAATCTTTGGACATGAGACTCCCGGGACATCCAGGTAGAGATGTCTAAAAGGTAGTTGGAAAGACAGAGCTCGGTGGCATGATGCCTAGACTTATGGTAACCAGAATTCTGGAGTCGTTAGCTAGTGTGGGCTCTCCTAAGAAGGGTGTGTGATGAGAAGGTCAGGGTTGGATTTCATAAGGCATTCATTTCCATTACATTTTGGATCCAGAGAGGAGGCAAAGGTAAACTAGCTGTGTGGACAGTTTGCATCAGTCAGTCAGTCAGATCATCCCATGACCATGGCATATTTTTTCTGCAGAAGCTGATAGGCTCAGATGAAGCCTTGCCTTATCTGTTCCTCTGGCTGCCAACCTCTTTCTCTTAGTTGGGTTGACTGGGGCAGTGGTGGAGGTTTCTTCCCAGACTCTCTGCTAAGGTTGGAACATTTGTGGCCTTTTAATTCTGTAGGTGATTCATATTTGCATTTATCTTTTTTTTTTTTAAAAGAGACAGGGTCTCATCCTGTCACCCAGGCTGGAGTGTGATGGCATGATCATAGCTCACTGCAGCCTCGACCTTCTGGGCTCGAGTGATCCTCCCACCTCAGCCTCCCAAGTAACTGGGACCACAGGTGCGTGCCACCAAGCCCAGCTAATTTTTTATTTTTTGTAGAGACAGGGTCTCCCTATGTTCCCCAGGCTGATCTCAAACTCCTGGGCTCAAGTGTTCCTCTCACTTTGGCTTTCCAAAGTACTGGGATTACAGGAGTGAGCCAACATGTTTGCATTTATCTAGTTGAGGCTATGGGTAGGTAGAAGTGTCTAGTTGTTCTTGGTGTTTTGTTAGAGCAAGAACTCTCTGACCCAAGGGTTAGGTAAGTGGCTAAGTTTTATTAAACATTGTTAAATATTAATAAATTTATTAAATATTATTAAATTTATTAAATATTGTGGGTTCTTTTAACCCACAAAGCTAGATAAACCCATTAGAAGTCCTGAACAATAGCTTCCCCTTTCCTTTTTGTCTGGGGAAGGGGAACCACAGAAATACTTAATAAAAAAGCACTTGTGCTGAAAATGGTCTTAAAACTGGATGCAAATCTCCCCTTTACAGAAGTTCATTATGAAAACCCAAGGATGAAATCAACATTGTAAAGGGAGTAGGGAAGGAGGACCACTCTCTATCCCGCTCTTCCACCCCCCTCATATTTTTTTCAGCATACTGTCACACCTCTGTTGTTTGTACATTTTTAGAAGACACTTTTTGAACACATTTTAACCCCGTCTTACATATAATATTCAAATTTTAGGGTCCCATGTTTTATGAGTTTCTCCTTTTCTAAAGAAACAGTTGAGTAATAGTTTTGCTACTCCTCTAACCTAAATTATTCCTGTCATGAGGTTAGTGACTTCTGACAGGCAGAGGTAAGTAGTTTAAAGCCTGATTACCTAGTCCCAAAGTGGACGAAATGGAGCCTTGAACCAAATAAATAGGTAGTAAAGGTAAATTTAAAATATGAAAAAAAATTTTTTTGAAAGGCATATGTTGACGAGTATTATTTCCACTCCTGTCTGGTCCACCCTGTAGAACCCCTGCTCCTTATTGTGGGTGTCACTCTTAATAGTTCCTTATATATCTGTGCAGTGTTTCTTTATGTAAATAAAAGGAGATATGAACATATGTTCTTACCCCTCCACGTTCTTTTACATGAAAGGTAAATCATTATCTAACCTGTTGTGTACTATTTTGTCCTTAACAGTATGTCTTGGGGATCTTTCCTTGTTGGTACAGAGAAAGCTTTCTCATTCGTATATCAGAGCTGCATAGTATTCCATTGTGTGGATGGCTGCCTCCTACTTTATTGAATCAGTTCCTTACAAATGTGCACTTGAGTTGTTTCCGGTATTTGCTATTACAAGCAATACTTCAGTGAACAAAGGCAGCTTTTTAAAGGGTCGCACAGCACTGCATATGCTACTTAAAATGAGATTATTATTCTTCATTCTTAGAATGCCAGTTGGTTTTGTTGGTTGATAAATTCCCAATTACTCGTATTCATGAGTGCAACATTGATGATGAATGTGACATCCCTTCATAACTTAAGAATCATTAGTATGACTGCCCCATGGAGGCATACTGTTCTATCTCAGGTTTATTTCAATAATAAAACCTTTGGAAATTTTAATAATGAAACCTACTTAAGACCCTTTGCTTAAGAAGTCTGAATCACTGATCACTGCAATTACTGCCATGGCAGCTGTAGAGCAATTTAACAGGATAATAGTGAATAAGATAAATTACACTTCAGATTCTTAATGGATTGATGTGCAGAAGTATGCAAGGGAAGATGGGGGTGGGAGAGGAGCGCCTTTAAAATTTCAGCACACAGTAATAAAATAGGGAACTGGGCCATTGTAGCCGTTACTACTAGGAGTTAGTAATCTCGTACAAACCTCTGGGGCTCTGTGGTGGGTAGAATGTCCTGTTTATTATAGACAACAAATTGGGTTAATTCTCTTGTTTGTGTGCCTCTGTGGAGTGGGTGGAAATTCTAGGTGACTTGCTAATTGTCTTATTTGGAATACTCCCGTTTCTACTAAAGAATTAGTATCTTTGGTATAAAAATAAGGAGGCAGACCAGTTTTACAAATAGCTGCTGGCCAGGAGAATAACAGTTTCTGCCAGGTGAGCAGTTAAAAAAAAGGCAGACTGGAAAAATAACTGTGGAATGGTGTTTCTTATTTACAAGGCTAACATAAAGTCTCCCTGTGTGTTGGGGATGGGGGAGGGGACGGATTGGCTAAGAAGTAAGTACGGTGCTTGCTTTGTATGTCCCTCGATTTGTGTTTAGGGGAGAATAGTGAGGATGTGGTCATACGGGTAGGCGTGGGGCCCGAGGAAGGGGTCCAAGGAAGCAAATCCAGGAGACTTGGCTGCAGTTCTACCCTTATGGACATTCCTTGGCACTTGGTCACATTGTGGACACCTCAATATCTGCTGGGTATTGATCTTGTATACCTTCATTCTCAGTACAAAACCCTTAGCACCCATTATCTCATTCTTCCCCACCAAAGCCCTTGGAGATGAAGAGCAGGAGAATGAAGTCTTTTCTCTCTTAATGTTTAATCAGCATTAACACACCTTTAAGTGCCATTGGATTTAGAGCAGTGTTGTTATTAAAGCAAACTAAATTGTCTTGAAGTGTAGAAAGCACTTTTAGAAAAAGAAGCAAGGTTAGGCTGAGAGAACAAGACAGATGAAGTTACTCCTCTGAGCTGGAAAAGATCTTGTGTCAAAGGAGGAAGCCTCAGAGATAATCTGGGCCAGAAGATTCTGTGTTCAAATCCTGGTTCTGCCTCTTGGTCAAGTTATATAACCTCCGATTTATAATTATTTAAATCTGTAAAGTAAAGAGAGTGATATTTACCATGCAGTGTTTTTGTTTTTTTTTTTTTTTGAAATGATTAAATGAGATAATAGAAATAAAGTTGGCCCTCAATAGGTGGTAGCTGATACTATTAATATTATTAACAGAGGGTCTTCTAAAGAATCTCATGATAGTTTTGGAGCAAAGGAAGGCACTCTCTTTTACATGAGGAGATTGGTACTTCTGGCAGTAAATCAAGAGGGCTGCCTTTAGGGTTGGGAAGCATATTGACAGTATTGGAGGAAGGTGTTAGTTGCCATGGCAACTTGGGAATTCATTTGGAGAGAGAGTTGTGACTGGAGGTTATCTCACTGTAAGAGACTGACTGGTGGAGATTAAAAAAAAAAAAAGCTTGTCTGGCAGGAATGAAATCTTGCTTGCTGTATATCTGCAGGAAATACCAAGAGATGTGCTCTAGAGAAAGTTCCAAACATGAGTCAGAATGATGTGCAGGCCTTCTTTGGTAATGGGTGGTTGTGTCTTAGTGGGCCTAAATGCTGCCACCAGTTGATTGCTTTTGTTCGCATGTATTACTTTGGTAAAAAAATAAATGTATGAATGGGATTTCAGTGAACAGGGTTTTATCGTGGGTTTTTTTTTTTTTTTTGTCTTCTGAAAACATGACGTCAAATTGTTGGATATTTTCCTACAGTTGGTTTAGTCCCCAAGAAGGTTTTAGTAAAAGAGCATGAATACAGAGCGTACCTGAATCATTTACCTTGTTCCTAAGGTAAATGACATAAGGAATACAAGTATTTCCTTTTGATTGGGCAATTAAGACTTTTTTTTTTTCCTATAAAGGTTCTCCTGATAGTGCCACTTGATTACTGATTTTGAAAAGCCTCTTGGTATGATGTACTTAATGTCCATTGTTAGTTTGTCTGCTTGTTTAGTACATCTGCTGTTATCTGTTACCTTCTGATTGCAGCCTTGCCTGGAAACAGGGCTGGACCAAATGAACCCCTTAAAACAGCAAGATTCTGGAGTCGCTGTTTAATTTTTTACAGGCTTCCAGTGCTTACTCACATCTATTTCCTTCCTTCCCTTTCAAGTTAGGGGTACCATTTGACTTGCATTGGCCAGCAAAATGTGGCCATACATGGCAATTCTGGGCAGAAGCAGTTGCCAGTATGGGACAGTTCAGTGCTCTCTTTTCTTGCCTTGGTGATGGTGAAAGTTTGTGAGCAGGTGGAACCTCTGTCAATCTGAGCTCTTGAACTACAATGATGGAAAGATTGCCCCTCCCTGACCCTTGTTGGACACACAGCATAAAAAATAAATGAGCTTTTGTGAGGTTAAGCCACTGAAATTTTGGGGGTTAGTTGTTCATGCAGCAGAACCCAGCCCATTCTTACTGCCTTAATAGTCATTTAATACATATGTATTGAGTATTTAACTTTGTGCTGGGCACTGTTAGGTTGGGGATATAACAGTGAACAACACAGAAGTCTCTTCTCTAATGGAGATTACATCTATGAGGGAGACATAATAAATAAACTAAGATAATTAAATATTGAGATAAGTGCTATAAAAGAAAATAAACAAGATCATGTGATAGAAAAATCTCCAAAGAACAAAGAGGCTATGAGAAGGAAATGGGAATCCCCCAGGACTCATATTAATGACTTTTAATATTTCCCTATATGTCTTAAGACTCTGGATACTTCTAGAGTAGTTTCTTATGCCTTGGAAAGGGGATAACACTGAAGGCAAGAAAGCAATGTGTTGTATTACTTGGTAGCATGTGACAAAATTAAATAACTAGTGTACTCCAAAATAAATGACAACCGAGAATGATATTAGTTTGCTCTGCATCTTTAGAAACTCATTAGTGTCCTGCTGGGTTTAGTGGAAGATGAAATCTGAGCTTTGTTTATGTGCTGTGTTAAGCCCCTCCCCGAGGGCATCCATCTTCAGCATTCAGACTTTCCAGAGATCTAGTTGCTTAGTAGGTACTGATCCAGTTTAATTGTATTAACCAGACTCTCACACTGGGGAGAAGTGGAATGCAAATTGATGCATAATGTTTATATCTTGCATAATATAATTTTGGAAGGAAATAGAATGATGACATATTTCCTTAAATCTTAAATGCTCTCCAGTGAAAACTTTGAGAATGGTTATAACTTTTCTGGAAGAAACATAGGGATAGAGCTCAGGTCTGATCATTGAGGAACATTAGGTTCAGTGCCAGTTGGCAATGATGATTTACTTTGTGTGACCGTAAGAAATCTCTTGGTACGAGGGTGGGCAGCACCTATTCTGCCTTGATGGGAAGAAATGAGAAAAGTGTTACTTGGGAGTTGTAATGGGGAAAGGAGAGCTTTATCTGCTTTTCTTTTCTTCCTTTTCTTTGGGGCAAACCAAAGCAATGAGAATAGGAGAAGGTCAGGAGAGGAGGCATGTCTAAATGACAGTTATAAGGAAGAATCAATTCATTCAAAAACTTTGGGCACTGGAAGAGTATGGGCTGTTTAATTCTATGTCCAAACTGGGAAACATGCTTTTGCTACTGCAATGAAGGGAATTCAGAGTGATGTGCATGGTGACATTTGCCCCTCATCCATCAAGCCAGTCTTATGATCATCCCTGGAGGAAGATTGAGAATCTCTAAACTGGGGCTCAGATTTTTCTTTCTGTCTCGAATATTTTAGTCATCTCATGTTGGCACATACTCTAAAAATCTGATCTGGGTGAAACTCCAGGGAAGTAGGAAAAATTGATCAAAGTAAGAACAGCATTGAAGACACACACATCCTTGCAAATATATGGGTTTATTGATACAGTGTAAATTTCCATGCCAGGACACATGCCAACAGTTTAATGATGTGTATATAGCAAAGTCCCTTGTTAACCCCATTCAGAAACTCTAAAATGAGTTGCAAGGCTGAAAGTATTGAAGCCAAAGGCCAAAAACAATGATCATGTTACCTAGGATCTCATGAATAATTCAGCTGAGTTTAATGCTTTTTCCATGGTGAAACTAAAAAGCTGAAATATTTGGCATAATGTAGACAAATTGTACCCCGCTTCCTTTTGGGAGGATGGTTGGTCATGAGGAATGTAAGGAAGGGTGGAGAAAAATAAGGAATCTTTTCATATTTGTTTTAACCAAATATATGGAATGTCTCAACATTCCACCTCTAAAGAAGTAAAAATATAAAAATTCAAGTTGGGGATTTAAAGATGTTCTCTTTGAATGTTCATTAATAGCTGAAGATTTGGGCTTGAGAGGCACTTAGAAAATTGCTCCTAAAGTCCTAGAAAGACGGTCACAGAAATACCAAGAGAGAAGGAATGCTTGATATTCTTGGTGTTAGGAATCACCAAGAATAGTGTATTGGTCTGTTTCAGAAAAATAATAGTAATTAGAGATGAACAAAAGAGCATGTGGATATTTTTGAAAGTTGTGTGCAAATTGAATTACTGTAAATCTAATCATAATTTCAAGGCATTAGAAAAGCATTATAACAAAACCTGCCAGAAGATTAGAATTATTTTTCATAAAGTGAACGTGTTTTTTTCTCTCCAGCTTAATTTTTAAACCTAGGTTTTGGTATATTGATTTAACTTAAATTGAGACCTCTGCCATTCAGGGGATAAAGCTCTGGACATTCTACATCCTTAGACTTCAGTTCTTGCCTCTTAAATAGGTAAACTCTCCTATTTCTTTCTACTTTTCTCCTAAAAATAATGAGAAGATAAGCAAGTTAATAGAATCTAAGAATGTTTGAGCTGGAAGGTGCTTAGAGATCATCTAGTGCAGGTCACTCATTTGACTGAAACTAAGACCTAAAGAGGTTATGTGACTCTTCAGAGTCTCCAGTTATAAAAGAGAAGGCAAATTATTATGAATAGGGCAAACATAACTCAAAGAAGGCATTCTTTTTATTAAAAAATATGGGAAAGGAAACAGACCTGGCTGGCATGGCCCATTGTTTTCATTCTCTATGTTTCTTTTTTTTTTTCTTTGAGATGGAGTCTTGCTCTTGTTGCCCAGGCTGGAGTGCAATGGTGCGATCTCGGCTCACTGCACCCTCCGCCTCCTGGTTTCAAGCGATTCTCTTGCCTCAGCCTCTCGAGTAGCTAGGATTACAGGCATGTGCCACCACGCCCGGCTAATGTTGTATTTTTAGTAGAGATGGAGTTTCTCCATGTTGGTCAGGCTGGTCTTGGACTCCTGACCTCAGGTGATCCTCCCGCCTCTGCCTCCCAAACTGCTGGGATTACAGGCATGAGCCACCACGCCCGACCTTCTGTATTTTTTATTGCTTAAAATATGATGAGATGCCTGGACATTCAGCTGCCATCTTGTGATGTGAAGTGCTGTGTTAACTCACTGAAGAAAAATAGATGGAGCCCTGCATCCTTAATGACAATCATCAAGCTGCCTTACCAGCTATGCTTGTCCCTCCTCCAGGTTTCTTCATTGGAGGTCTTCTTCTGGATATCATGGACAATATAATTCCATAGGGAATAATCCAAAATTGGGACAAAATTTTGGTAATCTGTTTGAAGTCAGTGGAGAGCTAACAAAGCAGTAGGATATTATGGAGCCAAGATCTTGGAGAACAAGGAAATTCGAGAGTGACATTGGGACAAACTTTCCCCTAGAGGCATATCTTCTGATTCTTAAAGAGGCAGCTGAGAGGCTAGAAATCTTTCCAGCAAAACTTACTTTTTTTTTTTTTTTTTTTGAGACGGAGTCTTGCTCTGTCGCCCAGGCTGGAGTGCAGTGGCGCAATCTTGGCTCACTGCAAGCTCCGCCTCCCGGGTTCACGCCATTCTCCTGCCTCAGCCTCCCAAGTAGCTGGGACTACAGGCGCCCACCACCACGCCGGGCTAATTTTTTGTATTTTTAGTAGAGACGGGGTTTCACCGTGTTAGCCAGGATGGTCTCGATCTCCTGACCTCGTGATCCGCCTGCCTCTGCCTCCCAAAGTGCTGGGATTACAGGCGTGAGCCACCGAGCCCGGCCACTTTCAAACATTCATGGTGCTAGAGGCTCAAAATTTAGGACCTGCCAAGGAGAGTGGGCCGTGGCAAATATCTTTGGCTTTGGGTTGCTATTCTGAGGTGCTGAACTTTAGGATCGAGTATGAACGGAAAATTGACTAGCCCTCATAGAGACTGAGGCCCAGCTTCATACCCTCTCATTCCCTGACTGGGTTAAGGATCTTGATTGGATGGCCAGTTTTCTTAGCTCCATCTCAGAAGCAAAGGACGATCCTCTTGGAGAAGTCTTAAATTATTTCTCTAATTTCTATATTTTTTCATATAAAATGTCCAGTATGCAGTTAAAAACAGCCAGGCATATGAGGTAACATAACAAAATAATTTGAAACTAAGAGACGTAATAAATAATAGAAACAGATCCACAGAGTATCCAGATAATGGAGTCATCAGGTATGGATTTAAAAATAACTTTTCAAAATATGTTTAAGGGTAAGATAAAAACAAGATATATTATTTTGGCAGAGAACTGGAAATTCAAAACTGGATAAAGTGACAAATATAAAACTAAAAATATAATAAATGAAAGTAAGAATTTAGTGGATGGGTTTTATGCAGAGTGAATAGAAAAGAGTGATGGATGAATTCTCAATAGAAAAAAAGGAATCCAGAAAAAAATGGATTTATATCTTCAAAATAAGGAAAATAACATACAAATAAAATTCTCTACAGTGTGAAAATATCCTTTAAAATGAAGGTGACAAGTTCTTCCATGCAAATATGATTTGGGAAAATTTTAACAAAAGGGCTTATGATGAACATGGACTATATATATATATATATATATATATATATATATATTTTTTTTTTTTTTTTTTAAATTATACTTTAAGTTCTAGAGTACATATGCACAATGTGCAGGTTTGTTACATATGTATACATGTGCCATGTTGGTGTGCTGCACCCATTAACTCTTCATTTACAATAAGTATATCTCCTAATACTATCCCTCCCACCTCCCCCCACCCCATGACAGGCCCCTGTGTGTGATGTTCCCCATCCTGTGTCCAAGTGTTCTCATTGTTCAGTTCCCACCTATGAATGAGAACATGCCGTGTTTGGTTTTTTTTTTCCTTGCGATAGTTTGCTCAGAATGATGGTTTCATCCATGTCCCTACAAAGGACATGAACTCATCCTTTTTTATGGCTGTATAGTATTCAAACATGGAATATATTTTAAGATAGATATAAGACTAAAGCAAAGGTAAGGAAAGGGTGGAAGAATAATGTGTGTAAATGATATATGTTCTGAAAAATAGAAATAAAGCCAATAAAAATGGGAGCAGAATGGAGGAAGGCAGATAAAAAGGGGAGAATAGAATCAGACTGTCACAAAGTTAATAAATAATTGGGAGTCAAAGAATTCATTATTGAAAGCTGACAAACCAGATAGTAGGAGAGTAAGAACAAAAGGGGGCTAAGGACATTATAAAAAGTATTAGTATAAAGATAACCACTAGAACAAAAATGCGGACTCCCCTAAATAGAAAAACGGGCAAAGAAAACAAACCACAGAGTGAATTTAACATAATAGAAACAGTAAAAATAATATAAAATAATATGACAGGCTTAAGACTAAATATATCAGTAATATAAATATATAAATGAGCTGAAAATCACCTAATAAAAGGAAAATATTTTCAGATTGACTTTCAAGCAAAACCAATTCATTGCTCTGTAGAAGAGACATACCTAAAACAAAAGGATTCAGAAAGGATAAAACTAGTAGGATGACTTAAAGGCATACAGAGATGCTCTTAGCAGTGTTAATTATAAGACCCAAATAACTACCAAAATGCTCTTCAGAAGTAGAATGAATAAACAAAGTGTGGTGTATTCATACAGTGGAATACTACATATATAATGAGAGTATGAATATGAATTTTACAAAACAACATGGATGAATCTCATAGTAAGGAGTGAAAGAGGCATGAAACAAGAGTGCATCCTATATGATTCCATTTATATGAAATTTTAAAAGAGGCAGGACCAATCTATGGTGATAGTAATCCATATCATGGTCACCCTTATGGAAGGGTAATGACTGGAAGGGAAGCCAAAGGGGCTTTCAGAGCACTAGCGATGCTCTATTTTTTATCTGGGTGCTGGTTGCATGATTTTGTTAACTTTGTGAAAATTCTTTAAGCTGGATACTTAAGAGTTGTGTTCCTTTCTGTATCTATGTTACATTTTAATAAAAGGTTTACATTTAAAAATATAAACTATTTACAAGCAGAAGATGAGGCTTGGGGTAAAGTCCCATGGAATAGCTGGACTTAGAGTCATCAGAGAGAATGATTTTTAATTCCAATTTCTATGAACACTGCCTCTAGGCTCTAAAGGCCATTTTCTTTTCTTTATGACACTTCAAGGTTGCTCCCTAGATTTGTTTTTGCCATCTCCAAATTAAAAATAGAGTCTAGAAAAACAGGGTAGAGAATGCAGAAGTACAGCCGAATACACAAAGGCATTTGGCATAGAGTAAACCATGGTATTTCAAATTGGTGGGATGGGAGAGAGGAATGGATTTTTCAATAACTGGTTTTGAGACAACTGGGTAGCCATTTGGGAAAAAATTAAATTGGATCCCTGTCTTCCTCCTTATATGGAAGTAAATTTTATATTGATTAAAATATACATGTACAAAATGAAACCATAAAAATATTAAAAGAAAATATAGAGGTATATATTTTTAAACCATGGAATATAATGTAAGCCTGACTGAAAATTCAGGAGCTATGTAAGAAAAGATTGACAAATTTTAAAAGTTCTACATGGTTAAAAATAATATCATAAAACCAAAAGATGGACTGGGAAAAATATTTGCAACACATGAGAAGGGGCTAATTTCCTTTATAAAGTGTTCACACAGTCAACAAAAAGTCAAAAAAGATCAGTAATCCAAAGAAAAAATGAGTAAAGAACATGAACTGTTGTTTCAAACAGACTAACTAAATAACTTACTAACACCCGCAAAGACTTATTGCAACATGGAAACCTATGAACATAGGAAATGAATGATGCCAGGTCTTATTCATAATAGAGGAATACAAATTAAATTGCAAGTACAGTATGTAGTCATTTTTCACATATTAGATAAAAAACATTTGCTCATACATTGCATTCTGAGTACAGAGTAGCAAGAAGTCTCCTATATTGTTGAATGGGCAGTATTAGAAATAATTTAAAATGTATATACCCTTTGACTTACTGGTTTCCTTCTACCACTTTATTCTGTAGATACACCCACATCTACATTCATTACAGCATTGTTTATGGCAGCAAAAAATTGGAAACAATGGCAGGTACCACCAAAAAAAGAGACTGGTTGAATAAACAAAAGCATAGCTATGCAGTGGAATGCTATGCAGCTGGTAGAAAGAAGGGGCAGATTGATATGTACTAATATGAAAAATCTCCAAGACACACTGTTAAATGAAAAAAATGTGGCACACGTGCCACGTTTTAAAAAGGGAAGGGGCATATACACAGATGCTTGTTTACACAGTTAGTATTTCTTGAAGGATATATAAGAAAATGGTTTCCTCAGAGGTATAGACCTTTGGGGAAGGGTAGGGATGAGAGGGAAACTTACTTGTCATTGTTTACTGTTTTGTATTGAGAATGTTTCCCCCAGGTGAATGACTGTTATACCTATTTAGGAAAACAGACGAAACCAATAAAACCAAACTATTTCTATACAGTGATTATTAGCAGAGATGCCATTGGCATTTTAGATGCATTTTGGGACTGTTCCACACATTTAGGACATTACATTCCTTTCCCTTTGCACTAAATGCCAGTAGCACTTCCCTAGACACTGACAAACAAAAAGTGCCCCTGTAGATTTCTGAAAAGGCCAGGGTGTGGATTGGGGTGGTGGTGTTGTTTGAGTCTAAAAGAATGTAACTTCTCTTCAGGGTTTCCCAGTTTCCAGGTTATGTTGGCCTGGCAGGGAGGGTCTTGACCGACACGGATGGTTATGGACCTTTACTTAGTGAAAAACTCAAATGAACTTCCTTTCTAGAACTCATGGTTTTCATTCAGTGACACTGGACTTTGCCCTGGAGCAGTGACTGGTCAGGGAGCTGTATCTAAGTGGGAGTTGCACCTGTGTGGGCAAAAGTGTGGCACTCAGATTTTCGTAACAATGGGCAAGATTTCAGGAAGCAGGATTTTGGTTCCCTTACTTTAAAATGCATGGAGAATGGCTGGGTTTGGTGGCCCATGCCTGTAATCCCAGCACTTTGGGAGGCCGAGGTGGGCAGATCACCTGAGGCCAGGAGTTCAAGACCAGCCTGGCCAACATGGCAAAACTCCATCTCTACTAAAAATACAAAGCCTAGCATGGTGGAACATGCCTGTAGTCCCAGCTACTTGGGAGGGTGCGGCACGAGAATCACTTGAGCCCAGGAGGCAGGGGTTGCAGCAAGCCGAGATCACACCACTGCACTCCAGCCTGGGCAACAGACCGAGACTCCATCTCAAAAAAAAAAAAAAAAAAAAATTAAAAAAAGCATAGAGGACTGGTTGTATCCTAATAGCACTGGTCCATTTTTCTGTGGTGTGCATTTTAGCTTTTTTCCTAACAAAAAAATCTTACCACATGATTCTCTGCCAACAGATTTTCCTGAGCTGGAAGGAACAGATGTTTCTGTTGGAAATGGGCATCTGTTTCTCCCCTCACTGTGGCGTGTGCTTCCTATGAGCCCAGGCCCAGGTAACAGTGAATTATCATTAGAAGGCTCTCTCGTAAGACTCATGGGGAAGAACCTATAAGACCCTAGTCTTCCAGGAGGCCAGAAGGAGAGTAGAATGGAGGGTGAGCTTCAGAGCACTGAGGACTGCAAGGGGGAACAGAGCTGCTGTCCTGTCTGCTTGGCAGTGACCAGCAGCTGCTTCTGGCCCTCCTGAAACAGGAGGCGAGTTACTGAGACAGTAGAGAAACCCTGAGTCTTTAGAACTGTATTATCTACCTGGGCCTTATAACCTGGACATGCCCAGGGGTAAAATATATCCAAGTAGAAATCTTCCTTCTCAGAACATACCCAGAAATAATGATTCTCTATTTTGAGTACTTTCTTGTGCAGTATACTAACCAGGTGCCTACTGCTATAAATTAATTTTTTTATTTTTCGTTTTTCTCTTTTTTGATGGAGTCTCACTCCGTCACCCAGGCTGGAGTGCAGTGGCACGATCTCGGCTCTCTGCAGTCTCAACCTCCTGGGTTCAAGCAATTCTCCTGCCTCAGCTTCCTGAGTAGCTGGGACTGCAGGCATGCGCCACCATGCCCAGCTAATTTTTGCATTTTTGGTAGAGGTGGGGTTTCACCATGTTTGCCAGGCTGGTCTTGAACTCCTGAGCTCAGCTCCTCCACTCACCTCAGCCTCCCAAAGAGCTGGGATTACAGGCGTGAGCCACTGTGCCCAGCAATTTTTTTCTTTAGTCTAAGTGTGCACATTAATGCATAGGAAATCCCCATCTTTCCCCAACCCCCTAGTTTTTCTTTTCCTCTTTTTAAAAACTGGATTTTCATTCATTCTTTCTCTTTCCTCCTCCCATCCCCTGCCCTCCCCAAGGCGTGTTATAGGTACCCCCAGACCATTGCGTTAAAGCGTTCAGGATAGTGCTCTGCTGATTTTAAAAAAACATTTAAAATAACATTTCCTGCTTTTTCTAATTAGAAAAGCAACATGTTTATCATAGACAGTTTGGAAAATACAGAAAAGCAAAGTGAAGAAAATAATTATCAAGGAAAACGATATGCCTTTCTTTTAAGCCATCATTTTCTCTCCATCTTTGCAGCCACAAACTCCTTTGTTCCACTTTTTACGTCTTAGAGTAGCTGGGGGTTGGCACACAGATGGTTGGAAGTCCTTGGATCTCACTGTGTTATAAGAGTACAGAAATACAGCAGGCAGCTCTTTGGCTTTGTTTTGAAGCCCTGAAGAATGGGAGAATGCTCTGCATCACTGGAGAACATTTGACTGCATTCATCTCCCAACAAGAGTGGTTGCTGGGAGGAATGAGCAGAAGGAGTGGTGTGTACCAGACTGTACAGGAGTCTTTCCTCCCTAGGCCTGGTCAGCTTTTGCCCTTGAACAGGGGAAGAGGATATCTGGGGATTTATATTTTCTATCAGAATTTGAGCCTTGTCACCTTGGCTGTCCCTCTGTGTCCTTGGGTTTTTAAAATGGAACCTCTTTGTTGTAAAATATTAGTTGTACAGTTGAATTTTTCAGAGTAGAATTGGGATCCAGAGTGAGAAACTTTCTCCCTGAAGGGGCTCCCTGGACTTTTGCTCTTGGTGAGTTGCTGGCAGATACTGACACTAGAAATAAGTGTCAGAGAGGTCTGATATCACTTCAGTTTCAGACTGACCCCAGAGCAACCCTTGAGGACAGCAGTGTGTAAGCTCAAAAAAGATTGTTCTAATTTTGATGACCCTCAGAGTTAAGGCTTCTAGGGGAACTCTTCATTTTCGTAAAAATCCGTCTGTGGGTGGTCACTGTGTTGAGAGATGAGAATTTATGGGTTGAAGTTGTTTTTATGATTTCAGAATAAGTGCTTCTACAATGGGATATTGGTCTTGGGAGTGTAGACGTTGTGGGACCAGGAGCTTTGCAGACTTCCCTTGTTCCCAATTTCTTGGATTTTTTTTTTCTATCCCTTCATTCCGTTGATTCTGATGTCCTAGTATTTTTTCCTAGATCCCAGATCAAGAGATACTTTTATTCCTAATTCTCCCTCTGAAAATTCTATGTCTTTCAGAACAAGATAGGGGAAAAGAGAAATGAGCTTATTAAAAACTATGATATCACAAGGTCAGGAGTTCAAGACCAGCCTAACTAACATGGTGAAACCCCGTCTCTACTAAAAATACAAAAATTATCTGGGTGTGGTGGCATGTGCCTGTAATCCCAGCTACTCAGGAGGCTGAGACAGGAGAATCACTTGAACCCGGGAGGCGTAGGTTGCAGTGAGCCGAGATTGTATCACTGCACTCCAGCCTGGGTGACAAAGCAAGACTCAGTCTCAAAAACAAAAACAAAAACAAACTACTATGGGCTGGGCATGGTGGCTCATGCCTGTAATCCCAGCACTTTGGGAGGCCAAGGCAGGAGGATCACTTGAGCCTAGGAGTTGAAGACCAACCTGGACAATGTAGTGAGACCTTATCTCTACTAAAAATAAAAAATAAAAAATTCACCGGGTGTGATGGTGTGTTCCTGTAGTCCCTGCTAATCCCAGAGGCTGGAGTGGGATGATTGCCTTACCCCAGGAGTTCAAGCTTGCAGTGAGCTATGATCATGCCGCTGCACTCCAGCCTGGGTGACGCAGCAAGACCCTGTCTAAAACAAACAAACAAAAAACTAGGGTGGTTAAAAAAAAATCTTGGTGAACAACCTCTCTTGTGGATTGTAATTTCTCAAAGAAAAATATGATGTAAAGATTCTTTCTTTTACTCTCCCTTCTGGGTGTCTCATCAAAAAGCGTATATTCCTGAGCTTTGCTGGCAATCGTATTATTTTTTCTCTCCACCTCAGTCCCTGTAACTTTCCTCTTTGTCCATTCTGGAGTTGTGGAGGTGATAAATGGGTCCAAAAATGCTGTTAAGAGTGATCTTTAGGTGGGCACAGGTTCTTTATGATATATCCCTAATCAAGAGCCTTTACAGGTTCTCCCCAAAGTCTCTTTGTGCAGGAATGGGAGCCTGCTGTGTTTTAGACTGGATGGGGCTCTGACCAAGTATTTTTTGTCTTTCCCCGCAGGGCATAGTAGTAGGTGCTCAGTGAAGATTTGTTGGATTGAAGTGGTTTGAATTAAATATGATTTGTATGTAATTTTATATTCAAATAAAGTCTGTTCCTGGTCTGAGTTACTTTTCAAATTATATATTGTTACTCTGAAGATTGTCATTTCCTGAATTTTATTTTCTTTGTTCCTTTTCACCCACTTGCTTCCATTGTTCCAAATTTAGTCGTGTTGGAAATCAGACTAGGTAGGTGTGGAAATAATTGTCGAATCAAATTGTTCAGTCAGGGGAAGGTGGGGGGTAGATGGCTAAAGACATCAGAATCTTTTGTCTGGGTTTTAGGGTCAGAAAATGGAAACTGGCAGAGCAAAAAGGTCAAAAAGTATCAGGAATACCCTGCTTTGCTTTAAATCTCTATTTGCCTTAGAGCAGTCATCTGTAGTGTGGTGACCACAGGCTTTCTAATGTCTATGGGTTTAACCCCCTAGAGAGCAATTCCTTTGGGGTGAGGAGACTGGAGGGGATATTCTTCCCTTCCAGGGGTCTTCTCATTGCCTTCTTTTTAATTTTTTAAATTTAAATTTTTTTTTTTTTTTGAGACAGAGTCTTACTCTGTCACCAGGCTGGAGTGCAGTGGCGCGATCTCTGCTCACTGCAACCTCCGCCTCTCCCGGGTTCAAGTGATTCTCCTGCCTCAGCCTCCCAAGTAGCTGAGACTACAGGCACGCATCGCCATGCCCAGCTAATTTTTGTATTTTTAGTAGAGACAGGGCTTCACCACATTTGCCAGGATGGTCTCGATCTCTTGACCTCGTGATCCACCAGCCTGGGCCTCCCAAAGTGCTGGGATTACAAGTGTGAGCCACCATGCCAGGCCCCATTGCCTTCTAATAGCCCTTTTCTCTTACCCTTTAGCTCTTGGCGCTTGACTTCCTATGTCCATCCCCAATATCCCTACTCCGTGAAAGTGAGGTGAAAATGCCATCATCTTTCTGCCTGTCCTGCTTTTAATCATCTTCCAAGGCAGCAGCAAGTGCAATTCTAGTCCCTTTCAACCCCTTCCATGTGGGTGTTAGACTGAATGTTTAGCTTCTTTATGAAGATGCACATTAGCCATTCAGAAACTTAATCTCATAATGATTTGTGTGTATTGGTAAAAAAGAAAAGCCATGATCTCTGACTGGTATACTCAGATGTTCCCTTTGGTCACTGATGGCAGGATTTCAGAAGCGAAGGACCATTTAATTTAATTTTGCAGATGGCAGGAGGTAAGCAGGAAAGCTTGGTCACAATATGCCCCCTCCTGGGAGAGTGGCTTCAGTAAATTCAGGTTGCCGAGAGCCTTAGATGTGAGAAATTTAACCCTCTGCCTTCTTTCCACTTCCCCTCCCTTATATAAAACTTGGTTGTTGTTTTTGTGTGTGGGGTGGGGGGGTGGGGTAGGGGGTGGAGTTGAGGAAGGGTGGGAAGGTGGAGTGAAGAAAATTGCCTGGGTTGAAAAGCCAGTGACTGATGTGAGATTACCTTGTAGTGATGTTGCTTTGGGCATATGGATTATGACCAGATACAGATTAACCCGTTCCTCTATAATTGTTTTATGGCCTCATCCTTCTGAAATTGCCTCCTTGTGGCCTGAAATCCTTTCTGGGGTTTTCCTTAGGCTGGGAACTCTGCTTGCAGATGAGAAATAAACCTACCTCTCTCCAGGGCATGAGTTCCACAGTGAAACTGAGGAGTAGATGGATGAGGAGTCTTCTTTTATTTTGTTTTTAGGGTGGTGCCCTTCCCACAGGGAAGCAAGCTGCGGATTCTGAATTTGTTAATTGCACAGCAGCTGAGTATTTGCTGCCTAGTCCTGTTGAAGTTCCAGGATTGGATATCCAAGCTGTTGGCTTTTAGGATACATCCCCAAATGGTCATCTATCACTCTTTTTTTTTTTTTTTTTGAGACGGAGTTTTGCTCCTGTTGCCCAGGCTGGAGTGCAATGGCATGACCTTGGCTCACGGCAACCTCTGCCTCCTGGGTTCAAGAGATTCTCCTGCATCAGCCTCCTGAGTAGCTGGGATTACAGGCATGTGCCACCACACCCGGCTAATTTTTGTATTTTTAGTAGAGACGAGATTTCTCCATGTTGTTCAGGCCATCTATCACTCTTTACGGCCAATAGTCACACCCAAAATTTTGGTGACTTTCACAGTCTGGCTATTGGATAAATTTGGTTTCGGATCTTGCCAAAATGAGGCAAAATTGTTTTTCTTCATGCTTCAGAGCCATGCTGCTCTATAAGGAAGTCTATATTAAATAGGTAAAGACATATTTCTTAATAAATCAGTCTAGATGATGGTATTCAGAAGCTTGACAAAATTATCTTCCTAAAACTTGTTTGTTCCTGCTTTGCTAAAGGTTAATAGAAATAACTCATGGATAAGTAGTGAACTTTTTAAAGTTGCTGTTTTTGTCTTAAATCCCTCCTGTCTTTGCTCTTTTCCCTTCCTTTGTGGTGGCTGCCAATCCTACCTTGCAGATAACTTCTCCCTCATGAAAACAGAGGAGGATCTGATATTATTAATTTATCCTGGTAGTTTGACCATTGTAATGCTGTCCGTGAACATTTGCATTTCAGTTGTTTATCTATGAGTAGAAGGCCCTCTGGCTGGGAGTGGTGGCTCTTGCCTGTAATCCCAGCACTTTGGGATGCTGAGGCGGACAGATCACTTGAGGTCAGGAGTTCTAGACCAACCTGGACAACTTGGTGAAAAATACTAAAAATGCAAAAATAAAAAAATTTAAAAAATTAGCCGGCATGGTGGCGCACGCTTGTAATCCCAGCTACTTGGGAAGCTGAGGCATGAGAATTGCTTGAACCAGGGAGTCAGGGTTTGCAGTGAGCCAAGATCATGCCACTGCACTCCAGCCTGGGTGACAGAGTGAGACTGTCTCAAAAAAAAAAAGAGAAGAAAATAGAGTAGAAGACCCTTTTTTTCTTTTAGCCACTACCAAGTAGGTGAAGATATACTTATATGTTTTACAATTATTCATTCATTTATTCATTCACTCATCTGTGCAACAGGTATTTTTTGATGATCATGTATCAGACACTACTCTAGATGCTTTATTTCAGTCAATACAATAAAGATCTCTGTGAGTTAACATTTCAGTTGGGGAAGAGGGAGACAAACAATAAACATGATGAATATATAAATTGCTAGTGTTTAGAAGGTAATAAGTACAGTAAGGAGCATCAAGAATGCTGGGTAGTTGTGAGGGGAGTTGCTTTTTAAAATTTTTTCTTCTTTCTTCTTCTACTTTTTTTTTTTTTTTTTTTTTTTTAAAGAGACAAGGTCTCTCTCTCTCTTGCCCAGGTTGGAGTGCAGTGGCACCATGATAGCTCATTGCAGCCTCCAACTCCTGGGCTCAAGGGATCCTTCTGCCTCAGCCTCCTGAAGTACTTGGGACCACAGTCACATACCACTATGCCTGGCTAATTTTTTAATTTTTAATTTTTATTTTTTAGAGACAGGGTCTCATTTTGTTGCCCAGGCTGGTCTCAAACTCCTGGCTTCAAGCAATCCTCCCACCTCAGCTTCCTAAAGTACTGGGATTACAGGTGTGAGCTACCTGTGCCTGGCCCAGGTTGCATTTTAAAATAAGGGGTAGGGAGCTTTTAGATGAGGCCTCATGGAATAGGTCACATTTGTGCAAAAATTTAAAGGAGGTAAGAGTGTAAGCCACGTGGATATTGGGGGAAAGGCATTTCAGGCAGAGGAAACAGCCAGTTTAAAGGCCTTAAGGTGGAGCCCTAAGGCTCAAGTGTGCTTGGTGTATTTGAGGAATGGCAAGAAGGCCACTGTGGCTGAAGCAGAGTGCTCTGGTGGGAATGAGGTGGAAGTACTAGGAGATGAGGTCAGAGAGGAGAGGGTGAGAGGTTTTTAGGAGGAAGGGAGGAGATGCCTGATTACATCATACCATGATAGGCTGTTGGCTTTTATTCTGTAAATATCTATATCTACATCAATTATATCTCTCAGGACTTACAACTTTCCATCTTTATCGTCTTCTGAACTCCATAAGATCTTTCTAAGAATTGAGGGGAAAGTTGATTATAAGGGAGAATATACAAAACCTGGCATCGAAGCCTTACTAGAGACCTGGAACCTACTCTTTTTGGGACTTGGTAAATTGATGAGATTCCATGCGCCCCCACCCCCCATTCTCTGGCATACAGAACAGGAATACTTATATAGCTTACTCTCAACCCAACCTTTCCCTTCGTCTGCTTCAAGAATCTCAAATACTTACGATTTTTGGCATATTTGACATTATTTTAGTTAATTTCTGAACATGTTTTCCCACTGTTAACCCTCTTACCCCAGACAGCATTTTGAAACACTTTTTTCTTTTTTTTCTTTTTTTTGGCAGGGTCTCTCTGTCACCAGGCTGGAGTGCAGTGGTGTGATCATGGCTTACTGCAGCCTTGACCTCCTGGGCTCAGGCAATCCTCCCACCTCAGCCTCCCAAGTAGCTGGGACCACAGACATGCACCACCACACCTGGCTATTTTTTTTTTTTTTTTTTTTTTTTTTTTTGTAGAGACAAGGTCTCCTTATTTTGCCCAGGCTGGTCTCGAACCCCTGGACTCAAGTGATGCTCCTGCCTCAGCTTCCCAAAAGTGCTGGGATTACAGGCATAAGCCACCGTGCTCGGCCCTGAAATGCTTTTCTCTACCACCTAATACTTTCCAGTTCTGGAAATGAACTTTCTGACAGCATCTCATTAAATGAAATAATAGAAGTGAAAGCACTTTGAAACTCAGAAAGTCCAGGAAGAAATCGGCTGGTTGTCTCCACTCTCTTCATTACCCACCTGCATGCTAGCGGATGTACATAGCCAGAGGATCACTTTGGAGGCATTTCATTTCATTGGCGGGCGAGGGGGCAGTTCTTTTGGCCTAGTTGAATATTAGGCATATCTGGATCTAGTCTAGCCCCGACCTCCTTACAAGTCTTTGTGCTACAAAGTCCAGCGTTGGTGTGGTTTTTCAAGGAAGGATATAGAATGGTTTATTTTGGATGAGAATTTCATTTTGTGTACCTGATTTTGTATTTTTTTTTTCCTCTTAAGACAAGGTTTCACTATGTTGCCCCAGCTGGTCTCCAGCTCCAAGGCTCAAGCAATTCTCCCGTCAGCCTCCTGAATAGCTGGGATTACAGGAACGTACCATTGCGCCCAGCCCTTGTTTTGTTTTTGAAAGCTGTCGTGTTACTGCTTAAAGTCTCCAAACTGTTATTGAGAACACTGACCAGAGCCCTGTCCATAGACCAGTGTTTTTCCAAGTGCAGATTGCAACTCCTTTGCAGAGTAGGTTGTGGAGCCATTTTAGCTGACTACTCACCAGCTTTCTTCAAAATGTAAATGGAATAGGATAGAAAAATAATGAAAAATTGTAAAGTGAATTGGATGCAAAAAGGGTAAATATTGTTGTGTCAGACTTTTTTGGGTGAGTGTGCATGTGTTCACATACTGGATCACATTATAACATGTATTGCTCATTATGGGTTGTGGTCAGAAAAAATTCAGAAAACGCTGTCTCAGACTGTCCCAAAGTTGTATTTGCTTATTATGGAACTGATGAGGATAGAAGATGAGTGGCTCAGAAGGTTGTATCTTGGTGAGATAAAAGAAGACATCAAATGA
Source organism: Homo sapiens (assembly GCF_000001405.40). Classification (NCBI taxonomy): domain Eukaryota; kingdom Metazoa; phylum Chordata; class Mammalia; order Primates; family Hominidae; genus Homo; species Homo sapiens. The sequence goes on from NC_000001.11 coordinate 121,262,232, forward strand.
CAGTTTTAGTTAGAAAAATAATCCCAATTGAGTTTGTTACTCTTCTATGAAGGTGGAAGATCCTGTGCCAGAACATTATGCTCTTCAGGTCAACAGGAACTAAGCTTGTTGTTTCTCTCTGCACAAAGAATTGTGCAATTTCCAGCGGGAACTCCCCTCTGGAGGTGGAGAGGGAAGGGGAAGGAAGAGTGGAGATAGAGGCAATTAGGCAGAAATCTTTACTGTGAGCCTTAGCTGACCCAGGATCTACACATAGTTAACTCTGAGGCTTTGTTGGAATCCGCCAAAGATTCATTGTTAAAGACAGGGAAAGCACAACTCATTTCCATTTATTTTAGTTCAACATTTATGCCAGCTCTGCGCTAGGTGCTGGGATATAACAATGAATAAGACATGGTCTTGGACTTAACGGTGCTCCTAACCTGGCAGGGAAGACAGATGTAAATTGCTAATTATTGTACATTGTACTGAGTGTCATAATACAGTGTAAAATGCTCCAGTTTATGAATTAGAGGAACTATGCTTTCAGCCTTTTATTCTGAGAAATGTGCCATTTAATAATAAAGAACTGGGATACGGGTTTTTTTTTCTAAAATTTGGGGAAGACTACTTTGTTGAAAAGGAAAATGAAATTTCCAAGGGAATCAGGTTCATCCAGTCAAGCTATTGTGTTATTTTGTGTCTTTTCCTCTAAAAGTATTCTAATGTCAAAAAATTTTTTAAATCAAGTTGACATAATACACACCTGCCCAGGGAACCTGGAGACCTGTAAAATAATTTAAAACCATTTTTTTATCATATCTTTAAAAAATACTGGCAAACATAGTAATAAGAATTTGAGACTGGGTGTGGTGGCTCATGCCTGTAATCTCAGCACTTTGGGAGGCTGAGTTGGGCAGATCGCTTGAGGTCAGGAGTTTGAGACCAGCCTGGCCAACATAGCGAAATCCTGTCTCTACTAAAATACTTATAATCCTAGCTACTCCAGAGGCTGAGGCATGGGAATCGCTTGAGCCCAGGAGGTGGAGGTTGCAGCCAGCTGAGATCACACCACTGCACTCTAGCCTGGGTGACAAAGCAAGACTCTGTCTCAAAAAACAAACAAACAAAAAAAACTTGAACCCGGGAGGCGGTGCTTGCGGTGAGCAGAGATCACACCACTGCACTCCAGCCTGGGCGACAGAGTGAGACTCCGTCTCAAAAAAAAAAAAAAAAAAAACTTCAGTGCTTTTCTTTGTTGGAACCTGTAACACTTTGCTTTTACATTATCATTGATTTTTAAAATTACTAATAACTTTTTGAGACATGTAAAATCATGACAAATTCTACAGAAGTTCTATCAAAGCAAGTCATGTAGTGTGTTCAGGGTCCAGAACCTGAGTTCACCAGCTCCAGGCTGATTCACTTTTGTCAGCTGCATCCAACCTAAGCCTAGAACCAGATTGAATCAAATGCTAAGTTTTAATGTCTTTCATTTGGTTCTTTTATTTAGTTCAGTGTTTCTTACTGCTAGCTGACTTGGCTCTGAATTTTGTTCCTGCCTCAAGCAAATTCTGAATATGCCCATCTATGGATTTGAACAGTAGGATGTTTTTTCAGAGGTGTGAAATGATCAGGCAGCTTGATAACTTTAGACATACTGTACGTTATGAAGCATTTTCTTGCTTCTTGTTGTCTTTTTCTGGTGGATTGAGTCAATGCAGTTGGTAGAATCTTTTCCACTTATGTTATTGAGGCATGTGGTTGAAAAGTGACCTTTAAATGGTGTGAGGTGGGTAGGCAGGGGATAAATTCTTACCACAGTTTCTAGGATGAGGAAAGTGAAACTCAGAGGCCCAAATCTTCTGACTCACACAGTGATTCTGGGGCTGTCTGTAATATCTAAATGATGAGACTGATCTACTTGCAAGGTCAGGGCATGTGGTCATTTTCTTGCTAGCCTTTGGATCACCAGGCTGTCAGCATTTTGAGGGGGAGTATTTGCATCTTGCTTTATTTGGAAGATTCAGCTTGAGGGAGTCATTATTAGAAGATTCTTAGAACACTTGAGCCCTCTGAAAATGAAAAGTCTCACATTTCCCTTCTACTTTGGCTCTCTGTTGGAGGGGAACACTTATGTCATTAAAAACATTGTACTTTGCTTATCTAATTCCCACTCTGTGTTCACATTAATAGCTTCCCATTGCTCTTAGGAACAATTCCATACTTCTTCAGACTATTTGCAATACTCACCAGAGCTTGACCCCTGCTTCTTTCAACAGTCTCATCTTTTTTTCCTCTTCTCATTTAAATTCTATGCTTCAGTTACCCTGAATTTCTTCGATTATTTCGGTTCCTTGCATGCAGCTTCTTTTCTGTTGCCTCTGGGCCTTTGAACATGCTGTTGGCTGGAGTACTTTTCCTGCCTTCTTCCCATAGGTAATTCCAATCCTTTACATCTAGCTCCTCTGCAAGCCCCTTGCTGAGCCCTAGACCAATTTCTGTATACTCCTACAGCATCGTCTTTTTCCCCGATAATGGGCTTTTTACATTGCAATTACTTCTTATGGTAGTCTGTCTTCTCTGGTAGACTAGATTCCTTTGGAAGGCAGGCCCAAGAAGCTGGTTTAAATTACTGGAGTCTGACTAAAAAGACTTTTATATTAGACTGGTATTTCCCAACATTTAAAAATTTATGAACTTGGGCAGGGCATGGTGGCTCACGCCCATAATCCCAGCACTTTGGGAGGCTGAGGCGGGTAGATCACTTGAGACCAGGAGTTCAAGACCAACCTGGCCAACATGGTGTAACCCCATCTCTACTAAAAATACAAAAATTAGCCGGGCATGGTGGCACACCATTGTAATTCCAGCTACTCGGGAGGCTGAGGCTCACTAGAATTGCTTGAACCCAGGAGGCAGAGGCCGCAGTGAGCCGAGATCATGCCACTGTACTCCAGCCTGGGCAACCAAGTGAGACTCTGTCTCAAAAAAAAAAAAAATGAACTTCTTTCAGAGTAATATAATTTTGTGAACCCCCTCAGGAATTTAAAAAATAATGTCATTACTTTTATAGACTATTATAAAGCAAATTTATGTAAAATATTTTCTTTTACATCAACATTATTAAATTATTATACAGCTTATTTTAATATACACTTTAAAATTTAATAGCGTCCATTTTATATAAAGATGTTTTCTCATTTAATAGGTGATATACACTAATTTATTTAAATGAATTATGTAAGCGTGTGATTTGTTTAAAATTTATAATAAAATATAGTGCTTAGTTTGAGACCAAATATACATTAAAAATATAGTTGGAAATTTAATTACTTGCTAACACATTTTTTAAAAATAAGAGAAACCTGCATTCTTGACCTAATGTTTGGAATTTTTGCATTTCACACTCTAGAATGACTGCTTCTTACATGTAATTTTTAAGTTTTGTTTCTACATGGTAGCGGTTACCACAGAGAGTTTCAACTGCATATCTACAAGGGAGTAACACCTTGTAGCTATGGAATGCCTTTCCTCTAACAGTTACAAAGCCAATTTGGATATGTTTATCTCTATATCTTATGTCTTTAATATTGGATTTTGAAATACTAAAGATTTAATCAGGTAAATGTAACCTAGTGATCTGGTGAAAATCATCTAGATGTGAATTGGATGGCTTGGTACTGTTTTTTATGCTTCTAGTTGACAATTGGGTTTTATCAATGTCTTAGACTTCTTGTTGTTGGTTTTTTTGTTTGTTCGTTTGTTGTTGTTGTTGTTTTTGAGATGGAGTCTCACTCTGTTGCCCAGGCTGGATACAATGGTGCAATCTCTGCTCACTGCAACCTTTGCATCCTGGGTTCAAGTGATTGTCATGCCTCAGACTCCCGAGTAGCTGGAATTACAGGTGCCTACACCACACCTGGCTAATTTTTGTATTGTTTTGTAGAGATGGGGTTTCGCCATGTTGGCCAGGCTGGTCTGGAACTCCTGACTTCAAGTGGTCCTCCCCCTTCGGCCTCCCAAAGTGCTGGGATTATAGGCTTGAGCCACCATGCCCAGCCAACTTCTTGTTTTTAATCCACAGTCCACTATGACTGTACATTTTATGATATATGACAAAGAATAAGAGCAGTGAAAAACTGTAGAATGCTCATACCATCTTGGCCTAAGTGGTGGTTGCAAAACCACCATGGCCTAGATAATGATGTTTATTAGCTCATCACCCCTAATCATTGTGCATACTCACTTGATATATCTGAGGCTCTAAACTGCCCAATTATAAAGGGATAATTGGGAAAACAATAAGGTTGTTGATTTTTTAAAAAAGGAAACGAAGGAGTTGCCATGATTGCGGTTAGCAGTGTGAAGACCCTGGAAGACCTGCTTGAACTTCTGGGGTGTTCACAGTCTATTGCTTGGTCAGGAGCCTTAGAAAACTTAGACATATGTGTTAGGAGACCAGGTTTTGAAACTTGCTCAGGGTTGCATAAACTTCTACATTAAGTTCCATGATGCCAGATTAGTAGTCCACATTTGCATAGTAGACATGCTGTTGCTGTTCCTTTTCTTATCACGAAAAGAGCAGAAGATGCAGATTATACCTGAGACAGAAAGATACAGGGGAGATACTGAGCTTGTCGCCTACCTTTGGGCGCCTCTCATGCCTTGTATTTCACATTGAGCCTCACTTATCAGTGACACAGGGAATGGTCCTTTTGCTCTCCACCTTCCCCATGGCTGCCTGGAGGCAGGGGAGGCAGATTGTGCCACTTGCTGACATTGTGTTGCTGTGGATTAGTTGGAGGGACAGGGACAGGAAACTTTCCTGGTGGTGCATGTGTCACTGGGGCTCACACGGGTACTTTTAAATCTTCTTCTCACTGGCCTCTGTGATTCTGTGAACCTGGTTATTACATGTTCAAAAAGTGTCAGCTTATTTGAAAGGGATATTCTTATTTTGTATTTAAACATTACGAAAGATCATCACACTTTTTTTTGGAGACAGAGTGTTGCTCTGTCACCCAGGCTGGAGTGCAGCGGTGTGATCTCGGCTCAGTGCAATCTTTGCCTTGTGGGCTCAAGCGGTTCTCATGGCTTGGCTTCCTGAATAGCTGGGCTTACAGGTGCACCACCATGCCTGGCTACTTTTTGTATTTTTAGTAGAGATGGGGTTCTGCCATGTTGGCCAGGCTGGTCTTGAACTCCTGGCCTCAAGTGATCTGCCTGCCTCAGCCTCCCAAAGTACTGGGATTACAGGTGTGAGCCACCACACCTGGCCCATCACACTTTTTGGGTTTCAGGATGCCAACAGATCCTGGATTCTGGCATCTGGATTATGGTAGCAATATTGAAAAAAATATTATAGTGGGGAGTAAAATTTAGGAAAACCTTGCAAATTTTTATTCTTACTCAGGAGCTTTGTCTTCATACTCCATGGTCAGCCCTGGGCAATTAAAACTTTTGTTCCAGTAAAGGTTTCATTCTAAAGAGGTTTCATTAATTATGAAAAATTCCCCGTGGGCATTACATTGTGAATCCTTTTGTAGCTATCATAAATAATGAAGGAAAAACACTTGTCAAAATATAGCAGAGGTGACTAGATAATGCATCTCTCCTTTGATTTTTGATGGGTTTCCTTTTTTAATTTTTAAAGGAATAACTCTTGCTTATTTTTTTAAAAAAGTAAATACTCATTATAAAAAATTCAAGCAAAACTGTAAAGTAAAAAGAAGCCAGCAATAAATTGTTCCAAATCCCATCACCCAAAAAACAGCTCTTGATTCATTCATTCAATGTGCCTTTATTGAGTGCTTACTCTATGTGAGGCACTGTGGCATCGGGGATCAGCAGGGAACAAAGTGAAGTCCCTACCATCATGGAACTTACACTCTAGTGGGAGGAGAAAATGATAAACACCTAAATAGATTTACAAGTGGCATGAAGAAAAATTAAAATGAGGTAAGAGCATAGAGAGTGTCGGGGCACTTTCAGATGGAGTGGTCACAAAGGCTGCTGTGAGCAGAGAGCTCAATGAAGTGAGAGAGCTAACCACGTGACTGTGGGGAAGTATGCTTCCAGCGAAGGGAAGCATATGCAAAGGCCCTGAGGTGGGTGTTTGCTTGCCATGTTCTATGACCAGAGAGGCCAGTGTAGCTGGGGGCCAGTGAGTAAGGGTGAACTGGGCCATGTAAGGTTTTGGAAAGCCATTACCTTTTCTCCACTGGGAAGCCATTGAAAGATGATGAGCAGGGCTGCAGTGTGGAGAGTAGACTGCAGGGAAGCAAGGGAGGAGGCAGCAAGACCAGTTAGGAGCTACCACAGCAATTCAGAACAAAATGAGGCTGAGTTGCACTGTTCAAAAGGTGGAAGGGATAGGAAGGGTTGAATTCTAGACTCATTTTGAAGGTAGAGCTGATAGGATTTGCTCATGAATTGGATTGGGAATTTGTAAGAGAAGAGTCAATAATAACTCTGAAGATTTGTGGCCTGGCAGGTGAATGGTGGTACCGTTACTGGGGTAGGGAACGTGCTGGGGTGTGGTCAGGATGGGGTGTCAAGAGTTCAGGTTCGGGCATGTTAAGTTCTAGGTACCTGTTAGATGGCTATGAGGAAATGGTAAGTCAGTTGGAGGCTGGAGTTGACTGAGAGATCTAGACTGTAGATACAGATTTGGGAATCACCAGACATAGAATGGAATGGGATCTGATAGGAAGCAAGGAGAGATAGAAAACAGATCCTATGACTGAATCATGCATGGGGCATTTCAGCATTTAGATGTTGGAAAAGGAGAGGGCCCAACAAAGGAGACAGAATGTGTGTCTGTAGCATATCAAGAGAGTGTGGTGTTCTCAGGCCAGTGATGGTGGTGGTGGAGTCTCAAGAGTTGGCAATATTTAGCCATGTGCAGGTCATTACCACCCACCACAAGAGTGGTAGAAGCAAGAGCCTGGTTACAGTGGCCTTAAGAGAAAAAGGGAAGAAAGAAGGTGGAGGCAGGGAGTACGGACACCATTTTGAGTCTTAATGTAAAGAGAAGCCACGATGAAAAGGTAGGTGGGTTGGGAGAAGGGAAGAGATCAAGGAAAATATGCGTTTGTTTGTTTAATAAGATGGGAGAAAATACAGTGTGTTTGACTGCTGCTGGTAATGGGCCAGTAGAGATGGAAAATGATGATACGGAAAATAAGAGTGTATAATTTTAGGAGGAAAGGGCTTGAGTAAGCAAGAAGGGGTGGGTTCTGGTTTGCAGGTAGAAAGATAAACCTAGGTTAGAGGCTGAGACAGGGCAGGCAGGTAGGAGGGGAAGGCTCTGGATTTGGTAATGGTGCATATGGACTTTCTCTTCCAGTGTTAACATTTGGTACACATAAACAGAAGGGTGGCTGGTGAGGGTGAAATAATTTTATAAGAATGGCATTATACCATATGTACTATAAAAATAAAAATAACTGCATTTCTTTTTACTTGAATTTAACAGAAGAAAAGAAAACTGAAATGAAAGTGAAAGAGCTGCTGTACTTTTTTCTCTACCAAAGATAATAGTTCCTAAAAGTTTTCTCTAAGGTTAAAAAAAGATTATGAAAACTGTTAGGAGGCTAAAGTCACTATTAATATTTTTAAAGACATTTTTAGTTATATCTTCACTTTAGATGATTGTCTGGAAGAATTAGGTAATTCGTGTTTTTAAACTTCCTTGCACTACTCTTCCTATCTCTCAATTTTTATAGCTTATCTTTTTTTTGTTGTTTCTTTTTTTGCCTTGGCAATTTTCTAACATTTACATTCCAACTTGCATGCTCCCATTTTTTGGTCTTGGTGCCATATGTAGCCACTTGTTCTTTGATCGTGGCTTTCCTGTTCCTGTGGTTTTTGTTTTGATTGATCTACTGGGTGCAAGATTTCTGTTTCTCAAGACGAGTTCGTGGGTGCTACATAGGCTGAGATCTTTCAAGTTGCAGAGGAAGAGAGATGTCTGAACCTTTTTTACACTTGAGTGATGACTCAGCTTCTCCTAATATTCTTGGATCACAGTTGCTCTCTATCAGAATTTTTTAAGACATGGCTACTTTATCTTCAGGCCTTGAATATTGCTGTGGAGAAGTCTGAGACCAATCTGGGTTTCTGCTGTATTTTGTTAGCAATCCATTGATTCTTAAATAACTCTTTCTTTATCCTTGAAGGGCAAAAATTTAAACATTATAAGTCTTTGTTGATTTTTCTGTGTTCATTTCATGATATATTATGGGCCTTTTCTATTCACAGATTTAGTTCTCTGGATATTTTTTTCTGTTTTATTTATTGTCTTCCTCTGCATTTATTGTGAGTCTCTTAAGCCTTTTTTTTACACACCATTAATTAGATATTTAAAAACTTTTTATTATAAAAAATTTCAAATATATACAGTAGAGAGACTAGTGTTATGGATTCTCATGTACCCATCATGCTACTTTGATAATCATCAGCTCAGGGCCAATTTTGTTTTATCTGTATCCCTCACCCATTCCCACTCTCCTCCATTACTTTGAAACAATAGCAGATATAATTTATCTTTGAATATTTCAATATTTAAGAGATAAGGAGGTTTTTTTTTTTTTTTTGAGACGGAGTCTCGCTCTGTCGCCCAGGCTGGAGTGCAGTGGTGCCATCTCAGCTCACTGCAAGCTCCGCCTCCCGGGTTCACGCCATTCTCCTGCCTCAGCCTCCTGAGTAGCTGGGACTACAGGCGCCCGCCACCACGCCCAGCTACTTTTTTTGTATTTTTTTTTAGTAGAGACGGGGTTTCACTGTGTTAGCCAGGATGGTCTCGATCTCCTGACCTCGTGGTCTGCCTGCATTGGCCTCCCAAAGTGCTGGGATTATAGGCGTGAGCCACCGCGCCCAGCTGGACTGTTTTTTTTTTTGGTGTTTTGTTTTGTTTTTTTAAACTTAACCACTAATAAGTTTCATCTAGTCTGTTTATAATCTTTTTACTAAATATATAACAACATTGCCTTGTGGTGTTTAGATCAGCAACTTCTTTGCTCCAAAGGTACAGTGAATGATGACGGTTGCTGGGCCTCAAAATAAGGAAGACGAAACTAAGAGAACAGGCCACAGGACTCTCCCTGATGTTGAATGGCAGCACCTTAGATTGGGCAACAGTAACATGAGTTGCATACATAGGAAGTGCCCACTGGTTCCTGGGTGTTCTCTGAATTTCTAGTGCTCACGTGAACTGTGGAGGGCAAAGGAGGAGGATACGGAATGTACAGTTTCTTTTACAGCAATAAGTGAAACTTAGGCCCTTTCTGATTTAATAATAGCCCATGAAGAAGGAGCTGAGTGGTTTGAAGACTGTTCTAGTTCTGCCTTTGGTGGCCATGTGGTTTATTCCACAGCTTTTCAAACTGCAGGTTGAGACCTTTTACTAAATCATGAAAGCAAATTAGTGAGCCACAACCAGCATTTAAAAAGTTATAGAAAATATCAGAGTTCATGACTAAGGATAAATGTTGTTTCATGACACTTTTCAGTTGTGTGTGTATGTGTGTGTGCATGTGTGTTGGATTGCCAAAGTTTGAAGCCACTAGTTTTGTTCAATTCCTATCACTTTCTGTACCTTCTTTATCGAAAAGTTAAAGGATCAAAGAACCTATGGGATAGATTTTATGTATTATCAGAAATGTATATAAGTCGGGCACGGTGGGTCATGCCTGTAATCCCAGCACTTTGGGAGGCCAAGGCAGGTGGATCACCAGAGGTCAGGAGTTTGAGACCAGCCTGACCAACATGGTGAAACTTTGTCTCTATACAAAAAAATTGGCCCGGCGTGGTGGCAGGTGCCTGTAATCCCAGCTACTTGGAAGGCTGAGGCAAGAGAATTGCTTGAGGCTGGGAGGCAGAGGTTGCAGTGGGCTGAGATTGCTCTATTGCACTCCAGCCTGGGCAACAGAGCGAGACTCCATCTCAAAAAAAAAAAAAAAAAAGAAGAAGAAATGTATGTAGTGCTTACAGTATAATGTACCAGGAATTATTCTAATAACTTTACAAATATTAACTCATAAAAACTCTGTGAGGTAGATACTGTTATTAACAAAATTTTACAGAATAGGGACATTCTTTCATAGAGAGATAAGTAATTTGCCCAAGGTCACACATAGCTAGTAGGTGGTGGAGCTGGCATTTTGAGCCCAGGCAGTCCAGTTCCAGGGTCAGACTTTTCTCTGCGGCCTCTCCAGTGGATAGCATCTCTAGATGATGGCATGGACTTTTTCCTGCTATTGCCTTCAAGAAGAAATGGTAAAAAGGTGGTTCCCCCTCTTTCCCAACACATACACCTAAACATTCAGAGTTAAGACAGCGAGAATGAGGATTCTTAATTTGGTGAAGGTGAAGGAATTCGGGGATTCTTTTTGTTAACCAATCAACATTGCCAGCCTAGCACTAAAAGATTCCACTATGACAGACAACCACATGAGGCCGTATCTCAGCATTAGAAACAAATGGATGGGGGAGAGTGGTTAAGAGCACTGATTTTAAGAATTAAACACATCTAGGTTCAAATCCTGTTGTGATCTGTTACTGTCTGAGTGAGCTTAGGCAGTTAACTGATCTCTCTGAACCTCAGTGGTCCCTCTTTGTGAAATGGGAGGAATCGTGGTTGCCTTTTAATGGAGGCTTACTAGGCATCAGGCATGTAGCAAGCACTTTATATTCTCCATCTCTTTTATTCTTCATAACAATCCAGTGGAGTGGCTGCTATTACAAACTCCATTTTGTAGATAATGAAAACAACTTAGAGAGATTAAGTGTCTTGTTCAGGGAGACACAGGTACCAGGTGGCAGAACTACAATTAAAATCCAAGTTTTTCTGAATGCGGTCTATCCTCTTAATCACTCAGCTTTGCTGTGAACTAATCTCCCTGGGGTGTTTTGAGGATTAAGTGAGATACCTTTATACTTGAATAGTGACTCAATAGGAGCCTACTTGGCACATAATAAGCACTTAATAAATGGGATATGTGATTACTAGTAAATATATAAGATGTGTCTGCCTATAACTTTTGTGGGGACAGTTTACCTTTCCATAAAAAAAAACTGTGGTCAACTAAATCAGTTCTTATAACCAACCAGTCACTTCACATGTATATTGAGTTGTTGAAAAATAAATGGTTATCTATTCTGAAGGATCTGCTGGGCAGATTCTTTCATTGGAATAAGTTTTGTCAAGGACGGGACTGTCTACCCAACATCCAGAACAGTACCTGTCACAAGGTAGGTGTCTTAGTCTAGAGTCCTTGAAAATATAAATTAGAGGGAGAGGCAAAAGCGTACACTTCATTTGCAAGAGTCATCCCAGGGAAGCAGGAATGGGGAGAAAGGGAAGGAGGGAGAACATAACAAGAGATTGCTTATAAGTTGACTATAGCTTCATGAGAGGATGATTGCTTGGTCTTGTGGGACATCTTCACGTAACTATGTGAAGCTACTGCATCTCTGAACAGTCCACTGGGGCAAGGAGGGAAAATATTTCATTCTTCAATTTCTATCTCCTGTAGGTCAAAGTTTGATTCTTGGAGCCTCCACTTCTCTGTACTTGTTGTTGACATGACTGCTGATTGAATAGGTCACTCCAAGTCTCATGCTTCAGTAGCAGGAGAGAAAGCCTGGGTGGGATTGAGAGTCACGCAGCAGGGGTAGAAGGCAATGCACTGTCAGGCTGGTGCATCAACAACATATGAAGGCCCAGGAACAGCCATTGCAACAGGAACTGGGCAGACTGTTTCAGCCAGCAGCAAGGTAGTTGTGTTCATCTGGGGTGATGCATAAACTGAATCTGGCAGAGCAGGCCCTCAATAATGATAGACTTCTCATTGCCAAGGTTAATGAGCTCTTTGCCTTGCTGTCTTATTTAAATACTCCATAGTTATTGACACTTTTGTACATCTCTCTTCATTCTTAATCTACTTTCCTATCTCTCCTTGCTTTGCTTTCCACCTAAATGGGGATATCCTAAGCCTACATCTTTTTAATTCTACATGCTGTCTATGGACAGCTGCATTCACTTTGCTGGTTAACTTCCTAACTGCCATCTATAATATTTGCTGATGGCTCCCAAGTGTCTATTTCTAGACTTGACCTCTCCTGAGAACAGAAGGAGAATACAACTGCCTTTTCCAGTAGGATGCTTTGTAGGCATTTCACGGGCCAACTGAACTTCTTGGTCTTCTTTAATCATTTTTGTTTGTCCTTCTCACTGGTAACGAATAGGTGCTTGGTCCCTGCTTGTTGAACTAAACTTGAAACAATGTGCCAGTACTTATGCTAAGCTGGGTCCTGCACAAAATGAAGTGAACTCTCCAGAGCCAGCTCTACAGGAACGTAGGGTCTGGATTTTAATATTGATCTGGTTTGTTTTCAACTCGATTGTGTTGGAGCCTTGAGAACATACAGTGTGCCTTTGTCCTCTAAGAGAGTGGACATGTTTGAACTGACATTTGGTCTTTTCAGGAATTGTTTGGTAGGAAATTTCTTGGATTTTTACTCTCCTTGAGCTTTGACTCTTCTTGGGCTGTCCTGCTTTTCAAGACTCTCATTTTGCTTTGTCCAGAGTTTACAGAGCCCTTTAGAACTGTGTTTGTATCTGTTCTGCTCATCAGGCATGCAGGACCCTCTCTGCTGGCCCTGGCCTGCTTATTTACCCCTTCTCTTCATACTCTTCTGTGTGAACCTTCAAGTCACAAGGCTTCTCACAGCCTCCTGAGCTTCATCTGCCCATTTTAGCCTCTTTGACTTTGCTTTGCTAACTACAGCCCTTCATCTGTCATCCCCCTCGCTTCTGTTTAAATCCCCCCCACCCAAGGTCTCAAGAGGTCCATGCTAGATTTTACTGATTTCTTCCTCTCTTAATGTAGTCTGGGACCATTATTTTGGCACTTAGGATGCCAGTCTTATACTCTTAAATATTTTTGCATTTAGTCCTCCTTTTCTCCAATTCAATTGTAAGCTCCTTGAGAGTAAGAGACTGTCTTACATTTTCTTGTGTAAATATCTTACATTTTCATGTGTGTTCCAATGATTCATCACCCAGATCTTCCCACAGAGTTGGTGTTAGATAAATATTTGCTGGGTTTGTTGGTTGATTATCGTGGTCCTTGGGAACTGACTTGCAGCTTGTCACTAGCAATGAATCAGGAGCATCAGACTAGGTGACATTTCCCAGAGGAGCTGCTGGTCTTCACATCCTGCATCTTTAGTTTGTGGTACAAGTTAATTCTAAATTTTGGACCTTGAGAATTCTGTTTCTTAAACATCTCAGGCAAGACCTAGGAGCTAAAATTACTACTTTGGCATTTGATGTGGCAGCTTTTTCACTTGGGATCCTTTTGTCTTTAACTTGCTTTTGAGTCACTTGAAAGAACTAAGGCAGCCTGCCAAAGTAGTCACGATGATATTGAAATATCCCTCTCATTGGCTTTATGAGATTGTCTTCTGTGCATTCACTTGGGGCTGGAAAGTTAATGGATGACTGAACGTCTTTTGGAAACTTGTAGGGCCATTTTTCTTCTTCTCTTTCCCACTAGCTGGTTTCTCTTTGTTACCAAAGGTGCATGCATTGTTTTTAGGTAGTGTGGAGTTAATGTAAGGGGAGGAGTGTTTCTTTCTTTCATAGCTTTGGAATAATCTACCGCACAGGGCAGACAGTTTTGAAGATGGCCATGTTTAAAGTCCATCAGAGAAAACTACAGTCAAAAGGAAAGCCAGGGAGGCCAGAGTTCCAGTCACAACTGCCCCCACTACCCCCTTCCTCCCACCAAGATTACTGTCTTACCTTTGAACCCAAGGATGTCTCTTATGGCTCCAGTTTGCTGACTACTGTGAAGGGAAGTATGGTTTGGAATCATACTATAGAGTCATGGGCTCTAAAGTACGTGTTATTGCTAATGATTGGTGTTGGTATGTGCAGGGATTTTCCACTCATGGAATTCTCCTACTCATTTTGACCTCTCTACCATTCAGCTTGTATTGCTCATTAATGTTCACTCCATTTCTTCATTTAGACAGCATAGGACTACATCCAGCAGACTTCCTTCACTGTGATCTTGCTTCAACTCCATTTATTACATTCATCATGACACAAACTTTTACCAGCTCCATTTCTGGCTGCTTGAGATCCAAACTACTCTATTGGCCTTTGGAGCTATTCCTCCTCTTGCACCTTTATCTTTGACCAAGCCTCAGTGCCACCTTTTGTTCCAGTAAGGACATCTTCCTCCCTACCCCACAGAGAGGCCACGCTCAAACATTCCTATCTCTTGGTGTACGTTTTCTCTTACTCTGGAATATCCTCTCCTCACCCTTCATTTACTGAAATCCTACTCTTCCTCAGAATACTACTTCAGATTTCTGTTTCCTTCCCTTTCTCTCTCTCTTTCTCCTCTCCTGCCTTCCCTCCACAAACTTGGAGGCCTACTATAATGCTAGGTGTTGTTCTGGGTCCCACAAGTACATTAGTCAACTGAACAGACAAATTTATTCTTTTTTTTTATTTTTATTTTTTGAGATGGAGTCTCTCCCTGTCACCCAGGCTGGAGTGCAATGGTGTGATCTCAGCTCACTGTAACCTCTGCCTCCTGGGTTCAAGCGATTCTCCTGCCTCACCCTCCCAAGTAGCTAGAATTACAGGTGTGTGCCACCATGCCTGGCTAATTTTTTGTATCTTTAGTAGTGATGGGGTTTTACCATGTTGGCCAGGCTAGTCTCAAACTCCTGACCTCATGATCTGCCTGCCTCGGCCTCACAAAGTGCTGGGATTACAGGTGTGAGCCACTGTGCTCGACCAAATTTCTTCTTTTCAAGAAGTTTAGACTACCTCCAGAAGCCTGACTATAGTAATGGGATTCCCCACTGATCTTCCTGAGCTTTCAACACTTTCATTGTAGTATTTATTCTTAATTTCATGTCCTTATAGTATACAATAACATAATTTCTGTACTATATAATTATATATCTTGTGCAATTATGTAATATGAATTGTTATGTGAAATTTTGAAATGTATATTTGGATCATGTCTTCACAATTAGATTGTAATTTCTTGAGAACAGGGAACTTCATACTTCAGAAATCCTCACTTTATCCATTACCGCCCCTTTGCAAGGGACCAAAAATCCAAGGCAAAGTGGTTTTTTTGTTTGTTTCTTTTTTATGTATCTTTTATTTTATTTATTTTATTTTTTTGAGATGAGGTCTTGCTATGTTGACCAGGCTGGTCTCAGACTTCCGGCTTCAAGCAGTCCTCCCATCTGGGCCTCCCAAAGTGCTAGGATTACAGGTGTGAGCCACCATGCCTGGCCTAGGCAAAGTGTTTTAAGCGAAAATTGAATGAATTGACTTGTGTCACTGAAAGGTCCAGGGATAGGGCTGGCTTCTCATCGTGACTTCATTCAGATACTCATGTTTCCTTCTCCCCATCTCTCAGCTCTGCTTCTCTGGGCCAACTCCATTCTCAAATGGGCTTTCCACTCACGGTAGCAAGATGGCAGTGGCAGTGTCACACTCTCTTTGTCCCCAGGTCTTCCATCTCCCAGCCAAGGCCTGGATTTGAGAAAGCACACTATCTTTGGAGAGGGCAGGGGTGGGATCAGTTTTACTGAAAGCATGTGGACCGAGAGTGGGGAAAACATGGATATAAGGAATGAAAAACAATTATTTCAGAAACATAATAGCTATTTGTTGGTTGGTTGTGCCTTATGTATTTAGTTTTTTGAGACAGGGTGTTGCTCTGTCACCCAGGCTGGAGTATAGTGGCACAATCACGGCTCACTGTGGCCTTGACCTCCTGGGCTCAAGCAAGCCTCCCACCTCAGCCTCCCAAGTAGCTGGGACTAAAGGCATGCACCACCTCCCCCCGCCAGCTAACTTAAAAAAAAAATTTGTAGAGCTGGGATTTTGCCATGTTGCCCAGGCTCGTCTGGAACTCCTGAGCTCTAGTAATCGGCCCACCTCGGCTTCCCAAAGTCCTGGGATTACAGGGGTGAGCCACTGTGCCTGGCCTGTTTTGTGCCTTACTTAATAGAGTAAAGTAATGCAGAAAAAGACTATCAGTCACACTCTTTGAGGAAGAATATTTGCTGTTTCCTAGTTTACTGAAAGTATCTTGATGGCCTTTTCTTGGAAACTGACTACTCATAGGTAAGTAATGTCAGTCACTGAGGATGTGTTATAGCACATATAACACATTGAGGGTGGTGCTGTGTCTCTCTCTCTGCTCTGTGCGCATACTCATTTGTTTATATTATTATTTAACCTTGTTTGTTACCGTTTTTTTCTTCTTTCTTCTCCACTACCCTGCTAACTTTGAGGAAGAACTTTTTGTCTGTATTCCCAGAGCACCCGGAAGGCACTCAAATAGATGTTTGCAATGAGAGTAAGTAAAAGTAGGAAAGGACATTGGGAACTCAGTGACTTGGATTTCAGTCTTGGATCTGCAACTAAATAGCTGTGTGATCTTGGTCAATCCCCTTTGCTGCTCTGAGCTTTGGTTCTCACATCTGTCCAGCAAGGATTTTTGAGTCCTCCCTTTACTAAGTTCATAGAAAGGCAAACTAGCAGAGTAGAGAGCAAGACTTGGCAGGGCATTCTGGTATTTTGTTTCCTGAGGAACAGTTTTGAGAGGGGCTGATTACTGTTGTGATAAGAAGTCTTGGTAAGAGATATGGAGGGTAGCGCCTGAAAGCCTCAATTGTATTCTTATGTAACATTCTCTGGAAAGGTACTAGGAATTAATATTCCTGAGATGGCTGAGGTGACATCATGTGTTTGTGAAGGGGCTAAAAGCAGGTGAGGCAGATTGGGTGGAAAAAGACTGGCAGTCAGACCAGGTTCCCAATGGGGAGCGCGGGCTGATCTGCTCCACGTGCTGGCAACAGAGCCTGTGGGAGATGCAGCTCCTGCCCCCTGGGTGCTGGCACATCAAGGAGAAAGGAAGGACATGCCTGTGTGACTCTCCTGAAAGATTACATCTGTCTCCTGGCCTGCCCTTCCTCCCCCATTTTCTCCTTAGAAATGTGGTATTCATGACTTAATCAGAGAAAATTCCTGAAGAAGAAGATGAATTTTGAAAGGAGGAAAGAAAGGGATCTCTGGATTCAAAGCAATAGGCTGAACACCCCCACTCCCTCACCCCCTGTACTCTGCTGACTGTTGAATTCCCTGGATGTTCTCTGAAGTGAGGGCAGTTTTCAGAGGACTGTGTCATCTGCATTGGCAGGTGTTGTAATTTGGAGTCTACATGATTGTCAGTGTGGCAGGGCCCTGCCTGTTTTTGTTAAATGATCAGTATCCTATTAGGGCTAGTTTTTCTGCCAGTTGCATGCTTATTGAGACCCTTCAGCATCTTTCTAAAAAGGAAATAAGCCTCTTTCTAAATACTAGGACGAGTATAGTTAGTGTCTCAGCTGTGGCCAAGCATGGGCAAGGAGGCAGCATTTCCCAGGGGAAGCTTCATGGGTGTGTCTGGTGATGCTGGATTTGAATTCACATATAAAAACACTCCCTGGCAGGTCTTTATCTGACATCGTTTGGAAATGGTGATCTGCCAGTGGAGTTCAATGTCATGGCCAAGCCTACGGCCCAGAGGGGCAGCTTCCAAGATTTGCTTTAGGAATAGTCAATGCAGAATGTGTTTAATTCATACACACGGGGAAATGGAAACCAAGAATCCGTTCCTCCTTTTGGCTCCTGTTTGTTGGGTTATTTTCCCCTTCACTGGCAGATGGTGCTCAACAGAATATGCTATGTGGTGGGGTTGAATTTTTTAATCTTTTTTTTCAGTGAGATATAATTCACATACTGTAAAATTCACTCTTTTAAAGTGTACAATTCAATTTTTTAAACATATTCACAAGGTTGAGCAACAATCATCACTATCTTAATTTCAAAACAGGGAGGTTTAAATTTGTCTTGAATCTCTGCATGAAATATCAACCAGAGGTCAACTCTGATTCTCAGGAACCTTTTAAAAAAATTGGGTTCCTCTTGCAAGGGAAGCTGCAATTTTTATTCAAGTGTCATTTTTAAAAAAACATAATAAGAAAAAATGATAGAGGACATTGGATTTTTCTTAGCCCTGTTATGTGATTTCTTTCCGCTATTGATGATTTTTAAATATTAGATCTTCAGGTTGGGGCTTATTACCACAGCTTTGTTATAATAAAGAATATTTAAAGCAGAAACAATAAGACTTTTTGTGTTCTCTTGTCCTTTCTCTTCTTTGTCAAGCCATGCCTCTTTAGACAGAGCTTAGACCTGTCTTTTCCTCCTTTGTCACCATCACCTAGCACAGTGCCTCCATACAGGAAAGGCTCAGTAAGATTTGCTGAATAAATGGGCTCTACTGGGCACTCAGGGGAGGCTGTTTGGATGTATAT
Source organism: Homo sapiens (assembly GCF_000001405.40). NCBI lineage: Eukaryota > Metazoa > Chordata > Mammalia > Primates > Hominidae > Homo > Homo sapiens. The sequence continues at coordinate 121,280,622 of NC_000001.11, forward strand.
ATCACTCCAGGTGACTCATGGCGACCTTAGTACTTTGGCTTTGTGAATAGCCAGGGAATTCTTTTGTACCCCTAAGATATAGCTGCTTCTAGAAAGTGAGAGCTTGACTTCTTTCCATGTATTTCTAGGGAAGGAACTGGCAAGGACCCCACCATCTCCATAGCTCCCAAGAATTCTCATCCAACTGTAAACCAGATGTGTAAAGCCTTCTTGAGTTGGTATCGTGAAGCATGGTGTAAGTGGTATGAGTGGTGTGAGTCTTTGAGTGTGTACACATGATGTGCACATGCATGATCGCCTAAGCACATGAGGGAACTGTGAGGAGTTCCTCTATGTTTTTAAATTGCCTCTTTCTTCTTTCTGCCCTTTTGTTTGTTGATAGGCCAGGGTTCAGAGGGGCCTTCAGCCTGGGCACATGGCCCAGGAGTGCTGGTATTCAGTGGCCCATTGTTTCCTGCCCCTTGTGTGCATGAACGGGGACTGGGGCCAGCATAGCTGCCTTCTTGGGGACCATTGTTTGTCTTTGTAGGAGTAGCAGCAGCAGCAGCGCCTAAGGCAGCACATTTTTCCCTGGATAGAACAACTGTTCTGTCTTGGAGCTGTACGCCTAAGAGTGAGAGTAGTTAGAATTTCCCTTAATGCCTGTATGGATGCTTTGAAGATGGTAACAAGGGAGGCATCTTCTTCTTTCTGCTTCCTTTCTTCTTTTTCCTTCTTCCTTCTTCATTCTCTTTCTTCTTTCTTTTTCTCCTCCTTTTCCTTCTCCTTCTCCACCTCCTGTTCTTCCTTCCTTTTCCTCCTTCTTCTTCTTCCTCTTCCTCTTCTTCTTTTTGGCCAGTTGTGAGGGAGGGGAGATGCTCATGGTGTCATATCACAAATAAACCACACTAGCAGGTGGTATCTATTAACAGAGCCTCTTTTTTTTCCTGGATCAGGGGTGGGGATATTGCTTTCTTACTGTCTCTGTCCTCTGGGCTTCCTGGTAGACCTCAGGGTGTACTCACAGGACAAGAAAAGCACTTCCCCCTAAGCTGTCCTGTAGAGTAGATCTAGGAAGTGGGGAAGGGATCCAGTGTGGTTGTGGACAGATTGAAACAGAGCTAGCTGGTGAGTCGGTGGGCAAGTCCAAACTTGTCTTAGGGGCCTGAATCAACCCTCAGCTGGAAAGTGGAAAAGGCGATGTTCCAGGAGTTAAGAGTCATGGTCACTGTGATTTACACAGAGATACTTTCAGAGACTCCAAACTGGTGTTCTATTTCTCTTGTTTTTGTTTCTCTGACCTACTATTAACCTCTTTGACAAGTCAGACAAACCTTAATTTAGCTCCAGCTCCTGTTGCATAATTGTTGACCCTTTGGTAAATTACTTAAAGAGTCTTACTTCAGTTTTCTCCTTAGTGTAATCAGGATAATTGTGGATACCTTACAGACTACCTGTGAGAATTAAATGAGATGATACATAGAAAGGCCTATAAAATGTATTCAATAAACACATGCTCCCATCCCTTCAGGGTTCCAGAGGGAGTACCTGTGATGCAGCATATACTCTGCTGCCCTCATTGAGGCACCTGCAAAATCAGGCTGGAATTCCTTGCTGGCTGGATGTGCTTGGGGGTTTCTTATATTAAATCACATATCTCAGAGGCCTCCTATTAAGTACTTGTTCCTTGGACAGGCTAACTCTGGAGTGGCCTACTTCTGGAACTTCATGGGACTTTGCCTTGTCCTCTCTTTTTTTGGCAGAGGGTGGGTGTCATCCAACTAACTATTCCTTTCTATTCCCCTGGTGAGTGAGATTACTGAGGTAAATTCTTAAGTGCATTACAGGGGACTCAGAGGGACCTGACAGCCTTACTGCCCATCCATATCCCCTGTACATCTGTTACTGATTCAGTACCTGGAAAGCCTTTCCACCCTAAAAACGCCTTGGTTCTTTTTTTTGTTGTTTGTTTGAGACGGAGTCTCGCTCTGTCGCCCAGGCTGGAGTGCAGTGGTGCGATCTCTGCTCAGTGCAAACTCCGCCTCCCGGGTTCACGCCATTCTCCCACCTCAGCCTCCCCAGTAGCTGGGACCACAGGCACCTGCCACCATGCCTGGCTAATTTTTTTTTTGTATTTTTAGTAGAGACAGGGTTTCACCATGTTAGCCAGGATGGTCTCGATCTTCTGACCTTGTGATCCGCCCGCCTCGGCCTCCCAAAGTGCTGGGATTACAGGCGTGAGCCACCGCACCTGGCACTTGGTTCTTACTGAACGGATGGAATTTAAGTAATATTAGTAAGCATTCTGAATGCCCTCTCAATGTACAGTCTGCCCACCCAATGGCTATTACTATCAGCTTTTCACTAATATATTGAAGGGGGACAGATGCCTACAGGAATAGTCTCAACAAGGGCTGTTCCCTTTAAGAGACCCAGAAATCCCTGGCAAGAACCAGATGCCTGACATAACCTCTGCAGATCTTTACCCCCAATACCCTTGTAATCAGACTCTGTAAAACACAGAACAAGAGAGCTTTGATGAGTGATGAGGTAGGCAGCTTTTCTGCACAGCCTTCTGTCTGCTTGAAACAATCCTCCGGAGCTCAGTTTCAGTTCAGGTGAGGTTACTGCAGGGCTGGTTGGCATTGGTGGTTGACAGGGAGAGAGATGAGGATGAAGAGGGTGAGAATTGCGCTTACAGATCACCTGAGATCATCTGCAAAGGACATACTGATATTTGTAAAAACAGAAACAAAAATGTAGATGGGGACAGATTGTGGAGCCTCGACTACTTTAAGGCAAAGCTAAACGCACCATTTACCCATCCTCATTGCTTCAAGAACATTTCAGCATCATAGTTCTGATCCTGATTTGCCTCTGATTTATCTGCAGCTCACATGAAAACTCTAGACCCCCTCTCCCCATAATGATGCATTACATAGCATTACATAGCATAGACAGAAAGCATTGTTGCAACTGTACTATTTGGGAATGAATTTGGGGCACACATAAGGAAAGGCATAATATAGGTGCTCCTTTTCTGTGGGATTGGAGTCACTGTCACATCCTAATGCATTTGGAGCTGAGCAGGCTTGCAGAGGGAAAAGATGAAAGAAATGGCTCCATTCTGACTCAGATGGGGATTGGGACATAACTTCAGCAGGATACACACTGCAAGCCTTCTCTGAGCTGAAAATCAGTCTGGCTTTGGCATACTGCTTCCTGTGAGTGCCAGGTCTCTTGTCAGTAACAAATGCAGTGCTGCATTTGAGGCAAATCTGTTTGCATCTATAGCTGCCTTTGCAGCAGTTCCAGAGAGAGTGTTTGCTAGCTCCATACAAGGACCCTGACCAGCCAGAAATCTGCATGCTAGAGCTTAACCAGAAGTATTTCTAGCTATGACACTATAGAGGCACTACAGCATCTATGAAGATTAAGCAACACAGATATGAGTGATATTTGTTAGTGAAAAAAACTCTTTCCAAGTCTTCTTAAAAAATGATTTTCATTCTGTGATATTGGAAACTGTGAAATCTGATTGACAGTGAATGGTTTGCCTGCCCAGAAGTTCTTGTGCTTCTTTTGTTTTGATTGCTACCATTTGACCTTGGGAGATTTTCTTCCTATCTCCATTAAAATATCCTGACCTTCATCCTACTTCATGAAGATGGTAAACAACATTTTGAAATGATGGGGAAAAATGCAAAAAGTAGGAGCATGGTCTCTAAAGTCAGTCTCTTGGGGTTTGAATCCCAGCTTCACCACTTAAAAGTTTGACTTCTTCAAGACTCTGTTTTCTCATTTTTAAAATGGGGATGAGGTAGTACCTGCCTCATAGGATGGTTGGGGTGATAATTCATTTGGGCCCTCTGCCAGAAGACAACCCAGATTCTGGCTCTGTGCCACTAGAAACATAGTAATATAAATGGTAGATAGGAATGTTATTATTTTTAATAAGCAGCTTCTCATAAGTGATTCAGCAGATTCCTGGTTCACAATGTTCTTTAATGGTGTAAAAAGGGTTGGCATTTTTGGAGGTGCCTCACATCCTATGGCCAGTTTAGACTTTAGGCTTTTTTGTTCAGGGCTTTCAATTTCCCAGGGCACGGGGAATAAGTAAGTGGAAGGTGGGTGAATATTGGCATGCATGGTGGTTTATTTAGGGCTGTCTTTCTGACTGTCTTCTCTTGTTTTTGTTGTAGAGATCCGTGCTCAGCTCACAGAGCAGATGAAATGCCTGGACCAGCAGTGTGAGCTTCGGGTGCAACTGTTGCAGGACCTCCAGGACTTCTTCCGAAAGAAGGCAGAGATTGAGATGGACTACTCCCGCAACCTGGAGAAGCTGGCAGAACACTTCCTGGCCAAGACACGCAGCACCAAGGACCAGCAATTCAAGTAGGGGCTCTGTGGCTATTACTCTCTGAGACCTTGGAATATGGGGTCCAGGGTGGAGGGGGGCAGGGTATGCCACTTAGATCCAGCTGAATTCAGGAGCCCCTGGCTTCAGATTGGTTGAAAGCCCTCAAGGACTTCTCATTTTCCAGATCAGTCTTATGTGCAATTCAACATTTCATAGAGATGAGAGTAGATGATGAACCATGCTAATAATAACAGCAAACTTGTTTATAGCTCTGTTGCCAGGCATGTTACTAAGGGCTTTACATATATGTTAGTTTGCTTAATCCCAACAACTCCATATGATGGTTATTGTTATTATCCCCAATTTATAGATGAGGAAACTGAGGCATAAAAAGGTTAAGGGGCTTAACTCAGGGTCTATCTTAATCTCTGTCTCTCTCTCTCTCACACACACACACACACACACTCACACTCACACACCCCTAGTAAATAGTAGAGCTGGAATTGGGCTGCAGGGTCTATATTTTTAACCATTTCACCAAACTGTCTTTAATTAGAAGAAATAAATGATGTTGAGGCCATTATATCTAAATCCCTGTCTAGGTAGCTGCTAAGGTCTATTTCTTCTACATTTAGTTTATTTTATACAGCTGGCCCATTCACTTGGTTCCCAGTGCCATTGCCCTAGTTTAGATCATCATCTTTTTTGCCTGAATGATTGCAGTATTTACTATATCTTCTATAGCAGAGATTTTCAACCCTGGCTGCATATTAGAATTCCCTGGAGAACTTTAAAAAAAATACAGAAATCTGGGCCCCACTCCAGACCAATTAAATGAGAATCTCTGGGAGTGAGGCCTGGGTAACAGGGTGGTGTAAAAGCTTCCCAGGTGATTCTAATGAACAGCCAGCATTGAGGATCACAGTCCACAGCAGGGGTGTCCAATCTTTTGTTCTCCCTGGGCCACATTGGAAGAAGAAGAATTGTCTTGGGCCACCCATAAAATATGCTAATACAATAGCTGATGAGCTTAAAAAAAATTGCAAAAAAAGTCATAATATTTTAAGAAAGTTTACAAATTTCCGTTGGGTTGCATTCAAAGCCATCCTGGCCCCCATGCAGCCCACAGGCCATAGGTTGGACAAGCTTGGTCTACAGTTTCTCTCCATTCCAATCTGCCTGCTCCATTGTGATCGGAGTTAATCTTCCTGGAACACACTGGCGATCAGAGAATTTCTTTCTGCAAAACTTTCAATGTCTCTCCATTGTCTATGTTCTTTTTATTATGATTATTATTATTTTTAGAAATAAGGTCTTGCTCTGTCACCCAGGCTGAAGTACAATAGCGTGATCTTGGCTCCCTGCAGCCTCAAACTCTTGGGCTCTAGTGATCCTCCTGCCTCAGCCTACCTCCTGAGTAGCTGGGACTGCAGGTGTGCACCATCATACCCAGCTATTTTTATTTTATTTTAATTTTTGTAGACACAGGGTTTCGCTATGTTGCCCAGTTTGGTCTCAAACTCCTGGCCTTAAGTGATCCTCCCACCTCATCCTTCCAAAGTGCTGGAATTACAGGTGTGAGCCACCACACCCAGCCCATCTATGTTTTTGATATCAAATTGTAGTTTCTCAGTGTCAGCATCATCTGTACTGTTAGAAATGCAGTATCTCAGGTCCTACTCCAGTCCTACTATAACAAGATCCCACAACATAGCATGTGATTTGTGTGCACATTGACATTTGGGAAATGCTGTTCCATTCACAAAGGTGCACGCTTTTTGGCTTGGTCTTTAAGCCCCTCTACATCTGGAAAGCCTCAAACAGGTTTCCAACCTTATTTCTTGTTTCTGTTCCACTATACCCGAGCCAAACAGAACATTCACTCCAGTGGGTCACTGGCATCCTGTTACTTGAGGTTATGTGGTCAGTCTTTCCATCTTTGCATGTCTAAGCCATGCCCATGTCTTAAGACCCATCTCAGGTGCTCCCTGTTCCAGGAAACTTTCCTGATTCTCCCAGAAGGAAGAATGTTCTCCATCTTCTGAATTCTTACAGCATTTTATTTGTTCTTCTCTTAGGGCATTCAGCACTATCTACCTTCTGTTATCTTCTCTGAGTGGACTGTATAAGTTTGTTTGATCTTCTGGTGTCCCACAGTGCCTAGTATAATATGTGGTGTATAGTAGATGCTCACTAAATATTGTGGAATAAATAAATGAATGAATGAATTTGAAATTAGTGCCAAGTGTATCTTATTTTCCCCATTTTCTATTTTTGTTTATTGCCTTAATAATACAGGACACAAATTATCCTTTAAAAGCCAGCTCTGTGCAATGAAGATGGGGTTAAGGTTGAGGAGAACATGACATCTCAAAATAAGCCAGAATGAAAATTTCCTCCAGATGTTTTTTTCCTCAGAGTTTCTTATCTTTCCCAAGTCTTATTCTCTTTATGATAAGAGAATCATCTGATAAAAAAATGTTATTTTAGTATGTGATAAATGAAGACTTAGGGGAGGAATCATTTGCTTTAGAAAATGATTCAAAGTTGGATTTATTCTGTTGGTAATCTCATCCTAAATTTAAAATAGCATTTGATTTTTAGTACTATATCATATTCTCAGCTTATGGACGTATTTGTTACAAATTAAGGTTCAGATGTGTTAATCTCCAAGTCATCTTGTGTCCGGAATTGGTGGGTACTTGGTCTCACTGACTTCAAGAATGAGGCCGCGGACCCTCGCGGTGAGTGTTACAGCTCTTAAGGTGGTGTGTCTGGAGTCTGTCCCTTCTGATGTTCAGATGTGTTTGGAGTTTCTTCCTTCTGGTGGGTTCATGGTCTCGCTGGCTCAGGAGTGAAGCTGCAGACCTTCACGGTGAGTGTTACAGCTCTTAAGGCAGCGCGTCTGGAGTTGTTCATTCCTCCCGGTGGGCTTGTGGTCTCGCTGGGCTCAGGAGTGAAGCTGCAGATCTTTGCAGTGAGTGTTACAGCTCATAAAAGCAGCATGGACCCAAAAAGTGAGCACTAGCAAGATTTATTGCAAAAAGCAAAAGAACAAACCTTCCACCGTGTGGAAGGGGACCCGAGCGGGTTGCCAATGTTGGCTCGGGCAGCCTGCTTTTAGTCTCTTATCTGGCCCCACCCACATCCTGCTGATTGGTAGAGCCGAGTGGCCTGTTTTGTCAGGGTGCTGATTGGTGCATTTACAATCCCTGAGATAGATACAAAGGTTCTCCACCTCCCCATCAGATTAGTTAGATACAGAGTTTTGACACACAGGTTCTCTAAGGCCCCACCAGAGCAGCTAGATACAGAGTGTCGATTGGTGCATTCACCAACCTTGAGCTAAACACAGGGTGCTGATTGGTGTGTTTACAAACCTTGAGCTAGATACAGAGTGCCGATTGGTGTATTTACAATCTCTGAGCTAGACATAAAGGTTCTCCACATCCTCACCAGAGCAGCTAGATACAGAGTGTCGATTGGTGCACTCACAAATCTTGAGCTAAACACAGGGTGCTGATTGGTGTATTTACAAACCTTGAGCTAGATTCAGAGTGCCGATTGGTGTACTTACAGTCCTTGAGCTAGACATAAAGGTTCTCCACGTCCTCACCAGAGCAGCTAGATACAGAGTGTCGATTGGTGCACTTACAAACCTTGAGCTAAACACAGGGTGCTGATTGGTGTGTTTACAAACCTTGAGCTAGATATAGAGTGCCGATTGGTGTATTTACAATCTCTGAGCTAGACATAAAGGTTCTCCACATCCTCACCAGAGCAGCTAGATACAGAGTGTCGATTGGTGCACTCACAAATCTTGAGCTAAACACAGGGTGCTGATTGGTGTATTTACAAACCTTGAGCTAGATTCAGAGTGCCGATTGGTGTATTTACAGTCCTTGAGCTAGACATAAAGGTTCTCCACGTCCTCACTAGAGCAACTAGATACAGAGTGTCGATTGGTGCACTCACAAACCTTGAGCTAAACACAGGGTGCTGATTGGTGTATTTACAATCCCTGAGCTACATATAAAGACTCTCCACGTCCCCACCAGACTCAGGAGCCCAGTTGGCTTCATCTAGTGGATCCCGCACCGGGGCTGCAGGTGGAGCTGCCTGCCAGTCCTGCGCTGTGCGCTCGCATTCCTCAGCCCTTGGGTGGTCGATGGGACTGGGCGCCATGGAGCAGGGGGTGGTGCTCGTCGGGGAGGCTCCGGCCGCACAGGAGCCCATGGAGTGGGTGGGAGGCTCAGACATGGCGGGCTGCAGGTCCTGAGCCCTGCCCCGCGGGAAGGCAGCTAAGGCCCAGCGAGAAATCGAGCACAGCGCCGATGGTCCGGCACTGCTGGGGGACTCAGTACACCCTCCGCAGCCACTGGCCCGGGTGCTAAGTCCCCCATTGCCCGGGGCCAGCAGGGCTGGCTGGCTGCTCCGAGTGCGGGGCCCACCAAGCCCACGCCCACCCGGAACTCCAGCTGGCCCGCAAGCGCCGCACGCAGCCCCGGTTCCCGCTCGTGCCTCTCCCTCCACACCTCCCTGCAAGCTGAGGGAGTGGGCTCCAGCCTTGGCCAGCCCAGAAAGGGGCTCCCACAGTGCAGGGGGGAGGCTGAAGGGCTCCTCAAATGCCACCAAAGTGGGAGCCCAGGCAGGGGAGGTGCCGAGAGCAAGCGAGGGCTCTGAGGACTGCCAGCATGCTGTCACCTCTCAATCTGAATTGTTCTAATTAAGATCACATACTAGGAATAGGGTGATTTCTCCAAGTTTAGAAGAATTGATTTATTTTCTGATAAAGATGGTGCTTGGCAACATTTTTTCCTCAAATAACCAGTGAGTATTTATTGATTGACCAGTTCTGTGCTTGTACAAGGCATTGGAAAATACAAGAGAAGTTTAGGGAGTCATTATGTGGTTGGAGAGAAGATTTTGAATACAGGAAGCAATTAGAGCATAAAGCAGTAATGATCTCATTAATTGGTGTTATGTACAACATAGATCTGATGAGAGGTCAGAGATGGTTAAAGGTTCTGGAATAGTCTGGAAAGTTGTCATGAAGCAGGTGGGACCTAGGCTTGAGAGGTAGATTTGTGTGGCAGAGGAGAGAACAGCAAGTGCAGGTGAGAGGAAGCAGGAATATTTGGTGATGAGAGGGTGTAGGGGCTAGTGTGGGATCCAGCTTTATTAAAGGGAAGGTTCCTAACACATTCATCTAACTGATTTCCATTGCACATTCCTTGAACTCCTTTGTGCCTTGGAGTGTAGCAGGGAACAAATTGCTACACTTAGCACTTAGCACTTAGATGAAGAAATGGGCATTTAACAAATCACACAATTAGATATGTAATTTAAAGTTGGGGTAAGTGTTGTGGAAGGAAAGTATTTAATACAAGGTGGCACAAGAACCTGGAAGAGGGCAACTTTTCCACTTTATAGCTGGTTTACTCCAATAGCTTCCTGCCTGATCGTATTCTGGGTAACAATCAGTCTACTTATTCAACAAATTACTTTTAAATACCTACTGAGTACTGTGCTCTGTGTTGATTCCTATAGGAACTAACATAAACTTAGGAATTCCTGTTTAAGCGGAGCATGGTGACTTATGCCTGTAACCCCAGCACTTTGAGAGGGTAAGATAGGAGGATCTCCTGAGGCCAGGAGTTTGAGACCAGCCTAGGCAACATAGCAAGAACCCATCTCTACAAAAAATAAAAAATTAGCTCAGCATGGTGATGCACGCCTGTAGTCCTAACTTCTCAGGAGGTGGGAAGATCGCTTCACTCCAGGAGTTGGAGCCTACAGTGAGCTATGACTGCACCGCTGCACACCAGCCTGGGTGACAGAGTGAGACCCTGTGTCTAAAAAAAAAAAAAAATCCCTGGTTAACAGGGAAAAGAGCTATGTAAATAGTATAATGTGAAAAGAGCTTTAGTAGAGATATGAGAACACAGCTATTTTCAAGAGCAGTGGAAAATAAGGTTAAATAAGTAGAGTAGACCCCAAATGATAGCCCTTTGATAGCAAGCAGAGAAGTTCAGATTGGGTGTGGCAGCATTTTAGTGGGTCCTCTGGGTTCTTAGGTGGGGAGAGAGACACGAGGAAAACAGAAGGCCAGGATGAAGGTTTTGGGGTAATCTACACACAAAGTAAGAGCAAAAAAAAAAAAAGTGGGGGGAGTGGAAAGGAAGTAGGAATATATTCAGAAGGTATTCAAGAAACTAAATAGGACTGGATAACTGACTGGATAAAGCATAGAACCATAATGGTCAGAGGTGACCCAGTGTCTCTACCCTGGTGACCTAGAAGAATTGTGGCATTCACGATAGAAGTGGGGGTGTTGAGGGAAGATCTGTTTTGAATGGTGATCCTACTTTGAACATTTTGGGTGTAGAGCAGTACGAGGCCATCAGGTATCCAGGTGGAGACGGCATACTGCTGAGGTAAGAGGTTATGACTGGGGATAGCTAGCAGAATCTTCGGAGTAAAAGTGATTGTGGGAGAGATGAAAGTATATGAATTCAGGGAAGAGAAAGAGGAGAACAAAGAGCTAAATCCAGGACCCCAGGCTTAGACAATAAAAGTTTTGCATTGGTAGTAAAAGTTACTATGAGGAGAAGCAAAAGCTACCTGAAGAGAGAGAGAATAGTTTTGTTTTTTAAGGCAAAGGGTAGAAGGTAAGGTGGGAAAGTGGCGTCTGATGGAACTAGAAGTGTTTTAAGTAGAAGATCTGTAAGAGCAATTTCTTATTGATACTCTCTCATGTATAAGGTATTGTGAGAGATGCAAAGATGACTAAAACAAGCCCCAAACCCAAATGTTTTCAATCTCTTAGGGTGAAACATATGAAATTGCTGGTTTTTTTTGTAAGGCAAAATGGCAATTTCATATGGTACAGCCTGGTAGAAGAGGAGATAGAACATATGTACAAATGCATTTAATACAGGCAAGGTGGTGAGAAACTCAATAAGAGAGGCTCAGGCAACATCCTACTTTCATGCATAATTTATTCCTAAAAGTGTATACAGAAGTCAAATGGTTGAATGTCTAACTACAGTTTTATGTGGGGTAGGTAGGTTCTATTATTATAAATAAGTGTATATGTGAAATTCCAAATTATCCCTCACCTGATATATTTTTAGCATTGTATACCTTGTCTTTAGTTCTGTTTGTTTTTCCGCCATTAAACTCATGGCCTGCCTGCTCAAGTTCAGTGAATACCTAAAGAGTCCACGTAGCTGATGAGTTCTGCCCTTATCTTAGTAGTACAGTGATGAGACCTCTACTTCTCAATGCAACATTAGTAACAGCACTTTTGTTTTTCCATTTCCACTCATTTTTGTGTTGCAAAAGATAACCAAGTGTTAAAATGTGTGCACAGCACAAGCATTGCTGTGCAGAGACAACCATCCTGCTGAAACAGAATTGGTACCTGGCAGTCAGCAGCACTAAGACAAGCTTGAAACATTTGCTGGCAACTGAAAATTTGACATTGGCATAGGAAAGGCATCTTAGGCATGTCTGATTTGGTAAAGATATAAGTTTGGCTGATGTAATAGACCCCAAGTAATAATGGCATACACAAGATAGAGGTTGATTTTTCTCTGATGTCATAGTCTAGGTGTTAGCCATCCAGGGCTGTCAGGCTTCTTATTCCATCCCGAGAGTGTTATCCTTTTCTGTATGACCCAAGATGGCTCACTGCCACCATGTTCTCATTCCAGCCAGCAGGAAAAGGCAACAGGACGAGGGGAAGGTATGGCCTTATTTTTTAAAGGTGCACTCTGGAAGTGGCACACACAGCTCTTCAACTCATATCTGACTGGCCAGAACTTAGTCACATGGTTATGCTGAACTGCAAGGGAGGCTGGGAAGTGTAGTTATTGTTCTGGGTGACTATAAAGTAGAGTTTCTCTTAATATAGAAGAAGGGGAAATATTGGGGGACAATCAGCAGCATCTGCCATGGTGTATGAAAGGACAAGTGTAGGAAAGACCATGGCCACCCATCCATACAGAGTGCCACAGGTGCACAAAGAAGACAGATTTCTTCTGATTGGAGGACTGGAGAGGGCTTTAGGGAGGTCAAGTTCAATGGATGGGAGATAAAAAAATTAAAGTGCCAATGCTAGGCATTGATCCTTTAAGTTTAATACAGTTGAGACAATGGAGAAGTTGTAGAAAGAAGGTGAAAAGATGGGAAAGGAAGCATTTTAGATAGAGCAGTATTAGAAAAGGCTAACAGAAGTGAGAACAAACGCTGATGGATAACTTATCTGTTTTGCTGAAGAACAGGAATTATAAATGTGATAGTGAAATAAACCTGGAAAAGATAGGGGCCAGAAGATTAAAGAGGTCTATGAATGCCAGGCGACAGGGTTCGGGCTTTATTCTGTAAGCATGGGGGACCATTGATAGTTTTTGAGCAAGGAACATAATTATGGCTGTGCTTTCGAAGGGTAACTATGGCAACGATGCATATGATCAATTGGAGCAGAGAGACTGGAAGGAGGAGGACCTGTTAAGAAAGGAGTCCAGTGGTGAGGTTAATGTGGGCTGAAACTGAGGTCATACCCTTGGAAATAGACAAGATGGGGCCAAGTGTGAGGACAAGAATTAATGGAATTCAAAGAAGCTGGGACAGAGAAAGTGCTCTTGGTTTCCTGGGTCTCTGGAGTGACAATAGTACTGTATTTTCAGTCGGTGAACTGTAGCCTTGATTTTGCTGACTCTAGGACTGGTCCCAGAATAGTTCATTCTCTGCCCAGAACATCTCAGTGGGCACTCATCACCTCCCCCGGAGCTGTAGCAGCTGTTGGGCTAGCAATGCCATGAATTTGTCTTCCTGTACTGCCAGGAGAGCAGCTGCCAGCAGCAACTCTGAACAGACCCATCTCAGGGACGTGGAAACTATTCAACTTGGGATGCAGCAGGTTGGCCAGGGCTGAATTCAGTCCACATGGATTCATCTCACCCTTTTCCAGGCCACTTTCTTACCCTGGCTGGGTTTCAGCCACTCATACTGCGTTAGGTTGGGTATTTTCTTACAGTTCTAAGTGATTGCATTTAGGGATGGACGCTGCTGAACTGCTTTCTTCATCTTTTGGACACCTCCTCCCCTGGAAGCCATTACGCTGTCAGCCTTTGGCTTTGCTTCCTACTCTGCTCTGCTCCTGCTCACCTTTTGTCCTCTCCCACATTGCGCTCAGTGCAGACATCCTCATTAAAGCCTGTACAGTTCTGACTCCATGGCAGCCTGACCCTCTGGTTCCATCCCTCTCCTTCTTTCTCCTTCCCCCAGAGAATGAGAGATGCTGCAGATAGAACTGTAGCGATTATTTGACCCTATGTTATTCTGCTTTGTTTAAGACAGGTAACATGGCTTTCCCCATCCCTGTGAATTGTGGGAAGACCCTGCTAATGTCTGAAATTCTGTCAGCCTGGTTTGATTAAGAGCAGTGGTAAAGTATTATGCGAGGGTAGGAAGCCTTTCTAGGGAAGATGTTCTTGCATTTTCTTTGGCTCCTTGAAGAGCATAAATGTATTCCTATTTGTTGCTGAGCCTTTGATTGTCTCTTTTAAGTGGAATCTGTGTTAATATGGCCCAGCAGGACTCTAATTGATAATGCATTGGCTGTTTTTTTTTTTTTTTAAATAGACTTCCTGTAAATTACCTTTCAGTCATAGCTCACTTGGTTTTGATCTCCTGCTTTTAATAGCTCATTTTTTTAGGTAGCTTTTTTTTTTCTGTTGAGTTTTTAGAGCAATACTTCTACATTTCTGTCCTGCTGTGTTCCTTGCAGAGACCTTCTGCTATTTTATAACCCACTGTCAGTATCTTTTCACCGTTTCTCCCAGCTTCTTTCTCTCCTCAACACATATTTGTTGACTATTTTAGAGGTTTTGTTCTAAACTCTTAGAGGACAGAGATCCAAAGAAATAAAAGGAGTAGTTCTTTCCCATATGAAATTATAATCTAGTCAGGGAGAAATTAAATTCAAATACAAGAATACAAATCTTCAACATAAGGCTATATGTAGTAAGTACTAAGTATATGCTGCAGAAGAGATGAGGCTCAGTTGGTGTAGACAGGAAACTTCAGTAAGGAAATGAGATTTGAACAAAGCTTTAAAGAAAATGGCTCTTGAGAGGGAGGGGAAGATACTCTAGGAAAAAGGGGCACAGCTAGAAGAAAGAACAAAGCACTTTTGAGGTACAGTGAGTAGACTGGTTTAGCTGGGAGAATAAGTGGATGTGGAAGAAGTGGACAAAGGTAGATGAGTTTGTATTGTGGAGGGCCTTGACTCTTGATTAGGGATTTGGCTCTATACAATAGACACTGGAAACCACTGATGGTTTAAATAGGTATGAATTCTGATTAAGGAAGATTAACCTAGTGGTAGTTTGCTAAATGACAAGAAACATGAGACCAAGGAAACCAGTTGCTGCAGTAGATCATAAGGATCTAAATTAGGTTGGGATGGTAGGAATGAAAAGAAGGGGAATTTATCCTTCTGTCCATTTAGCAAATATATATCTTCTTACCATGTGCCAGACACATGCCAGATACCCACCCCTGTACTCCTAGAGCTTACAGTCTAGAGACAGATGGAAAGCACCTGGTGCAGGAAGAATCTACAGGAATTGCTGACTGATGGGATTCAGGTTTCAAGTGAGCTTGGAAGCCATAAAAGAAAGAGGTCTGTAAAGTGTCTTTTTGACTTGGGTGATTGATAAATTAATGGTATCTTTAAAAGAAATAGAGAGGGGCTTTTTTGTTTTTGTTGTTGTTGTTGTTGTTGTTGTTGTTGTTTGGGTTTTTTTTTAGATGGAGTTTCGCTCTTGTTGCCCAGGCTGGAGTGCAATGGCACGATCTCAGCTCACTGCATCCTCTGCCTCCCAGGTTCAAGCTATTCTCCTGCCTCAGCCTCCCGAGTAGCTGGGATTACAGGCATGCGCCATGACGCCAGGCTAATTTTGTATTTTTAGTAGAGACAGGGCTTCTCCATGTTGGTCAGGTTGGTCTTGAACTCCTGACCTCAGGTGATCCGCACACCTTGGCCTCCCAAAGTGCTGGGATTACAGGCATAAGCCTCTGTGCCCAGCTGAAATCTAGTGTTTTTTTAACAGAAGTTAGGAGAAAGAATTGTTTTTGAAGGAGTAAAATATGAGAAATTTGGTTTTGGATTTTAAGTTTAAGGTGTTGGAAGAGTATTGAAGCTAAAATTTCTAGTAGTTGACAAAATGAATGGCTGTATGCAGGGCTAAAGAGATTTTTTGGCTGTTGGTAGAGATTTGCACACATGCACAGAGAGGGGATGGTTGAAACTGTGGAAATATTTGTGATTTCCAATAGTAAGAGTTTAGAAGAACAAAGGGGAAACTTCCTTTGTATCATCTGTGATACTCAGATTACAGAGTGTATAAAGGAATTTAAATGATATATTTATTTGTGTATCATTGAGTATACATTTTGGGAACCTAATTATGTATCAGGAATTGGGTTTAGTACTGGAGATAGAGAAGAATAAGACAATCTCCTATTTTCACTAATATTAAATTAGCAGAATATCAAGGAGGTAGACATAGAAAGTAAACTTTCTTGTTTGGCTGGTTATCAGTTGTGTCACTATTGGAAGTGATGTGAGGGAGCAGGGCCTAGGTATCTTAAGAATTTGGTAGACATTCAACCTGCAATACTCCTTTCAGTGGGAGGTTAGTTACACAATTAATTAAAGAAAAATTATTGTAGAGTCTGTGTTCTCGGCTTCAGGCCCAGTATTTGAATGTGCGCCATCTCTGTAGTTACATCACTACTGCGGATGGGTTCCTCCCCTGGAGTTGAGTTCAAAGTCATTCACCAGTCTCACAGGATAGCATTGGGTTGAAAAGCATAGAGTCAGTTGGCCATGGAAAATGTTATAGTTGTGGTTGCAAATCGGAAAAGGGTGGAAGACCAGAAGGTTCCTCATTGACTTATGGAGTGACCTTGAGAAGGAAAGTACCAGGAAACATGAAGCTCCCGGGAGGGAGAACCCCTGACTTCCTGGGACCAGTGCGTCACTCACTCATTTTGGACATATTTGGGAGCTGTTTGTTCCCTCAGGAAAGATTTTGCCCAGATGTAGCACCTGGTGTTGCAAGGGTTGGCTTCCCTTCTCCATGGCTCAAGATGCCTTTGTTCAGAAATTAACAGAAGGTTCTTTGGTGTGTTTTGCATGGGCCCAGTTCATGTAGAACCTTAGGTCATTGTTGAGTCCTTTTTGGAGGAAGAGTTGGGAGGACTTCTCACACATGGGTAAAGCAGAATGGAAGAGACGCAAGAAGGCCATTTGGGAATCAGCAAGACAGGGTGATCCAGTCTTTGGAAGAGAGAAAGAATTCAGTTAAAAGTTCTTTGGGAAGCTTTGTGACTTTGTGTGGGAAAAACCAGAGCTTTGAGCCAGAAAAACTTGGGTCTGAATCTTGTCTCTTCTACTCCTAGCTTGTGACCTTAAGCAAGTCACTTTACCCCTGTTAGCCTCAATTTCTTACCTGTGAAATGTTGACAGTAATACTTACCTTGAAGGATTCTTCTAAGGATATATATAATGTATATACAGCACTAGCTAATGTTTGTGACTTAATGGATGCTCAATAAATGGTAGCTGATAATAATTATCAGGAAAAGTCAATCCTGATAGTTAAGATCAGCCACAGAAGAGTCAGCCCTGATAGTTAAGATCACAAGTTCTGGGAACCAGATTTCCTGGGTTCACAATCCTGGATTTCTCCCACTTACTTGCTGTGTGATTTTAGATGAAAGGTTTTAATCACCTCAGTATCCTCGTTTGCAAAATGAAGATAATATTCATAACTACCTTATGGAGTTGTTATGCTGGTTAAGTGAATTAATAATATGTGAAACACTTAGGACAGCTTGGCACATAGTAAATGTAAATAGTAGCAACTATTATCCCTATCCTCAGGATTTGGGCCTGAGCACAGCTGTACTGGGTAAAACACTGGTATATTAGATACACTAGTCATTCCTTGTGCAGAGTTAAGTATTCCTAAGCCTGGCTGGGTAATATGTCAGTTTCCATTTTCTTCAGACACCTGTGGGCCCTCATGAATGACAAATTCATCCCCTACCCTGATTTTTATGGTATAGCTACATTGGGCAGGACATAGGCAATTATGTGACTCTGTGTAATTGCATGGTCAGTCCCTATAAAAACTCAGCAATTGTATGTTTTGTTCTGTAAGGTGTCATATAGTTCAACCTTGGTGGGTTACTTTTAGATCCAGGCTCATAATCATGAAGAGGAAGACATTTGTCATACAACCACTCTCTGATTTTCTCATCCTTTGGAGTTAATAGTTAGCCCTATTGCCAAATTGCTGAGTTTCTATAAAGATATACTGTTGAGGCCCACAGGTCCCAATTTTGACTTGGGCAAATAAAAGAAGGCCAGTCCTATTCAGCCTCCTGCAGTATCTACCATCGAGGCCAGCAGGCCAGTGCAGTACAAACCTTAGTCATGAACATAACAGTATGTGGTTTACTGGGTTGTTTGTCTCATGAGGCCAAACAGAAGCTCCCAAGCTTCTGCATAAATGGCTTTATATCTTCCTTTTAGGGTAGGGAATGATAAGAGGGCAGGTTAGAAGCAAAATATGCTTTTATGAGCAATTGGGAGGATGTTGGAGACTCCTGAGAGTTTCCTGTGTCTCCTAGGATTTGCCACTGGAATGTCAGCAGGCCATACCTCAGGCGTTCAGCTCCATGGAGCAAAGACAGTAGTGATCACGTTCCTTGACAACAGTGCTAGTGTGCGGGGAGCTTTTAGTTTTCCTTTTCTCTGCTCCTGTAAGCCCCATAATAATTCTGTAGCAGACACAGGAAGCAATGTGTCTAACTACTACTAGGCAATGTGTTCTTGGGATTTTTAATTCTCAGGAATTCGCAGCCAATTAAATGAATTTACTTTGATCCAGTTCTCTTTTCAAGGCAAAAGCTGTGTCATCTTATTGGGAGCTGACTGTGTTAAGTGGGAGGGTTTACAAGATAAGAAGAAAAGACAGTCTCTGCCATACGTGTTTTTATAATTGAAATGGGGGAAATCGGGCAGGCTGAGAGAGAATAATAAGAACACATGTGCACAGGAATTTAAAAATAGCACCCCATTTAAAGCAGGTTCCAGTAGTCACCAGGAAAAGAAGAAAGGTGGAGTACTCAGGAGGGACTTGTACTTGGTTCAGTCAGGGAAAGGTAAAAGATAGTATAGTTATGTTCTCAATTAGATTTGTTCCCTGGTTAATTGAAGTAAAGACTTTAATATCTAATTCCTACACTGCACAGAAGTATCACATGTTGAAAAGAAACAGTGTGACATGGGAAGGACTCACTGTTAACGAAAGATTTAGAGAGAATGAAAAAAAAAGTAGGATTTGGGTTTTTCAGAGTTGAAATAGGTTCATCTTTTCTGCTAGCTCCTCCTTTTATACATCTCCACTGTCGTTGCTCCTTGGGTTTTAAATTCAGGGAGAATCAATGAGCACAGTTCTGCGTCTTAATATATTTAGGGTGCAGCTGGTTAAAGAGCCAGGATTAGAAAATGAATCGGAACAAACTAGGATTATCTTCAACAGTAGGATGCTGAGCTGTGTTTGCTGATTCCTGCTTAAGCAGTCGGGACAGGGCATCCTTGCATGAAATTCAGACATCCCTCCCTGGCAGCCTCTGTGGTAAAGTAGAGGTTGCAGAACAAGTCTGGCAGCTCTCAGCCCGAACCCTTGTAAACAACAGATGTTCATAACTAAGTTCTAGGGTGGGGGTAGGGGTTATTGTTGATGCTTGAAATTCTTTGAATTTATAGGCAGCATCTCAGGGATTTAGCAAAAGGAGGAAGTTATACAGAATTGATTTCTGCAGTGTACAGGTAGAAATGATGCCTCATCGATTTCCTTGAAGACAAAGCACAGGCTATTGTGTGGACTCTAAAACAGAGCAAGGTGAACCCAGGAAGGCAGGCACAGTTAAGAAAGGGTTGGCTTCTTACGTGTATTGACTTCCTCCCCTCCTTCTCCTCTCTCACTCCTTTTTATACATTGACTGGATTTGTCAGTCTTGTTCTTGCTCCTGTTTTCTCCGGTAATGGGTGGAAATGTGTGTCCTTTCTTACCACAGAGTCCTAGATACATGTGCATACAAATACACAGTGTATTAGGCCATTTTTTGCGATGCTGTAAATAAATACCTGAGGCTGGGTAATTTCTACAGAAAAAAGGTTTGATTGGCTCATGGTTCTGCAGGCTGTACAGGAGGCATGGTGCTGGTGTCTGCTTCTGGTGAGGCCTCAGGGAGCTTACAATCATGGCAGAAGGCACCGGGGAGCCAGCATGTCACATGGTGAGAGTGGGAGTGAGAGTCGGGGGAGGTCCCAGACTTTTGAACAACCAGATCTCTTGTGAACTAAGTGAGCATGAACTCACTTATCACCACAGAGATGGTGCTAAACCATTCATGAAGGATCTACCCCCATGACGCAGTCACCTCCCACCAGGCCCCACCTCCAACATTTGGAATCACATTTCAACATGAGATTTGGGGGGGGACAGACATCCAAACCATATCACATAGGAGGAAAAACACACAGGAAGAGCACACAGGTGCACTTCCCTTAGTGCCTTCTGAAGGACGCAACTCAGGTTTTTATGATATACTGATTAACGGGTTATTGTTATGGGCTTTGTCTTGGATTTTAACCTGATACTTTCTCAGTGTTGGTTTTGCTAGATGTTCATTACTTCATTAAACAGAGGTGCCGGGTGCGGTGGCTCACGCCTGTAATCCCAGCACTTTGGGAGGCCGAGGCGGGCGGATCACGAGGTCAGGAGATCGAGACCATCCTGGCTAATACGGCGAAACCCCATCTCTACTAAAAATACAAAAAATTATCCGGGTGTGGTGGCGGGTGCCTGTAGTCCCACCTACTCAGGAGGCTGAGGCAGGAGAATGGTGTGAACCCAGGAGGCGGAGCTTTCAGTGAGTCGAGATCGCGCCACTGCACTCCAGCCTGGGTGACAGAGCGAGACTCCATCTCAAAAAAAAACAACAACAAAAAACAGAGGTGAGTGATGAGAATATGGCTTATGAAGACTTCAGTGCTGCCTCTTCTTGATCCCCATCCCCTAGTCCCCAAGCACACATACCGAGTTTCCAGCCAGATGATAAGTGCTTAGGAAACCTTCTACTTTACAGCATAGTTCAGGGAAGCCATAATAGAAAAAATATAATACATCTTTGGTAGGCTTCCTTGGCACCAAATTGACGAAGACTTTAGAAAGGTTCTTATCGTACATCAGATGAAAAAAAGCGATTTACCAGATCTGGGAATGTTTTTGAGCCACTCTAGCAAAAAACAACTGGCTTGAAAATCTTTGATAAAATCGCTTATTCTTTTGGAAGCTAAGAACATCTTTGTACAATTTTTTGTTGTTGTTGTTTTTTGTTTTTTGAGATGGAGTCTCTCACTCTGTTGCCCAGGCTGGGGTGCAATGATGCCATTTTGGCTCACTGCAACCTCTGCCTCCCAGGTTCAAGAGATTCTCGTGCCTCAGCCTCCCAAGTACCTGGGATTACAGGTGCGCACCACCATGCCTGGCTACTTTTTATATTTTTAGTAGAGATGGGGTTTTTCCACGTTGGCCAGGCTGGTCTCGAACTCCTGACCTCAGGTGATCTGCCCACCTCGACCTCCCAAACTGCTGGGATTACAGGCGTGAGCCACTGCGCCCGGCCCATCTTTGTACTATTATTCCTTCTGGAAAAGAAGTCCACTTCTGGCTGTTTTGTCCATTTGTACGAATTTGGTGAACACCAATCCTGGTATGTGAGGTTCACTTAATCTTTCAGCAAACATTTATTGAACATTTATTCTGTGCCAAGAGTTGTACAAGGAATTAAATATACATAGAAGAATAAGCTACCATTCTAGCCCATGGGAGTTATTACTTAATGTGAAATATTTTAAGTTTGTTTATATACATTTGTATGTGCTCTGATAAGGCGTAGACTTCCAGGTTGAGGAGACAGAATTGTTGGGTTATGAGCCACCCTGTTAGTCACCTTTATTATATGTGAATCAGTAATAAACACTTGACTTCATTCTCATCGCTAATGACCAATAGGTTCTCTGCAGGTTTGGGGTCACAAAGAGGTGTAGGATCCTGTTCTTTCCCTCAGGAAGCTCATGGTGTCATGTGGAAGACAGAGAGTTTATGGGAAAAAGATAACACAAAATAATATACACTTACTGCCAAAGGAGAGATGGGAGAAATGATTTCATTTTTCTCCAGAATGCAATCTGTAAACAGTTTTAAAATTTTGCCATAATGTTAGACTCACAGAAAAATTGCAGGAATAGCACAAAGAATTTTTGTATACTACCATTTTATCCAGATTGCCCCAAAATGTTAACATATTACTACATTTGCTTTATACTTCACCCTTTTCATACTCAATTCTCACACACATATTTTGTTTTTCTGAAACACTTGAGAGTAAATTGCAGACATGATGACCTTTTATCCATACATACTTTAGGGTGTATTTACTAAAAATAAGGATGTTCTTTTGCATAATCGTAGTGCAGTCATCGAAATCAGGACATACAGATTGATACAATACTATTATCTAATCAATAGACATTCAGATTTTACCAGTTGTTCTAAAAATGGCCTTTTTTGGCAAACGAAAGTCCAAGATTATGCAATTCATTCAATTGTCTTATCTCTTTACTTTCCTTTAATGTGGGATGATTTCCAAGTCTTTATATTTCAAGACATTGACGTTGGCCCCGTTATTTTGTAGAATATCCCTTAATTTGATATTTCTGGCAATTTCTGATAATTTCCTTATTATTAGATTCAAGTCACACACTTTTGGCAGGAATACCATAAAATGTAATGTCACGTTCTTCTCAGTGCATCATATCAGGAAGCACTTCCTGATGATTTGTGCCATAACTGATGATGTTAAATTTGATCATTTGGTTACAGTTGTGTCTGCTAGGTTTCTCCACCATGAAGTTGTTCTATAAGCTTTGTAATTAATGTATATATTGTGGAGAGATACTTTGAGACCATGTAAATATCAGCTTACCCTTCAACTCTTATACTCACTAGTTTTAGCATCCATTATAATTTCTTGCTTGAATCACTTTCTATTATGATGGTTACCAAATAGTCATTTTTCCAGTTTTCATCATTCCTTCTACATTTATCAGTTGCAATTCTACTGTAAGGAAGAGCTTTTCCATCACCCCCACTTTTTGGTCTGGTTGTTGGTTTATATCAGTGTGGACTTGTGGATTATTATTTTATTCAACAGGTTATAATCCTTTACCATCTTTATTTTAATGTTCATATTGTTCTATATTTGGCCAATGGAGTCCCTTCAAGCTGGCTTCTGTGTCTTATTGATATGTCCCCATCGTTCTTTGAGCACTTCCTTACTTTGTGGCACAACAAGATATTCCAGGCTTAACTTGTACTTTCCTTGCCTTTACTGTGGAGTTGACCATTTTTTCAGAGAGCCTCGGTTGCTTTTAGTGGGAAATGGTATTTAGAAGCCATGGATGCTAAATATGCTCTTTGTAACTGAAGTACCATTATTTATAGTCCCTTTCAGCAGACAGAGGTAGTAGATATATGTATGTACACATAGACACATACACACACACACCCATGTACTTCTATAAATAGCTATTTCTTTATCTGTCTGTATATTTATATATATTAAAGCCTATGAGATCATATCAGTATCTTTCATTCCAATCCAATACCACATGTTTTATTTAACTTTCTCCCCTTTCCTGTTCTCTGAACAGTGAGAAACCTGGTTCCTATTATCCATAACACACATTTTCACTTAATTGCTCAGTCCTAGAGTGTACAGAAAGTTGTTTCAGAATTACTAACCCAGGCCGGGCGCGATGGCTCACACCTGTAATCCCAGTACTTTGGGAGGCCGAGGCGGGCCGATCATGAGGTCAGGAGATCAAGACCATCCTGGCTAACACGGTGAAACCCTGTCTCTACTAAAAAATACAAAAAAAAAAAATTAGCCGGGCATGGTGGCAGGCACATGTGGTCCCAGCTACTGGGGAGGCTGAGGCAGGAGAATGGGGTGAACCCGGGAGGTGGAGCTTGCAGTGAGCCGAGATCGTGCCACTGCACTCCAGCCTGGGTGACAGACCGAGACTCCATATCAAAAAAAAAAAAAAAAAAAAAGAATTACTAACCCATGCCTCTGAAAAAGAAGACTACTGACTAGATTTTAATACTGGTTTAGAGTTCTTTTTGTTATTAGCCTTGAGGGCCAAGACACAATGTTCAAAAGTTAGCTGACTAGTTCTTTCTTTCCTATCTTAGTCTGTTTTGTGTCGCCATAACAGAATACCTGAGTCCAGGTAATTTATAAAGAAAAGAAGCTTATTTGGCTCACGACTGTGGTGGCTTGAGAGTATAAGAATGTGGCATCAGCATCTGCTCAGCTCTTGGTGGGGGCCATGTGCTGCCTGACAACATGGCGGAGAAGCTGAAAGGCTAGGGAATGAGTGAAAAGAAAGCAAACACTAGGAAGAAGCTTGCTTTACAACAACTCACTCTCTCAGGAACTAATCCAGTCCCACAAGAGTGAGAACTCATTTCCATGAGAATATTAATCTTATTCATGAAGGATTCTTCCCATGACCCAGACAACCCCCAGTGGCCCAGCCTCTCAATACCACTTGCAATTGCAATCAAATTTCAACATGAGTTTTGGAGGGAACAAACCAGATTCAAACCATAGCATCCCTCAACCTCCAGACCTTCAATGTAGTTATATTATTTGTTTGAAATATAATTTGGTTTATTTATTTGTTTGTATTTAATGTTTTCCTCTCCGGAATGGGGTCTTGACATTTCTCACTGCCAAACCTTTTCTCTTGACTAAAAAAGATGGCGCAGATTCAGGAGAAGTGAGAGACCCATGTATCCATAGGTTAAGTCAGGGCTTTAGCAGAAGTCAGTGATGGGGACATAGGCCAGACATGCACTGAGAACAAACCAACCATTTTCCCCTACTTCTGGGCCAGCCCTGTCTCTAAGCAAGCCATCTTATGGATTGAGACCCTTGCCAGTTTCTCCTAAGCCTGCTCCTAGGTTCTCCTTGCCATTCTCCCTGATCACCTCTTTTGCATTTAGCGAACCAAGAATCCAGCATCAGCATCAGCATCAGCATCTGCTCAGCTGTAGGCCATGATTGTCTGTACTGTTTACCAGCAGCTCATGTAATATGCTTGATGTAAGACCTTAGGATAATGTTGATCTGGCCTTTCAGACATGAAGCCCCGGGGCACTGCACATTGACACCCAAACTTGCAAACTTTTACGTCCTTTTGCGAGACTGTTTGCTAGTGCCCTGTTCTGAAATCCTTGAAATTTCTCCTCCTGGACTTTCTTCAGTTACATGCTTTGGCCTCTCTAATAGCTCTTTTGCATCAATTCTGATGACCTGGCCATTTTCTCCTGTCTGTCTGGGAATGGCTTCCAGAATCCCCTTCCTCTGCCCCATTTAACCCTCTTCCTCCATCTCCCACACACTCATTTTATTTCTCTTTCCTCCAGACACATATAACCTGGTCAGTGCTGCTGATTCCAGCTGTTCTGAATCTTGTGTACAGCTTAAGTTCAAAAACAGATGGGCCCAAAGTATCCTAGATGCTGTGCCAATTTCCACTGCATGAAAACAAATTACTGAAAAGCATCAGGAAATTTTAGAATAGTTTTGGGGTTTGATTCTCTATCTTCTCAATGGTCCTTCCTCCCCAACTCTTCCATTTCTCTTCACCGTCCCTGTCCCCCCATTATACCTTGCCACTTTCCATCTCTTCTTCATATTCCTCACTTAGCAAAGGCTGGTTTTTAAAACCTTTATTCTCATTTTTACTCTTTCTATGTACTGACAGGTTTAACCATCAGGATGGGACTGTGTTGATAATCAAGCTAGGGCTGTTGGTTGTTTTTCTAGATGTTTATACCCTTTTAAAATCTTCCATCTAGGACTAGGGACCTTATGTCCTTATGTCCTTTTCATATAGAGAAGGTAAGGCTGGGACCTCTGTGTCTGTGGGTACATTTGTAGGTCAAATAATTCACCAGCTTGCAAATAAAGTAGATATTCTTCTATTGACTTTATCACTGGGGGGTGCACAATTGTGCCAGTGCCATTGTCTGCCCTTGTCGGGAGTGAGTAGACACTCCCTGTAGACAGGGAGTGTGTTCCTTGGAAAGCAGTGACATTGGACCCACACCATTGCTTTCAGAATCCTCATTCTGGGAATTTGCCAACTGCTTTCTCCCAGTGTTCTGTAGGACATTGTTTAGCTTTGGCATTCCTAGTCACCCTAAAAATAAGAGGAAAACAATCATCGTAGTTGGACCACTTATCTTACAGGTATATAAGGAAGACACTGGGGTCATTTACAGAGCATGGGGAGAAAGCTGTTGGCATGGTACAGTGGTTATTGGGTGCCCACTGTGAACAGACATTGTAGGAACTGTCTTCAAGAGAAGCCCTTGAGGGATAGGCTTCTAGAAGTTCAGGTACATGCTGGATTTATCTATGCAAATTATAATGTTTCCCCGCTTCCCTCCCTCCCTCCCTCCCTCCTTCTCTGCTTTAGAAGAGAATCCTCAGATTCTCAAAAAGTATCAAGCAGAGTCCTATGGATGGTAACTGAAAGAAAAAAAGAAAAAAACGATTCTCAAAGGGATCTGGAATACGTAATTATCTCCCATAATTTAAGACCATTACTCTGGAACAGTGACTTTAAAACATTTTGATCATGAATCTCTATATTTTATACTACAAGCTGGAATATACTTATATACACATAAATAGCTGAGAACAATACTTTCACAGAACAATACTTATCTTTGCTTTGTGTGATGTACTCTGAGATTTTCTACTTTGTTCTGTTATTCTTTTTTTTGTTGAGATGGGGTCTCACTCTTTCACCCGGGCTGGAGTGTAATGGCGCCATCTTGGCTCACTGCAACCTCTGCCTCCTGAGCTCAAGTGATCCTCCCACCTCAGCCTCCCGAGTAGCTAGGACCACAGGTGCACACCACCATGCCCAGCTAGTTTTTTGTATTTTTGGTAGAGACAAGGTTTTACCGTGTTGCCCAAGCTGGTCTCAAACTCCTGACCTCAAGTGATCTGCCTGCCTCAGCCTCCCAAAGTGCTGGGAATGCAGGTGTGAGGCACTGCATCCAGGCTACTTTTTTCTGTTATTCTCTTCTACTGTTGCCTACTTAATTTTTTGAGAAATGCTAGTTGGTGACCTATACGTTGATTTTTTTAAACCTCACTAATGGGTTGAATCCCACAGTTTGTAAAACATTGCTTTAAGAGCATTGTTTTTTAAATTTTTTGGTGTGCATAAAATTACCTGACATGCTGATTTGAAAGGCAGATTCCTGGGCATCAGTCCACGAGTTGTAATCTCTGGCAGACGAGCATAAGAATCCACATTTTAAACAAGCATTCCAGGTGATTCTGATGCAAGGTGATTTGGGGTCTTGAAGCCTCACACTTACAGAAACTGCTCTCTTTTGCATTTATGAACCTGGCTGTTGAAGGCTTCAGATCACATGCTTGGGGATGGTAGATACTAGTGGGGATCATCTGACTCCAGACTGGGAATCTTCTCGTTACAGGATGACCCCAATCACTTAGGTTTACTTCTGGATCTTGATAATTCCTTGATAGTCCTCTTTTACTGATGTCTCTTACGGCCCTTAAGAAGGCAGAGAAGGGGTTAACTGAGGCCACAGAATAGAGAGAGTGAAGGAACTGAAGGGTCATTTTACAGAGTGACTGGGGTGTGGCCCAGTCCTCCAGTAGGTGCCCAGAGCCAGTCCAAAATTAGAATGGGGTGGGATTCAAAACTGCTTTTCCTATTCACTTGCCTTTCATGTGTAACCACATGCAGTGTGTCAACATGCTTTCAGGCGCCATTAGGCAGCAGCAGTTTTGCTCCCTCTGGGTTCATGGACCCTTGGTATTCCTGTTATGTGTTGTCTTAGAATAGCTCTGCGCTCTGGGGCTCTGAGCATTGTCCATTAACTCTTTCAGCACCAGCCCTTTGAGATGCTAAGGGCTTTTGAATGAAATGTAATAACCACCACAATGAAATAAGAAAACAGTTACTAGTCAGGAGACCTGGATTCTTGCCCTGCTCCACCACTGTCTGTGTGACCTCAGGCTCCCTGAGCCTCAGTTTCCTCACTCAGAAAATGACAGGCTTGGTCTAGACTCTAGACCATCTTGAAAGTCCCTTCTAGCTCTGAAATTCCATGATTCTATTTTTGTACACTCTGGCCTTTTCTCTTTGCACATGATTCTTTCGTTTAAAGTCTCAGCTACATTAGGCACAGAAGATTCACTGAGTTTGGGAATTTCCAGAGAATCAGATGATAAATTAATAGCAATAAAATGTATTCCTGGCCAGGTGAGGTGGCTCATACTTGTGAGCCTGGCACTTTGGGAGGCTGAGGTGGGAGGATTGCTTGAGCCCAGGAGTTTGAGGCTACAGTGAACCATGGTCATGCCCCTGTACTCCAACCTGGGCAACATAGCAAGACCCCATCTCTGCAAAAAAAAGTATGGGCCGGGTGCGGTGGTTCACACCTGTAATCCCAGCACTTTGGGAGGCCAATGTGGACAGATCACCTGAGGTCAGGAGTTGGAGACCAGCCTGACCAACATGGAGAAACCCTGTCTCTACTAAAAAACACAAAATTAGCCGAGCGTGGTGGCACATGCCTGTAATCCCAGCTACTCAGGAGGCTGAGGCAGGAGAATCGCTTGAACCCAGGAGGCGGAGGTTGCGGTGAGCCGAGATCGCACCATTGCACTCTAGCCTGGACAACAAGAGTGAAACTCTGTCTCAAAAAAAAAAAAAAAAAGGAAGTGTTCCTATTTAGTATACTAATGAAGTAGGGAATTTATGAAACAAGTTTATTATAAAAGGAATTTTGAGATGTATTTGTCTTTTCAGACATGATTCTAGTCACTTTGTTTTGTGGGTATGAATTCATTGTGTGGGCTGTTGAGTAATGATAGTTGTCATAATTATAAGAAAAGATGTTGATACTGATATATAGTTGTAGAACACTTTCATGTTTATAAAGTTTGTTTAAGGGCATCACCTTGTTTGATTGGATCTTCACAAAAGTCATGTGTGTTAGGCAGGGCAGGTCTGCTGTCCCTGCTTATCCCATTTATTTATTTATTTTTTATTTATTTATTTTTTTAAAAGATAAACAGTTATTCATTTTTGTTTAAGACATCAGGAGTACTAATAAAGAACCAACTGGTAAACTGCTGATAATTCCATATAATATATCTAGCACTACAACTACACTGAATCATTCCTTTTTTTTTTTTAATACTTTAAGTTTTAGGGTACATGTGCACATTGTGCAGGTTAGTTACATATGTATACATGTGCCATGCTGGTGCGCTGCACCCACTAACTCGTCATCTAGCATTAGGTATATCTCCCAATGCTATCCCTCCCCACTCCCCCAACCCCACCACAGTCCCCAGAGTGTGATATTCCCCTTCCTGTGTCCATGTGATCTCATTGTTCAATTCCCACCTATGAGTGAGAATATGCGGTGTTTGGTTTTTTGTTCTTGCGATAGTTTACTGAGAATGATGGTTTCCAATTTCATCCATGTCCCTACAAAGGACATGAACTCATCATTTTTTATGGCTGCATAGTATTCCATGGTGTATATGTGCCACATTTTCTTAATCCAGTCTATCATTGTTGGACATTTGGGTTGGTTCCAAGTCTTTGCTATTGTGAATAATGCCGCAATAAACATACGTGTGCATGTGTCTTTATAGCAGCATGATTTATAGTCATTTGGGTATATACCCAGTAATGGGATGGCTGGGTCAAATGGTATTTCTAGTTCTAGATCCCTGAGGAATCACCACACTGACTTCCACAATGGTTGAACTAGTTTACAGTCCCACCAACAGTGTAAAAGTGTTCCTATTTCTCCACATCCTCTCCAGCACCTGTTGTTTCCTGACTTTTTAATGATTGCCATTCTAACTGGTGTGAGATGATATCTCATAGTGGTTTTGATTTGCATTTCTCTGATGGCCAGTGATGATGAGCATTTTTTCATGTGTTTTTTGGCTGCATAAATGTCTTCTTTTGAGAAGTGTCTGTTCATGTCCTTCACCCACTTTTTGATGGGGTTGTTTGTTTTTTTCTTGTAAATTTGTTTGAGTTCATTGTAGATTCTGGATATTAGCCCTTTGTCAGATGAGTAGGTTGCAAAAATTTTCTCCCATGTTGTAGGTTGCCTGTTCACTCTGATGGTAGTTTCTTTTGCTGTGCAGAAGCTCTTTAGTTTTATGAGATCCCATTTGTCAATTTTGGCTTTTGTTGCCATTGCTTTTGGTGTTTTGGACATGAAGTCCTTGCCCACGCCTATGTCCTGAATGGTAATGCCTAGGTTTTCTTCCAGGGTTTTTATGGTTTTAGGTCTAACGGTTAAATCTTTAATCCATCTTGAATTGATTTTTGTATAAGGTGTAAGGAAGGGATCCAGTTTCAGCTTTCTACATATGGCTAGCCAGTTTTCCCAGCACCATTTATTAAATAAGGAATCCTTTCCCCATTGCTTGTTTTTCTCAGGTTTGTCAAAGATCAGATAGTTGTAGGTATGCGGCGTTATTTCTGAGGGCTCTGTTCTGTTCCATTGATCTATATCTCTTTTGGTACCAGTACCATGCTGTTTTGCTTACTGTAGCCTTGTAGTATAGTTTGAAGTCAGGTAGTGTGATGCCTCCAGCTTTGTTCTTTTGGCTTAGGATTGACTTGGCGATGCGGGCTCTTTTTTGGTTCCATATGAACTTTAAAGTAGTTTTTTCCAATTCTGTGAAGAAAGTCATTGGTAGCTTGATGGGGATGGCATTGAATCTGTAAATTACCTTGGGCAGTATGGCCATTTTCACGATATTGATTCTTCCTACCCATGAGCATGGAATGTTCTTCCATTTGTTTGTATCCTCTTTTATTTCCTTGAGCAATGGTTTGTAGTTCTCCTTGAAGAGGTCCTTCACATCCCTTGTAAGTTGGATTCCTAGGTATTTTATTCTCTTTGAAGCAATTGTGAATGGGAGTTCACTCATGATTTGGCTCTCTGTTTGTCTGTTGTTGGTGTATAAGAATGCTTGTGATTTTTGTACATTGATTTTGTATCCTGAGACTTTGCTGAAGTTGCTTATCAGCTTAAGGAGATTTTGGGCTGAGACGATGGGGTTTTCTAGATAAACAATCATGTCATCTGCAAACAGGGACAATTTGACTTCCTCTTTTCCTAATTGAATACCCTTTATTTCCTTCTCCTGCCTGATTGCCCTGGCCAGAACTTCCAACACTATGTTGAATAGGAGTGGTGAGAGAGGGCATCCCTGTCTTGTGCCAGTTTTCAAAGGGAATGCTTCCAGTTTTTGCCCATTCAGTATGATATTGGCTGTGGGTTTGTCATAGATAGCTCTTATTATTTTGAAATACGTCCCATCAATACCTAATTTATTGAGAGTTTTTAGCATGAAGGGTTGTTGAATTTTGTCAAAGGCTTTTTCTGCATCTATTGAGATAATCATGTGGTTTTTGTCTTTGGCTCTGTTTATATGCTGGATTACATTTATTGATTTGCGTATATTGAACCAGCCTTGCATCCCAGGGATGAAGCCCACTTGATCATGGTGGATAAGCTTTTTGATGTGCTGCTGGATTCGGTTTGCCAGTATTTTATTGAGGATTTTTGCATCAATGTTCATCAAGGATATTGGTCTAAAATTCTCTTTTTTGGTTGTGTCTCTGCCCGGCTTTGGTATCAGAATGATGCTGGCCTCATAAAATGAGTTAGGGAGGATTCCCTCTTTTTCTATTGATTGGAATAGTTTCAGAAGGAATGGTACCAGTTCCTCCTTGTACCTCTGGTAGAATTCAGCTGTGAATCCATCTGGTCCTGGACTCTTTTTGGTTGGTAAACTATTGATTATTGCCACAATTTCAGCTCCTGTTATTGGTCTATTCAGAGATTCAACTTCTTCCTGGTTTAGTCTTGGGAGAGTGTATGTGTCGAGGAATGTATCCATTTCTTCTAGATTTTCTAGTTTATTTGCGTAGAGGTGTTTGTAGTATTCTCTGATGGTAGTTTGTATTTCTGTGGGATCAGTGGTGATATCCCCTTTATCATTTTTTATTGTGTCTGTTTGATTCTTCTCTCTTTTTTTCTTTATTAGTCTTGCTAGCGGTCTATCAATTTTGTTGATCCTTTCAAAAAACCAGCTCCTGGATTCATTGATTTTTTGAAGGGTTTTTTGTGTCTCTATTTCCTTCAGTTCTGCTCTGATTTTAGTTATTTCTTGCCTTCTGCTAGCTTTTGAATGTGTTTGCTCTTGCTTTTCTAGTTCTTTTAATTGTGATGTTAGGGTGTCAATTTTGGATCTTTCCTGCTTTCTCTTGTGGGCATTTAGTGCTATAAATTTCCCTCTACACACTGCTTTGAATGCGTCCCAGAGATTCTGGTATGTTGTGTGTTTTTTCTCGTTGGTTTCAAAGAACATCTTTATTTCTGCCTTCATTTTGTTATGTACCCAGTAGTCATTCAGGAGCAGGTTGTTCAGTTTCCATGTAGTTGAGCGGCTTTGAGTGAGATTCTTAATCCTGAGTTCTAGTTTGATTGCACTGTGGTCTGAGAGATAGTTTGTTATAATTTCTGTTCTTTTACATTTGCTGAGGAGAGCTTTACTTCCAACTATGTGGTCAATTTTGGAATAGGTGTGGTGTGGTGCTGAAAAAAATGTATATTCTGTTGATTTGGGGTGGAGAGTTCTGTAGATGTCTATTAGGTCCGCTTGGTGCAGAGCTGAGTTCAATTCCTGGGTATCCTTGTTGACTTTCTGTCTCGTTGATCTATCTAATGTTGACAGTGGGGTGTTAAAGTCTCCCATTATTAATGTGTGGGAGTCTAAGTCTCTTTGTAGGTCACTCAGGACTTGCTTTATGAATCTGGGTGCTCCTGTATTGGGTGCATATATATTTAGGATAGTTAGCTCCTCATGTTGAATTGATCCCTTTACCATTATGTAATGGCCTTCTTTGTCTCTTTTGATCTTTGTTGGTTTAAAGTCTGTTTTATCAGAGACTAGGATTGCAACCCCTGCCTTTTTTTGTTTTCCATTGGCTTGGTAGATCTTCCTCCATCCTTTTATTTTGAGCCTATGTGTGTCTCTGCACGTGAGATGGGTTTCCTGAATACAGCACACTGATGGGTCTTGACTCTTTATCCAACTTGCCAGTCTGTGTCTTTTAATTGGAGAATTTAGTCCATTTACATTTAAAGTTAATATTGTTATGTGTGAATTTGATCCTGTCATTATGATGTTAGCTGGTGATTTTGCTCATTAGTTGATGCAGTTTCTTCCTAGTCTCGATGGTCTTTACATTTTGGCATGATTTTGCAGTGGCTGGTACCGGTTGTTCCTTTCCATGTTTAGCACTTCCTTCAGGAGCTCTTTTAGGGCAGGCCTGGTGGTGACAAAATCTCTCAGCATTTGCTTGTCTGTAAAGTATTTTATTTCTCCTTCTCTTATGAAGCTTAGTTTGGCTGGATATGAAATTCTGGGTTGAAAATTCTTTTCTTTAAGAATGTTGAATATTGGCCCCCACTCTCTTCTGGCTTGTAGGGTTTCTGCCGAGAGATCCACTGTTAGTCTGATGGGCTTCCCTTTGAGGGTAACCCGACCTTTCTCTCTGGCTGCCCTTAACATTTTTTCCTTCATTTCAACTTTGGTGAATCTGACAGTTATGTGTCTTCGAGTTGCTCTTCTTCAGGAGTATCTTTGTGGCATTCTCTGTATTTCCTGAATCTGAACGTTGGCCTGCCTTGTTAGATTGGGGAAGTTCTCCTGGATAATATCCTGCAGAGTGTTTTCCAACTTGGTTCCATTCTCCCCATCACTTTCAGGTACACCAATCAGACGTAGATTTGGTCTTTTCACATAGTCCCATATTTCTTGGAGGCTTTGCTCATTTCTTTTTATTCTTTTTTCTCTAACCTTCTCTTCTGGCTTCATTTCATTCATTTCATCTTCCATTGCTGATACCCTTTCTTCCAGTTGATCGCATCGGCTCCTGAGGCTTCTGCATTCTTCACGTAGTTCTCGAGCCTTGGTTTTCAGCTCCATCAGCTCCTTTAAGCACTTCTCTGTATTGGTTATTCTAGTTATACATTCTTCTAAACTTTTTTCAAAGTTTTCAACTTCTTTGCCTTTGGTTTGAATTTCCTCCCGTAGCTCAGAGTAATTTGATCGTCTGAAGCCTTCTTCTCTCAGCTCGTCAAAATCATTCTCCATCCATCTTTGTTCCGTT
The DNA here is from genome assembly GCF_000001405.40 of Homo sapiens. Classification (NCBI taxonomy): domain Eukaryota; kingdom Metazoa; phylum Chordata; class Mammalia; order Primates; family Hominidae; genus Homo; species Homo sapiens. The sequence continues at coordinate 121,314,461 of NC_000001.11, forward strand.
ACTGGTGAGAAACTGCGTTCCTTTGGAGGAGGAGAGGCGCTCTGCGTTTTAGAGTTTCCAGTTTTTCTGTTCTGTTTTTTCCCCATCTTTGTGGTTTTCTCTACTTTTGGTCTTTGATGATGGTGATGTACAGATGGGTTTTCGGTGTGGATGTCCTTTCTGTTTGTTAGTTTTCCTTCTAACAGACAGGACCCTCAGCTGCAGGTCTGTTGGAATACCCTGCTGTGTGAGGTGTCAGTGTGCCCCTGCTGGGGGGTGCCTCCCAGTTAGGCTGCTCGGGGGTCAGGGATCAGGGACCCACTTGAGGAGGCAGTCTGCCCGTTCTCAGATCTCCAGCTGCCTGCTGGGAGAACCACTGCTCTCTTCAAAGCTCAGATGGAAATGCAGAAATCACCCGTCTTCTGTGTCGCTCACGCTGGGAGCTGTAGACCGGAGCTGTTCCTATTCGGCCATATTGGCTCCTCCCCCCTACACTGAATCATTTATTTTGAGCCAGGGCTTGAAGCAGACAATCCAAGCATCCTTCTAAACTATCCTCAGTCTTGTCAACAGCTGTTATCTTCAGCTTCTTCAAGGTATCACTGAGATTATCCATGTTGCTCCCCGAGGGTGAGGAACTGGCGGGGTGAGGCGAAGGTCTCTGGTGCAGGCGGCACGGCTCTGTGTCCTCCCTCTACCTCCGTCTCTATTTATTTATTTTTTAAGAGACAGGTCCTATGTTACCCAGGCTGGTCATTTACAGGCACAATCATTGTGCACTATGGCCTGAAGCTCCTGGGCTCACGCGATCTTCCCACCTCAGCCTCCTGAGTAGCCAGGAGTACAGGCACGTGTCACCATACCTGGCTTCCATTTACTTTTTAAAACAGGTGAAGAGATTTTGAGACCCAGAATGCATTTGTGACTTGCCCAAAGTTATCTGGCTAGTAAGTGGCAGAGCTAAGCCTAGACTCTGGGTCTTAAGCATAGTTCAAGGCGCTTTCCACAGAGTGTAGATGGAGTTTCACATTGTTCATCCAGATTCCTTAAGGACCTGAACTCGCTAATTTGATCTACTAACCTGGAAATTGACTAGGGCTTCTCTTATACCACTCAGCCCTTTAAAGTTTTGCCAGTAAAATATCAACATGGTTAATAATATGCTGTAATTTAGAGCACACAAGCCAATGGACATACAAATTTGGTCATTCAGTAGCCACCCAGAGAGTGAGCACAGATACACACTGGAGCAGCTGATTTGGCAAGATTGGTGGAGGCTGAACATATTAACTAGTCATTAAATGAATCATGGTCTTTCTGTCCTCAACATTTACAGGATTGCTTTGGCTCTGGCATCTGTTGTTAGTCAATACTGATTAAGGACCCACCTATTCTTGGTGATAGGTGTTCATTAAACATTCTAAATATACCCTGTCCTCAAGAGAATTCCTTACTGGGCCTGGGGGTTTTTCCTCCTGCACCCCCACACAAAAAGAGACTTCCTTCTAATAAAGGCAAGATAAATATCCAAATAACACATGAGAACTGATAATGACACATGCAGCCAATCTGATGACTGTGTAGACTTCATTCCATTTAGATCTATAGTTTCACAGAATCAAGAATTTTATTTTTTTTCCCTCCTTTTCATTGTTGTTATGAGCCATGTAAGGGGACTCATTGTCCCAGGGACGGGTATTTGGGAGGGGGAGATCTTTATGGATACCCTTTCTTCTCAGTGGCTTATTGCTATTTGGCATACTACAGTACAATTTGCTAGCCAGGAGGAGTTTCTGGCTGTAGATCAAACTTCTCCGCTCATGCCTGGTGCCAGAGAGATGCTTGCTCTTAAGGGGGTGGTTACTGCTTTGAAAAGTGTGTGGATTTCTGAGTGACGTCATTCCACTTTGGCACAGACAGGTATTTATTTCTCTAGAATGAACTACCAGGGGTGAGCCAGACTGTCTGCCTCAGTCATTTCCCAAGGTTTCATTTATTTTAAAAATCTGCTAACACATCTGTGTGTATTTTTTTTTCTCTGTATGTTTGTCATGTGCTATAATTACTTATAGGGCTTCTGGTGACATCTTAATTAACTAGAGAAGAAAAAATCAAAGATATAATTGTAGAGTTGTTCACAGGTTTTTCTATGGACTTTGTGGATCCAACTGTCAACATGATATTGATGGTTACGAATTCTTTTTAAGCTGAGAAACGTATAAATTTTATGTTCCTCGGTCATTGATCACACCTTTGTTCTGTCTTTTACCCTTGCTATGGTGTTTTAGTTTAACTGAGTGAATGAGTCAGCTCAGGCCTTTGATGTGATCACAGCCTATTTTGGGGGGCTTTCAGGGAGCATATTTAATACCTAAGTGCATTTCTAGGCCCTTAGTTCTATGGATTATATTGGGGTGGCATTGTAGCATGTAGATTGTACCAAGAGGGTTTAAAAGCCTCTTTATTCATTCCTCCCTATAGTTCTGGGAATGCTAGTGCTAACACATGGGATGTAAACAAAGGGAAGGTCCCCCAGGTCTACAGAAGCTATAGAGAGAGCTGGTGGGCAGGCAGATTTTCGAAGTCAGCCAAATCAGGGTTTTGCAGTGGGTTCATCCAAGCCAATGTACACACAAGCCACAAGACCAGGATAAGATGTGGGTTGTGGCTGATGCACAGTTTAGGAGCAGGAAAGCCATGTCTTGGATCCAGGAAGTCTGCAAACATGGGAGAAGCAGGTCAGAAAAAAGAATTTTGATCCTTTTATTCCTAGAATAGTGGCTAGCCCATAATAGGAGGCTCAATTAATATTTGTTAAATGAATGAATGAAATAAGAAGACATCAGGGACTCAGAGAAGGAGCCTGGACAATAAGATATCAGAAACTAGGCAAGAAATGTGGATGGCAGAGATTCAAATCTTGTGTAGACCCCCGTGTCTGGTCTTATGGGATCCATAGATCTATCTTAAGAGATATGAAGACCCTCCATTTGCCTCCTTTCTGCTGTGAGCACCGTGCCATAGGGGTGGTTGAAAGGAAGGCAGAATCTCTCACTTAACATAAATTGATGGAGACATTTCCAGTTAGTGTCTACGATAGCTTAAATTTGGGGGCCATTCCTAGTTCTCTGACCTAACCCACAAGAACCTTGGTCCTATAATCATTCAGGAAATCGTGATTAAGCACTTAATAGATGTCAGACATGGTGCTAGTCCAGTTCTCTACTTCAAAGCAGATTCCTAAGGTCCGGCTCTTGGGCATGCTGTTCTCTCAAGGGTGTGGTTCTGCTCCATGGAACTAATCCAGAGCCACAAGAATCTTATTTTCATACAGTCCTTCCCCCAAACCTGATTATAGGGGACAATTTAGGCTATTTTGAGAAGGTGGGTCTACCACTGCTTGAATCCTTTCTAATCATCTGTCTAGGCTACCGAAGACAATTTGTGGTACTCACTTGTCCCTGAAAATTTAAAAGTTCATTTCTCCATATGTAGACTATATTATTTTTGCCTTTGGCACTTTTCTCTGTCTCTGAACTCTCCTCCTCTGATCTCATTGCTGGCAACGCTGAAGCCAAAGCTGTGATAAGCCCGGAGAAGTGTGCCCGCCCCCTGCCTGCCCGTCTGTCTTTGAAAGATACCTTCAGGCTGCCGCTGTACTACTGGGTCACAAAACCAGCATCCACCATTACAGGCAGAATCGTTTTCAAGTCATTTCCTACCTTGGTGATTTTTACCCCCTCCTTCTTTTAACACCTTCCCCAGCAAATCCAATCCATCCTCTGGCTTATCTGGGTCAGCAAGGGTCTGATTTTATGCATGACACTGTCAGACCATAAATCCGCTGCAGCTTTGCCTCTCTATCCAGCCTGCCTGCTTCTGTCAGCATCAGCAAAATGCATAATAGAGAAAATAAGCCAGAAAGGCTAATAACACTCATCTGAATAAAATAATCTCTTTGGCTGCCTCAGTTCATTTCATTTTAATCAAGGTGCCAGGAGGGAATTTAGGTTAAAAAATCCAACCTCCTTCTTGTCACAAGTTCCCTGTCCAACCATCACTTAAATGATTCCTTTTATCATGCATGTACCTTTTTTTATTCACCACATACTTGTATGTTCAATAACATATATTGAATGATGTATTTAACTCTTTAAGTTTTGTCTATCATCACAGATAGGTCTGTTTTTAAAAGCGAGAAATTATATTCTGCTTAGATGTATTGATAGTTGCCATCTCGCTATGCAGATTGGCAGGTTTGATAGGAATTCTGAGACAGGGGATGGGAGCTTAGTATAAGTTGCTGAAGCATCTAGGGTTTGGGCAATCTGTGCTCCCTTTGGATTCCTTTCTGTCAACCTCAGCACACAGTTCCCAGTGTGGAATGCAGGACTGATTGTTCTACCTTGTCCCTTAGGGAAAGGACAGTGGGAGATTAAAATCTGCTCTCCTGTTGGTATCTCTCTCACGTCTTCCCAGAGCCTTATGGCTGCTTTGTTAATTGCCTGTTGCTGCTGTCTTACTCAAACCATTATTTGCTGAAGGCTGTGCATTTTCAGCAGGCAGCAATCTTGGCCCTGGCCCAGAGCCGGGTGAGAAGCATGTTGGAAATTGATGAAAGCTGAGTCCTAGTTTGTTTGGAAATAAAAATAATAATATTTCTTCACATTTGTATAGTGCTGAACTATTGGCATAGTTCTTTTGCATCCATCATTTCATTTGATCCACACAACAGCCCTGAGAGGTGAGCAACTTAGAGACTATTGGCCCAAAAGGAAACACACCTCGTTATAGCAATGCAGAAGCTCAAGCTATATTCCAGCAATGCCAGCCTCATGCCATGCATTCCATCTGCACAGCCATGAATGTAGCAATTATTAATTAAATGGCACCTTAGGTCAGGAGAGCGTCTAGGATTTTACAGCCATACTTTGAAGATCTTTGAGGAGTGAGATGTATACCAATAGGGCACGTGTCCATTTTATAGATGAGATGATAAAAACCAAACAGAGGTGATATGGAAAAGAACCATAATAGAGAGGCCAACTTGGACCTTTATGGACTTGGCTCTTCACCATGGATATTTTAGAGAAATCCCTTTAAGCGCTTGTTGCTAAGTTTGTTGAACGTCCATAAATAGTCCAAGTTGAGGGAGAAAAGCTGGGCTAATGTCTTCGAAGCTAATGATTCAGCTATGCAGGTTTATCTCTTTCAGTGCATTTACAGTGATAATGTCTTCTGCAGATGTACAGGCAGCATGTGACTTTCCGGGTCTCCTTTCGACTCCAGAGTCATTCCCTCTCAAGTACAGTATGATGTTTTCTTGATCTTCCTCCTGAAAAACATTTTAAGTAAGAAAAATACTCCTAGGTATTTTGTCTGCTTTTTAGGGATTAGTGTTTGAGGAGGTTTGCAGCTGCTCAGCACATTCCTAAGGGATGCAGACCCTTTCCTTTAAAGGCCCAAGTATTATACAACCTAAGGCTCTGGGGGTGGGGAAAGTAAAGAGACTGTGCAAACAAATGATAGATGGAAAAGATATAAAGACAAATTTCAATCTCCTAACCAAACGAAGTTCCCTTGGCTTCAGCGGTCCCAAATAAAATGAGGCTGCAAAGCTTCTGGAGCAGGAAACCACTCTAGCAGAGCCTTAATATGCTCCCTATGAAATCACGTCTCGTTGCCGTGCTTATTTTCCAGCCTGAAGTGGGTTTCATCTTTGTTCGTGTTGGCTGGGAAAATTGTCTGTATATTTGTGATCCCCTCCTCCCACTTTCTCTCTACCTTACTTGCTCTACCACTACCCAAAAATAAATAAATGAATTAATTGAAACACCTCAGTTGAAAGGAAGAATATGTCTGAGAAAGCTTACAGACTCAAAGGACCAGAAATATTGTGTGAAAAGCTGCATTAATAGTAGGAGAGGCTGAGAACTCCTGGAAGAAACAGCCAACAGGATCTAGTGCTGGTTTTTTAAGCATAGACTCCTTTTTTAAAATAAAAATCTTGCATAGAGCCTCAATATATGAAACAGATCAAAGCAGTATTTTTATTGGTATAAATCTGCTTTTAAAGTACAAATTTATAGAGTACTTATTATACTGTCAGTCAATGAGAACAATGAGGCTGTTTTTATGAACTAAAAATATTGAGATCAGGATTATGAATCAGTTATAGTTTTATATTCATTTCAGCATCTGGTTTTGGTTTAGGTAGTCCAATATCAAGAAAATTCTGATTAGCATAGATAAGTTATTGTAATCTTGAGCTTTAAATTGATTTAGATGGAAAAAAGAAGATACTTTTGTTTTAAAGTTGAGTCACTATCATCACCTAGCAGCTATTCCCCTTCATAAATATTAATTGGATAAGCCCCAACATGTATAATAGGCATCGCAACAACTGATGATGAGATGGTATGATATTAAGCATGTTGATTTTCGCTACCCAACCACGGTCTAACATAAACCCAGCCTAGGCCCTTGAGCCTTCTATGGCATGTGATTGAACCTTGCTGCTGTGTGTCAAGTTATAGGCTCACCTGTACAGCTTTATTGGAGGAGGCACACACAGGCGTGAATGAAAAAATAAACCTATGCAAAGCTACATGTATTCTAATTAATAGCATATTGTTCAGAAGTTCCAAGGCATACAGTGATTCTTTCTTCCAGGGTTTACATAAAACAATGCTAGCAGCCTGCAAGACATTGCAGTGGTATCTAACGCAGGGAAACTGGGTCCTGGGTCTCTTGCTCATGTCAGTGAGGGTTGCTCATTTGAATGGATGTGTCACCGTTTTTTAAATTGAAATGTGATTTTCTGCTAATTCCAGAGTATCTCAGAACACAGTTTAAAAGCTCCTGCTCTCTGAAACCAATACTAATACTGTAACTATCGCACAAAATGCTGTAAGGATGGAAATAAATACATGTGAAAAGTACTTATAGCACCTTGCAAGTTCTTTTTTCTTTTTTTTCTTTTGTTTTGAGATGGAGTCTTGCTCTCACCCAGGCTGGAGTGCAGTGGCATGATCTCAGCTCACTGCAACCTCTGCCTCCGGGGTTCAAGTGATTCTCCTGCCTCAGCCTCCCAAGTAGCTGGGATTACAGGTGTGCACCATCCACACTGAGGTAATTTTGTATTTTTAGTAGAGATGGGGTTTTGCCATGCTGGCCAGGCTGGTCTTGAACTCTTGGTCTCAAGTGATCCACCTGCCTTGGCCTCCCAAAGTGCTGGGATTGCAGGCGTGAGCCACACCTTACAAGTTCTCAATAAAACTTATTAGCATTAAGTGATAAGGCATTTTATTTTAAAAGATTTCTACTTCCAGCCATCCTGTTTATTGACCCATCTTTGTTCAGTCATCTTTTCTTTTGAGGACACCCTGGGGATATGTGCTCTGCATCCTTTCCCATGGTGTTAGGTTGATTTTGCCTCCTCTGCTTCCTCTTTTGATCTGAGGTCTACCTTTCTGAGCTAGCTGGCCTTTTGTTTGTACCACCATTAAAGTTCTACTTTACTATAGGTCTTTCTTTGTCTCCCTTACTATATTGCAGCATTTGCACTTTTATAACCACTAAAGCACCTAACACCATGCCTTGTTCATTTAAGATACAAATGTGTGTACATTTGTGGAATTGAATTGTGGCATTATTTGTGTGTATGTAAAGTGCTATAGGGAAAGAACCAGTATAGACCCCCCCAATCCATCTTCTTCCTTAAGAAATAGATTGAAACCAATTGTCAATGTAAAGTCTCATGAGATCTGCCCCTTTAAAAAGCATGCTTACTGAGGACATGGGTATCTTGCCGAGAGACACCACTTGATTAAAATGTAAATTAGGTTATTTAGAATTTTGTAACTGAAATCTAATTGGAATCATTTTGAAAGTTTTCTTGCAATGGAAACATCAGATGCTATGGAATGCATGTGTTCAAATATCTTACCATTTTGAATTTAGGATTGTTTCCAGTTCACTTTTTTTTCCCCAGATACTAAACATTTTGAAAGGAGTAAATTAATTATGTGTCTCTCTTCCTCTCAGCTGGTATATTTTTGATTTCCATAGAAATCTTTCAGTTTCCCTAAAAAGGTAAGTGTTGTCACAGTGATTGGCACGCTTAAGAGTTAGTGATTTTGGCTACAGAAGAGTGATGCCTGGGGCAGGGGGTGAGTGGTACCCGGATACAGGTTTAGAACAGTTTCAATTTGGACTCTAATATTAATTGGTTTGAAGTAACTTCTTGGTTGGGTTAGACAGATATTTGATTTGTCTGATGTGTTCTGAAGTCCAAGTAAGTATGGCATGATTATTTGTTAATAGTTACTACTATAGAATTGGAAAAGCCTTCTAAGTTGAACTTCATGGTTTACAAATCACAAGTGCCTGGCCTTTAGTGCTGAATGGAGGCAGTACTGACCCAATAACCAAGCTACTCTCAACTCACTTTCTTTGTAGTAGGAGTCTGACTGGAGCGGGGAAGAGAGGAAAGGGGGAAAGAAACAGATAGTTATTATTTGCAGTGAATGAGAGTACTCGCTTTGCAGTTATAGGCTTGGTTTGAATTCTGGAATTGCCACTTTTTAGCTATATGACCTTGGGCAAAGTGTTTAAAAATTTTTAGTCTACTTTTCCTCATCTGCCAAATGTGGTTAATAACACCCACCTCATCAGGTAGTTGTGGGGTTTAAGTCAAACAACATGTATAAAGGGCCCAGATATGTGTACAGTATCCCTTGATAAATAGTACTGCAAATTATTCCTACTTTTGTTTCTCTCCTTAAAGAAATCCAACTTCCAAATGTAGAACTTTCTGTTGCTTAAGTTAATGCTGAGTTGGTAATCAATAATTCTTTTGGATCACAATGTTTTCATTAGAAATGAGCATCTAGGGCCGGGCGCAGTGGCTCACTCCTATAATCCCAGCACTTTGGGAGGCCAAGGTGGGTGGATCACATGAGGTCGGGAGTTCAAGATCAGCATGGTCAACATGGTGAAAACCCATCTCTACTAAAAATACAAAAGTTAGCTGGGCGTGGTGGCAGGTGCCTATAATCCCAGCTACTAGGGAGGCTGAGGCAGGAGAATCTCTTGAAAGCGGGAGGCGGAGGTTGCAGTGAGCCAAGATTGTGCCACTGTACTCCAGCCTGGGTGACAGAGTGAGACTTTGTCTCAAAAAAAAAAAAAAAAAAAAAAAAGGGAATGAGCACCTTGGTTTAGCACTTTACTGCTCCACTCAAGCTGTAGACATTTTAGGAACACATGTTCAGGTATGGTTTGTGTTCTTGATTGTATGGGACATGAGATCATGGCTCAATAAATGAAATCAAAACTTCCTTAGATGTGTTCTGTGGAACTCCAGAGTTTTCAGTAACATTTTAATGGCATATGTCTCCAAATTTGCCTTTATTAAATCCTACAATGGATACATTTGTGGGGATTTTGTAGTGCTGTAGTGATTTTTGTGTCTAGACAAAATCTCTAACTTTGGTTTCTAACCCTAGAGACAAACCAAATGACTTAGTGGCTAAAATGATGGACTTCAGAATCACCTTAGACCTGGTCTAGCCAGACAATGCAGAACTGTTGTTCTAGTCCCTGGTGCCCTCTTACTTGTTGTGTTAGTCTTACTCGCTGTAGACAAGTGACAACCTCTCTGAGCTTCAGTTTTCTAATCAGTTGAAGGGGGATAATGGTAGTTCTTTCCTTAAAATGAAATGATAGAGCTTAGATGAGATGAGATAATACGTATAAAGCATTCACCAAGTTCTTAGAACATAGTAGGTGCCTAACAGATAATCCTGTTTCTCCTTGTACATCCCCTCTTCCCTCCCTCTCCTTCTTGTCCTTATTTTCTCCTTTTTTCTCCACTGAGTTTTTAGAAAAGGAGAAAACTAGAGAGGTGAGCTTCAGGAAAAATATCTTTATTTCTGGATTGGCTTTGATTGCTGTGATTTTAGGACACGGACTATAGTTGTAGATGTTGCCCTGGCTGTGTATCAACAATGACTTCTTTTCCTTGATGTTTCTTCACAGGAAGGATCAGAATGTTCTCTCTCCAGTCAACTGCTGGAATCTCCTCTTAAACCAGGTGAAGTGGGAAAGCAGGGACCATACCACCCTGAGTGACATCTACCTGAATAATATCATTCCTCGATTTGTACAAGTCAGCGAGGACTCAGGAAGACTCTTTAAAAAGGTACAGAGATATTTCTAGTCACAGAGGTTCTTGGGTGGAGCAATGACACAATTTTTAAAATCCTATTAGATATTATGTTGATTACCTGGGTGACAAAATTATCTGTACACCAGACCCCCATGACATGCAATTTACCCATGTAACAAACTTGCACATATACCCCCCTTGAACCTAAAATAAAAGTTGGAAAGAAAAAATAAAAGAAAGAATATCTTATTGGCCCACTTCATAGGCTTTCCACTAGTCATTCCCTACCACATACTTGTGGAGAAAAAAAATATTTGAATTGGCATTCCTTTCTTCCTTTCTGAGCTGAATTAATAGTAGCCTTGGGAAAGGAACCATTTGCAAGGTATAAACCCAGGGCTGGTACTATAATTCATAATCTGCATCTATTAACAAAAACTGTGTTTTGGGAAGTTTTCTTAAAGTGATTTGTGAAGCTGTTGAGCTTAAGGGGCCAACACTGTCATTTTATGTTTTCCTATTCTAGTTCATTTAGCAAACTCATATACGTTTATGTTTTTAGTTTAGTTTTCTTCCCAGGGTCTTATCTTGGCCAAGGTAGACTCAAAAGTGTGGTTATTCTTATCGTGGTATGTCTTTGTCTTTGGGTCTCTGAATGCTTTCGAAACTCAATTGTTATCGTACTTCCTTGGGTATAGGTTGAACAATTTGACAAAGGAAAACTCAAAATAATCATGATAATCTTAAGGAGCCAATTCACCTTACCTGTCAACGATGGAACTAGCCTCTTGAAAATCCAGGAAGCTCTTTTCTAAGCTGTCTCAGCTTGAGCTCAAAGTGGAATCATTTATTCATGAGGTTGGGTTACAGACAGCGGTGAAGGCCCCAACCATTGTATATGATATGCCATGTCTACCATTCAAGCATTGACATCCCCGGAAGACTTTCCAGAAGGCAAATAATCTTCCTAAAAGTTATAGGTAGAAAAAGATTATAGAGGGCTATTTAGAATTCATCAGTTTCCAGGTGACAAAATCCATTATTAAAATTTGAAAGTATGAGAGAAAAGACTGGTAAACAGGACTGTAGTCGATACAGTCAAAGCTCTTCATCAGCTTTCCAGTTCTCAGGAATTTTTCCAGATTTCACTAGATCTGGAATTAATACCCCATTTTTTTTCTGTAATTACCAGCCTGATCAAATAACTGATTTGGAATCTTCCATCTACCTAATTGCATCCGTGAAGGTGCTTTCCCTGTGTCTTAGAGACAGAATATTGAGGGTACAATCATCTGACGACGAAAAGAAGGCAGAGAAAGATAACTCCTCCCAGAGCTCACTGGCTATTATTAGTAGCCCGGCTGTGCTGTGGTTGGGGCCACACCTCATTTTGGAGTGAGGGTACTTCTCACCATCTCCTCCATGGTTTCCAGCATCAGCTTCAGCTTGGTTGTCATTAATTTGAATTATTCTGCAATACTTGGTGATGCATGTGTGTGACTAAAATTAAAACCTATTTAGGTGAAATTTTGACAGCTCGTCTCTATGACCTTGACAGCCACTTAGACTATCTCAAGAAGGAAAGGGCTTGACTGATAGTTTCCTCCTCCGTTTTCTTTGTTCATCTGAGAAAACAACTTTTATAAGATCTGTTCACCTAGCTAGACTTCACCCAGTCTCTCAGCTCCCTTTTTACCAAGCCTTAGAAGGTTAGAGAAAAACCAGGCTAGATAATTTAATAGCCTCTCCAGATCTCAGAGATGCTTATACTGAAGGCAGCCAGATAGCAAAGTCACGAGTGTTCCTGGCTCTTCAAGTGCCCTATGCATATTTCACCAAAGGTAGGTACATGGCATGTATACAAGGTGTGGGGCATATGACATTCATGAAGAAAATTCGTCTGTGAATGATATTCCTAGCCATGGGCTCAGGGTTGACTTCCTTAAGCCGTGTATTACTATGCTAGAGCGTGAGGAAGAACTTATTTCTCATAGGACTGTTTATATATTACATTTCACTGAAGAAAAGTATGCCTATTATAATTTAATAGCTATATGCATTTTCACAAACTGAATTCACACTTGTGTAACCAGCACCCAGATCAAGAAACAGAACATTTCTGTACCCTAGAAACCCCCTCATATTCCCTTCTAGTCATCTCCCCACCCTAAATCCCCCAGGATAACAACTGTCTTGACTTTTAACAGCAGAGATTAGCTTTGCTTGGTTTCATACTTTATATAAGTAGAATTGCACAGTATGTACTCTTTTTTGTTTGGTTTCTTTCAATATTATGTTTGTGAGATTTATTCATACTGTTGTGTATAGTTGCAGATCATAGGAATTTCTCTTGATCTTTGTAACTTTGGATCAATTAAATTGTAGTTGATTAGAGACATGCCCAGGGTTGTTGAATGGCCAATGATTACTATCCCACAGGGTGAGTAATCTCTTTTCTCCCTCCCTTGGGGCATTCCCATGTAGGCAGAAAACTCTTAAATTAGGAGCTGGTTGGCAGATCATAAAAATAGATTGAGCCAAGCACCATGGATCATTCCTGTAATCCCAACAACTCAGGAGGTCAAGGTGGGAAAATGCTTGAGGCCAGAAGTTCAAGAACAACCTGGGCAACATAACAAGACCTTGTCTCTAAAAAAATTTTAAAAGTTAGCTGAGCATGGTGGCCTGTGCCTGTAGCCACAGCTACTTGGGATGCTGAGGTGGGAGTATTGCATGAGCCCAGGTGTTTGAGGATGCAGTGAGCCGTGATCATGCCACTGCTCTCCAGCCTGGGCAACAGAACGAGACCCTGATAGTTTGAGGATGCAGTGAGCTGTAATCATGCCACTGCACTCCAGCCTGGGCAACAGAGAGAGACCCTGATGGTTTGAGGATGCAGTGAGCTGTAATCATGCCACTGCACTCCAGCCTGGGCAACAGAGAGAGACCCTGACTCCTAAAAAAAAAAAATTGATTCATTCTCTTTTGGCTGGGTAAAGAGCCTCTCTGCTTTCTAGTAATGGGCAAACAAACATTCTTCATACCACACCCCAGTTTTTTAACCTCTTTTGTTTAGAGTGTCCTTGCACATGAATTAGAATCCTACTGGTTAAGATATAGTATCAGATAAGAGTCCTAAGGAATGTCCTCAGCCATTCTGTAGTTACATGAATCTTCCCGGGGATTTGCTTTGTGCTATCAGAGGAGATGCCTTTTCCAAGTGACCCTTTCTCTTGGGCCTAGTTCTGCTCTTAACTCTGAGACCTTGGACAATGACTTCTTTCTGTGCCTCAGTTCCCTAAACTTTAAAAAAAGAGTGTGGTCTATGTGATCTCCATGGTGCCTTCCAAATTCAGGATACCACAGTTCTGTGACGATAAGGGGATCCTACACTGGGGGCTTCCTTCTGGTTGTTAGGTTACCTTTGTTAAATTGTGATAGGTAAATTTTAATCCCACAGATAAGGACAAACAAAAGTGGATATAGGTGTGGAGAGGGCTAGCTTAAGCAAATGAAGACCAGATTTCTTGAAGAATGAAGGATTATTTCAGGTGCTGATATCTACAATGTCAGCAATGAAGAAATACCAAATTGGGATCCAAATACATAAAATAGATATGTTTTACCAGTAAATTTGGTTCCAGTGGCAAAAGGACCCATTTCTCTGGGGACATAGGCTTAGAAAAGATACCTTAATTTGTGGTATGGCTGTACACACCTGTGCTTTATGTGAATTTGGGTCTGTTTGTCACTAGCAAAAGTCAACATTTTTAAAAATCTTTTTTTAATCTATAAAACTTAATGATTCACTGCAAAAATTATGATAATAGAAGTCATTATATTTTGAACCTCTATGTGCCAGGTATCATGTTAAGCACTTTATATGTATTATCTCCTTTAATCCTTACCGTAATTTTATAAAGTAGTTACTATTGTCATCATCGCTGTTTTATGAAGGAAGAAACTATGGCTTAAAGAGATTAAGCAGGCCAGGCACAGTGGCTCAAGCCTGTAATCCCAGCCCTTTGGGAGGTTGAGGTGGGAGGATCGCTTGAAGCAAGGAGTTCAAGACCAGCCTGGGCAACATAGCAAGACTCTGTCTCTACCTCCCTCCCCCACTTAAAAAAAATTAGCTAGGCATGGTGGTACACACCTGTAGGCCTAGCTACCCAGGAGGCTGAGACGGGAAGGATCACTTGAGCCCAGAAATTTGAGGCTGCAGTGATCTATAATCATGCCACTGTACTCTAGCTTGAGTAACAGAGCCAGACCCTGTCTGTTTAAAAAAAAAAAAAAAACAAAAAACAAAAAACAAAACAGAGGGCTGGGAGTGGTGACTCATGCCTGTAATCGCAGCGCTTTGGGAGGCCAAGGTGGGCAGATCACCTGAGGTCAGGAGTTCAAGACCAGCTTGGCCAACATGGTGAAACCCCGTCTCTACAAAAACACAAAAATTAGCCAGGCAAGATGGCCAGTGCCTGTAATCCCAGCTACTCAAGAGATTGAAGCAGGAGAATCTCTTGAACCCGGGAAGTGGAGGTTGCAGTGAGCAGAGATCATGCTGTTGCACTTCAGTCTAGGCAACAGAGCAAGACTTCGTCTCAGAAAAAAAGAAGAGAGAGAGAGATTAAGAAAAATGAAATGAAGCTAACGTTTAACTCCAGTCACTTGGCTCTAGAATCCAACGTTTTCATCTACATACTGTATTAGGATTCTCTAAGTATGTTGTACAGAGAAGAGAAAATCCTGGATTTTCTCTGTTTCATTGAATTCAGATATTTCACTTAGTTATAGAATTAACCTAATTTTTCTTTTGCACATAAACCTTCAAAGGGTATGGAGATGTTGAACATCAACATTGGATTGTTTTTCCTACCTGGGGTTGGGGCAAGCAGCTGGAAGTTGGGAATGAAATAGGGCAGCATGTTTACACTCCTCAGGGGCAAAATATCTCTGCCCCCTGTAAGAGGGAAACAAGGACTCATTAAATGTGAGAATTGGCCCCAAATCTGGCTCACAGCTAATTTAGCTAATTTAGGGATGTCAGGGTGGCTGCACAATTGGCCCCTCTATGCTATTGAACCCCCTTAAGGGAGGCTCCTTGCTAGCCCTCTGGTTTGTGGTAATGTCTGCTGGGACATATTTTACATTTTGCATGAAGCCATGTTGGAGATTCCTTTAGCTAAATATAACATCTGAAGAAAGTAGCCTCCTGTTCACAGCTTAAAAACAGTCTGACTTTGTCTAGGACAAGAGGGAAAATTGAGCCCGTTTGGTGCTCCTGACATCTCCTTTCATGTAATGAAAGCTCAGTCTGTCTAACCTCTGTTGGAACCAGGGTTTGGGCAAATATTATTGCTGCCACCTTCATTTGTTTAATGCGGTGGCTTCAAAAACCATGGGCAAAAACTGCCAAGTTTGACTCCCATCTCCCTGTGGTCTCCATGAGGGGCATGTTCTAAAGAAGCCCACCAAGAACAGAAATAATTTTTCCCACTTGCTTAGTTTAAACTGAAATAAACTTGGGTGTGCTTTTTCCTACAGGAGAGAGGATAATCCTGTTTTCTCTTTTTACTTAGCTGGAACACACTAAAAGTACCTCTGACTTTGCTTTCTCAAATCACTGTTTCTAGCCCTTCACAGCTGCTCACACTTAAGCTTGGAAGCTGGTCAGTTCAGACAGTGCTAAGGCTCAGTTGCATCCTTGTTTTTACAGCACTGCAGTGAACTGTACTCCTGCTTTGCTGTTAGGACTCTTAAGTTTCTATGGCAAAAATTTAGGTTAAATTGAAAAAGCCAAGTCAGATTCCCTATAGACCAGTAGCTTTCAACTTTGCCTGGGCATGAAAGTTACTTGGGGAGTTTTAAAAAAATCTTTGTGACCTTGAATAAACAAAGGTTTCTTAGAATATAAAAAGCATGAACCATAAAATTTTATAAAGGATAAGTCAGACTTCATCAAGTCTTGGACTTTTGTTCCTAGAAAGACTTTATTTACAAAATGAAAGACAAGACGCAGACTGGGAGAAAATATTTGTAATAT
Organism: Homo sapiens; assembly: GCF_000001405.40. Classification (NCBI taxonomy): domain Eukaryota; kingdom Metazoa; phylum Chordata; class Mammalia; order Primates; family Hominidae; genus Homo; species Homo sapiens. The sequence goes on from NC_000001.11 coordinate 121,330,651, forward strand.
GTATCTGACATGGACTTATATCAGATTATAGAATAAAGAACTCTGAGAACTCAGTAATAAGACAAACTACCCAAATTTTTAAAAATGGAAACAGGTTTTAATAAACATTTCACTAATAAAAATATACAAATGGCTAATCAACACATGAAAATATGCTCAATATCATCACTCGTGATGGAAACGCAAGTTAAAACTGTAAGAAGATATACCATACATTCACTAGGATGGTTAAAATTAAAACATCTGGCAATACCAAGTGTTAAGGAAGTTGGCCAGAACCCTCATATGTTGCTAGTGAGAGTGTGAAAGTGGTACAACCACTTTGGAAAATAGTGGCAGTTTCTTATGACATTAAATTTGTACTTGTCATATGACCCAGTAATTCCAGGTATTTATAGGCATCTACCCAAGAGAAATAAAAGCATATGTCTAAACAAAGACTTGCACCTGAATATTCATAAAGCTTTTGTGATAGGCTGAGTAATGCCTCCCTCAAAAAAAAAAAAAAAAAAAAAAAAAAAAAGAGGTCCATATTCTAACCTTTGGAACCTGTGAATGTTACCTTATGCATGTAATACTTTGCAGATATGACTAATTTAAGGATCTTGTGATGGGGATATTATGCTTAATTAGCTGGGTGGGCTGTAAATGCAATCACAAGTGTCCTCATAAGAAGGAGATTACAGATAAAAGAGAGGAAGGTCATGTGATAGAAGCAGAGGGAAACAGAGTCATAGAGAGAGGATGCTATGCCACTGGCTTTGAATATGGAGGAAGTGGCCATGAGCCAGTGAATACAGCTCTAGATGCTGGAAAAGGCAAGGAAACGGATTCTTCCTGAGAGCCTCCGGAGCAGAAGCAGCCCTGCTGACTCACTGGTTTCAGCCCAGTGAAATTGGTTTTGGAGTTCTGACCTCCAGAACTCTAAGAGAACAAATGTATGTTGTTTTAAGCCACCATGTTTGCAGTAATTTGTTACAGCTGCCTTAGGTACTTTATTCATAATAGCCCAAACTGGAAACAACCCAAATGTCCATCAACAGATGAGTGGAAAAACATATTGTAGTGTATCCATATATCAATACTACTCAGCAATAAGAAGGGAAATGCTGATACAATATAAATGAGCTCAAAAAACATTATGTTGATAAAAAGAAGCCAAGCACAATGAGTACATTCTGTATGATTCTGTTTCTATAAAATTTTAGAAAAAACAAATCTGATCTATAGTGATAGAGAATAGATATTGATTGCCTTGGGGCCAGGATGGGGATGAAGGATTGACTGCTAAGGGACACAAGGGAGTTTGTAGGGTTTTTATAGCCTACATTATATAACATTTTAAACAATGCTTTATAACATTTTTATAATGTTACATAATCTTGACCATGGTGGTACATTAGACAGACTTTATCATATTATACACTTAAAATGTGTACATTTTATTATGTAAATTATGCCTCAATAAAGTTGATCTAATTTAAAAAATACCCATGCCAAGACCCTACCCCAGCATGATTTAGTCAGAATCTCTGGAGTAGGGCCTGGGTGATTGTTGCCTACAGCTAGGGCTGAGAATCACTGCTGCACTGTTTTCCATCTTGGGGAAACTGCAGAGCACAGAGAATATCTGATGCCCTAAGATCCTGTCTATCTGTATGTGAGCCATGTTTGCCTCTGCAACAGACAGTGTTAAAGCATCTAGGCTAGTTTCTCTAGGCAACCCATTGTGGTTTCCTACTTTATTCTTGGAGGGTGATGAAGGGTGAAGTTAGCTTCAGATAAATAAATCTGGTGACAAAGGGTGAATCTGGCTTCCTTCACACTGCAGGAAGTGGGGAATGCAAGAAGAGTGCTGAGGAAGGAATGTAAGAGACTCAGTTAATACTTTTCTCCAGGGTCTTGGAGATGTTAAACATGTCCTTTTGCCATTAGTGAATCAGTCACAAGAGAATTGCCACAACAGTCAGATTTCTTTTGGCACTAAGGAAATGAATCTGGTAGTTAAAAAGGATAAATGAGATTTAAAACTAAAAGCAGTGCATGTTACCTATCTGTTTGGTATCCGTTTGGACTGAGATAGGATTTCCTATGGCGTGTCTTGAGTCCAGCTGTTTGGCATGTGTGAGAAGAGTGGATGATGAAACTGTGAGAAGGCATTTTGGGTGGTGTGATGGTCATAAATAAGAAGAGGAGAAGTGGTGACCCACAATGCTGGTATAGTTGAATGTCCCTGGTAAGTGCTGTGGATTGAATGAATGGAGGAAAAGAATGGTTTTCCAAAGGTTGTGTCCCTGTGCTCTGCCCCCTTAAGAAAGGGTTTAACTCTTTGGGAGAAGGAGTAGATGAGTGATTTAACCCTCCCTCCCTTCCCCGTCTACCATATCCCTCCTGCTCGTCTGAACTCAGTATCTGTGATTGGACTGAATTTCCTCCACATTATAGCATGGTCACTAACAGCGTTTGCACAGTGCTTTACAGACAGCTGTTCCAGTTGCCCAGTTTATCTTGTTGGTAGCAAAAATCTGTTCTAATTAATTGAGCTTTATTCTCTCATATCTGATGAAAAGATCCTCTTTGGAGAAAAGAATAGAATGTGAAGCTGAGCTTATTTGAGTAGGGGATGGAAGGCTGCCAGCTACTTCAAAGGTATCTCTGCTGATAAGGGGCGTCAGGTTTGCTGCCAAAGCCAACACCGAGGGGAGCTTTGCAGCTCGTGCTGTTGGGGGTGTTTTAGCTTTGGTTTCTGTGACACTGGGTCAGCAGCATCTGTGTGCTCTCCCTTGAGGCTGCTCTCTGGGTGGTCCAGGCTTTTATTTAGACTTAGGAAGGTGCAGCTCAAAGGGAATGTGTGCATCAAAGATGTCTGTAGTCTTTTGCTTAGGTTAGTTTGTGTGTTTGCCTTTTTGGTGTTTTAGTTCTTAGGTATCTGCCTTTTCTAAAAGAGCTCAAGGTGCTATATTTAGAACTTTCAAAAGTATAATAGTACTTCGATTTGTATAAATCAAAGGATTATTAAGGGAATCTGAAGACGAGGAATGGAATATGGGAAATGGAATATGGGAAAGAGAGGTGCAGTAGACAAAAAATAAAAGTGTCCATATGCAACCTTGTATTGGAATACTACCCTAAATTAGGAGATTATACAGTCAATAAGTATTTTAGTGAATACTGCATGCACAGCATTATGCTGCTAGGTGCTTAAAAGAGCTTGAAAATCAAATTGAGGAGTAAGATTTGCCTCCCAAGGGAGCTTGGGGTTTTTGGTTTATTTAGGTCTCTCAAAACTTTCTGTGGGATGATGATGATGACAAAGTAATAATAGTAACCTTTCGTAAAATTCACACTGTGAATACCTCCCACTGTAGTAGGCCCTAGATGTGTATTTTCTCTGAACCTTTCATCTATTTTTGCAAAGTTTTTTTCCTAAACTATTTATGAAAGTATAAAATACTTAGAGAAAGTACACATATTATAAAGTGTACAGCTCAATGAATTTTTACAAACTGAATACAGCTATGTAATCAGCACCCAGATGAAGAAAGAATGTTACTAGTATCCCATGAACCCTCCTTCTCTCCACTTCAAGTCATTACTCTCTGAAGGGTAACCATTATCCTGACTTCTAACACAATATAAGTATTTGCCCATTTAAAAATTTGTTTGTGTAAATGGAATCAGATAATTTTTTTCAACAACTTGAATATGTAATTCACTTGCCTTCTGGCCTCCATTATTTCTGATGAGAAATCAGCTGTGGTTCTTAGGTTCTTATTATTGCTTACTTGTATGTAATATATCATCTTTTTGTTTGTTTGTTTGTTTGTTTTAAAGAGATGGAGTCTCTGTCCCCCAGGCTGGAGTCCTGTTGCATGATTACAGCTCACTGTAGACTCAAACTTCTGTGCTCAAGCAATCCCAGTCCTTCCGTCTTGGCCTCCCAAAGTGGTGGGATTACAGGCGTGAGCTGCCATGCCCAGCCCTTCTTTATTTGGCTGCTTCCAATATTTATTCATTATCTTTGGTTTTTAGTTCTTTGATTATCATAAGAGTGTAAGCATGGTTTTCATTGTATTCCTTTGGCTTGGTTAAATATAATATCCAGACAATCCCTGATCTGTCAAATATCTAATTTGTAGAAATTGTAGGAAAAATATCAAATTTTTCCTCAATTTGAGAAAAATTTTTGGCAAATATTTTTTTCTGTCCCATCTCTCCTTCCTGTTTTGCTTTGTTATCAATTGCATGTATGTTAGACTACTTGATTCAGTCCCACAGCTTGTTAATGTTCTGTCCATTTTTTTCAAATTTTTGTTTTCTGTATGCTTTAGTTTAGATGATTTCTAAAGTTTACCAATTTGGCTGGGCATGGTGGCTCACACCTGTAATCCCAGCACTTTGGGAGGCCAAGGTGGGTGGATCACTTGAGGTCAAGAGTTTGAGACCAGCCTGGCCAACATGGTGAAACCCCGTCTCTACTAAAAATACAAAAATTAGCTGGGCATGGTGGTACGTGCCTGTAATCCCAGCTGCTCAGGAGGCCGAGGCAGGAGAATCACTTGAACCCGGAAGGTGGAGTTTGCAAGAGGCTGAGGCAGGAGAATCACTTGAACCCGGAAGGTGGAGTTTGCAGTGAGCTGAGATTGTGCCACTGCACTCCAGCCTGGGAGACAGAGCAAGACTCCATCTCAAAAAATAAATAAATAAATAAATAAATAAATAAATAAATAAATAAATAAAACAACCAATTCTTTCTTTTGTTCACCTAAGATGCTATAAATGCCATCCAATGAATTTTTTTTATTTCAGATTTTTTTTTTTTTTTTTTTGAGATGGAGACTCACTTTGTCACCCAGGTTGGAGTACAGTGGTGTGATCATAGCTCACCGTACCCTCAGACTCCTGGGCTCAAGTGATCCTCCCACCTCAGCTTCTCATGTGTCTGATACTACAGGTGTGTACCATCATGCTTGGCTAATTTTTTTAGAGATGGGGTCTCGCTGTGGTTCCCAGGCTAGGCTTGAACTCTGGGGCTCAAATGATCCTTCCCCTTCAGCCTCCCAATTATTGTATGTATATTTTTAAAACATAGTTGGCAATTACTTAAAAATTCTTGTTTGCTATTTTTAACATTGACATTATCTGTGGGTCTGTTTATTGATTTTCCTCTTGACTTTTTTTTACATGCCTACTAATCTTTTATTGCATATTGGACATCATAGATAATATGTCATAGAAACTCTAGATGTACTTATCTTCCTCTGAAGAGTATGAAGTTTTATTCTAGGAGGCTATTAAATTACTGGTTGATCACCTTGATCTTGTGGGGGCTTGGCTTTATACTTCATTACAGTGGGTATATTTTGGTTTTGCCCTTCGTCTTAGAAAATACTGTATACTTAAGGCATGGCCTTTCTGGGGTTTCCATGGGAAACCCAAGATGTTTATCAAGCCCCTCTAACTAGGCAGGCTTTGAATGCCAAATTCTATCTTCCTTACAGTGGGCAGCACCTAAGATGACCAACTATCCTGTTTGCCTTGGGCTGAGGGGGTTCCTAGGACATGAGACTTTTAGTTTTATCTGTTCAACTGTTGATGGCATTTGGATAGTTTTCAGTTTGAGGCTATTATGTATGTTATAAATAATGCTGCTATGAACATTATAATGGGAAGTTATTCTTTCCAGTGTATGGTTGAACCTGGTCACAAGCCAGGCTTTAAGAATAGTGAATTCAAAACCTTTTCTCTCTCTTTCTCTCTCTCTCTCCTTCTCTCCCTCCTCTGTCTCTCTCCCTCCCCCCCTTCCTTCTCCCCTCTGCCTTCTCTTCCCTCTCCTTTCTCTCTTCCTTTTCCTCTTTCCTTCTCCCTCTCCTTGTTTCCTCCTTCCCTTCCTTTTCTCTATTCTTTTGAATAATCTTTTAAATTTTATAGTAGATGTATATGTTATAGAAAATTTAAAAATACAGAAAGCAAAAATATGATATAAAAAACAGATTTATTGTACATACTATTTTGTAATCTACTGTTTTAGTCAAGAACTTTCTCCTTTACATTTCAATAAACTTTTGTCTCATCTAATACCCAGGCCATGTAAAGATTTAATTAATTACTCAAAAAATCTCTTTGACAACTAGTTTGTCCAAGCCAGTATCTAATGCACACAGTTTTATGTCCCTTAAGTGTACTTTAATCTAGTATTATTTTCTTTCCATGAAACTGATTTGTTGAAGAGACCAAGCCAGATGTCCTGCAAAATCTCCCATCTTCTAGATTTGTCTGGTTGTTTACTTGTGTTGTTAAGCTTCTGCCCGTATCCCATATTTCCTGTAAATTGGAAGTTGGTTCTAAAGGTCCAAGTGGATTCAAGTGACTTAGAATGCATAATAAGTGATGTTAGTACTTCATGTAGCATCAGAGCAGGAAATACATAACATCTAGTTAGTCTACCGATAGTGATGCTAATATTGGCACCCTCTAGAATAGGGCTGTGATAGTCTGACCCTTCCATTTTCTAGTTACATTTTTTAAATCACATGATAGAAACCTGATTGTAAGGTGTTATTCATGGTGCCAGCCTACAAATATTGGGTGCCAGTTCAGTCATTCATCTGATAATTTTAGTATCAGTTGATAATTTTAGACAAGCTACTTTTTGTCATCTCTGTACCTCTCTTACTTGACTATAAGATGCCTCTCTGAGGCTGGGCACAGTGGCTTATGTCTGTAATCCCAGCACTTTGGGAGGTGGAGGCAGGTGGATCACCTGAGGTCAGGAGTTTGAGACCAGCCTGACCAACATGCTGAAACCCTGTCTCTACTAAAAATACAGAAATTAGCCAGGCGTCGTGGTGTATTCCTGTAATCTCAGCTACTCAGGAGGCTTAGGGAGGAGAATCGCTTGAACCTGGGAGGCAGAGGTTGCAGTGAGCCAAGATTGTGCCATTGTACTCCAGCATGGGTGACAGAGCAAAACTCCGACTCAAAAAATAAATAAATAAATAAATAAATAAAATAAAAATGCCTCTCTGAGAAAAGGAGAGGATTGTTAATACAGCTCATCAGGCACCATGCAAATAGTAGTTTGTAAAAACGTATTAGTCTTGGGAGAAACCACACACACGAATAGTGTGCAAGCTGACTAGGTGTCAATTTGTTATTATTAAGAATCACAGCAATAATTTTTTTAAAAAAAGCATAATTCTAAATGAATGCTAACCATGCCTAGGGACTGTGCTAGGTGTTTTACATGTATTAACCTATTTAATCTCATCACAACGACACTTTGAGATGAGTACTGGTTTTATCATCCCCATTTGTAGATAAGAGCATGGGCAAAGGGTTTAAGCAATTTACTGAAGATTATACAGCTGGTTGATGGGAGAAATGGGATTCAAGCCTAGGCAGTTGGCTTCCCCTGATCTCTTCACATCATCATGCTCTGCTGCCTTGCATGTAGGAAGGTGGCAGTCATATTGGTAAGCTAAAGAACCAGTGCTTGTGCAGGGAATTAATGACTCATGCATTCTGCAGTCATACGTTGCTGTGCTTCTGTCAGGTCAGAATTTCCATTGTGCTATTCTGATTCTGCTTCTTGCCCAGCTTGTCCAGAGAGAGAGTAGCACCTTTGACTTTAGCCTCCCTTGTTGCAGGACAGGCTTCTGTTGACTCCCCTATTTATCTTTGTCAAGACTTTTCCTTTGAATTCCTCCCTGCTTGTCTGAGCATGATTTTTATTTAAAGTGAGGACAAAATTTAAGTTTTCCTCCTTTTGACACGGCGTCTTCAGTTTTTTTTCATTTTCATCTTCTTTCCTTACAATACTGGACTTTCTCTGGTCTTTTAGTTTTTCTACTAGATCCTACCTTTCTTTGCTTTTAAGCCCAGCCCTTGGGGTTTTTTGTTTTGTTTTCTTTTTTTTTTTTCCTTTTTCTCTGTTCTCTACAAATCATTTGGGTCTACATCCAGCTTCTCCCAGCATTTACTCAATATGAAACTTCCAGTTATAGATTAATTTGAATTCTTTGCACTAATTGTTTAAAAGACCATAGGAACCTCAGACCATCCCTCTTCATGGTCTCAAGAGCTCCCAGAATCATCCTCTTGGTAAGCTAAGTAGTTATTAGTAAGGCCCAGGGACAGGACTGAGAAGTAACATCTTCTATTTTTTATTTCAGTTTTCCTTTAATTTGGAAGCAAACAAACAAAAAACCCTTCAGCTTAGGGTTTTTTCAATTGTTAAAGTAATACTGAGCTTCAGTTAAGGCTATGAAAGAAAAGAAAAAATTTTAAAAAGTAGTAACGTGTTTTTTTCAAGATATTGTGGGTAAAAACATAATAAAAAGAAAATAATAATTACTTGGAATCATGATTCACATTTTGATGTATTTCCTTCCAATCTTTTTTATACACATTTTTTTAAAAATGAGAGTTACATTATATATTAAGCTTAGTGTAATTTTTTTCATTTAACATTTGGAGAAGCATTTTTATCATGTCATTGCATCTTCTTTTAAATGTTGCCTATATGATCATATAGCAGTCTGTAGTCTGGCTGTCCCATAGCTTTTTCATATATTCCTTATGGTTCTTTGGCTATGTTGTCTTTTTTTTTTTTTTTTTTTTGGAGATGGAGTTTCTTTTTTTCAGGCTGGAGTACAGTGGCGTGATCTTGGCTCACTGCAACCTCCGCCTCCCGGGTTCAAGTGATTCTCGTGCCTCAGCCTCCCTAGTAGCCGGGATTACAGGCGTGGGCTACCACATCCAGCTAAGTTTTTTGTGTTTTTTTAGTAGAGGTGGGGTTTCACCATGTTGGCCAGACTGGTCTTGAACTCCTGAACTCAAGTGATCTGCCTGCCTTGGCCTCCCAAAGTGCTGGGATTTCAGGCGTGAGCCACCACGACCAGCTGGCTGTTGTCTTGACTCTCCCCTGGACTATGTTCTTGTACATCTAGAAGCAATTAAAAATCTCATTGTTGTCTTTTTGGAAATCACTTGTTTTTAGGATGACTAGGTAGCCAAGGCTTTCATTTGGAAATACCCTACTTCCATTTAATATAAGGTAAGGAGAGAGGGTTTTTCCCCCTGCTGCTTTCCCTTTTTCTTCCTCTTCTGTCTTGCTCATTGTCTTAGAGCTTAGTTGAGAATCAGTGCTACGCCTGAGCCTGGGCCCTGGCTGGCTCAGTGGAGTTCTTTCACCATGCTGAGTTTCACTTTCCTCATCTTTACACTAATGAAATTACTCATACCCTCACTGTTCCTTCTCAGAATGCTATAGGCATCAGTAAAACCTGGGAACAAAGTGCTCTGCAAAGTTATGTTATGGTCAGAAGGTATCTGGTTGTGTTCATGCAGAAGAGCGTGTGTCTTGTGCCTTCGCCCAGCTAGGGTGGTCTTTGCAATCTCTAAGCTAATCTTTTTTTAGCGGTATATTATCATATAGGCTAGAAAGGAAATACAGAGAACAAACTGGGCGATCCAGTCTCCAACTTTAATCATCTCTTCTCCAAAGCCAAGATAATCCAAGCCTTCTGACCACATAAGCATTGCATCCCTTCCTGCCTTGCCTCTTCCCATGACCTTGTTTTTCTTTTGATGTTCATTTTGAGGGTGGAGAGTAGAAAAAGCATTCTCTTTTTGCTGCTCTCAGAGTCAGTGGTCTTTCTGGACCTTTAAGTTCTCAGGAAAGGAAAACCACATAGTCTACCTGAGCTTTCAGGGACTGAAGGAAAAAAAAAAGTATTGCTTTACTCAAATTCAGGACCACAAATAACCACTACCAACCCATTCAGTTGAGTTTAATAATATTATTTTATTGTCTGTAATTGCTCGGTATTCAAGTTGGCAGTATAAAAGGCCTGCAGAGCAAGCTTAAAACATGGTTCAAGATCTTAGATTTCTTACATCTCAGGTGAAAGACAGACCATAGACTCCCAAAGCAGGTTACAATTTAGATAGCAATGTAATGAGTCGTACAGACAATTTGTTGTCTATAGGATCTTGGAAAAAAAACAGATTCATGAAAAGTAAGTCAGGAGAGCTTCATAGAGGGGAAAGAATTGGGCCGATGTTCTTTTAATTACCTGCTGCCAGGATTCTCAATTAGCCATCTGTTTCTTATCTTACAGAAATATCTTTTGAGGATTTCCATATTATCTGATTCCAAGTTCCTTTCCTGCCTCTTTGTCCCCATTAGAGATGTCACTCATGAGGACAGTCTGACAGCAGAGACTTCCTTTTGACCAGCAATGGGAGAAATATGTGGAAATAGCTTGAAGCCTGAGTATAGAAGGCTTTGAATGCCAGTCCAAGGAGTTCAAACTACAGGTCAAAGAGAGCCATTGACAATTTTAGGCAGGGCAATGAAATCTTGAAAACCATGATTTCCAGTGGCATTGGCAGCAGTACTCAGTGTGGTTTAGCATGGAAGAAACTATATAGGAGCCTGCTACAATAATTCAGAGGGATAATAGAAACTTGGATAATGACAATAGGAACTAAAAGAATTAGATTTACCAGAAGGCAGAGGAAAGACATTATAGACAGGACTGAGTGGCCTGACATGAGGTGGGAGGAGGTCATTCAACTTAGTCATTCAGCAGTTCACTTAGTCATTCAGCAGATATTTACAGTGTGCCTCCCATGTTCCAGGCACTGTGCTGGGCACTGGAATATAGCAGATAACAAAAAGTTCTTGCCTTCATGGAGCTTATATTCTAATAGTTGAAACAGATAATACATAAAAAAGTAAATATATAATATATCAGATGATGATAAAATGAAACAGGGCAAAGAGGATGGGGTACAAGGGATATTGCTCTTTTATATAGGGTGGTCAGAGACGGCTTCACTGATAAATTGGCATTGGAACTGATTCTTGGAGGAAATGAGGGGTTTTGCTGTTTAGCTCTTTGAGGAAGGTATTTCAGGCAGAGATAATAGTGCACATCTAAGGCCATGAGATGGGAATGCGCTTATCTGGTTTGAGAAACAGTAAGGAGACCTTGTACAGAGTAGGCAAGAGGAAGAGTGGTGGGAGATGTGGTCTGGGGCAGCGAGCAGGTTTCTTCAGGAAGGGCCTTGGAGGCTACTGGAGGACTGGAGAGGCATGATACAGTCTGACTTCTGTTTAAATGGGATTATTCCAGCTTCTGTGTGAAGAGAGTGCTTTAGGAGGAGTAGGGTGGAAGCAGCAAGGGAAGACCAATTAAGGGAGCTTCTATAAATAATTAGGGCAGGAAATCATAGTGGATTGAAACAGGGTGGAGCTTTGGAGATGGTGAGAAGTGGTCAAATTCTGGGATATATTTTGAAGATGGAGCCAATAGGATTTGCTGCTTGATTGATATGGTGTATGAAAAAAATAGCAGTCAAAGATGACCCCAAGCATTCTGGCCTGAACGATTCGAAGTTGGAATTGCCATTTATTGAGGGAAGTGTGTGGAAGAGCCACTGATTCTAGTCAAGCCCTGTAATTCATGAAGAATCTGAGAGCCAATGAGAAGTAACTTGCCTTAGTTTACCCAGTTAGGTAGTAGTTGAGATGTGACTGAAACTACCAGGTCTTCTAAATTCTACTCACTGCTCTGTCCAGTACATACCATATTTCTGACTTCAGCTTTAGACATGGTAAAGGGAAGGTTTAGTGAGGGCAAGAGCTAGAAGAAGACTTGAAAATTAACCACACAAAAGACCAGTTGAGGTCATGAAAGGGTATTCAGAGTAAAGGGTAGTTGAGGCCTAGAAAGAAGACTTTGAAGAGCTAGCAAAGAAGAGAGAAGAACAAATTAAAATGGGCAAAAGGAAAATGAGAGTAATATGGCTCAAAGGACTTAAGAGAGAAGAAGACTCAATGATGAGTTCTGTGAAGGGGTCAGGAAGAATGGGAACTGAACAAATGTCATTAGATTTGGGTTTTAGAATCTTGGGAAACTGTGGTGCCTACAACTTAACCTCCTTTAAAATTTTAAGCACTTTTCTTGCCGTTTCAGCTAATAAGGAGAAGGAATATAACAGGGTAAGCCTGAGACAGAGAATTAAAAACAAATTTACTTCCAACTCCTGCATTACCTTCTTGTGAATCCTACACAAAAATTTGACTTTCCCAGACTCCCATGTGCCCATCTATAAACTGAACAAGAAGCATACTTCTTGCCCACTTTGCCTCCTGGAGATCCTGTGAGGATAACAATGACAAAGGATAGGAAACTGCTTTGGAAGAGAAATGTTACATAAATCAAGATATCCTTTTCTAGCTGACTTTAAGTTTTTAATTTAAGAAAAATTCTTGAAAGAGTCACAAAAACTTTACTTTAGAGATACACTAAATGCAGGACGTGTTGACTGATAAAATAGATATTCTTCTTGGAAACAATGGAAAATACTTCAGTATCATTTTGATTAAATCTTGCTTAATAACTGTTCATTAGACTCATATCAAATCCTGTCTTGGCTTTGTTATTTAATTTAATTTAATTTTATAGTCATTGTTACCCAACCACAAAAGAATTACCCCTGTGCTTAAGGCCACACAGATTTTTCAAACATTGATATATCAGCATTGGTCCTTCTGATGAAACACAAGATGAGGTTTTCCCTGCTGAGTGTCAGGCAGTCTGTCTCAAGCTGCAGGCTGAAGCCCCAGTGGAATCTAATTCCATCCTTCCAATCCCCTTCATATGAAGAGTGGGAAATAGTGGGAATGGAAATTAATTGTACCTGCTGGCATTATTAAAGTTATCAGTGCGTATCCCCTCTTGGGCCAGGAAGATTAAAAAGGCTGTTGTAATCAGAGCAGATGATTTCTGACACACTGGATGGGCTTCCTACCCAGGTTAGATGTAAGGAAGTGATCTGAGCTTGTTGCCTCTGGCCTGATACCACATAGCTCAGGGCTATGCAGTGTCTGCTTCATCCTCCCATCAGCCCTGGAGGAAAGCCAGGATCCTGCTCTCTGAATCAGAGATCTCTTAGTTGGAAAATCAGGCCTTCTCACTTAAGACTAGTGTATTCTGGCTGCGCATTCCTCACAAGATGTAGTCAGGTTAGGTTAGACCTTAGAGTCACACCTTGTTCAGGTTCAACCTGAGTGAAATAAGGAATTGAGGTGCTGCTCCCTGGTGATTCAGCTCGTTTTAGCAAGTGTTTATTAAATGCTTTCCCCAAGCACCACACCAGGCCCAGACAATTCTGCCTGTACACATCCTGTGGTATTTGTTGGTTGGAGGAAAGATGCTCTTGTAGTTTATGAATTAAAGAAAAAAAATTCCTGATCTGGGAATGAGAATCTTATCCTACGTTTCACACTGACTCACAGCCTAACTTTGACTGTGAATGCCGCCTAACTTTGTAACCTGTCTAGGACTTAGTTTTCTAATCTGTAAGATAATGGTTTGGACTAATCTCTCTAAGATTTATCTCTGAAATTCTGTAATTAAGTGAGGGAATTTCTATGAAAGTGCTTGGCAAACCATTGGGCTATTATGATAGTTCTAAGTGGAAACAGTATGTTTCCTCAATACACAGTGAATTGAGTTCTGACTCTCTGGGGCAGATAGATTTCTGACTTTCTGGGCCATGTGTTGAAAATATGAAGATGGCTGACGTGGCCCCTGATATTGAATACAGTGTCTAGTGGGAGAAATAGACATGCACATAAGCTATGATGATACAGTGTAATAATGGGTTCTTGGGTGGAGGGAAATATGAGGTGAGGTTTGCCTTATGATGTCCTTTGTATCTTAGGAAGAATGGGAGTGTAGGAGAGGGGAGCATAGGGGATTTCTGGGAGATAAAACCATTTATGCAGAAAGCAAGGAAGTATAATAGGTGAAAAGCGTTCCGGAACTACAGGTGGTGTGGGTGAGGATGGCTGCACACAGGTCCCTTGTAGGGGAGTGGCAAGCGATGAGGCTGAGGAGGTGGGCAGGGCCTTGCCTGCCACATCAAAGGGCTTATACCCTGAAGCCAGTGAAGCAGAAGCCCCTGTAATGTTATTGTTTTAACTTCTTATTTTGAGATAATTTCAGACTTAAAGAAAGATTGCAAAGTAGTCCAGAAATTCCTCTGTACCCTTAACCCAAATTCCCCAAATGTTAAAATCCCATCTTTCCAATATTTGGGGGCGAGATTTTTAAAAAATCTCGTATAATCACAGTACAATGATCAAAATCAGGAAATTAACACAGAGGTAATACTATAATCTCTCAATCTTACTGAAATTTCACTTGTTGCCTTGCTAATGTCCAATTCAAATTTCTGGTTCAGGGTTCAGTTTAGGATCACACATGATGTCGAGGTGAACTGTCATCTTAGTATCCTCTAATCTCTGACAGTTCCTCTGTCTTGCTTTGTCTTTCATGGTTTTAAAGAGTTCTGGTCAGTTATTTTGTAGAATGTTCCTCAATTTTGGTTTGTTTGGTTTCCTCATGATTGGATTCAGTTTAAGCAATTTTGGCAAGAACACCGTAGAAGCGATGTCATATTTTTCTTAGTGCGTTATATCAGGAGGCACTTGCCGTTGATTTGTCCCCATTACTGATGGTGATAATTTTAATTACTCGGTGAGGATGGGTGTCCCCTTTGCACTGTAATAAATGTCTTGTGAAGATACTATGTAAATATCCTATTTCTCCTCATCCTTTGCTTACTAATTTTTAGCATGCTTGTTAACTGAAACAATTCTACTAGCTGATTTTACCAAGAGAGTGCCATGGACAGATTTGCCTTTTAGAAAGATTACTCTGAAATGTTTGGATGTGAGAGAGATGTGAGAACAGGGAAAAAGTTACTACAGTAGTTCATTCAAGAGCGGGGCCCTGATCTAAGGCAGTGAGAGGAGGAGTAGAGAAGACAGAAGAGCCATTTAGGCTATGTTTGGAATCAATAAGCAGGGTTTACATTTTGTGCTATAGATTTAAATGCTGGAAAAATTCTGAAATGGGGGAAAATATCACATTTTTTATAGATTAACAGGCATCTATATAACCTCTGGGTTGCTCTTCTTTTTTTTTTTTTTTTTTTTGAGATGGAGTTTTGCTCTTGTTGCCCAGGCTGGAGTGCAGTGCGCGATCTTGACTCACTGTAACCCCCGCCTCCCAGGTTCAAGTGATTCTCTTGCCTCAGCCTCCTGAGTAGCTGGGATTATAGTATGTGCCAACATGCCTGGCTGATTTTTGTATATTTAGTAGAGACAGGGTTTCACTATGTTGGCCAGGCTAGTCTCGAACTCTTGACTTCAGGTGATCCACCCGCCTCGGCCTCCCAAACTGCTGAGATTACAGGCATAAGCCACTGCACCCGGCCCTGGGTTGCTCTTCTAAGAATAGCTGACTTTATTAAACATATTGTAGGTTTCATTAAATGATGTTTCACAAGGTGTTGCTTCTCCTGGACCAAATTCCTGTTGTTCAGCTGAGAGCTATTTCTAATCTCCAGTGTGGATGTGCTCATCATTTGGTTATAGGATGTGAGCAAATGAGATGGTGTTCTGCGTAGCCCTGAGGCTGCTTCCATTAGCCCTTTCCCCAAACTTTTGCCACTTTCAGGCTTAGCAGTATCCTCTCTTGGGTTCAGAATGCCTGCTCTTTGCCCTAATACAAAACCTAGAGCTGTAGGCCATGTTCTTATGATTTGACAGTATCAGGGAAGCATTTCTTATTGACTTTTCCAGAGAAAGAGAGAAAATAAGCAAGCCGGCAACAAGACAGAGGGGAAAAGGGAAGTGGCTCAGTTCTTACTTTAAGAAACAACATGGAAGATATGTTTGTTGATTTGAGGGTGGTGAATTTTTGCACTATAGCTTTGTGAGGGAGCTGGAAAGAGCCTTTCAGTTTTTCATGACTGGGAGTTTAATTTGGTTTATAACATTACTTAAAGATAACTTTGAAATTGGTCTAAGAACTTAGGGTTGTTCCTGACCCCAGGTCAATGGCCTACTTGACCTAGGCGAGAGAAGAAAGAGTTAAGGATAGGGAGTTGAGCTTTTTGCTCCAAAATCTATAGAGGGTACACCCCTCTTATATTCTGGAGTCTTACTGGGTTTCTGAAAATGCCCTTGTGGGTCATGAAACAATAGCCCTTTGAATATTTTTCTGCCGCTGCTGATGTGAGCTGATTAAACTGGCAGGCAGATGATGGAAGGAATAGTTACATGTCCCAGGCGGGAGGTCATGACAGTTGGATCTGTGGTTGACAGAAGAATTTCAACACACATTCAAATCAGCTCCTAAGATAGATTGTCTGAGTTCCCTGGGCCTGCCTCATGCCCTCCTCAAATGCATTTGACTCCTTCTGGCCCATAATACTCACACTTCAAATGTTTGGCTTGGTGTCCACAAATCAACTCAGGGCCGGGGTAGGGGTACTGATGAGCAGTGATGCCCTCTTTGGGAGCTACCACAGCATAGGAAATGAACATTAGACCAGGAATCAGGTAACCTGGTTGGGGACCCAGGGCTCTAGATGGTTTATTTTTTTATTTTCCTTATTGGTTAAATTCCCTACCGCAGTTTTGACATTCTCTTCTGGATACTGACTGTGGTCTAGAGAAACAGCTAAGGAAGGCAAATCTGAATTAAAATCTGGTTCTTGGGAAAGAACTGAAGTTTTCAGATTTTGCAAAATTATGGAGAGTGCAGACTAGGAGAAAAAGGACAGGCATAGTTGTGACAAGGAGCTATTTTTTCTAGTTCTGCATTCTAGAAACAGTACTGATGAGTCCAAAAATATAGAGATAAAATTTTGTCTTTTTTCTTGCTTTAAAAAAAAATGCTTCTAAATGTCTACATACTTGCCTAAGAAAATATTTCTCAACTCCTCCAGAATATTTAGGGTTAACTAAAAATTATAAAAACATACCACAGAGCTAGTCCACTCTTTATGCCTAGGGTTTACCCAAAAGGTCTGCATGCTCTGGCTTGGAGACCCTGACCCCATCTCAACTTGCTGGTTTTAAGTCTACATATTTGGCTGCAAAGCCCTAATGCCAGGAGGAATGCAGAACTGACGAGTCCACCCCATCTACAAGCTAGAAGGACATCTTGATTAAATTAGTGTCAAGGGCTGTGGAGAGAAAGGCACAGTGACACAAAGGGTGTTTTGAGGAGCCCTGTAGCGCCTGTGGAGAATGAATGTTCTCGTTAAATATGGCCGTGACCTGCAGCTCCACACATGCCAGAGACACAGCTCAATTGTCCCCAGGATTTGGGGGGTGGGGACGATCATGGGGAGAGGACAGCCTGGCATGGAAAGGCAGGAATGCAGGAAGGCCTGTTGTTGTTTTCTTTTTGCGATAACTACAGCAAGCAATTCTTTGATCATGGTCCTTGTGTTTGGAAGGGATCAAGAAGCGATTTCCTTTCCCCTGGGTGTTTGAACCTTTGCTCTGCTCCTTGCTTCTCTGGGTATTAAGGGGACTCCTGAAAGCCCCCATTGTCTTCAGCCTCTTTCCACCCCCTTCCTTGGGGCTCCCCAAGAAGACTGTTGCCTGAACTCTGTAGGGCAAGAATGAGAAGCAGTGCCCCCAAGACAGTGCCTACCCTTGTCATTTACCCACCATCCTCATCTCATTTATCCTTAAGTCCCAAGACCAAAGCAAAGAACACATGGGCTGTTGAAGGCTTCCACAGGACTGCCCTGGTCAGTGGGAAAGCAGTAATGCTTTCTAGCTGGGTAACCCCTTGGCTGAGTTCCATCTGCACTGTGGCCAGGGTGCGTGGTGAGACATGCTTTTGCCATTTGCCCTTTGAACTGCCAACAATCCCAATGTAGCAAATGGATTTAAAGCTGATTGAGTTTTAGATTTCTTTCCTTTAACCAGAATATTCTAGCAGCTTATTTTTATAGTTCTGCTTGTATGATTCTCTTTTTAACAGATGGAATCACAACCTTTTCTGCAGTATATATCTGATGAATTTAAAAACTGATACATCAAGAATATTCTTTTGTATATGTCTTTCTTGCTGTGAAAATTTATGGCCTTTCTTCCCCCTGTCTTTGCTCTGTAATTATTAGGTGCTTACTATATGCAAGGCATTGTATAAGATTAGGAGAATACAGATAAGACAAAATAGCATTGAAGGAGTTTATGAGTTCAATTCCAACTTCACCAATTAATAGTTGTTCTCATGGACAAATTTTTTGACCTCTCTAAGCTTTAGCGTCTGTAAGTACTAAGTGCTTTTTGTGCAGAGAGATGTAGAGAGGTGAAATTTGAGCTGGGTTTTTAGTGAATGAAAATGATTTCAGTAATTAAAGATGAAAAAGTACGGAGTTTGTGAGCATGGAGGGGGAGCTGGAGTCAAAGGATATTCCATATGGAAGAACAGGCTTCAGGATGAAGGAGAGCACCGGAATGTGTGAGGACTCTTCAGAGGGTGGTGAGTAAAAATAGTTTGGCTAAATCAGAGTGTTAATGAGGAGAGCAGCTTGAAACAAAGCCGAAAAGAGCCTCGAATGCCAAACTTGGAGTTTGAACTTCATTCTGAGAGCACTAGGGAACGATGGAAGACCTACTCATAGGGAAATGATAAAATATTGCTGCTATTTCCAAAAGACTGGGCCTCTAATTCCAGGACAGGGTAATAAGAGCCTGAGATGTGGTAGCAGTGACAGGAGGAATGAAAAGAAGGAGACAGATGCCAGACATATCATGAAGGAGAAATGAACAGCGTATGGCCACTTATTGGAAAGAGAATTCGAAGTCAGTGATTACTTCTTTCAATTTTTTTATGCTAGTGCCACTTAGGAAAAGCCAGTGTGCTGTTACAGAATTTGAGGTGGCTGGTGAAGCTGACATTTTCACATATGTCTCAGGAACTAGATGCCCAAATCTTTCTCAGACCCCAGATGGCCCCATATAGAGCTTTTATACGTGCCAATTTTTAGAATTTCTTGTAGAGTTCCTCCATTTGGTGGTCACCAGAGGATCTCTGAGATTAGTATCTGGATTCTTAATCATTCAGCTAATTTCAGAGATGTCCTTTATTTGAGGTAGATTTAACCTCCTTTTTCTGTTTGATGGAGTGTGGTTTTTGAAAAGTCCCTAAGGAAGTAATGTGAAACCATACTTGAAACCTCAGGCTTGCTTCTCTCTTGTTTTACCAGAATGCTTTGGTTACCACGTCCTGGGAAATGAACAACTTAAAACGTAAGTGTGGCAAGCCTTCACTATCACCAGTATCTGTTCATTGTATCAAACAAAGCATATTTCCATTCTTATTAGGTTTCCAGAATTGCACTGGGCCTGGTGAGGGCTACAAATAAACATAAGATAATCTGTTTTCAAAATTTAAACTTAGAGTTGTGCTTCTAGAAATGGAAGCTTTTCTAGAAGAAAATTCAGACCAATCCTTTTGCTTCATGGGAGCTGCTTTCCTTGAAGAGGCTTCTGCCATTTTAGAAAATATTACTGAGTGTCAAAAAGCTGAGCAGAGTGTTTAATAGACTTGTAGGGCTAGCAGGACAAATATGGAAATTTAAGGCCCAGAGGCCCAGGATGGGTAGCCTTGGTAAAATTCCCCAGGCTTTGAGACACCAAAGGGATACAATTAAGAAGGAAAGATAAGCCAGAAATAGACTAAGGCAGTTTCATAGAGACTGAAGCCTGGATTCAAATTATCTTAACCTCTAATTGGATTAAGGTGATTTAGGATAGCCAGTGGCTAGAAACAAATTTAAATCCTCTCTAGAGGAAGATACTGTGGAAGATACTATCATCCTAGACCTAATATATCTCTCATCATTTTTCATTATTATGTTTGGCACTCAGTTATAAATAATTAGGCCTATGAGGAAATAAGAACTGTGACCAAAAGCTAAGAGAAACAGCTAGACACACAGGAGATCCTAGTAATGGTGTTAACAGATGCAAACTTTAAATTAACTATGTTTAATATGTTTATGAGATTAAATTATAAAAACAAACCTGGAAATAATAAAAAAAAATAACTCAAAATGGATCAAAGGCATAAATGCAAAAGCCAAAACTATAAAACTCTTAGAAGAAAATATAGGTGTAAGTCTTCATGATCTTGGATTAGGCAATGATTTCTTACATATGACACCAAAGCACAAGCAACAAAAGAAAAAATAAATAAATTGAACTTCATCAAAGTCAGAAACCTCTGTGTTTGAGAGGACACTGTCAAGAAAATGAAAAGACAGCTATAGAATGAGAAAAGGTATTTTCAAATCATATATCTCATCAAGGTCTAATTTTCAGAATATATAAAGAATTCTTACAACTCAGCAACAAAAAGATGACCAGTCCAGTTTAAAAATGGGCAAAAGACTTGAATAGGCATTTCTCCACAGAAGATACACAAATGGCCAACAAGCACATTTTTGACACTGTTATTTATTGGGCTACTGCAAATCAAAACCACAATGAAACACCACTTCACACCCACTAGGATAGCTATAATTTTAAAAAGGAAGAAAGAAAAGGAAAGAAGAGTTTTGGAGAGGGTATGGAGGAATCAGAACCCTCATACATTGCTGGTGAGATTGTGAAATGGTGCAGATGCTATGGAAAACTGAAAATTCCTCCAAAACTTAAGCATAGAATTAACCTGTGACCCATCAATTCCACATCTAGGTGTATACCCAAGAGAATTGAAAACATATGCTCACACAAGAACTTATACACAAATGTTCATAACAGCATTATTCAAAATAACCAGGCTGGGCACGGTGGCTCACGCCTGTAATCCTAGCACTTTGGGAGGCTGAGGTGGGCAGATCACGAGGTCCGGAGATCGAGACCATCCTGGCTAACATGGTGAAACCCTGCCTCTACTAAAAATACAAAAAAATTGGCCAGGCGTGATGGCAGGCACCTGTGGTCCCAGCTACTGGGGAAGCTGAGGCAGGAGAATGGCGTGAACCCAGGAGGCGGAGCTTGCAGTGAGCAGAGATCGCGCCACTGCACTCCAGCCTGGGCGACAGAGCGAGACTCCATCTCAAAATAAATAAATAAATAAATAAATAAATAAATAAATAAATAACCAAAAAGTGGAAGCATCCCAAATGTTAATGAAGTGATTTATGGAACAAACTTAAACAAAGTATGGCATACCTATACAATTTAAACAAAATGTGTCATGTCCATACAATAGAGTAGTATTTAGTCATAAAAAAGAAGGAAGTGCTGATACATGCTACAATATGGATATACCCTGAAAACATTATAAGTGAAAGAAGCTAAACATAAAAGGCCACATATTATATGATTCCATTTATAGTAAATGTCCAGAGTATGCAAATCTATAGAGACAGAAAGTAGATTAGTGGTTGCTAGGAGCTGGGGGAAGGAGAGATGGGGAGTGACTACTAACAGGTTTGAGTTTTCTTTTGGCATGATTAAATATTCGGGACTTAGTGGTGGTGGTTGTACAACCTTGCAAATATACTAATAGCCACTGAATTGTGTACCTTGTAGTGGTGAATTGTACAGTGTGTGAATTATATCTCAATAATTTAAAAAATCAAACAAATTTTAGTACAAAAAATGCAGTAACTAAAAGAGCTCAATGTGTAGATCAAGTAGCAGATTAGATGGTGCTGAATAAATAATTAATGAACTGAAACGTCAGAAAACAATGCATACTGAAGCTCAGAGAGATAAACAGATGGAAAATACAGAAAAGAGCATAAGAGACTTATGGGATAGGGTAAGTAGGCCTAACATGCTTCTACTTGAAGTCTCAGAAGAAGAGAACAAAGAGAATGGGATAGAAGCAATATTTGAAGAGATAATGGCTGTGAATTTCCCTAAACTATAAAAGACTTCAAGCCACAGACTGAAGCATTATGAGCCCCAAACAGGAGAAATACAAAGAAAATACAAACAGCTAGAGGTAAAAAAGACGTATTATCTTCAGTGGAGCAACAGCATGGTTGACAGCTGACTTCTGAACAAAAGCAATGGAAAGCAGATGACAGTGGAATGAAAGTGTAGAAAGGAATACCCTTCAAAAATGAAGGTGAACTAAAGATGTTTTCAGACAAGAAAAATATGAGAAAATATATCGCCAGCAGACTTGCACTAAAAGAAATACTAAATGGCATTATTTAGGCAGAAGGAAAATGATCCCAAATAGAATCTTAGAAATGCAGTAAAGAATGAGGAGCAACAGCAACTATATATAAGAATATAGATTGGCCGGGCACGGTGGCTCATGCCTGTAATCCCAGCACTTTGGGAGGCCGAGACGGGCAGATCACGAGGTCAGGAGATTGAGACCATCCTGGATAACATGGTGAAACCCCATCTCTACTAAAAATACAAAAAAATTAGCCAGGCATAGTGGCGGGCACCTGTAGTCCCAGCTACTTGGGAGGCTGAGGCAGGAGAATGGCGTGAACCCGGGAGGCAGAGCTTGCAGTGAAACGAGATCAAGCCACTACACTCCAGCCTGGGCAACTGAGTGAGACTCCATCTCCAAAAAAAAGAAAAAAGAAAAAAAATATAGATCTAAGTGAATAATCACTGTTAAAAACAACACTAATAATCATCTGTGGGGTTTTCCTTTTTTAGATGTGTGGGTGGGAGGGACAGAGTCTTGCTCTGCTGCCCAGCCTGGACTGCGGTGGCACAATTATAGCTCACTGCAGCCTTGAACTCCTGGGCTCAAATGATCCTCCCACCTCAGCGTCCCAAGTATAACAGCTGGGACAAGAGGTGTGTGCCACCATGCCTGGCTTATTTTTTATTTTTTGTAAAGAGAGGGTCTATCTGTTGCCCAGCCTGGTCTTGAACTCCTGGCTTCAAGTGATCTTCCTGCCTTGGCCTTCCAAAGTGCTGCAGTTACAGGCATGAGCCACCACACCAGGCCAACCCTGTGGGGTTTTAAATATGTATAAAATTAATATAAATGACAACAATGAAATCAACAATAGAATCTGTGTCTGGGTGGGGGTAGGGAAATGGGTTTAAAGATATTTTCAGAAAGTGGTAAAAGTAGTAATTTGTATTAGGTGTTGGCAATTCAAGGATATATGTTGTAATTTTTGGTAACCACTCAAAGAATAGTATTGTACCAATCTAAGAAAGGGACAAATTCAGTTAATAAAAAAGTAACTCAAAAGAAGGAAAGAAAAATTCTGGGGAGGGCAAAACTATAGAGATACAGAACAAATCAATGGCTTCCAGTGGTTAAGGGTAGCGGAGAGTTTGACTCTAAAGGTGCAGGATACAAGAGGTTTTTGGTGGGTGATGGAACTGTTCTGTGTCTTAATTGTGGTGATGGTTAGACAACTCTGTGCATTTGCCAAAGCACATGGAACTGTATGCCAACAAGAGTGAATTTTCTGAATGTTTTGTAAATGGAAGAAAAAAAGAAGGTAGGAAAGGAGAGGAAAGAGGAAAATAGAAGAGGCAGGACAAATAGAAAGCAATTAGCAAGTTGGTGGGTTTAAACCACAATATAAGGTGTAAATTGACTTATGCAAATTAAAGACAGATTTTTAAAAAGCAAAACTAGAGTGTATGTTGCTTGTAAGAGAACAGATACACTTTAAATATAAGGATAAAGAAAGATTTAAAGCAAAGTGATAGGAAAAGATAGCTACAATAAAATCAGGCCAGGTAGATTCCTTTCTTTCTTTCTCTCTCCTTTCTTTCTTTCTTTCTTTCTTTCTTTCTTTCTTTCTTTCTTTCTTTCTTTCTTTCTTTCTTTCTTTTCTTTCTCTCTCTCTCTTTCTCTCTCTCTCTGCCCCCCCACTTCTTTCTTTCTGTCCTTTTTTTTTCTTTTTTTTTTTTTTTTTTTTTTTCTGAGTCTTGCTCTGTCACCCAGGCTGGAGGGCAGTAGTGCAATCTCAGCTCACTGCAACCTCTGCCTCCTGGGTTCAAGCAGTTCTCCCGCCTCAGCCTCCCAGATAGCTGGGATTACAGGCATGCGCCACCATGCCCAGCTAATTTTTGTATTTTTAGTAGAGACAGCGTTTCACCATGTCAGCCAGGCTGGTCTCAAACTCCTGACCTCAAGTGATCTGCCCACCTGGGCCTCAAAAGGTGCTAGGATTACAAGCCTGAGCCACCGTGCCCAGGCAGTCCAGGTAGATTTCAATGCAAAAAGTATTTTTCGTTATAAAGAGAGACATTTCCAGGCTGGGCATGGTGGCTCACTCCTGTAATCACAGCACTTTCGGAGGCCGAGGCAGGCAGATCACTTGAGGTCAGGAGTTCGAGATCATCCCGGCCAAAATAGTGAAACTCTGTCTTTACTAAAATACAAAAAATTATCCAGGCATGGTGGTGAACACCTGTAGTCCCAGCTACTTGGGAGGCTGAGGCAGGGGAATCACTTGAACCCAGGAGGCGGAGGTTGCAGTGAGCCGAGATGGCGCCACTGCACTCCAGCCTGGTGATAGAGCGAGACTCTGTCTCAAAAAAGAAGAGAGAGAGACATTTCCTAGTAAAGACTAAGTTTCCAGGAAGAAATATATACTTAATAACATAGGCTTAAAATATGTAAATCAAATGGGACAGAATTAAAATGGGAACTAGATAAATCATCACCCCAATGAGAGATTTAACACA
This sequence comes from Homo sapiens, assembly GCF_000001405.40. Lineage (NCBI taxonomy): Eukaryota > Metazoa > Chordata > Mammalia > Primates > Hominidae > Homo > Homo sapiens. Next base: position 121,355,189 of record NC_000001.11, read on the forward strand.
CCTGTCTCAGTGAATGATTAAACAACTAGACCAAAAAAGTCAGTAAAAATACAACAAACTTGACCTAAATGACATATATGGATACTGCGCCTGACAACTGCGGGTAGATACACATTCTTTTTTTTTTTTTTTTTTTTTTTTTTTTTTGAGACGGAGTTTCGCTCTGTCACCCAGGCTGGAGTGCAGTGGCGCGATCTTGGCTCACTGCAAGCTCTGCCTCCCGGGTTCACGCCATTCTCCTGCCTCAGCCTCCTGAATAGCTGGGACTACAGGTGCCCGCCACTACGCCCGGCTAACTTTTTTTTTGTATTTTTAGTAGAGACGGGGTTTCACCTTGGTCTCGATCTCCTGACCTCGTGATCCGCCCGCCTCGGCCTCCCAAAGTGCTGGGATTACAGGCGTGAGCCACCGCGCCCGGCCAGATACACATTCTTTTCAAGTGTACGTGGAACATTTACAAAGTTTAAACCTGAAATGGGGAGGAAAAATCGAAGAGCTTAGGGGAGAAATTAGAGCTGGAGATTGGAAATCTCCATTTCCAAAGTCTACCTTCTTTTTCTCACAATTCCATGATTTTTCAGTAGGAGTGGGGTACTGGCCAAGAGGGAAGGTATCCTCCCCCAACAATATTGATTTTTCTTTTTTCAACTGTATGTAGGCCATGACTAATGGGAATGGCTACCCATGTGTTTACTGTGGACAAAGACAAGAGGCTTCAAACCACCATTGTAGCTGAAGAAAGCTGATACAGGCTCAAATCTTCATCCCAGTCCCTAGGCAATGCATTCTAATTTCTGTCAGTAAAGGGCTCTACTCATTCTCCCAAAGTTGGCTTTGTGCTCCTCTTAGGTCCAACCCTGGCACCTGAGGTGTCAAGAAAATGCTGTCTTCATAACTCACTGGAGCCTCTTCCTCTCGATTCTAAAGGCTACTCCCAGTGTTCTAAAACTACACAGATCTCTCGATGAATTGGCTTTGCTGCTGGGTTCCTCTTTCTTAAAAGTATTTAATCAGCGATTTTCCCAGTGCCCCAGGCATTTCCTGTACGAGTGCTGCTGACTGTTTTACTTCCTACCAGGCTGCCCTCCTCCTCTTGGCATTCACACTTCCAACTTTCAGATGAGCTCTATTAACTCCTGTTCTTCCAGCCTCCGCCTGGCTCAGCCATCTGGGAGCCACACAGGCATTCTTTCCATCCCCCAGCTCATAGATTTCCTTATTGTAGAAGGGCATATGTTTTCAAGTACCTTATCATTCTGGCTCTTTCCCCCGATTCTCTCCCAGTTCCAAGCCATTGATTGTTTTTCCTCCTTAGTTCATTTTACAGCTGCTGAGAGATTTGAGCTCTCGTGTTGCCTGTTTGCTTTTGTGTCTTTTGTCCCTTATGTCCCAGTCTACTCAAGGATACCCACAGTCACCTAGATACCATTTCTACTCTGTGCTTTTAGTGTCCTGCTTGGGAAATGGGGTGATCACTCATCTTCAGAATGACCTCAAGAAATGCTTTGGCATGAGAGATCAGGGCCTGAAGACATTACGCCCCCACCCAAATCATTATCCAAAAGGGTAAAAGATGGAAATTTGCCAAGACAAAGATCACAGTGGTAGTTTAAGAAATGAAAGCTTAGATTTGATTGTCTGTTTTAAGGGATGTTGTTTTGAGTTTATTTTCTTAGTATTAGGATAGGTCATTCAAAGAGATTGGAACAACCATGGAAGAACATTCAGATTATTATAGGACTGTGTTTCAGACTGGGAGAGCAGAGGGCCATTAGCCTCTTCCTGACCCCACCCTGAACTCCCCTGAACTCCCACCCTTGTCCCGAGTATGCCTGTCCCTGACAAGAGACTTTGGTCAGGGACCAAAGTGAGCTTTGTTAGTGAGCATTCACAGAGGGTAGGAGCTGAGTCCATGAAGTTCACATCATGCCAAGGAATGGATTTCCTCCCAGGGCCACTAGCATTACTTGTGGGTTATCAAGTGTTACTGCTCACACATTCCAGAGCTTCTGGAAAAGCCGTAAGGAAATGGCTTTCAGAAAGCCATTTCTGTCCTAGAGGAGAGAGGTCCTGGATTTCACTGAACCAGAACTTGATGGGTGGTTTTGGTATTCTGTGACCTAGGTAGTGGGGAGCTCCTTCCTTTGGATGTTTCCTTTATGCCCACAGTCGAACCATATCCTAGTTGTACAGCCAAGAAGGATCTTTTCTGTTTAATCTATCTGGAGGAATAGAAGGTAATTGTATCCTCCTTATTTTCATTCTGCCACCCCTACCTTCATCATTTCTTCCTTTCTGCTAAGCACTTTTTATGATCTTTCTTTGTTTTGTTTTGGGAGTTTTGTTTTTTTGTTTTCTTTCCTCAGGAAAGCTGAATTATTTCTTACAGAGTCATTTAGTTCTTACTGAAACTGGGGAAGAAAAAGATTATGCAACAGCAGGCATAAGGAAAAACAGAGAACGTTCTTCCCTTCGGGCCCACAGAGCCCATTGGAGGAATTCAGCTACAATCCTGCCTGGGAAGTAGTTTCCAGGACCTTCGCAATTCCACATAGCATCTTTAACATGTTTGAGAGTACGTAAGGAGGCAGCATAGTGCAGCGGAAAGAACACTCAAGTGAGTGTTGAGGGGGCTGGATTCTAATATTAATATTAGCCAACATTTATTGAACAGGCTAGGTGCTAGATTCTGTTTAAAGCACTTTATGTGGATTATCTCACTATTCTTATTATCCTATTTTACAGATGTGGAAGCTGAAGCATAGAGGGTTTAAATATAATTTACCCAAGGTCATCAATTGGGGAGTAGAAGTAGGATTCAATTCCTGCTCCAGAGCCTGCATGTTCAGCTCTCTTTTAATACTGCATGTGGTCCTTGATAGGCTACTGACCCTGGAAAAGTCATTTCAACTTTTAGGGCTCATTGGTGAACCATAACCAAAGGGAGCTCATTGTGGCTAACCTCTGATGGAGTTTCCACTTTTAATAATTTATATGATGCAATGCAGCTATATTGTTTAGTTCTTGTCATTATGTGAAAGCATAGTATTTAAACTTTGATCTCATTGATTCAGCAACTGATTATTTTATGGCCACTGTGCACAAAGCAATGGGCTGGGTACCACAGAGGATTCAGAAAAATGCTTAAAAAGGTAAAACCTATCTCTTCCATTAGCTTTAGATGGTTTCATATTGTAGTTGCTTTGAGATTTTTTTAGACTAAGTTTTTCAGATAATTAAACAGGAATCAAATTCAAAAACTATTCATATTCCAGAAGAGGAATCCTGAAACAGGTATTGGGCCTTAGACTAGTCAAGTTTCTGACATTTTCTTTTAAAATATAACTTGTCACTAGGATAGTTTATATCCATTAACTCCTGAGTGAAGGAGCTTCTGGTGAAATTGTTTTTTATGGTGCTTACAAGCTCAAGGGGTTCTTTAAAAATGGAATGTGACTGCTTTGGGAGTCACTAATACTGAAGCTGGATCATTATAACCTGAAATATCCATTAGTAACTTAGAAAGACAAATCCAAAGAAAAAGAATTTACTATGTAATAGCTGGATTTTTTGAAATCAGATTTTTTTTTTTTTTTTTTTGGCAAGCTAGATTCAATATCTAGCTTGCTGTGGAATTAGGTTATGGTGTGGAAACCTCTTGGCTGGGACAGGAAAAAAAATTGATCTTAAACTAAAAAAACTAACTTAAGATATTCCATTTCTAGTAATACCTTTGAGATTGGAAGAATTGCATTCTGATGGGCCCAGACGTTAGATTAATGTCCATCTTTCTCAACAGGTTGTAAACTTTTAAACTTTCTGTTTTGCATTCAGACCACAAGTGCCTGACACTTAATAGATGTTCTATAAATATTTGCTGATGGACTCTTTATTGCTCACTCCCTAAAATCCAGCCATTTCTCCCTTGCCAGCATTCAATAATTGAACCTGCTTTGAAACATCTGATCAGCCACTTCAAGACGGCAAGTTATTTTAGCTCCTGTCTAAATAAGTTAGTGGGCTCCAGTCCTTAAACCACTATTTTCTTTATTAATTCCTCAAGTACAGACTTTTGTATGTAACCAGTCTTTTTAAACCTGTGTATAATGACTCATTAATGAGTTGTAAAATAAATGTAGTGAGTTATGACCAATATAAAAAAATAGAAAAGGCCAGGCACAGTCGCTCGAGAATATAATCCCAGCTACTCTAAGAGGCTGAGGTGGAGGGATCTTTAGGCCAGGAGTTTGAGACCAGCCTGGGGAAACATCACGAGACTCCATATCTGAAAACAATTTTTTTAAAAATTAGCCAAGCATACCTGTTACCAGCTACTTGGGAAGCTGAGGCAGGAGGATTGTTTGAAGCCAGGAGTTTGAGACCAGCCTGAGCAAACTCAGTGAGATCCCATCTCTACAAAAATTACAAAAATTAACCAGCGTGTTGGTACACATCTGTCGTCCCAGCTACATGGGAAGCTGAGGGAAGAGGATCACGTGACAGTTGAGCCCAAGAGTTCAAGGCTGCAGTGAGCTATGGTCAGGCCACTGCATTCTAGCCTGGGCAATAGAGCAAGACCTTGTATCTAAAAAGAAAGAAAGAAAAGAAAAAAAGAAGATAAAAGAATAGGAAATATCATAGTGGACAGCACATAAGTAGAGGTGAAGCCAGCTGGACTTCCTCAGTGGAGTGGGGACTTGGAGAACTTTTCTGTCTAGCTAGAGGATTGTAAATGCACCAATCAGCACTCTGTAAAAATGCACCAATCAGCGCTCTGTGTCTAGCTAAAGGATTGTAAATGCACCAATCAGCACTCTGTAAAAATGCACCAATCAGTGCTCTGTGTCTAGCTAAAGGATTGTAAATGCACCAATCAGCACTCTTAAGAGCTGTAACACTCACCGCGAAGGTCCACAGCTTCATTCTTGAAGTCAGTGAGACCAAGAACCCACCAGAAGGAACCAACTCCGGACACATAAGTACTTTTATTATAGACACCTATTATGCTGTATTGCAATAAAAAATGTATTTTTTGAACATCCTAGTCTACCTATCTTCAGAAGGCAAAAGCACCTCTGGTGTCCCTGTTGTGGTATCTCCTAGCCTACCTCTCTATAAAAGTTTTGCAATTAAGTATATTTGTGTTTTATACATCCTTGGGCTTCTCATAGTTTAAGGTCCTAACTGGAGTTCAGTCTTTCTCAGAGCCGTCTCATGGTATCCTCACCGATGAATGAATGCTGAATAGAAAGAGCCCTGCTTGCATATATGCAGGTAGTATGGTGGAGGGGAAATCTAGAAGTCATTTCTGAGCTCTGACCTGCTGGATCATCACCCCCTGAACCCCCAGAGCCTCGGCATACAGCCTCACACTGTACCACCTATTTTGGTGGCCCAAGTTAGCTGAGAGAGAGGACCAGACACAGTGCCCACCATCACCTAGCACTGGCCCTGCTACCAAACAGTCATTCCTTTTAGCCCTCTCCTCCCCACCAAAAGCATTTCAGGCAAAGTGCCAGCTCCTGAAATGTGGCCTCTTTGAAGTGGTTAGTGAATGCCCCTGAAACCACCACCTTATGTATGGTGGTGCTTCTGCTGCCAGAGCTTAATACAGGGTCATGTTCCTTTCCTCTGAAATCTGTAACATAAATTCAGTTTTAAACTGGATTTTTTTTTAACAGTTGGTCTCTGAACAATCTTTAGGGTGGGGAGGGGATAGTAGTGGTTGTTGGGGAGATATGTGCCCTTGAAAACTGGATTCTTTTTTGGAAAACTGCTGACACAGGCTAAATGGCAGAGAACTAAATGGCCCTACTGTTCCTACCTGCTGACAGGCTCAGCCTTGGGATGGGGCTGAAATGAGCTCTCGCCACATGGCAGAGACATGCCTTCCTCTTTTTATTCTTCTTTCTTACAAATAGGGGGTACTTTTGTGCCTGTCAAAAAATACAGCTTTGAAATGTAGATAACCAATTAACAACAGTCCCACCCCCAACTTGGAAAGCACATGAGTGCTGATCTAAATAACTAGAGAATCGGTAACAAGTAACCTCCCTATTGAGAACAGGTCTGAAACCTCTTTCATAATTGGTGTTCTTTGGGAAACACTAATAGACAAACCCATCCAAGCTCAGGAAATGTACTGATTTAAAGAGGTCTAAGGAAGAGTGACCAGACCAGTGGCCAGGCATCCCGGATGCCTAGGATCCTTATGTTTCCGTACATATCTGCTGTTACATCCTTTCTGTGAGCAAGGAGGCTTTGGAACATTACAGTCTTGTCTTGGGGAGATGAGATGACACAGTGCATTTCAGTTCTGTTTCCAATGCTGTTATCTGTTGGAAAAAGGAAGCTTTCCTACCCATTTTGTCAGCATACAACTGGTAGAAGCTGTTGCAATCTCATTGTCTTCTGATCAGCCCCTCGGCAGCAGTCAGAGTGGAGGCCAGTGAAGCACTCTGGCCAAATGGTTGTGGTGAGTTTCAAAATAAGAGATCCCAGCCTGAGCACACCATCACACTTCCCATCCGATAGAACCAGAATTGTTAACTGTACCACATCTCTATTCTAAATTTAGGCATCTTTTTTTTTTTCCAGGCAAAGATTACTATGCAAACATTTAAGAGAAAAACTTTGTCCAAAGTAATTTTTTCCCCCAACTTCTATTTGGTTTCCTGCAATGTTGAGATGACTCATTCTCTTCCAAGAAATTTTAAAGAAAAGAGATGCAGGCTGTATGTTAGTACACAAAGACTGCTCTGTAAATTCTTTTTCTTCCCTGTCTAGAAACCCCTTGCCTTTTTATAGAGAACGGAAAAGCTCTACAGTCTTCATTGTCATGTACTCGGCCTCATCAGGTTTTGTTGTTCCCAGGAATAAATGTCCCCCTTGTCTTTGGGTGGGGCCCCCTTGTGGCTTACCAGCTCTGTCAACCCCACTGCAGTGGCCAGCACGGAAGCCCTTCCTGGGGCCACGCTTTCCCCCAAAGGCACACAGTTAAGGTTTCTGAAACAGAGAACGAATGGCCTTTTATCATCTGTGAAAGGAGAGACACTGGCAATTTCCTGCCTCTGGCCTAGTGTCAGAATTTCTCCTGATTGCTAGAGGCTGTATTGCACATTTTAAGTGGGCTCGCTACACATGTATTCCCAGCCCAACCCTCAGCCAGAGGGAGCAGTAAGTCAGATCACTTCAGCAGCCTGTTCAAATAAACAGGGATAATAGTTGAGTGGTCCTCCCAACTAATCAGTACGTGAAAGGAAACATCTGCCTGGGCTTAATTGCTGTTTTTTTTGGTTACACTTTTCCCTCCTCTTCTTCCCCCATCCCCCACTCTGGGGCTAGGTTATTTAAGTCATGGGTAAGCAACAGGGTAGAGGAATAGGAGCTTTCTCCTTTAACCTCTGCCATTCAAACATAAGGAGGAGTTAAGAAACGATAGGCTGGCAGGAGGAGATGGCCCAGAGGCAGGAGGGCAGGGCGGTGGGAAGTGATACTCATGGTCACTTCCTGACCCTGTTGCTGACTCTGGGGCTCAGAGTGAGTCATGTTGCCTCACTTCACCTCCTTGGGCCTCTGTTGCTTCAGTGGAGCTCAGCTTTCCTCTCAATGGAAAGGACAGGCTGGTATGTGAGATCACAGATGAAAGGCATTCCCTCTTGTGGCTTCTTCCAGCAGTTGAGGTCATTGGATGAGAGACCCTGGAATGATAAATTTAAGACTGGCAAGATCCCCTGAACCCGTCCATTTTGTAGAGCATCTGGGTCCCCGAGGAGAACTTGCTCATTATCTTCTAGCCAACCAGCCATACACTAAAGGGAGGGATGTTTGAAGCTAATATGGACTCTAGAAGCCAGGCAGAAGATCATGTAGAATCATAGAATGGCAGAGGTTGGAAAAGACTTTAGAAATGTTTTAGCAGAAGCTTTTCATTTTATAGAAGGGAAAACAGAGGGCCAGAGAGGTTAACCAGGTTGTCCAGAGTTACCTCTTTGGTAATGCAGGAGCCAGGAATAGAAAGAGAATCTTGTGATTGCTAATTTAGGGCTCCTTCCACCCCTTTCCCCACTATCAGATGTAAAAATTCATGCTTACTCATGACAGAGGCCACACATAGGTTATATTCCATAATGAATACCTTAATAGAAAAATGGGCAGAGAACACCTTAATAAGAAAATGGCAGATTATAAAAGAAAAATGAAAATGACTGATAAACATTTTTAAAAATGCTCAGGCTCATTAGAATCAAAGGATTGCAAATTACAATAGGATACCACATCAAATTGTCAAGACAAAAAAATGTGAAATAAACATTCATATATGCTATTGGTGGTATTTTAAATTGGTACCGTTTTTCTCAAAGGCATTTTAGTGGTATAAATGGTAGTCTTTGACCCAGCAATGTTATTTCTAGGAAAAAATAATGAAAGGTGTGTGCATTAGATCATATACAAAGTAATGTGATATGGCATTTTTTATCACAAAAATTTAGAAGTGAAGTAAATGTCCAAGAATGGGAGCTACATCAATAGAACATATTATAATGCTATAGAACAATAATACATGTGGAAATGTTTACAACATATGTTTAAGTGAATAAGTTACAAAACAGGATTTATAATGCAATCCCAATTTTGTAAAACTAGAAAAGATTAGAAAAATACATAACAACACTTAGAGTGGTGATTTCTTAGTGGTAGGAATTTAAGAGTTACTTTTGTTTTCTTTTTTGAGGTTTTCTAGTTTCCTTATTATAATAAATATACATTACTTTTGTAATCAGAAAAAAAAGTATTTTTTAAGTAGAGATGTATGTACCTTGAAAAAAAGCAAGATCTTAAATGATTGTGTATCTGACATGAAAGTCCTTCCTTTTTTTGCCTGGGAGCTAGCAGCTATGGTGGGAGGGATGGGAAACAGTATTATAACTTCTGTTAGGATGGCATTTTGATACCCGAATTTCTGGTAGGAAAGATCTAGAAGGAGCTGGCAAAAGATAAAACAAGGGCTTTCCCTCTCAATGACCCATGCTGCCAATCAGTTTTAGCTCTCTTAGGTTTGGCATACAACACTTAGTATAGAAGGTGTGACAATTTCCTTCCTGCTTCCTCCTTTCTTTCCTTTTCTTTTCTTTTCTTTTTTTTGAGACAGAGTCTCACTCTTGTCACCCAGGCTGGAGTGCAATGGTGCAATCTCGGCTCACTGCAACCTCCACCTTCTGGGTTCAAGCAATTCTCCTGCCTCAGCCTCCTGAGTAGCTGGGACTACAGGCGTGTGCCATCAGGCCCGGCTAATTTTTGTATTTTTAGTAGAGATGGGGTTTCACTATGTTGGCCATGCTGGTCTCGAATTCCTGACCTCAGCTGATCCACCCACCTCGGCCTCTCAAAGTGCTGGGATTACAGGTGTGAGCCACCGTGCCCAGCCCTCATTCTTTATTTCTACTGCTCTATGTAGTTAGATGTCAGCCCTGGGTGGCAGCAGCAAAGAACCCAGGAGCCATCACTGCTCAAGATTAACTAGTTGGAGACCCCTTAACATATATTTTCAGCATCTAGTAACAGCTAATCTCGCAGGCAGTCAATATTGAGATACCGCTGCCTTGTGAGTTTTGGGTAGAAATAAAGCAAGTAAGAAATATAGTTCCATCCTGCTTGGAGTTTTCTATTTAGTTAGGGACTTTGAAGTCCCTGAATGTTTATATACTTTTTCCTATTTCATCCCATTACACATCTTACTTTCCTTTGAAATCTTCTGGAATGCTTGACTGCAAGTATCTGAGAAACCATGTTCCACCTAACAACAGTTGCTAGGTAGGATGTGGCTTTCAGGCCTGCTCTTTGGGGACCAATAGAAAAACCAAAGGCTACCACCCTTTTTCCCTCTACGCAATTGCCTTTGCTAGGCACATTTCATTTTATTAAAACTCTTTGAGTAATCTGACCATAATTGGGTCTGATTGGAGTGGTTATCTGATTTGCTGGGTTAAATAATGGGCCTTAATTGAGTCTGGGTTATTTGTAGAGCCAGTGTGGCTTTTGCCTTCGTTGCTCCCTCCTCTCTCTTCTGTTTCCCAATTAACCTTCATTCCTCTTTCCTTGCAGAGTAAAGAAGTCGGCCAGCAGCTCCAAGATGATTTGATGAAGGTCCTGAACGAGCTCTACTCGGTAAATCAGATGGGTTGCTTGGCTCTTTAACAAGCAGAGGGAAGCAGCATTTGGCAGCTTGCAGCCATAGTACATCAGCAACAGAACTGAACTGAGGTTGAAGGACAAGTGCATGGTCCCCACTGGGGGTGACCCCACCCATCTCTTTTTTCACACTCGTCTTTTCAAAACGGAATGAGTCAAAAAATACTTCCTCAAAATAAGTTTTCTCCTCAGCTATGCAAGCTCACCCTGGCTTTATTTGGGGCATAGTTACTAGAGACCAGCCAAAGTCTAGGTCATTGGCACAATGGACCCCGTTAGCAGCAAACCAGGGACCCTGAACTAATGGCAAGGAACGTAGCCTGCATTGCACTATTAATATGTGCCTGTCGGAAAGGCTTTATTGTTCTAGGTTTTTCATCAGATCTTGGATTGATGTATGGCTTTGAGACTAGAACAAATGCTCTGGAGGGCAGCACAGAGTCCTAAATGCCCCCAGTAAGAGGGACCAGTTTGAGCAGAGAGAGCTTTGCACTGGCTTCCTGGAGTTTTATAAAGCCAAACCTCAGTGACGAGGCAGGCTGCGGGCTTGAAGAAGAGAACACAATCTGTTCTGAGATGACTGGCGCTTCAGGCACATGATGCCTGTGGCTGGTGCGTGTTAATTCATGCGCAGAGAGGTGGTGGTGGTGGTTGTTCCCCAGCCATGTTTTTCTAATTATAATGAAAACAAACACACACTCACACACATACACACCAAGGAAATTCCTGTTGTTATACAGGGAATACTTAAGTTATACAGCTAATGCCTTTCAGGGGCCCCTTCTCCAGCTTGGATGTGCCAGCCTACTATGTCATTCTCCAGGGTTTCTCCATCCTGTTTGAAGGTGATACTGATTTCTGATGTTTACTTGCTTATTTGCTGCGTTTTTTCTTTTCTTTTCTTCCTTTGTTTTTTTTTTTAATTCACAGAACAGGCAGTGATGACATGCATGACAGGCATTTGGGATCAGATGTTGCTGATCCAGAAGCCTAGGTGTGGCCATTTTGTCATGGCAACTGTTAAGCAAGTAAATAGGGTAGAGTAGTCATCTGACTTATCTCCAGCGATGTTCAGTTTGTTTTGAATTTCTACTCTGTGACACTTCTGCTCTGAAGCCAAGCATAGATAGATGGTACCTTTCGTTCAACTCCCAAGTTTTCATTTCTCTCAAATGAAGTTAAGAGGTTTTTAAAATAGAAACACATCGATGTGAGCCATTTTCAGACTGGATGGGTTTCCTGAACCTTGTCTTTTTAATGCTTTACTTCTGCTCTTTTAGATCAATTTCTAAGTGCCAAGAAGAGCTATTACTCCTTTCTCCTAGCAGAGAATTCCCTAAGATAGAAAATGACACATGTAGTCATTGTATAAATTCTTTTATTTTCCTGTAAGCATCTTGACCCTCTACTATTTGCAGCTGTTTCTGGGGAGGGGTAGTTTGGATAACCAACAAACCTTGCCACTTCTTCAGTGGGACTCAAGGCAGCAGAAGAAGACTACTGTCTAAGGATCTGTTAGCTTTTACCCAGGGTCCTATGTCTCTTCATATGCTGTGCTTTAAAAAAAAAAATAAGTGAAAGGGCGTAAGCTGTGTTTGAGTGAGGAAGAAAACCTTGGAACTTATTTCTCTGGTCTGCAGAGGGCCGAGCTGCTACCTCTGACTGCAGACTTAAGACAGCCCAATATTGGCCAACTACTTTACTGGCCATTGTGAGGCCATGGTCAACATACAGCATAACATCTTCCCATTGATGTTCAAACTGAGAATTGCCTGAGTGTGGTATCCCCTGCCATAAGGTGAGCTGGAATACACCTTCATAATCTGTTAAAGGCCAAAATTAAAATGTGATGTTTTCCTCTAGTAGGCAATGGAAAGAGGGAAAAAAGAGTAGAGGCACTAGGAAGTTTCAGAGAAGTCAAAACATTCTGGTCCAAATGGAGTTTTAAGCAGAGGGAGTTTTACCCCGAGAGGACATTTGGCAATGCCTGAAGACATTTTTGATTGTCACGACTGGAGGAGTAGAAGGTGCTGCTGACATCTAATGATCTAGAGGCCAGGGGTGCTGCTAAAATCCTACAGTGCACAGGGCAGCTCCCACAACAAAGAATTATCTGACCCACAATGTCAATATAGAGACATTGACAATCTTCTGACCCACAAGATTGAGAAATGCTGGTCTAGTGACTAGAGTCTCCTGAATTAAGCAGCCTAGATTCTACCCTGTCTTGACTACTAGCTGTATGAGCTTGAGGGATACCCCAAACCTCTATGACCTTGGTGTCTGCATACACTCCATGCACTGGTATTTCTATATCCTAGGGGGTGGAGTAGTTGGGTGAGTTATACTTCCTGAAATATTAGGCTATAGCTAAGGATCAAATAGGTTTCCAGAGTCTGTAGGCCATTAGAAAGTTCAGTGAGCCAGGCTCATGCCTGTAATCCCAGCACTTTGGGAGGCTGAGGCAGGCAGATCACGAGGTCAGGAGATCGAGACCATCCTGGCTAACACGGTGAAACTCTGTCTCTACTAAAAATACAAAAAAAATTAGCTGGGCATGGTGGCGGGTGCCTGTCGTCCCAGCTACTGGGGAGGCTGAGGCAGGAGAATGGCGTGAACCTGGGAGGCAGAGCTTGCAGTGAGCCGAGATTGTGCCACTGCACTCCAGCCTGGGCAACAGAGCGAGACTCTGTCTCAAAAAAAAAAAAAAGAAAAAGGAAAAAAAGAGAAAGTTCAGAGAATAGCCGGTCACAGTGGCTCATGCCCGTAATCCCAGCACTTTGGGAGGCTGAGGTGGGCGGATCATGAGGTCAGGAGATCGAGACCATCCTGGCTGACACGGTGAAAACCCATCTCTACTAAAAATATATTAAAAACTAGCCGGGCATGGTGGTGGGCGCCTATAGTCCCAGCTACTCAGGAGGCTGAGGCAGGAGAATGGCATGAACCCAGGAGGCAGAGCTTGCAGTGAGCCAAGATCGTGCCACTGCACTCCAGCCTGGGGGACAGAGCAAGACTCTGTCTCAAAAAAAAAAAAAAAATAGCAGTTCAGAGAATAGAATTATTTCTTCTGGAGATTAAGATAGGTTTAGGACTGGTCTGAATAAGGCACCATGGGATTACGGTGACTAACTGTCCCTCTTTGCCTAGTACTGAAGAGTTTCCTGGGACATGAAATTGTCAGTGCTGAAACTGGAAAAGTTCGAGGTTAAAAAGGGTTAATTGGTCACCTTGCATGGGAGAGTGGTTTTATCAGGTGGGAAGCTGGGACTGTTACATGCTAGCTTTGGGAAGCTGCTTGCTGTATGCACACCTTTGAGGAGTCAAGAAGAGAACAAGGGAGAGTTTCTTAGAAGGAGCTTTCCCATTATTTGCTTGTCAGGAAGGCAGGGAAGGGCCTCTCATTTCAATGACGTTGTAGGCAATAGAAGTTATTTGGGGTCACTGGAAAAAGGAAACCAAGGATATAAGAAACCCACCCAGTTTTTTCATGTCCTTCACATCTGCTCCTAATGCCCATGAATACCTTTTTTTAGGGGACTAGTTATCCAAGGGTTGGTAATTTTAGTACCTTTGAACCTTGATGATCCAAGGAGCAGGACCCAGGTGTTCCCAAATAAAGATGCCTTTGGGCACCGGGCCCAGAATGCCGCCATGAGTGGCCAGCTGCCCCTCTGCACCTTCCTCTTTTCTGCCTGAAGGGCCTTTGATTTCCCTGACTTGGCATTCTGTGCTGGGGCCTGCTTCCCACAGCTGCTATTCAGAGAGCAATCCTAGCGAGCATTCTTCTCCACGTGTTTTCCCCCCATAATGAGCTGGCTTGTATGTAAGCCATGGCATAAGTGGTTTTCATTTTCTGACTGATGCACCGGGAATGCCTTTGAAGTCAGAACACACTGCTTCCCAAAGAACTCTGGGATTCTTTGCCTCAGTTGTACTCAGAGGTCGTGTCTGGAAAAACCCAGCAAACCCCCACAGGAAGGAGTGTACATGGAGGCACTGAAGCCAGTGTGGATTGGCTGAGTATGAAGAGTCAAGGAAGCTCTAGAATTGAGAAAAAAGAGGCTTTGGGACACTTTGGGGCTGTTGTTATTCCAGAGGCCTTATGCTTCTGTACTCCCCCTAAGTTTACATCCCCTTGGCTTGGAGCAGCGGCTGTGTGCTGGCAGAGCTACTTCAGACTGGTATTTAGCACCTGTTCCCTTGAAACAATGGCACTTAATAGTCCCTCAACTCTGCTTGCCTATTTGACTCTGGCACTAGGCACTAGGGAGACAAGAACAAATAAGAGATGTTTCTGACCTCAAGGCGTTTAGTTTTAATAGGGAGAGACAGAAAAGTAAAGCATCAAGTGAAAAATGAAGTGACAAGAACTCATTTACATGTCTGCACAGAGGACAGGGATGAAGTCAGGCTCCTTGAAGAGATACTTGAATTGAATCTTTATTGCCAAGAACTCTTTTCTTGTTCTCTACATGTTCCCTTTTTTGTTGCATCCAACTTTTGTTTCATGATGCAGTATCGTTTTATTTCTCATTTATCTCTCCAGGGCTATTATGGATATATTGTTTTCAAACTTTTCTTCTTGTTGTATAATATTTCTTCTAAATTGCTAGTTTTGGTCTTGGTCTTTCATATTAGACATTTCCTTTAAATGCGTGGTCATTCTTAGCTGCCTATTCACATTTTAAAGTGAGGCACTAAAAGATTCTATGTCAGCTGTGGCCTTCACAGTAGGGTGTTCTAACTGGGCTGTGTCCTTGTGGAAGCCCCAACTTTAGTATTTCTAGGTCTCTTATCTTGGATGGTCACATTGCCGAGAGATCACACTTTTGATCTCCCACTCATGTCTGGGAGCTGAGTTGTGAAGAGGCCTAGACCATCTCAAAATTTAACATAGACTTCAGCTAATCCTCCTGTTGAAGTTCAGTATACCCCTATCCTCAGCTGAACCTTGTATCCCCTAGTCCATGGACCCTCTCTAACAGAATAAACCTCTCATCTAGTCTTCCACTACAATGGGAGAGGGGATCTTGGGGCCTCACTGTTCTCAGACTTCCTTTTTTTTTTTTTTTTTTTTGAGATGGAGTCTCGCTCTGTTGCCCAGGCTGGAGTGCAGTGGCGTGATCTCGGCTCACTGCAAGCTCCACCTCCCAGGTTCATGCCATTCTCCTGCCTCAGCCTCCCGAGTAGCTGGGACTACAGGCACCCGCCACCACGCCCAGTTAATTTATTTTTGTATTTTTAGTAGAGACGGGGTTTCATTGTGTTAACCAGGATGGTCTCAATCTCCTGACCTCGTAATCCGCCCACCTGGGCCTCCCAAAGTGCTGGGATTACAGGCATGAGCCACCATGCCCGGCCTGTTCTCAGACTTTCAATAGCTTATTTTGTGTTTAGCTCTACCTTCATCCCACTGCTACTTATTTCTCTTCGGGCTTCTGTGATATAAATCTGGCTGCTTCCTGGCTCACTCTAGTTTTGGTTTAGGACTCAAGTAGATGAGTTACTGCTTGCCTACCTGCTTTTCGGCTTCAGCTTCCATTCTTTTTGTTTTTCTCAATTTATACCTAAATGATAATCATTTTAGAACCTTTTTTTTCCTATTATTTTAGTGTGGCTGTCAGAGGGAGCAGAGCTAAATATGTGATTTCAGTGTTTAGTTTTTCAAAGTAAAGTGGAATATTCTTTGCAGAACTGAGAATTTAGACTTTTCAGTTTTTCCCCATAGTTTGCATTTGCCTATCTATATATAGATAGAAGTATGTATATGTATATCTTTATGTATACATATCTATATATACATATATGAGTAGCTATATGTCTAAGACATAGATATATAGATATACATATATTTACATATGTATATGTACATAGATATATATATCTAAGTCCTATCTTGGCTTTCTCTAAGTCCTATCTTGACTATAAATATATATTTATAAATATATATTTAACATGTATATCTGTATCTATATACATTTCTAAGTCCTGTCTTGACTTTCCTATTTTTTCAATTGTTTTGGCATCACTTATTTAAGCTTCAGCTTCTAGGTACCTCAGTTTTCTCTTGAGCTGGAAGGCACTAATAAAGCTTCTCCAGTATTTACCCAGAAGAGAGATTCAGTGTCATTCAGTCATTTGGGCAACCACTTTGTAAAACTACCATTGTGTATATGACATATTTCTCCACTGTGAGAAGAAAACACAAAAGAAGTAGAGCTTAGCGTGAAGAATGTATAGTTTCTTAGGCAAAGTAGCGTTTTACTCTCTTTTAACAAGAAAGTTCTTTAAGTTTTTTAGGGGAAAGTAACATTGTAAATTGTTGATTTTTGTTACTTCATTTGTTGACTTGGTAGCGCTATTCTTTGACCTCTTTTTTATCTCATGTTTATTCATAACGTTTTCTCTTTATCATGCACCTTCATGAAATAGGAAATCACTTTAAAAAAGAAAAAAAGCACTCACTTTTGTAACTTCTCACTAAGCTTTTGAATCCCATGGTCAGATTCAGGTGAAAAAAGAGAAAAAAAAGAGGAGCCTCCTATCTACACTTCTTCAGCTGAGATAACAGATGCCTCTTTTCCACTTCTTAGTTAACCTGGAAAGCTGGGGGTCTGTTTGAATTACTTAGAAAGGCTTTTAAACACCATTAGTTGTTAAGTATTTTTTCTTCTGTATAGAAAATATGAAGAGTATTATCCTGGTAAAATTTACGGGAAGTAGTGTTAGGTTCAGAATGAGGTGAAACTGATTTAAAACATTCTGCATTCAAAATGAGACATAATTTAGACTCTAATGTACTTTGATTTTGTCAGTGTCCCAGTATTCTTTATTCTTTCGTCTGCCTCTAGCTGATCGTAGGGCCTAGATTAGTATACCCACAAAGTCTTTCTAAGCTAGATTTTCTCAACGTCAGCACCATTGACATTTGGGCCAGATAATTAATTGTTGTGGGGGCTGTCCTGTGCATGGGATGTTCAGCAGCATCCCTGACCTCTAACTACTAGATGCCAGTAGCAATCCCCAAGTTGTGACAATCAAAAATATTTCCAGACACTGCCACATTTCCCCTGGGGGCCAAAATAGCCCCAGGTTGAGACACTTCTCTAACTCAGGTTCATACATGGAACCAGTTTCTCTTTTCAGGAATATCTTGACCATATTTAACCTTTCCTCCCAACCAGTTCAGCTCCAGTCCTATCCAGAGGAGAGTCGGTGTTGCTTAATGGCTAAGAATGTGGTCTTTGGAGTCTGACAGACCTGGGTTTGAATCCTGATTCCACCATTTACTCATTGTATGACCTTGGGTATGATAGTTAATCTCTCTGAGCCTTATTTCCTTATCTTTAGAAATAGAAATAATAACAGTGTCTTTCACAGAGTTATTGTAAGAATTAAATGAGGTAATGTACGTAAAGCCCATGGTACACAATGTTTATTAAGTGGTAGATATTAATAATATTGTACCTTTGCACTCCTGTGTTACACACACACATGCACACACACACACACACACACACACATGCACACACACACCCAACTTCTACTCTCTAATTATCCCTCTCAAAGAAATCTTATGGCATCACACTTTCAGCACTCGTGAACTCCCTGTGTGGAAACAGAAAGTTCCCACAGAGTAGAGCAGGCACTAGGTGGCTGGAAGTAGTATGTTTAGTAGGATTGGAAACAAGCTTGAGTTCTAGGCTTCCTGGCTTCCCTGTTAAGAGAAAGGATTGGACTCCTAGATGGTTGCTTTGATGGAAAATCATCCTTCACCTTTTATACTACTTCCCTCCTGTGGCAATTCCAGTTATACTTGATATGGATTTTATTCCTTCCCAGACTCTTACCTGAATTGTTTTGAAGGCTTACAGTCTTCATAGGGTTGTTGTCTAGATTGTGGAATTGTCCTAAGGATGAAATGAGAAAATGTGTTGTGTGGTACTTGGCATAAAGCCAGGAATATACTAAGTGCTCAGTAAATGATAACTGGCATTGCAATTGCTGCTGCTGCTTTAGTTGCTGTGAGAGGGTGTTTGATCTGGATAAAGCAGAACAGACAGATCCCCAGAATGCCAGGCCGGTAAAAGGAGCTTTTGGAAGCTTTTCCTCTTCCCTATTTTATATCTGAAAGGTAACAGAAAGCATAGGCTACTCCATAGGCTGCACTGCCCTCTTCGGGGTTCCTGACCAGCCCAGAAAGGCTTTGCCCTTGGGGCCTGAGAGTGGTGGTGTTGTTTCCCATCTACTCAGTATTATGAGGTGACTAAGTGATAGAAATCACCTGGCCAATATTAAAGAGAAATGATTACAAATGATAATGAATAGAAATAAATAATACATGATGGATAGACATTAAGTTATTTCAATAAGAGGAAATGTTGGCTCAGTTCACATATTGCTTTCCTGTGCTTTGGAGTGGTCTTTAATCTGTGTTTGCTGAACCAAACACTTCTGGATTTTTCCCTTAGGGGTGTGAGGATATTGCTTCATGGGGGAGAGCTCCAGCTGAGTCTGTTAGTCTGTAAAGCAGAGAAATGACCCCCTTGGCTTGACCTCTGGGGGTGGGGGTGGGCGATGTCTTGCAGGTCATGAAGACATATCACATGTACAATGCCGACAGCATCAGTGCTCAGAGCAAACTAAAGGAGGCGGAGAAGCAGGAGGAGAAGCAAATTGGTAAATCGGTAAAGCAGGAGGACCGGCAGACCCCATGCTCCCCTGACTCCACGGCCAACGTTCGCATTGAGGAGAAACATGTCCGGAGGAGCTCAGTGAAGAAGATTGAGAAGATGAAGGAGAAGGTATGTAGGCTCCCACAGCTGTAGATGCTGGGAAGCAACATTCGGTAAGGCATGGCTGATAGGAATTTCCCAATAGTCACTGGGAAGAGCAGACGAGGAAGCTCTGGGTTCTTTTAGTGCCTAATGACTGAAAATGAGGCCTTGCTCTGTGCCCTGGCAGGAATACTAGGTATTGGAAGAACTGGGCACGTGGGATCCAAGATTCTAGCCTCTAGCAGAAAACCAAGAAACAGCAGTCACCTTTCCCAATCCATTTTCCAAATAGAGCTCAATATCCTATTGCTTTGGAGGGGTTGGGGGTGACTGTAAACCTAGGATTTGGTTTCAGGTATCAGGTGTTCAGGGGCAAGAGTAGTGGTACCTCCTTCAGAGTGGCATTGCAAGAATGAAGAATGATATTTGAAGATAGAATCAAAGCGGGGCACGCATCTTAAGTAGGGAGCCTCATTAACCTTTCCTGAATTGATCTACATTGTGCCCTTGAATCTCATTAAACAGAATTAGAACCCAATTTAAGGCAGATGCGCATAGGGAGTAGCAACACAATTGTAGTTCTTGAATACACTGTACTTTTATCTTTTAGAGAACAAGCCCCCCTTTAAAAAAAAAGGTAAAAGTGAACTTCTGTTTCCTTTTCAGCACCAAGCCAAGTACACGGAGAATAAGCTGAAGGCCATCAAAGCCCAGAATGAGTACTTGCTGGCTTTGGAGGCAACCAATGCATCTGTCTTCAAGTACTACATCCATGACCTATCTGACCTTATTGATGTAAGTGCTTAAAGCCAAGGGCCTGAGGGCCCCTCTTTTCTGGTTTCAGAATACTCGTCAGACATTCCCGATACTATTGTTCAGGAATCTGGTGCATTTTGAGAACAATTAGGAAGATAGCAGCCATGATCCATCAGAGTGCTTGCCAAGCACCATGTGAAACACTTCACACTTATTCAATCCTAACTGGAATTCTGGGAGGAAGGCATTATTATCTATATTTTTACAGATTAACAGAGAGTTTAGATGACTTAGTCAGAGTCAGTTAACAAATGACAGAGGCAAAATTTGCACCTAGGCCTGATGACTCAACCCAGGCTCATAACCACTACACTCGTCTATCTGCCAGGAAATACTTTCTTCCTTTTTTTTTTTTTTTTTTTTTTTGAGATAGAGTCTTGCTTTGTCCCCCAGGCTGGAGTGCAGTGGTGCAATCTTGGCTCACTGCAACCTCCATCTCCCAGGTTCAAGCAATTGTCCTACCTCAGCCTCCCCAGTAACTGGGACTACAGGCATGCATTACCATGCCCAGCTAATTTTTGTATTTTTAGTAGAGATGGGGTTTCACCATGTTAGTGAAGCTGATCTGGAACTCCTCACCTCAGGTGACCTGACCTCAGGTGATCCACCTGCCTCGACTTCCCAAAGTGCTAGGATTACAGGTGTGAGCCACTGCACCCGACCTAGGAAATACTTTATTACATCAGCTTCTCTTGCACAGAAGTGAGTGGCAAGAACTTAACTAAAGAGTTACAATGCCATCCCTTATATTTGTATAGCATTTAAGGTTTCTCGGTGTTAACTCATTTAACTCTCACATCACCATTATGGGTAAGCATTGCTGTCTCCAGTTGCTAGATAAGGAAGCTCAAGGTCCAGAGGACTACGAGACTCACTTGTCCAAGGTTATGCTGCAAATTAGGGTCCTGTCAGGAAGGTATCCAGCTCCCCCTGACATCTGGCCCATTTTTAAAAATATGTGATGCAAAGGGGATTGAGGAAAGCGGTTAATAGGCACATGTGTTTTGCAAGGGGCAAGCGCAGAGATAAGCTTTTTGTTTTTTGCCTGTGAGTTATTCTTGGCCTTGTTTTTCCTGCTGCTTCCCCTTACAGTTGGGTCTTACAAGCCCTCTCACCTACAGACTGCAATCTGGCCCAGGTCCTGAGCCACACCTAAGTGAAGCTATGTAATTACACCCTTTCTCACCTCTCCTTCCAGTCATCAAAGTGAGGCATCTGGAGCCAGCCAATTTAGCATCCCAGTCTCTGGGGCTTCAAGTGTATCTCATCTCGGAGGCCTGCCATTTGTTTCAGGGTCTTGTTGGCAGCAGTTGGGCTTTGCAAAACTCTGGCCCGACCACTCTTGCTTTCCTGCCTTGGTTTCTCCACAAGCAAACCTGCCACACCTCACAACATCATATGGGATTTGGGTCCGAGTCTTGCTGTTATATCACCACCTGGGTCATCTAGGCTTGTCACTGAATTGTTCTGGAACCCAGCTTTGTTTCTCACCCACTCCCAAGCTCCTCTAGCTAACTGAAGAACTGGACTAATTCCCTGGTATTAAAATCTGGCCTCACGTAAGAGTTGCTTGGGGAACTTCTCTAAAATACAGATTCCTGTCTCCCTTTAGCCGAGGATTTTTGATTCAGTAGATTTCAGCCACTTAATGCCCTAGGTGTCATTGTCTCACTGGGTTAGTAGAGCCTTGCTCCCTGTTCTGGTACCTCTTTGTTCTCTCTGCTTGTTGATGACAATCTGAACACTGTCCTTCAATGGAGGTCAAAGCCCTAAACAAGATCCTTTCTCCTCCTCAGGGGAAGAGCTCCTCATTGTTGGGAGAGAGGCCTGTTCTCAGCATAAGGAAGAGAATCCATTCTTTCTTATGCACAATTTCTGCTATTTATCTCGCATTTGGTAAAAATTCAGACTGTGCTGTCTGCCACACCGCTGCTATTGGTTAGCCCTCTTCTCTTTTTTTGTACTCAAGGCAACTTCCCTACCTTTTTCACCGAAATACTGATCTCAGGGGAAGGGAGGGGTTACTGCTGTATCAGCCACAACCTTTGCAATCCATAGATTCTCCATCAGGTATAACCAAGTGTTTTAAAATCAGTCCAAGAAGCGAGGTATTTTGTACCTTATTTTCATCATTTAAAAAAAAAAAAACGTCTGCTAAGAGCCTAATTTCACAGGATGTGGTGTGACATGCCATTGAAAAAGAGGCTGCCTTAGTACTTGGCAGGGTGTGGGTCTAGATCACTGGGATCAAAAGGCTACATAGGTAGTAATAAAGTTTCTCATGTTTCTTTTTTTTTTTTTTTTTTTTTTTGAGAAGGAGTCTCTCTCTGTCGCCCAGGCTGGAGTACGGTGGTGCGATCTCGGCTCACTGCAAGCTCCACCTCCCAGGTTCACGCCATTCTCCTGCCTCAGCCTCCCGAGTAGCTGGGACTACAGGCACCCGCCACCACGCCCAGCTAATTTTTTGTATTTTTTTAGTAGAGACGGGTTTTCACTGTGTTAGCCAGGATGGTCTCGATCTCCTGACCTCGTGATCCGCCTGCCTCAGCCTCGTTTCTTTGCTGCTGTTTTGGTTGTGTCTTGTTTTAGTTTGTTGGTTGGTTGGGTTTTTGTTGTTTTTCCTGGGATATGGACACATTCATTATTTTTTTTAAAGTTGTATTATTCTGCTCTATAAATGTTCAGTAAATATTTATTTAGGGAGAAGCCACGTGCTCAGTATTGGGGTAAAAATGGATTATAGTAGTTCTCACCCTAGAGGTAGTCATAGGCTGTAAGACAACATTTTTCAAACCATTGGTCAGATCCCTTAAGAAAGTCAGGAAATCACTTTTATTGGTTTAACCTGTGTTTTCAGATGACTAGATGAGACTAGAATAAGAAAGAAAATATTAGAGTACATCACATTGGTAAGATTATGTGAAACTTTTATGTTAGATATGTATGTACACACTTGTACATCCTATGGGGAAGTGTGTGACAATAGAAGATGTGTTTCTTATTGTGAGTTGGGAGTCAAAAAAGTGTTAGTGAGCCATTGTACTATGAACAGAGGAAGATCTCAGTCTCATCTGTTAAGTTCTGTGAGAGCAGGAACCAAGAGTTTTCTTTACCTTAGTAGCCTCCAGTGCTTAATATATAGCTGAGCACATAGTGTGTTTACTGAAGGAAGAAAGGAATAGAAAGAGGAGGAAGATGATCATCTAAGCTAAGATCGGTTTTTCTTTTTGTACCTTTCAATATGGTTTTGAAGTATAATTTACATACAGTAACTAAACTTAAGTGTTACAGTTTCAAGAGTTTTGACAAATTTGTACATCTTTGTAATCTATGTCAAGATATAGAAAAAATATTTTGATAAGAGATATCTTTCCATTGCCTCAGAAAGTTTCTCTTGTCTCTTCCCAGCCAATCCCCCACCCCAAGGCAACCACTGTTATGATTTCTTTCACCATAAATTAGTTTTGCCCATTGTAGAACTTCACAAAGATGGGATTATCCTTTTTTGTGTCTGGCATCTTTTGCCAACATGATGTTTTTGAATTTCATCCATGTTGTTTGCATGTATCGGTAGTGTCTTTCTTTTTCTTGCTGACCTATGAGATAAAAAGGGCCAAAAGGATGCAGTTAGAGCAGGACTAAGTGAGGAGCCTGGGATATTGGCATCCTGATCTTAACATTATTCATTACTTGCTTTAAGACACGGGATGAATCCTGTTGCAGTCCATTGCCATCTGTGTCATGTACAGCCTTCTGCCTCCTTCCTAGTGGTTCTGAAGCCAAATGTGTGCATAAGGCATTGAGGATAAGTGAAAAGAAGTTATTTTTGTTGATGCCATTACATTGACCAAGGACTAGCCTCCGACTTCTTTTTATAGTATAGTACAAGATTTAAACTTCAGACTGTAGGAATCCACGTGAGGCATCTGCCACACTGGGGAAACCTTGACTTCAGGCCAAAAAGACGTTCTGAGCTCATTTGATGGCATCTAAGAATGGTAGGCTCACTGGAATGTAATTTTCCTCCCCCATACTCTTCTGGCTCTCTCAACCCAGGAGCAGATGGATGAATGAAGAACAGGGCATTGTCCTCATGCATAGCTGGAGTGTTGTAAGTGCCGTGTACATGTATGGAAGGTCTTTGACACCATGTGCACCCAAGTCGGACATGAGGGAACTTGGCTGTTTCAGTAAGAAATGTCATTAAGGACAGTTATTTTTCTCTTTTGTGTGAACCTGAACTGTGAAACACCCATTTTTCCTTTCCAGGCCTTGTGGAGTCTCTGGGTGAAGATATCAGCTGGGAAAGGGTTAATGAGCTATCAACTCAAGTCATCATACATCTGGATGGGCTGTCATTAACTTCTTACAAAAATTTGATTTCCCCTGAGAGATTTTTCATCAAACATTTATATAACCCAGAAATGGCCAGGGGAGTCCAGCGTGGCCACAGAACTCATCAGAAGCCATGGAAAGCCTGCTTTGTCCCCACTGTGAGCAAAATAATGTGCTTCCTGTACTTATTGGGATTCTTCTTGGAACAGGATGAAATATTCAAATCTCATTTACCCAACCTTGCCAGATATTGCTTCTTCGCTGAAGGCTCGGTTTCTGACTGTTTCCCCTACAGGTATATAGATAGTCAAGACTCTGGAGAACCTCTTCCGAATCTGCCTGGTTGGCTAGAGGTGTAGAGGAGCCAGGGGCACATTGTGACTCAGACCCTCACTCATTGGCACAAAGAAGCTACAGAATAGTTATATAAACAGAGGCAGTGCGCCAGCCTGGGAAAACTCCCAGCCTCCCTTTGGCCATAGAGTAAGCAAAACAAATGGCTTCACTGGCCCCATCTACCCACTTGACTTAGGTCAGTATTCAGCCTAAATGTTTTATTTCCTGAGAGGCTGGAATCTGTATTTGTGGTATCAATCAGTCAACTGAAATTTATTAAATGCCTGCTGTGAGCAAGGCCTAATGCTGAGGGATGTAAAGAAGAGTGAGAAGCTAGTCTGGTTGGGGTGATATGACATGGCAAGTCATAGAATGAAGAAGCGTATTCCTTGTCATATGAAAGCTGCAGATTAGTGTGGTTCTAAGTAGAGGCCAGGGTCACTGGAGTCTAGGATTGCAGGGTTGGCTGGCTTCCCAGAGGCTAAGAATTTAATTTGGATCTTGAAGATCTGGTCCAATTCCAACAGGTGAGAGGCATAGGAAACATTTAAGGAAAAGGACATTCTGGGAGCTGAAGGGCAGAGGTCAGTGGATTTGGAGCTATATTAGTATTTTTTAAAAGTGTCTACATGGTACCAAATATCTGTAAATATATTGCCTGTTAGCCTACAACAACCTGTGTGGCTGGTGTTATCCTCATTTGAGGCCCAGAAGGATTAAGTAGCTTGCTTATGGCCATATAGCTGATTTGAAGACTAATACTCTACCCTAAACAGAGAGTATCTCATTGGATTAGAGCAGATGAATCTGAAGAAGAAAATAAAGGGAGTTGATGTTGGATGGGTAGATTGAAGACAGATTACAGTTTGTTCTGGCTATTGAACCTTGCTCAAATTGTTTAACTTCACTGAACCTCAGCTTTCAAGCCTGGAAAATTAAGATTATACCAACCTCATTGGGGTTATTATGAGGATTAAAATGTAGAATGTATATAAAGCACTTAGCACATGGACTGACGTATAGTAAGCATACTTAGTGAAATAGAAGCATTTTTTAAATTTCAAAACTGAGGAAGGTGGATTTTACCTTGGGGAAAAAAAATGAGAGGTATTTTAGGTTCTTCAACAGGAAAGTGCCATAATTAAAGTCACAGTTTAGGACAGTGATGCTGACGGTGAGGGTATGAATAGGGGTAGAGGTAGTAAGAATGGAGAGGAAAGGGAAATTACCAAAAACAGGTAAAAGTTTTTTGAAGGGTAACTTTTCTCTCCCAGATTCTACCCCCTGCCCACACCCCCTCCACCCACACTCATACACTCTGTGGGCCGTGTTACTTCTGTTCATTAGACTTATAGGCATAGAGCTCATCAACAGGGTCTACATAGAGCTAGTCAGGAAGGTTTACAGGTTCAAGGGCAGCCTGGTGAGACCAGCAGCATCTCCCAGAGAGCCCATGCCCGTGCAGCGTCCTAATGAGCCACTTTTGTCTAGCTTCCATTTGCTCTTCCCTCCCAACTGAATTTAATGTCTTTCCATCCTCTGCCTCTAGTTAAGTTGTAACTGCTGTTATTCCACTGCAGCCAGGCAGCTGCCAGGGCCTGTTGGCACTGAACCCAGAGCCCAACCCAACTGATGTTCTCACTGAGCTTCTTGTCAGATGCCAGGAAAGAGGAGGCACATCATATGCCTTTTCTTCCCCAATAGTAGCTGCTTCCAATGTGATCATGATGAGAGGAAAAGGCTGTGGGGAGAGTTAATTTGATGCTTGCTTGTGCAATGAAATGGCAATCAGGCAGATGGCCTTACTCTATGCATAGATTCTTCTTTGAGGTTTCTTCTCAGGACCCGGACCTCAGAGCTGCTTAAGCAATAGAGAGGATGATGGATGGCCAAGGAATTGGGATCTCTGGGTCTTTTGGGAGGGATGGGGAATATTATCACAGAGTTACAGAATGCCATTGCTGAAGAGGGCCTTAGGGATTACATTTAGTCCAAGGATTTTCAGACTTTTCTCTAACAGAAGAATTCTTTCTTCAAACCAAACCTTACATAGAATCCCTAAATATTAAATAGAAAAAAGAGCAGGGTTGGCTTGGTTGAAGGAGGAATAGAAGACTCCAAGTCCTAGTAGTTGGGCTGTCCTTTTACTCACTTCTCAAGGGCAGCTTCAGTGCCAGCTCTGGTCTACTGCTTGAAAGCCACTAGCCTGGCCAAATCTGTTCATTTTACTATGGAAGAAACAGGTCCAGAGAAGGGGAGTGGCTTTTCCAAGGTTGCTTGATTCTGCGCCAGTGCTTTTTTTATACAGTTGCCTCTTTTTGCATTTTGTTGTAAAAAATCAGAATCCTTTACATGGCATGAATTTTTCCAGTAACACTTTTGCGTAGAGCTTTTTAGTCTTATAAATGCTATTTCTGTAGTGCAGGGCCATCTGTTGTCAGATGCCAGGAAGGAGGAGGCATGTCAGAAACCCTAGTCTGCAGCTAAGGCCTGTCCTAGGATGTTGGGCATTGGTGGGGATGATGACCCACAGAGTCAGCTCCCCATTCTCTCCTTCTCCCATCTAGAGTTGAGCTTGCATACATTAGCTGCTGTTGCAATACTCCTGCTTTCAGAACCCTGAAATGGCCTGGCTTGGTTGCTATATAGTGATTTAACCACAGTAACCCTCAGTGAGTGGCAGGTTGTATTTTTATTGTTGAATTTTGTTATAATGACAACCCCAGATAAACCTGAAAATGAAAGAGGATTCTCTTTAACTCTCAATTCTTCTCATGTTTATGAAATAGCGCTTAATTAAATAATGTCATTTTATCCTTATGAGTCTTCTTCCTCCTAACCACCTCACAGCCCTCTAGGGTGTGTTTAACCGTTGAATTGGGAGTCAAGAACTGAGAACTCTCACCCAGACCTTGGAAGTCGGAATGTCAGCCGTCTTTCTACTGCACAGCCAAGCCTATTGATGTGGTCAGATCTGCCCTCTGGACCACCTTCCTTTTCTGCCAAGCCTTGGGGCTGTCCATGGTGTGCTCATGTGCCTTCTCCTTCCCACAGCAGTGTTGTGACTTAGGCTACCATGCAAGTCTGAACCGGGCTCTACGCACCTTCCTCTCTGCTGAGTTAAACCTGGAACAGTCGAAGCATGAGGGTCTGGATGCCATCGAGAATGCAGTAGAAAACCTGGATGCCACCAGTGACAAGCAGCGCCTCATGGAGATGTACAACAACGTCTTCTGCCCCCCTATGAAGTTTGAGTTTCAGCCCCACATGGGGGATATGGTGAGGCCCTTTCCCTATACCCCCACCCTCAAGGGGCTTGAGTGGAGTTGTCTAGATTAATTACACAGAAGGCACATTATTCTGGGGTGGGAGAGGCCTGGGCCCGGCTTTTTGTCAGGTGGGTGAGGCACATTCCACTTATTGAGCAAACAGTTAGTGAGTGCCTGCTGTCAGACACTCGGGCTTGGGTGCAGACATGGGGGATTAAAGCCCTCGGGGAGCTTACAGTCTGGGGAATAAGGTCGCTAAGGCTTGAGGAGGGTTCAAACTATGCATAGAGAGGGGT
The DNA here is from genome assembly GCF_000001405.40 of Homo sapiens. Taxonomy (NCBI): domain Eukaryota; kingdom Metazoa; phylum Chordata; class Mammalia; order Primates; family Hominidae; genus Homo; species Homo sapiens. Next base: position 121,383,212 of record NC_000001.11, read on the forward strand.
ATCCAAAGGGGCCCAGCAGGATCAAAGAAGGTGAAAAACAGCAGGTATATTCTAAAAACTACCAACAGTTCAGGATGGTGAAAGGAAAGTGAGGGAGGGGGGCGCTCCCAGTGGTGAGGCTAGAAGAAATGAGAGCTGAGGTGGGGCCACATCCTAGAGGCTTTAGTGGGGAAGCGAGGGCTAGGTAGGGAATGCTGTGATCTTTTGGCGTTTGGCAGAGTTCTGAATAATCTTATTCTCCTGAAGTTAGAAGACTGTGATGAAGTGTATAGTTTTGTTTGGGTATTGAATAAAAAAGAATGGGTACCTGCAGGAAGGAAAGGAGCTAAGATGCTATCCCAAAGGCCTGATGCTGGTTGCCCAGACAGGGGAGCATGAACATGGGGGCCTTGTTTTGGACTCTTAGCCTCCAGTGACTAGAATAAAAAGGGCCTAAAAAAGCTAAAGTGAGAGGCAGGAGAAGCTCCTGGGTTTTCATAGTTCTGAATCTTTTGGTTCCACTTGTGTGGTTGTGTGTACAAGTCAGAGTGAACCTCATTCCTGTGGATAAGAGCCACCATTTCTCCTACTGGTGAAATTAGAAGGAGGTTGTATAGGGCTTATGCGATAGAAAAGATCAAGATGGACCTTTGGGTATAGTTGGCTTTAGGAGGAGGAATTTTACCAAGACACTGTTTTGCTGTCTCTGTACTACTTCCTGTGTGTTAACTCCATTCTCAGACAGGCCATTCTCCCATGGAGGCAAGGTGACTGCATTTCCAGCCTTCCCTGGTAGGTTGAAATCTAGTGGAAAGAGTCTCTGCCTCCCTCCTCAAAGCCCCCATAAAGTTTGTGTGTCTCATTGGTTTTGATTGGGTAAAGTGCTTATGCCTGGGTCCATGCAAAGCACGTGGCCTGAGTTGTGGAGTGGGAGGTTCCCCTCGCCGAGGGCAGTTAGACCAAAGCTACCAAAAAAAGGAGGAGTGGACGCCGGGGACCAAAAAACAGCAACATGTGTGCTCCTCAGGAATGATGCTTCCCTTAAGATTAGCATCCAGACTCTAGAAATCCCCACTCCAGAATGACAGCTGTGGCAGTGGAACCAGAGGATTTGCTGTCATCAGTTGGCCTCTATGGAGAGTGAGACGCTGTCCTGGAGATAGAAATGTGGAGTTGGTTTCCTTCCTTTCCTTCTTGGGGAAAATCAAACCATTTACAGTTCATTTCCATTGCTGTGGCTTAGGAAATGTCAGTGTCTGAACAGATGGAGAAGTGAGATGGCAGCATGTGCAATTAGAATTGGGGGAAGGGGTGTCACCAAGCCTCAGGAAGCCCCATTCCTCACCTGCCCTGGCTTCTGGTCAAACTTGCCTTCCAAGCACCTTCTCCAGCTGTCACTGAGGTTCCTTCCCAGGGATCAGTGGAACTTGGGGACCAGCTGAGTGGAGTGATACATTTTCTGGTGTTAGTGACTGAGTTGCCTTCTGAGCCAAACAGCTTGTCTCCATAAAGGAGGAATCCAGATGCTGGGTGCTCAAGCCCCCTTCTCCCCCTGTCAGAGCCTTATTTCCATACTCCGGAGTGCAGCTGAAGTGTATTACCTTGCACCCTGGTAGCGGACCACTGTCAAAGCATACATCATCATCAGCTCTGCTACTTCTTAAAGGAACAGGCTTGGAGGTGGTTTTTCCCTCCATGATTCCTCTCTGCTAGCTCACTCTTCTGCCAGGGCCCTCCCTTTATGTAATATAGCTGATCAGTGGCTGAGCCAGGCAGGGGCCAGGACCAGTCCTGGAGCTTGTGAAGGTTCCGCATTCTAGCCTAGCCTTCATATGAGTGAAATAAAAAGAGATGAGAGGGTGGGTCATTCTTGGCCTCTGCAGCCAGTCTATCCCCATCAGTGTGGGTTGTCTGCAGATTGTGGAGGCAACAGGAGGGAGCTGCCTGGAAGTCGTTGAACTAGGGCCAAAGATTGGGTAGCATTTTGACCGGAAGCCTTAAAATTGGCCAAGGTCCCACACTAACTGGTGTTCTGGGGTGCACAGCACATGAATTGATGCCAAGTGCTCTCAGATGTACTAGGAGGAGGTGCTTGGCTCCATTTTTGGTGCCCTCAGAGGCTGTGGGACTCTGGATGCCTGACTGGTGACATCAGGCAGCCAGAGAATTTCACTCTTGGCGCTAACCGGTTCTGGCCACTGAGCTTTCTCCATTGTGTCTGCTTATCCAAGAGTTAGAGTGAAGTCAGCTCTCTGTGGATCTGAGAGTTGGCTCAGGCCAGCCTCTCAGCTGGGGGAAGAGGTCAAGTCAGTTGGGAGCTTAAAAGCCAATGGAGGAAAAGGTCAAGTCCCAGCCCCCTCCATTTGAAGAAAGGTTTTTTCTTTTCAAGCAAGGGAATGGTCCGTGGGCATGTGAATGTGCCCACTCTTTGCTGAGGAGGAAGGAGGCCATTTCTATCCAGATGTCTCTCTGCAGACAAGAGGCTAAAGGACGAACGGTAACAAGGTGACAGGAGCTGTCTCCACATGGGTCCTGCCTCCCAACTCTCTCAGCCTTCTGCTCTCATCTGTCATCCAGGGGACTGTGGATGACCTCATCCCATAACCACATCTCCAATGGGAGACAGTGGAACAGCCATTCCTTCACACAGGGGAAAGCTAATTGGCAATAATCCTTGCGGGAAGGTCAGACTCCTCTCTTACAGATCTAGGGAAGGCCTGGGGTAAAATGATGGCTCTTTGGAAAATGCCAAGCTCCTTCAGATTCCATACCCTCTCGGGCCCTCTAGCATAGGCAACGAACTTGTTCCTGGCTTCACGCTTTCTCATTGAATCAAAGCTCTCAAGCATGGCCTGGATTTGTAAACACATGCTGGCTGCCAGCAGTGGCAAGTTAGCCTCCTGACCCACTTCTCTCCTGCTTTCACTCTGGTGTATGAAGGGGGATGAGGGAGGGGCCAGAGAGGTGGCCACTTGGACCTTTGGCAGGAAATCTTCACTGTGCCAAAGCATTGTGTTTCTGGAGCCGGAGCTGCCTGAGGCACTCTTCTCCAGCCTCCTCAGCCTTCCATGGAGCTGCAGACCCTACATAGACCTACCCCTGCCGGGCTCCAAACAGATCCCCCTACCCATTCCTTTCATGTACTGTTTGGTCCTGGAAGAGGCTCACACAAGTTGGCTTTGGGTTTTGCTTCAACATAGAAACCACGAGCCTTATACCTTGAATATGGGTAGTTTCATTGCCAGTAATGGGAACTCTGGAACTGCCAAAGGGACTGTATCCTCTTTCTGACCTGGTGTTGCTTTCTTTTGTTAGGCTTCCCAGCTCTGTGCCCAGCAGCCTGTCCAGAGTGAGCTGGTACAGAGATGCCAACAACTGCAGTCTCGCTTATCCACTCTAAAGATTGAAAACGAAGAGGTGAGTTTCTTCCTTAGGAGGCTCAAAGCCACACTCTTAGTTTCCCTGTTGAAACTTTTGCTGCTGCCCGTCTGGGAGCAGGTGGAAGGAGCATGCAGAGAATGTCCGGGCGGCCGCAAACATTTCCTAGCCAAATGTAGGCTTGGACTTTCCCCCTCTGCTACATCCTGCCCTTGAACTCCAGGAAGTTGCTCTTGCATTGCCAAAGGTTGTGCTCTATTTTGAGCTTTTGCGAAATGCTTTTTTTCCCCTCTACACATTTAATCAAAATGGCACTTGGCAGCTGTGTGAACAATATTGTGTCTCTGAAACCACCTCCTCATGCCTAGCTTTTTCCAGCATGTTCAAACAAACAGAGGCCTTTGACTTTGACACTTCAAACATCTCCATCCTCTTAGGAAAGGGTGAGTTTCTTCTGGGCTCAGTGTATTTGCTTTCAAAAAGCGGTTCAAAAGGGCGGGTGATCCAGCTTTCTGTTGAGCTCAGATGGCTTCTTACCTTGTGTCTCAGTAAGTCTTACTTTCTGCAGGAAGATCAGGAAGAAGTAGGGATAGGTCACTTAGTTTGCAAATGAGCAAACAAGTTCATCAGTTTGTTGAAGGTCATGAAACAGAACCTGGGGCTTTGCAGTACTAGGCCCATCACACATTTTAATTAGCTGTTTGTATGAGGGGGTTGGTTTAGATTTATTTTATTCTCTTTCCCTTAAAACTTCTATTATAATGTTGTTATATAATATTATAATAATGCTAATATTAAATTTTAAAAGTAAACATTAAAAGATCTGGGTCAAGTACATAGCATGAAGGGTTGTAGTGGCTTTTAGGTTTTCACTGTAGAGAGTAGCATGCTGTAGCAGAGTCCATGTGATGTTTACCTCTCACTTAGCACTGTCCAGTGGGAAGCAGAGCTGCACACTCTGATGGCATCCTGTGGCCTTCCCCAGCCCACTCTCTTCAAGCTTCTCCATCACCTGCTGTTTAACAACCCACCCTTCATGCATCCTGTTGGCCCTTGTCGTGGCAGGTAAAGAAGACAATGGAGGCCACCCTGCAAACCATCCAGGACATTGTGACTGTCGAGGACTTTGATGTGTCTGACTGCTTCCAGTACAGCAACTCCATGGAGTCCGTCAAGTCCACGGTCTCTGAAACCTTCATGAGCAAGCCCAGCATTGCTAAGAGGAGAGCCAACCAGCAAGAGACAGAGCAGTTTTATTTCACAGTAAGGGAGTGCTATGGCTTTTAAAGAGCGTCAGCATGCACTGCAGCACTCAAGGGAGATTTGGAACTCAGAGTCCTTGTTAAGTGTCTGAAGGACAGGCATTGAATATCTTAGATACGAATGTGGGCATACTCAGAGACCATCCCTACACTTAAAGGTGCAAACATTAAAAGTTGTATATGTCTAACAGGGATCCGCCCAAGAGAAAGGATGCTCCCAAGTATACAACTAAGAAGATTTTCTTTTTTAAGAAATTTTTAACTAGCTAGTAGGCTTTCACTGGAAAGTTTCCTTCTCAGGCACAGGGGATCCTGAAAGGGGAACTTCATCTTTTAGTTCTTGGAGAGTACATACAAATATTCATAATAACACATATTTTGTTTATAAAAATCTATAATCTCTTCTAGGTGATATGATGACATTATTTTATAACTTTTATTGTTGGGAAACTATTTTTTCTAATTATTGCTAAAACTTAAAGGATGGGTAATATGCAGCATTACTATTTTGCACATAATTCCAAAACATCGTATTTTCTTATTCATGTATCTCTAGTCTTCTTTTAGACAGTTGGACCCTTTTTTCTTTTTCTTTTTTTTTTTTTTTTTTTAAGTATTGTTAACAATCCTTTGGAAGTCACTACTGGTCTTTGTGTGCTGCTTTTTAATAATTGAGTTATTTTGAGCTTGCCAAGTAGGATCTATTGCCTGGACTAAAATTTATTTCCTAATCTTCTGATGACCAAGAAAGGAAAAATTAAGTTTGCAGATGTGAGATGAAATATAGCCAGTGAATATGCATACTGATTCTGAATGAAAGGAATTAACTTTTCAGTCAAGAAACAGTCTGCATGCAGTAAATTGAATTTTTCCTGCAACTGGAATGATTTGTTTAATTCTTCTTTGAACACTGCCCTTTCTCCAGTAAGAACACTAATGATTTGCTAATATTTTTTAAAGAAATCTGTTTTTTTAATTAGTTAAGCTCAGACTTCCTCTTATTTTTTATCCTAGAGAAAACTGCTAAAAGGGAATGATATATCAGTACTATTCTTCTAAAACAACTTTTTAAAAATGATTATACAAAGCCAAATATGCTCATTATATAAAATTTAGAAGCAAAAAGAAGGAAATAAAAATTTTCCATAATTCTACCAGCTAGAGATAATGGTGTTAGAATATATTCCTTTCTAATCTGTTTTCTATGCATGCACAAACACATATGTGAGCACATATTTATAATTTTATTCTAAAAAATAGGACACTGCTGTACATATTGTTTTACAATCTAAGTCATATAATTATAATATTCTTTAAGCATATTTATGAGTAAAATATTAAAACCTATACAAAAAAATAACAGAATGGCATTTTAGCTCATTCATTGATTTTTATAAAATATTTAACACACTCCCTGGTTTGTAGTTAGCGTTCAATAAATGCTAAAAATTTATCTTCACCATCATCATTAATTTATTTATTAATCATTATTAAATTATTCATTGATCATTTTTTGAGGATTTACTATTGCCAGACACTGTGCTACAAGCTGGGAATGCTGACAGTATAAGATAAAGAGGGAAATGATGGGGGATGGGTCATGTAAAGGGAGAACTTTCATTTTTACTTCATATATATCTAAGCAGTTATAATAGGTTGATTTTTGTAATTTAAAAAATGTAAAAATGCATACATGCACTAGTGCATGAATGGCAGCCAGGATGAGTGGAATTGGAGAAGCATCACACACACAGTGACTTTTGTGTTTGATCTTGAAGAATGAGCGAACCAGGCAGGGAGTCGGGGAGGAGAATCGCATTCCTTGAGGAAAGAGCAGCATGTGGGAAAACATAAATGCACGCAATAACCTGGCTCACATGTTAAGAGAACTTTCTGACTATAATGAGGGATGTGTTGCTGCCCCAAGCTTCATTATCTAAGGAGTTTGTTGAACACTCTCTAGAGGCTTTTAATAATAGGATTGTTTAGCTGGTCTGTCTGGACTGGTTAGATATAACACTATTTAAATGACCCAATCTCATTACATTGTGAAGATTTCCATTTTTTAGGTTACGTAAGAAATTTTGGACCTAAAAATCTTGCATTTTAAGACAGTCTTTGTCAGAATTACTTTTTGGCTCTAAATGAATTCTGTAACATTTGTATTCTAAATTGACCTTTAGTAAAAGCAGGAATGGCCATATTCAAACTGGTAACCTCGCAAATCCTGCCCACCCTTTCACTTTCTGTCTCAATACATTGATGTCCTCTAACCCATTTCCTGTCTTATGTGGCTTTAGTGCCACTTATCAAAATTGTGTGCAAATTTCCTTGGCTAACAGTAACAGTTTTTGTCTGGGCTTGTCTAGCAGTGGAATTCTGCCTGAGTTCATCATTTTTGTGACTGGTACTTGAAGTGCATCAGATGATTAATTTCATGATAAGAGGGCTTTTTGGGGTGGTGAAATAGACATTTATGGAAAATGGGATACCCACATTAAGCAGGGTGACTACCTGTTTACCATACAACCCACACAAAGCCAATACAACTATAGATGTGCTTTCTTTAGTCTGTTGCCTCTGCAAACATTGCCCGTGTGTTTCTCTATGCCCTTCAAAAACATCAGAGCAGCACATCCTGGAAGATCCTATCTTTTGTAAGTTTAAGAAGCAGCCTCTTGTCACAGCTTGACTCCTAGGTAGTGTGCCTAGTGACCAAGAGGGCTGCTAAGAAAGCTTTCTGACCACTTGTGGCTGTCATTGGACTGATTTGCCCAGATGACATCAATTGGGAATTTGAGGCATGACCTATAAAGATCAGTTGCTTGCAAGAGTCTCAGGAAAATAATTGTGGAGTTAAGAAACTTGAAGCGATTTTTAAAAATTACCTAACCCAACCTTCTCATTTGAAAAATTAAAAAATAAATAGGCCAGATATGGCGGCTCATGCCTGTAATCCCAGCGCTGTGGGAGCCTGAGGCGGGTGGGTCTCTTGAGGCCAGGAGTTCAAGACCAGCCTGGACAATGTGGTGAAACCCTGTCTCTACTAAAAACACAAAAATTAGCTGGGTGTGGTGGCAGGCGCCTGTAATCCCAGCTACTCAGGAGGCTAAGGTGGGAGGATTACTTGAACTGGGGAGGCATAGGTTGTAGTGAGCCAAGGTCGTGTCACTGCACTCCAGCCTGGGTGACAGAGTAAGACTCTGCCTAAAAAAAAAAAAAGAAAGATTAAAAAATAAATAAATCTGCTGGGCGTGGTGGCTCACGCCTGTAATCCCAGCACTTTGGGAGGCCGAGGCGGGTGGATCACCTGAGGTCGGGAGTTTGAGACCAGCCTGATCAACATGGAGAAACCTCGTCTCTACTAAAAACACAAAAAAATTAGCTGGGCGTGGTGGCGCATGCCTCATTCACGTACATGGGAGAGTCTACAAAGTCACACGTATTCATAGGTTAAGCCACATGCTGACAAATGTCATAAGAAGACCCTACACTTTTACCTTGGCCGATCCCTCCCCTCAGTGCAAGCTCTGTGCAAGAGTGAACTTGAACTTCACTCAGTGCAAGAGTGAACACACACTTTGTGCCGGCTTTAAAGAACCCAGCACAAAGCCAGTCTGCATGGCCTACAGACATATTTTGCTGGACAATGATTACTTGCTTTTCTTTTTGTTTTTCTTGTATATGCCTGTTTGATTGGTTCCTGACATACCAGAAAATCACTGTCAAAACATTAGCTTAACATTTGTTAAGGAAACAAAAAGACTTCGGTGACCACACCTTATAAACCAAACAGTTTTGTAAATCACTTTGGAAAATTTCACTAAAAAAAAAAATCCTTAACAATATAATAAGTAAAGAAAATTTAAAACCACAAAACATTACTGTGTTTGTAGGGGGAGGTCTGATTTACAGAGTAACCACATAGTAATTATAATTATTAGAATGTCCAGTTTTCAAAAAACGTTACAAGGCATACAAAGAATGGGAAAGTGTGGCTCATTCAAAGGAACAAAATAAAGTGACAGAAAATATCCCTAAGGAAACCCAGACATCAAACTTACCAGACAAAGACTTTAAAACAACTCTCTTCATTATACTCAAATGTCAAAAGGAAAACATAAACAAAGAAATAAAGGAATCAGAAAAAATATTAAAAAGTAGGAATATCAGCAAAGAGATAACAAATTCTGGAGTGGAAAACTACAATGATAAAAATTTAAAAATCACCAGAGGGATTTAAGAGTATATTTGCACACACAGAGGAAGCCATGAACTTGAAGAGAAGAAAATGGAAAATACTGTCTCTGAGAAACAGAAAGAATAAAAAATAAACAATGAGCAGAGACTAATGAATTTGTGGGACATCATCAAATAGACCAACATTCATATTCTAGAAGGATAAATTATGTTGTTAAAAAGTTTACCATTCTTTCTTTTCACCTTTCTTCCTTCTTCCTTCCCCCTCCTCCTTTTTACTTTTCTTCCTCTTCCTTTCTCTTCTTCTTTCTCGCCTTCATTATCCCTTTCGCTGTTTCTCTTTCTCCCTTTCTCTTTTTTCTTTTCTTTCAATTTTCTCAATTACTAAGAGATGTTTAAGTACCCTTAGCATGTTAGTAGATATGGTTATTTCTCCCTTTAGTTCTCTTTTGAGATTTATAGTCACTCAAATAAAGAGATAACCCAAACATAAGCGTCACAAACAGGCTTTCATACCATTCTTAATTTGGTCCTGTAATTCTTCATTGCTGTATTAATTTTCTGATGCTTTTAAGGATGTTTTATAACAAATTGTGTAGCTTTTTCCAATGGAATGTTTATTCTGAATTATCTAATTCATATTGTAAGTATAGAGGGAGTTTAATATAAAATTATTAAACTAATATTTGTGAAAGAATGTATTTGAGCATTTAACAAATATGTTAATCCTCAGACTGTTATTGGGCAGCTGAGCATACAGGAATAAAAATAACACAATTTTTATGTGTACAATATTTATGGAATACGTTACTGGACCCAATAAATAATTTAGTTAATAACATGACAAAGAACAGAAATTGTATACACTATAGAGCATAGTAATGGAATAATGAATGATTAAAGTTATTAATATTAGGTAGAAAATGAAGGGTATCTTTGAGAGCAGAATTCAAGGAAGCAAGCAATTCGCCTTATCAGGAAAGAGTTACCTGTGGATAAAGGAGAAACTGAAAAATTTACAAGTCAAGACTTTTTGAGCAAAAACAAAAATATGACTATTAGTCACCAATTCAGTACAGTGAAAAAAATGTTGAAGAGATATCTTGGAAGTAAACCATGTTGTGGAAGAGCATGTAGGGTTTTGATAATCATGGGATGATTCTGAATTAATTTTAAATGCGATAGGAATATATGAGATAATTTCACCAGAGAATAATATGATTGTGTTTGCATTTCAAAGGGGTGTATCTGGTGCACTGTGTAGAATAAATAGGTTATGTGAGCAAATAAATTGGGAGGCTACTCTAATCCAGCGAAAAAAGGTAGTGACTTAGGTGAGAATGCTGTCAGCATGAGTGGTAGTAGTGGTGAGAAGTCGTTAGGCCATGGATGTATTTCATAGGACTGGCCAAGAGAACTGCAGCTAAATTGGAGTGTAGGGAGTGAAATAGAGAACTCAAAGATGACTCTCAGCAATGGAAGGTGACAGCTGTCACTGAAGCATGCTGATGCCTCTTATTAAGAGAGTTACTTGGGAATGGCAAGATCAAAACTTCTCACTTTCAAATTTATGAAAAATATTGTTTTCAGAATGAGTGACTTTGGGATCAGAAAGCCACCATTCTAATTGATGGTTCCACGACTACACGGGCTCACACTCGCAAGAGCAAAAGTAAATCATCACAAAGGTGCTTCTTGATAATTCTAGAGAATGGAGAATTACTGTAACATCTTTCTGATTTTAGGAGAGGTAGCAGTTCCCTTTTTAGCCTAAACGCTATTTCTTTTTAAAGCTCAGCCAAGAGACTCCATTATAATTTTCAAATGTGTGTAACTTAAATTCTCATATGAAATACCACTATGCTTAAATTAGTCAAAACATTTTCCCCATCTACAACTCTATCTTGTCATTGTAATCATTTTCACAAAAGTGACTGCAGCTCTCAGACCCTAAAAAGAGAAAATCCAGGGTAGTTTATCTGATCTAGTTAGTTTCGAAGACAGGATCTAGAGATTATTTAATATGAAATGGGTCACCTGAAATGAAGTGTTTACTGAAAACAGCTTGGATCAGCCCAGTTTTCTACCACTGAACCATGCATTTGGTTTAAAAAACACAACAACTCTGGGGAATATCGGCTGCTTCCAACTGTGTTGAAGGTGTTAAAGAAAAGAGCATAAAATTAAAAATGATCATCTGAGGCCTTTATAGTCTCTGCTCAAGAGACTAGAGTTTTCCATTCTTAACTAAACACCCAAATATCTTAATAATTGGGCAAAATCTAAATATCAGAGATAATTTTATCTTGAAGATTGTTAAATTATAATGGTGATTCACTAGCTTGCCACGTCTCTGAGTCAAAAATTAGGTCTTTGTTTAGGAATCAATCATAATCTGCAATTTGGAAATAGGAAGATTTTAGAAGACTCAGACATTGACTTTCTTCTGTGCAAAAAAAAAAGACGTATTGAGATAAGACAAGTCTTTCCTTGCAAGGATACCTCTAATGCTCATACACCACCTCCCCTAACATTAATAGAGCTTCCAGGTCACTAACCAGTGTCAGAGAGCAGCCCATGCAACTAGAAATTCAAAAGATGTCGAACATAGGGTCAAGCTTAGAATAAGACGTCTTAGCTAATTAAGTATGCTTTTTTCCCGAAATTCATATTAACAAAATCTTGGATATGTCAGAGAATGCATTCTAAGTTCACTCAACCTAGGAGGGAGAAACATAATTTTAAATTAAGAGCTGAAGCATTCTTGTCCTAACACAAAGCAAGGAAAACGAAATATCACACCACAGGAGGGATTTCACAAATTTGCGTCAACATCAAAACCTTAAAATAGGCAAGGAGAATGCAGATTCACAATGAACTCTTGTACTTGTTTTGTTCAGAGGAGAGATGGTTCTGAGAGAATGACAGTGAACTAACCCCAGCTGGTTTAGTTGGTGCTTTCAACTACTGCTTCTGATCAACTCCTTTAGCTAGAATAAATTGATGAGGATTTTGGCATGTGGTATTAGAGATGGTTATTAATTTTTTCCTCTTATTTGCATTGTTCAATATAGTAAATACTAGCTGTATATGGCTACTTCAATTCAAATTAATTACAATGAAATATACTTAAATATTGAATTTCTTAGTCACTCTTGGTTCATTATTGAATATCTTCAGCTAAGATTTCCCAACTAAAGACACTAAGAGGTGGCTTAGTTAACTGGTCATCCACAAATATTGAAGCTGCTGTTAACTCCTGATATATTCTCTGCAAGGAGAATACTCATAAGCCTCCTCCTGAAATCAGCAGCCTAGAGATAGTTTTATAAACTGGATACAAGTTGGAAATCTATATACTCTTTAAGTGTTTGAAATATTAGCTTCCCAGGGAAGAAAATCAAATTCATAAGATATGCTAGGACAATTTAACTCAAGATGTTCAAAACTGAAATGACATATTCTACAACATGTGATAAAACCACCCCCTAACAACTTAAAGCAAAACAGGGATGGACCTTAAAGACCTGCCTTTTCCTCATCCCCCAGCCAATCAGTTTTCAAATCTTGCATTTTATTTTGAAAGGTCCCTATCCCCCTGGTCTCTTGTTTCTAGACTTGGCACATATTTAAGTTTGTTACCTCTCTCTACTGACTTTTCTCTCTTCAAACAGTATCTATGCCTGCCAAATGTGAACGTACAAGAAACAAATCAGAATGTGTCATTCTGATTTAAACTGCTTATTAGTTAATACCCTCAAGATAACATCTGGGTTCTTAGCTTCAATGAGTCAAGCCTACTTACATCTTTTTGTCTTTGGCTGCTCATTTCCTATCACATCGCACTCCAGCAATGCCAAGCTGTGCCGGCCTTCCACTCCATCTCCATTATTTCGCCCTCCACCGCCGCCGCCACGGCTTTTTGCCCCCCCGCCGCCGCGGCTTATTCCCCCCACCCCGCCTCGGCTTTTTGCCCGCCGCTGCTTTGTGCCCCCCCGGCGCCAGGGCTTTTAGCCCGCCGCGGCTTTTTGACCCCTTGCCGCTGCGAATTTTGCCGCCGCGGCTTTTTGTCCCCCGCCGCTTTTTGCACCCCGCCGCTTTTTGCACCCCGCCGCTTTTTGCCCCCCCCGCCGCCGCGGCTTTTTCCTCGCCGTGGCTTTTTCCCCCCTGCCCCCACGGCTTTTTACCCGCCGCGGCTTTTTGTCCCCTGCCGCCGCGACTTTTTGCCCCCCGCCGCCGCGACTTTTTGCCCCCACCCCGCCTCGGCTTCTTGCCCGCCGCGGCTTTTTACCCCCCGCCGCCGCGGCTTTTTGCCCGCCGCGGATTTGTGCCCCCCTCGCCGCCGCGGCTTTTTGCCCGCCGCGGCTTTCTGCCACACACCCGCCGCCGCGGCTTTTTGCCCCTCCGCCGCCGCGGCTTTTTGCCCCCACCTTGCCTCGGCTTTTTGACCGCCGCGGCTTTTTGCCCCACCACCGACACAGCTTTTTGCACACTCGTCGCCTTGGCTTTTTGCCGCCGCGGCTTTCTGCCCCCTCGCTGCCGCGGCTTTTTGCCCCTCCGCCACCGCCGCTGCTTTTTGCCCCACCGCCGCCGTGGCTTTTTGCCCGCCGCAGCTTTTTGCCATCGCGGCTTTTTACTCGCCACGGCCTTTTACCCGCCACGGCTTTTTGCGCCCCGCTGTCACGGCTTTTTGCCCCCCTGCCGCAGCGACTTTTTCGCCGCCGCGGCGTTTTGCCCCCGCCGCCACGGCTTTTTGCCGCTGTCGCCGCCGCTTTTTGCCCCCGCCGCCGCGGCTTTTTGCTGCCGCGACTTTTTGCCCCGGTCGCCGCCGCTTTTTGTCACCGCGACTTTTTGCCCCCGCCACCGAGGATTTTTGTCCCCGCCGCCACGGCTCTGAGGGCAGGAGCGGCAGACTCGGCTGCCAGCTCTACTGGCGTCCTGGCAAGGGCAGCGCCGAGGGGTGCTCCTGGTCCAGCTCTCCTGGCTCAGGGATTCTTTGCCTAGGCGCCGGCGCCCCGGGCTCCTTGCCTAGGCCCCTGTGGCCTGCATAGAGTGGCGCTGCCTGTGGAGGCGGTGGGAGAGAAGAAGGAGGGCGGTGGTGGGGGTGATGCGGCGGCCACGGAGGGTGGCACAGGGGCTGCGGCCAGCCGGGCGCTGCAGCAGTGCGGGCAGCTCCAGAAGCTCATCGTCATCTTCATTGGCAGCCTGTGCGGGCTGTGCACCAAGTGCGCTGTGTCTAACGACCTCACCCAGCAGGAGATACAGACCCTGGAGGTAAGGGGTTCGGGGACCCGGGCTGGGCTCCAGGAGCGGCCCGGACACCTCCTTCGGGGGCCCCAGTTCACTCCTGGCCGAGTTGCATCTTTGAGCCCACGTCACCCCCTTGGAGGCTTCCCCTCCCTCCTGCACTCGCTGATGCGGCAGCCAGAGGACCCAGGACCAGCCCTCACCTTGGGCAGGATTTGTGGAGCGGGTGCGTGGTGGGAACTGGGATGGAGGCTCCAGGGTCCCGTGGGGGTGGGGGTGGGCTGCGTGAGGACATCCCCTTACCCCCTGAATTTCCATCTGGTCCAGCCCTCTCATCTTGTAGGTGAGGAAACCGAAGGCCCGAGGGAGAAATGACTTGCCAGGAACCCCTGTTAAGGAAAATTAACAAAGTGTGGTTATTAAAGAAGAACTGAGTTGGGAGTCAGACCTGGAGGCCCGCACCCGCGGTTAAGACATTATACCACCTTGAGTCTGGCCTGTTGACTGAGGGTGAGCCACTCCATCCTCATGTGATTGTGGGGTCTTAACCTCAAGGGGTTTCCTGCAGGAAGAAGCAAATGGGTTTGCTTTCCTAGCTCTGTCCAGTACGTTAGGGACCCTGAGGACTGAAGAGATTCTTGGAGAGCCATCTGGTGTATGTCATGGGTGGGTCTTTTTGGAAGGTCAGTCTGCCCAGTGGGCTGGCTCAGCCCGAATGAACTGTCTTGAATCTTTGGAGTTGTCTGTGTACTTTTAAGGGCTTCTCAGCCTTGCACCAAAAGATCCCCCTGGAAATTAGGTGGGAAAAACCTTAACTTTTGTGGGGCCTTGTGTTTGTCTTAAAAGTTCATGCACATAGCCAGGTGTGGTGGCTCCCACCTGTTATCCTTTCCTGGATCCCTTGAGTCAAGGAGTTTGAGACCAACCTGGACAATATAGTGAGACCCCATCTCTACAAAAAATAAAATATTAGCCAGGGGTGGTTGTGCGCATCTGTAGTCCCAGCTACTACTGTGGCTGAGGCGGGAGGAGCACTTGATCCTGCACTGAGCTCTGATCTCACCAGTGTACTCCAGCCTGGGCCACAGAGCAAGACCGTGACTCAAAAAAAAAAAAAAAAAAAAAAGACAAGAAAAATTCTTCAAGATTTTGCATTCTGTCCCACTACCCATTGGTTTTCATGTCAAGATAATGTCAGAAATTCTTTACAATTGCTTCCAGAAGGAGTAGCCTTTTGATCTAGTGCACAGGTGTCCAGTCTTTTGGCTTCTCAGGGCCACATTGGAAGAAGAATGCTCCTGGGCCGCACATAAAATACACTAATGCTAACAACAGCTGATGGGGTTAAAAAAAAAAAAGGTTTGTGCATAATTTTCATGCTACCCACCACCACAGATAGGTGGAAAAGTCCTTGTAGTCAAAGGGCTGGACACGGCTGATCTAGTGTCTTGTCGTCCGTTTTGGCTTTCTCCCTGAATCCAGAATGCAGGTAGAGATGTAGAGACATGCTCTCAGGACAGCTGTTGAGATAAAAAAAATTCGTTGTCATTTATTCCCAAGCACAGCTGTTTCTCATTGCATTGAAAAAGTCTCCAT
This sequence comes from Homo sapiens, assembly GCF_000001405.40. Taxonomy (NCBI): domain Eukaryota; kingdom Metazoa; phylum Chordata; class Mammalia; order Primates; family Hominidae; genus Homo; species Homo sapiens. The sequence continues at coordinate 121,398,874 of NC_000001.11, forward strand.
TCAAACTGCTGTCACATATAAAATCTATTTATGTAAGTCTGTATTTTTCTGTTGTCTTGGCCTTTGTAGGCAGTAGTGTGTTTTAACCGAGCAAACTGTCCTTCCAAATAATGAAGCCGAAGTCAGCCTACCTACTTGCCATTTTTCTTCCCCTTCCATTTTTGTAACCTCGGAATAATTGTAAGAATGAATTAAGATTTGTGTTTAAGGCCAGGCACAGTGTCTCAGGCCTGCAATCTCAGCACTTTGGGAGGCGGAGATGGTTGTATCGCTTGAGCTCAGGAGTTGAAGACCAGCCTGGGCAACATACTGAGACTCCGTCTTGTATAATTTAATTAAAATTGAAAAAAAGAAGAGAAAAAGACCTGTATTTAAAATTTTAAAAAGGGGGGGAAAGTGTAATGCAAAATGTGGACTATGCGAGCTATGACTGGGAAAACTAGTTTTTCATACAGCATTATCTGTAGACTTGTATTAGCAGCATACTGGTCATAAGCGTTTTGCTTTCCTGAAATATGATGAGGTAAGCTAATTTAAAGTGTGTTGGGGCTTTCTGCCGCGTGGCTCCTGGAGGTGTTGAGTCCCAATTTAGCCAATTAATTTGGGTTTAGTTTTGACGTGGATAAGGGAGACCAGCTTCATTCATGGTGTACACACAGTTTTGCCAATAAGGAAAAAAAAAAGCCACCTGAATGTTCCTACTCATTAGATGCTATCTGGAGAGCTCCTACCCCACCCCCACCAAGGCCCGGGCCATTAAAAAGACTCAATGCAGCCTTTCTGTATCTCATACTGTATTCTGCAAGATACTCCTGTGAAAGAAAGTTGTGCTGCATCAGCCATCTCCCTCCTGAAGATCCCTGCGGATGAGGATTTGTGTTTTGAAAGTTCTGAGAATTCCTGCAACAACAATTCTCAAACTTATTTGTCCATGGGATCTTTTCTTCCACTGAATGTAGTTGGGGAGACACGGCCTTAAGCCTTGAGCAGAGAAAGAGACAAGAAACTGTCGGCTCACTTACAACCAAGTGTTGTGTTTATGTTTTAGGTTTTTATGAAACTGAGGTGCTGTTTGAGGTTCTAAATGAAATTGGGTGGTTGAAGAGAGGCTGGTATCCCTGTAGACTTAGCCAGCCATGAGAAGTTGCCTTTTGTTGAAGGAGGTGTTTTACAAAGGGAAATAGGGTGTCTCCTGGGCATCGCATTAGCAATTAAATACATGTATCACTGAAATGAAAAGAAATGATGAAATGATGAAATGAAATGATGAAATGAAACGAAATGATGAAATGAAGAAATGAAATAATGAGATGAAATGATGATGAAATGAAATGAAATGATGAAATGGAATGATGAAATGAAATGATGAAGTGATGACATGAAATGGTGAAATGAAATGAAATGAAATAATGAAGTGAAATGAAATAATGAAGTGAAATGAAATGATGAAATGATGAAATGAAAAGATGAAATGATGAGGAAATGATATGAAATGATGAAATGATGAAATGAAGTGAATGATGAAATGATGAAAAAATGAAATTAAATGATGAATTGATGAAATGAAACGATGAGATGAAAAGGTGAAATGAAACGAAATAATTAAATGAAATGAGATGAAAAGATGAAATGAAATTATGAGATGAAATGAAATGATGAGATGAAGTGAAATGATGAAATGAAATGATGAGATGAAATGAAATAATGCAATGAAAGATGATATGATGAGATGAAGTGAAATGATGAAATGGAATGATGAAATGAAATGATGAAATTGTGAAATGAAATGAGGAAATGAAATGGAATGATGAAATGATGAAGTGAAATGATGAAATGATGAAATGAAATGAAAAGATCAAATGGTGAAATGAAGAAATGATATGAAATGATGAAATGAAGTGAAATGATTAAATGATGAAATAATGAAATGAAATGATGAAATGATGAATTGATGAAATGATCAAATGAAATGACGAGATGAAAAGATGAAATGAAATGACGAGATGAAAAGATGAAATGAAATGATGAAATGAAATGACGAGATGAAAAGATGAAATGAGATGAATGATGAGATGAAATGAAATCATGAGATGATGAAATGATGAGATGAAGTGAAATGATGAAATGATGAGATGACGAAATGCAACAATGAGAAGAAATGATGAAATGAAATAATGAAAGGATGAGATGATGAGATGAAATGATGAAAGGATGAAATGAAATGATGAAATGAGGAAATGAAACGATGAAATGTAATGATGAAATGATGGAATGAAAAGATGAAATGATGAAATGATATGAAATGATGACATGAAGTCAAATGATGAAATGATGAAATAAATGAAATGATGAAATGAAATGAGATGAAATGAAATCATGAGATGAAATGATGAAATGAGATGAAGTGAAATGACGTAATGAAATATTGAGATGAAGTGATGAAATGAAATGAAACAATGAAATGAAGTGAAATGAAATGAGATCAAATGATGAATTGATGAAATGAAATGAGATGAAAAGATGAAATGAAATGAAATGATGAAATGAAATGATGAGATGAAAAGATGAGATGAGGGGGGAGGAGCCAAGATGGCCGAATAGGAACAGCTCCGGTCTACAGCTCACAGCGTGAGCGACGCAGAAGACAGGTGATTTCTGCATTTCCATCTGAGGTACCGGGTTTATCTCACTAGGGAGTGCCAGACAGTGGGCGCAGGCCAGTGGGTGAGCGCACCTTGCACCAGCCGAAGCAGGGCGAGGCATTGCCTCACTTTGGAAGCGCAAGGGGTCAGGGAGTTCCCTTTCCGAGTCAAAGAAAGGGGTGACGGACGCACCTGGAAAATCGGGTCACTCCCACCTGAATATTGCGCTTTTCAGACCGGCTTAAAAAATGGTGAACCACGAGATTATATCCCACACCTGGCTCGGGGGGTCCTACGCCCACGGAATCTCGCTGACTGCTAGCACAGCAGTCTGAGATCAAACTGCAAGGCGGCAGCGAGGCTGGGGGAGGGGCGCCCGCCATTGCCCAGGCTTGCTTAGGTAAACAAAGCAGCCAGGAAGCTCAAACTGGGTGGAGCCCACCACAGCTCAAGGAGGCCTGACTGCCTCTGTAGGCTCCACCTCTGGGGGCAGGGCACAGACAAACAAAAAGACAGCAGTAACCTCTGCAGACTTAAGTGTCCCTGTCTGACAGCTTTGAAGAGAGCAGTGGTTCTCCCAGCACGCAGCTGGAAATCTGAGAACCGGCAGACTGCCTCCTCAAGTGGGTCCCTGATCCCTGACCCCCGAGCAGCCTAACTGGGAGGCACCCCCCAGCAGGGGCACACTGACACCTCACATGGCAGGGTATTCCAACAGACCTGCAGCTGAGGGTCCTGTCTGTTAGAAGGAAAACTAACAAACAGAAAGGACATCCACACCGAAAACACACCTGTACATCACCATCATCAAAGACCAAAAGTAGATAAAACCACAAAGATGGGGAAAAAACAGAACAGAAAAACTGGAAACTCTAAAACGCAGAGCGCCTCTCCTCCTCCAAAGGAACGCAGTTCCTCACCAGCAACGGAACAAAGCTGGATGGAGAATGACTTTGACGAGCTGAGAGAAGAAGGCTTCAGACGATCAAATTACTCTGAGCTACCGGAGGACATTCAAACCAAAGGCAAAGAAGTTGAAAACTTTGAAAAAAGTTTAGAAGAATGTATAACTAGAATAACCAATACAGAGAAGTGCTTAAAGGAGCTGATGGAGCTGAAAACCAAGGCTCGAGAACTACGTGAAGAATGCAGAAGCCTCAGGAGCCGATGCGATCAACTGGAAGAAAGGGTATCAGCGATGGAAGATGAAATGAATGAAATGAAGCAAGAAGGGAAGGTTAGAGAAAAAAGAATAAAAAGAAATGAGCAAAGCCTCCAAGAAATATGGGACTATGTGAAAAGACCAAATCTACGTCTGATTGGTGTACCTGAAAGTGATGGGGAGAATGGAACCAAGTTGGAAAACACTCTGCAGGATATTATCCAGGAGAACTTCCCCAATCTAACAAGGCAGGCCAACGTTCAGATTCAGGAAATACAGAGAACGCCACAAAGATACTCCTGAAGAAGAGCAACTCGAAGACACATAATTGTCAGATTCACCAAAGTTGAAATGAAGGAAAAAATGTTAAGGGCAGCCAGAGAGAAAGGTCGGGTTACCCTCAAAGGGAAGCCCATCAGACTAACAGCGGATCTCTCGGCAGAAACCCTACAAGCCAGAAGAGAGTGGGGGCCAATATTCAACATTCTTAAAGAAAAGAATTTTCAACCCAGAATTTCATATCCAGCCAAACTAAGCTTCATAAGTGAAGGAGAAATAAAATACTTCACAGACAAGCAAATGGTGAGAGATTTTGTCACCACCAGGCCTGCCCTAAAAGAGCTCCTGAAGGAAGCGCTAAACATGGAAAGGAACAACCAGTACCAGCCGCTGCAAAATCATGCCAAAATGTAAAGACCGTCGAGACTAGGAAGAAACTGCATCAACAAACGAGCAAAATAACCAGCTAACATCATAATGACAGGATCAAATTCACACATAACGATATTAACTTTAAATGTAAATGGACTAAATTCTCCAATTAAAAGACATAGACTGGCAAATTGGATAAAGAGTCAAGACCCATCAGTGTGCTGTATTCAGGAAACCCATCTCACGTGCAGAGACACACATAGGCTCAAAATAAAAGGATGGAGGAAGATCTACCAAGCAAATGGAAAACAAAAAAAGGCAGGGGTTGCAATCCTAGTCTCTGATAAAACAGACTTTAAACCAACAAAGATCAAAAGAGACAAAGAAGGCCATTACATAATGGTAAAGGGATCAATTCAACAAGAAGAGCTAACTCTCCTAAATATATATGCACCCAATACAGGAGCACCCAGATTCATAAAGCAAGTCCTGAGTGACCTACAAAGAGACTTAGACTCCCACACATTAATAATGGGAGACTTTAACACCACACTGTCAACATTAGACAGATCAAGGAGACAGAAAGTCAACAAGGATACCCAGGAATTGAACTCAGCTCTGCACCAAGTGGACCTAATAGACATCTACAGAACTCTCCACCCCAAATCAACAGAATATACATTTTTTTCAGCACCACACCACACCTATTCCAAAATTGACCACATAGTTGGAAGTAAAGCTCTCCTCAGCAAATGTAAAAGAACAGAAATTATAACCAACTATCTCTCAGACCACAGTGCAATCAAACTAGAACTCAGGATTAAGAATCTCACCCAAAGCCGCTCAACTACATGGAAACTGAACAACCTGCTCCTGAATGACTACTGGGTACATAACGAAATGAAGGCAGAAATAAAGATGTTCTTTGAAACCAATGAGAACAAACACACAACATACCAGAATCTCTGGGACGCATTCAAAGCAGTGTGTAGAGGGAAATTTATAGCACTAAATGCCCACAAGAGAAAGCAGGAAAGATCCAAAATTGACACCCTAACATCACAATTAAAAGAACTAGAAAAGCAAGAGCAAACACATTCAAAAGCTAGCAGAAGGCAAGAAATAACTAAAATCAGAGCAGAACTGAAGGAAATAGGACACAAAAAACCCTTCTAAAAATCAATGAATCCAGGAGCTGGTTTTTTGAAAGGATCAACAAAATTGATAGACCACTAGCAAGACTAATAAAGAAAAAAAGAGAGAAGAATCAAATAGACACAATAAAAAATGATAAAGGGGATATCACCACCAATCCCACAGAAATACAAACTACCATCAGAGAATACTACAAACACCTCTACGCAAATAAACTAGAAAATGTAGAAGAAATGGATAAATTCCTCAACACATACACTCTCCCAAGACTAAACCAGGAAGAAGTTGAATCTCTGAATAGACCAATAACAGGAGCTGAAATTGTGGCAATAATCAATAGTTTACCAACCAAAAAGAGTCCAGGACCAGATGGATTCACAACTGAATTCTACCAGAGGTACAAGGAGGAACTGGTACCATTCCTTCTGAAACTATTCCAATCAATAGAAAAAGAGGGAATCCTCCCTAACTCATTTTATGAGGCCAGCATCATCCTGATACCAAAGCCGGGCAGAAACACAACCAAAAAAGAGAATTTTAGACCAATATCCTTGATGAACATTGATGCAAAAATCCTCAATAAAATACTGGCAAACTGAATCCAGCAGCACATCCAAAAGCTCATCCACCATGATCAAGTGGGCTTCATCCCTGGGATGCAAGGCTGGTTCAATATACGCAAATCAATAAATGTAATCCAGCATATAAACAGAACCAATGACAAAAACCGTATGATTATCTCAATAGATGCAGAAAAGGCCTTTGACAAAATTCAACAACTCTTCATGGTAAAAACTCTCAATAAATTAGGTATTGATGGGACGTATTTCAAAATAATAAGAGCTATCTATGACAAACCCACAGCCAATATCATACTGAATGGGCAAAAACTGGAAGCATTCCCTTTGAAAACTGGCACAAGACAGGGATGCCCTCTCTTACCACTCCTATTCAACATAGTGTTGGAAGTTCTGGCCAGGGCAATTAGGCAGGAGAAGGAAATAAAGGGTATTCAATTAGGAAAAGAGGAAGTCAAATTGTCCCTGTTTGCAGACGACATGATTGTATATCTAGAAAACCCCATTGTTTCAGCCCAAAATCTCCTTAAGCTGATAAGCAACTTCACCAAAGTCTCAGGATACAAAATCAATGTGCAAAAATCACAAGCATTCTTATATGCCAACAACAGACAAACAGAGAGCCAAATCATGAGTGAACTCCCATTCACAATTGCTTCAAAGAGAATAAAATACCTAGGAATCCAACTTACAAGGGATGTGAAGGACCTCTTCAAGGAGATCTACAAACCACTGTTCAAGGAAATAAAAGAGGATATAAACAAATGGAAGAACATTGCATGCTCATGGGTAGGAAGAATCAATATCGTGAAAATGGCCATACTGCCCAAGGTAATTTATAGATTCAATGCCATCCCCATCAAGCTACCAATGACTTTCTTCACAGAATTGGAAAAAACTACTTTAAAGTTCATATGGAACCAAAAAAGAGCCCACATCACCAAGTCAATCCTAAGCCAAGAACAAAGCTGGAGGCATCACACTACCTGACTTCAAACTATACTACAAGTCTACAGTAAACAAAACAGCATGGTACTGGTACCAAAACAGAGATATAGATCAATGGAACAGAACAGAGCCCTCAGAAATAACGCCACATATCTACAACTATCTGATCTTTGACAAACATGAGAAAAACAAGCATTGGGGAAAGGATTCCCTATTTAATAAATGGTGCTGGGAAAACTGGCTAGCCATATGTAGAAAGCTGAATCCCTTCCTTACACCTTATACAAAAATCAATTCAAGATGGATTAAAGACTTAAACGTTAGACCTAAAACCATAAAAACCCTAGAAGAAAACCTAGGCATTACCATTCAGGACATAGGCGTGGGCAAGGACTTCATGTCTAAAACACCAAAAGCAATGGCAATAAAAGCCAAAATTGACAAATGGGATCTAATTAAACTAAAGAGCTTCTGCACAGCAAAAGAAACTACCATCAGAGTGAACAGGCAACCTACAAAATGGGAGAAAATTTTCGCAACCTACTCATCTGGCAAAGGGCTAATATCCAGAATCTACAATGAACTCAAACAAATTTACAAGAAAAAACAAACAACCCCATCAAAAAGTGGGCAGAGGACATGAACAGACACTTCTCAAAAGAAGACATTTATGCAGCCAAAAAACACATGAAAAAATCCTCACCATCACTGGCCATCAGAGAAATGCAAATCAAAACCACAATGAGATACCATCTCACACCAGTTAGAATGGCAATCATTAAAAAGTCAGGAAACAACAGATGCTGGAGAGGATGTGGAGAAATAGGAACACTTTTACACTGTTGGTGGGACTGTAAACTAGTTCAGCCATTGTGGAAGTCAGTGTGGTGATTCCTCAGGGATCTAGAACTAGAAATACCATTTGACCCAGCCATCCCATTACTGGGTATATACCCAAAGGACTATAAATCATGTTGCTATAAAGACACATGCACACGTATGTTTATTGCGGCACTATTCACAATAGCAAAGACTTGGAACCAACCCAAATGTCCAACAATGATAGACTGGATTAAGAAAATGTGGCACATATACATCATGGAATACTATGCAGCCATAAAAATTGATGAGTTCATGTCCTTTGTAGGGACATGGATGAAATTGGAAATCATCATTCTCAGTAAACTATCGCAAGAACAAAAAACCAAACACCGCATATTCTCACTCATAGGTGGGAACTGAACAATGAGAACACATGGACACAGGAAGGGGAACATCACACTCTGGGGACTGTTGTGGGGTGGGGGTAAGGGGGAGGGATAGCATTGGGAGATATACCTAATGCTAGATGACGAGTTAGTGGGTGCAGCGCACCAGCATGGCACATGTGTACATATGTAACTAACTTGCACATTGTGCACATGTACCCTAAAACTTAAAGTATAATAATAATAAATAAAAAAAGAAGAAATTTTAAAAATTTAAAAAAATAAAAATAAAAAAAAAATAAAATTAAATTAAAAAAAAAAAAAGAAGTTGCCCCAAGAAATATATTTTGGTTTTCAGCTGGATGAGAATTTGGTTGTTAGAGTCATACCATGGAATTTTCATTTACATTAATGTTCCTTTTATTTTATTTTTTTAAGTAGTAGTTTCATTGAGATAACATCCACATTAAACGATTCACTCATTTAAAGTTTTGATTCAGTGATTTTTTATTGTGTTCCCAAAGTTGTACAACCATCACCACAATCAAATTTAGAACATTTTTAAAAGAAAAAAAAATCCCATGCCCATTAGCAGTTACACTCCTTTGTTTCATTTTGCCTGTAAAAGTGAGAAAAGTGTCATTCTCTTACTTAGACTGCTCTTGGAATAAATAAATGTTGAATGAATGGGTGGTGACAGGAGGTAAGTATATAATGCAAATAAGTTTGAGATCAATACACAAATATTTCAACAAAATGGATACAATGAAATTCATTGAGTTCTGTTTCAATTCGTAGAGTAACAAATTCTATGGAAAGGGAACATAGTATTTCTTTTGACAAATAATACTATTATCATATTATCTGTTATTCTTTTTGGCAATTGTCACAAACATTCATAACTCTTGACTTATGGTAATGGTAATTACAGAAGTAATGGTCTTCTGGGAGTACATCCTTAAGAGATACTTAAAATTTGCAAAAAGATTTTTGCAAGAGTTAGGCTTATGTTTAGGACATAAAAAGATGTGAAAGATCTTCCTTCACTCCCACTGAAACAATGTTACCCAATAAACCAAACATTTCGCACTTTTGTTTAAAACCACCATTTTGTAAAAATTCTGTTCCACAGGTACAAATAAATCTAAAAGAACTAAATTACTTTAGAGAGACAAAATCTTTGCAGGTGAGCAATAGATGGAGAACATTTCACCTGGTGCAGTTGCTGAGGCTAGGTCAGCGTAGGTCAAAAAGCAATCTTCCAAACCAAAGATAATCTTTGGTTTGAGGAAGAGAAACCTGCTTTGAACCTCTGAGCTGGTATGAAGGCTTTACATCTAAGGAAGCTTCAGTGCAAAAAAATGCACTTCCCCAAATAATCCTCTTACATGAGTATTTTACTGAGTAATCAAATATTGGGGTCAGGCCTGTAAAGGGAAGGATTTTATATTACCTTGTGATTTCATATTTAAAAGTCTCTTATTTTCATTGTTTTCTGAACTCAGAAATCTTGGGGTTGGTCTTCAAGACACAAAGTTGCATGGTCTCACTGTGCTGCAGTCCTGCAAAAGAGTGACATGACATGGGACAACTGAAACTGTCATATATTGCTTTTGAAAACGTAAAACGCTACAAGTACTTTGGAAAATGGCTTAGCAGTTTGTTATAAAATTAAGCATACACCTGCTCTAGAACCCAGCAATTCCACTCTTATTTGCCCAAGAGAAATGAAAATCTATGTCTGTAAAAAGACTTGTGGAAGAATGCTGCTTTATTCTTCTCCAGTGTCCCCGAAGTGAAAAGAACCCAAATGTCCTTTAACACATGAATAGGTAAACAAATTCATCAGTGGAATACTACTCAGCAATAAAGAAAAACTACTGATACATATGACAACATGGACAAATCTCAAAAAATATGTTGAGCCAAAGAAGACAGACATGAAAACTCATACTGTATGATTAATTTATATTTCATTTTAGAACAGGACAAACTCATATGTGGTGATGGAACATTGACAAGTGGTTGCCTTGGGATGGAGAGTGGGGAGGAGAGTGGGGTTAACTGCAAAGGTGCTCAAGAGAATTTTCCAAGGTGATGAAACTTTTCTATCTGCATATTGGTGACTATATGGAAGTGTGCATTTGTCAAAACTTATTGACTCATACAATTAAAATTGGTATACTTTATCATATATAAATTAATCTCAATAAAATTAACTTTTAAAAAGTTACTTATGAATTCAAATAAGTCTTCTAAACAGTAATTTGCTGAAAACTATTAATTTCTGTGTTCCTTAATACAGAAAAACAACCCAATAAAGAAACTGGAACAAGCTATATAAATACTAGCAGCTGGGCAATGGCATAGCCAAATTATGATACCTTAGTGTTCAATAACATTATTCAGGGAAGTTGAATTATTGATTATTAACACCATGTAGTAATATGGCAAATGTTTAGGATATCCACATAAGCATTTAACTAGACTAAAAACTAGAATTTTATTGATTTCTGACATTGAGATTAATGGGACTCATAAATTTAAACTCTACAACCATGGGAAAAAATCAGTCATTAGTTTTAGTTGATTCTCTACTTACTGATAATGTATAAACAAAATAACAATAATAACTAGAAATTATAATGTCAGCAAAACTAAGATAGGAGAATAGATCAAGCACGTTTGGCTTAAGTGATTACATTTGTAAAAGTTAATTGTCATTCTTTTTCAGTAAGAGTAATAAAAGCCTTGTGGAAATTTGGCCTGTTAAAAATTCTCATTTCTAGCCTTACTGTAAATATTAATATTTGTTAAATATTTTTCTAGTTTGTTTATTTATTTATTTATTTATTTTTGAGATGGAGTCTTGCTCTGTCACCCAGGCTGGAGTGCAGTAGCGTGATCTCGGCTCACTGCAAGCTCCGCCTCCCGGTTTCACTCCATTCTCCTGCCTCAGTCTCCCAAGTAGCTGGGACTACAGGTGCCTGCCACCACGCCCGGCTAATTTTTTACCTTGTGATCCACCCGCCTCGGCCTCCCAAAGTGCTGGGATTACAGGTGTGAGCCACCACACCCGGCCTAGTTTATTGTATTACTAAGTAAATCAAATAGCATAATGTTTATATATTTGTGTTTTTTGTATAAATGATAGTATTAAAATTTAACAAGCTCTTCAGACTGTATATTTTATTAATATATTAGTTTGTGTTTATTTCCAAGTTTAGCAATAGCCAATACTTGTGAAGAAATATCTTAATATACTACCATTTCTGATGAAGTTCTAATATTAAAATTAAACATTAGTGAGAACAAAACAGAATCCTGTAACTTGGAACAAATTCATTTCTCACTTATAGACTATTTCTAGGTAGAAAATTCCAAAACCCCCAAAACATTTAAGAGAAAAATACAGAAAATACATGTCAGGTTGCTAGAAACCATTAACTTATTATCATAAGACCTCCGCTTCTTTGTATAAAACTATAAAAGATAGACTTGCATTTCATTCCTATTTGGTACGGAATAAAATATTATGAAAAACGCAGTGATATTTTAGCATGCAAAAATACTCAGTAGCAATTCATGTGTTCAATATTCTTATTACCCTCAGAAAATTAACCAGTACTGATTTCAGTTGTGTTTGTACCTGTAAACCATGCTGAACAATGACTCCATGCTGTGCTTGTAAAGCAGCCATAAGTGAGACAGGATAATATATGTGAGTTTGATTTACATTTTGGTATTCAAGGGCACAAGATAAAGAATAACTGAGATTTGAGCTATTGTGGGAAGTCTCCAGAGTGGTCAGCGATCAAATAAAGTGAGCCTCGGGATTTTTTTTTATGCATGGTGAAGGGTGCAGCTGAATTGTGTCACTGCAGCAGCATTTAATAAGTAAAGGTAAAGTCATTTGGTAAAGTACTGTATTAGATGTCAGATCAAATCTAAGATAGCCACTACCATAATGAGAGAGAGAGAAAGGTAATTTTTTTTTTTTTTTGCTCAAACTAGAGCTTTCTTAAATCTAAGGTTGCTTTCTCAATGTAGCCATTTAGAAAGCCATCTAGAATGTTTACGGTTTAAAAAAACAGACAATTGACAGTTTTTTATTCCTTCCAATGCATTGTCTACAGAACTCACTCTCACTATAAGTCATGACAGACGAGATTGAGCATGTTTGGGGTGGTGTGGCCATAGACTAGAAGTTCTGACAGTGTCCCACATAACAAATGTCTCCACAACTGAAGAATCACGATTAACTGAATTACTTGAACATCTATTCTTACTTACAAGATTCCCAGGTACAATCTTCTATTTTGCTTTGGGAAAATAAGTGTTTTCCATGAGTATGTTCAATTGGCAAGTGAAAGAAAGTGATCAGTAATAACATACATATAGAAAACTAGATACTTTTCTTTGACATGGCAGAATTTCATAAGGAGCTGAGGTTTTAGGATTAAGCTTTCAAAGTAAGTCTATTTTTGTTGTTAAATATGACTGTTAATACATTGTATGTGGTTTACAGAAATGCAAATGGATCTATTAAACATGATGGGTTTCTCTGCAATGGAGAAGTCTCTACAGACAACATAACAGTCAGAGTTTCACATTAAAGTCAAGACCCAGGCATGACTATTTATATATTTAGCAAATAGTGAGTAACTGCTGGAATTGTTAGTAGGGCCATGGAGAATAAAATCAGTCATGTTTCCTACTTTCATTGAACTCATAGTCTAATGGGAGAAGACAAATGTTAATAAAATAATTATAAAAATTATGTAATTAACAATCTTGAGATAATGGAAGGGTGAGCCTTTTAAGAATATGAGAGTAGATGTGAATGAGCAGGTTTGAGTTTTCTGAGGGATTAATAGTATGAACTGAGGTTTGAAGAATGAGTAGGAAAACCTAGGCAAGGAGAGGTCTCCTAAGGTGAGATAAATGCCAGTGCCCAGGACCTGGGGCAACAGAACATAAAGTATTCAAGAAACTGAAAGTCCAGAGAGACTGGAGCTCCATGTGAAGGGTTGAGTGAAACCTGATGATTAACCAAGCAGGGAGAAGAGCTTGCAGGGTCTGGTAGCCCACATCAAGCAATTTTATCCTAAAATGCATGGGGAAATATTAAAGGGTTTTAAGCAGGAGAAGAGCATGGTCATATGCTGAAAAGATTTTTGTATCAGAATAGAGGAGTTGTCAGCTGTCAGTGTGTCAGGGCGGAAAATAGTAATAAGTTGGTGCGAAAGTGATTGCCGTTTTTGCCATACATACTATTAATGGCAAAAACTGCAGTTACTTTTACTCACTATATTACTTTGACTAGGGTGATGGCATTGGAAATGGAGAGAGATAAATGGATTTGGAATACGTTTAGGAGGTATAGTTAATAGAGTTAGGGAAAGGATTGGGTACGACAGCTGAAAGAAAGTACAAGGGGTGGGTGAAAAGTGACTCTTAGGTTCCTGGCTTGTGAAATTGGAGGGATGGTGGTGCCAATTACTAAGCTAGTGAATCCTGAAAGAGGACAAGATGGTAAGTTTAGCTTTTGCTTTTTGTCGTTTATTTATTTAGAGTTAAATGATGACTTTGGGGCAGGTTAAATGGAAGACATATAGAAGAAAAAAAGGATATCTTAATTTAAAGCAAAAAGATATCTATCCTGAAGGTGTAAATTTGAGAGTCAATACATAAGGATAGTAATTGAAGCCTTTGGCCTTAATGAATTGCTGAGAGAAAGCATATAGAGACGAAGGAAATACCTGCTCTTGAAGTATTTAATATGTAGGTATAAGAGGATACATTTGAGAAAGAAATTGAGTAGTTACAGCCAGAATACAAGAAGAAGACAAAGAATGAACAGAAAACAATGAAGCCGGGGGAAGAAAGGAGCAGTCCACAGGTACAAAAGTTACAAGGAGCCGGGCACGGTGGCTCATGCCTGTAATCCCAGCACTTTGGGTGGCTGAGGCGGGTGGATCATGAGGTCAGGAGTTTGAGACCAGCCTGTCCAACATGGTGAAACCCCGTCTCTAACAAAAATACAAAAATTAGCTGGGCGTGGTGTTACATGCCTGTAATCCCAGCTACTCGGGAATCTGAGGCAGGAGCATAGCTTGAACCTGGGAGGTGGAGGTTGCAGTGAGCCAAGTCCATGCCACTGCATTCCAGCCTGGGCAAAACTCTGTTTCCAAAAAAAAAAAAAAAAAAGTTATAAAGATATTAATTAAAATGAGGTTGAAAAATTTGTTGGGTTACAAACTTAACAGGGGAGAGAATGGGGATAGAGAAGGAAATGGGTGGGGATGAAATGGAGACTCAATATTGGCCACTGGTTCAAGAAATTTGGCTGTGAAGAGGTAGGGGTAGAAGAATTTAAGGGGTGAGGTTTTCTGTTTTGGGTTTTTATTTTTTGTAGTTTTTGTTTGTGTTTGTTTTATTCTGCTTGAAATGAAATATTGAGAAGCCATGGGAATATTTAAAAGCTGATGTGGTTGGGGCAAGGAATAAGGGTAATTGATAATGTCAGGCTTCTGAGAAGACGAAAGAGAAGCTGATTTGAAGTACCAGTGAAGACACTGACCTTCCACAGGAAGAGGCTTAGTTTCTTTATTTTACTTTGAAGAAGGAGAAGAGGACTGTAGAAGGAGACAAGATTACTGGATTTATTTGTGGGAAATCGAGGTAACTCCTATCTAATGGGTTTTTCTTTCTTTTGAATGAGGGAGAGGCCATAACTAGATGTTTGATATTAGACATAGTTTCCTACCTTTAAAATGGAATGTTTTGAGAATTAGTTGCGCAATGAATGTGAAAGCACTGCAATAACAGTTGTTGTTTACAGCACTTATTTCCGTTGTGGAAGTGCATCTTTAAATTTAGAGATTCTTACATTCTTTTTAACAGACTTTCTTTTGACATTATAGTCTTGTTTCCAAATCCTTTAGAGATGGAAGCAATATTATCTAAAGATATTGTGAGAAAAATAAGTATATGTAAAATATTCTATTTGTTGAAAATTACCACATAAATTTTATATATTATTTTACTTTTATAAAGGGATTGAAATCCTCATTCATAAGCATTAAATCAATCCCTTATGGCAGTTTATTTTTGTGTGGAAAGTTAATGGTGTCATGTAAAGTGCTTAAGAGAACTCCAGTACAATAATTCCAAGTTCTATAAAATATCCATCACATTTACATGAAAACACCACAAGATGACCAGGGTCTTTATTCTGATGTTCTTCTACTTCAGATCATTTTATCTCCTTAGGACCAATATGTTCATTTTGTTTTGTTTTGTTTGCCTTCTCTTGGAGACCAAGTTTGGTCAATTCTAACATGTGAGATGAAAAAGAAAATAGAACAAGAGAAGTGGCTCACTCCTGGCCAAATTATTTTAAAAATTGTATTCATATATACCTGGGAAGATTTTTATAATTAATGTTTTAGAGCCACCCTTAAAATAGTGTTGTAATTCCTTTCACAAAATATTTTTAGGGGCTACCGTTTCTGTATAAATTTAGCAATGCCGCTCATTGCTATAATTATAGCAGCCTACTTCTATTATAATTTTATTATTTATATTATTGTTTCAAAAGGCACTACCAACAATTAAACACTTTATTCAGAAATATCATAATTAAAACAAGATTATAGAGTACTTCAGTCTTTGGGATGATCAGAATTTAGTGCAGTGTACTGAGAACTATTTATAAAGCCTACTGTAGCCGACTCTGCGCTTTGCCCATGTCACCTAAGCTCTTAGTATTGCAGTCCACACCAGTAGACTTCCAAGGACAGCATTTATGTGTCTTTGTCTGAGTGTTTTCTCTGGCAGCCTGAGGCCACTCTGCTGTTGCCAGCAGCAGGCTGGAAGTATGAGGAAATTTTCACCCTTCAGGAGCAGCACTCAACAGGATTTAAAAATACCCAGCTCCCTTGCCCTGCAGTCAGGACAAGGCTGAGGTATATTTTCTACTTGGCTCCCAAAACCCCAAGTGGTAACTTGCTTAATGATACACTCTTGTCATTGAGTTAAGTTGTTGCTGTTGTGTTATTAAAGTTGTCTCCATTTCCTGTTTCACTTTCTCACTCTGCTATTAGTGTTTCCTGGAGTCATCTCCCATGGAACTATTTTCTCTTGAATTCCTTTTTCAGGATTTGCTTGTCAGGGAATTCAAAGTAAGCCACTTATCACATTTTCTCATCTGTAATTTCTAATATTACTTTAAAATTCTAAGTACGGTGGAGAAGAAGGAGCATAGAAAGGGCACATGATGCCAGCATTTTCAGAAAAATTAATCTCATGTCCATTGTGACCAGATACAACTCTTGGAAATATCTGAAATCATGTATATAAATTATGGAACAATGAAAGTTATTTTTATTTGTGATTATAGTTCATTTTCACCAGTATATAAAAAGAAAAATCTCTACCATACAATGTATCTATTCATTCAGTCAAAAATATTTCTTGAGCACTTACTATATCCTAAGTACAGTGCTAGGTTGTGAGGGTAAAATGGTGAATAATACTGATATCATGCCTATACTCATGAATCTTACAGTGTGATGTGTAACTGGTAATTAATCTGTCCTCACTCAAGTTAAGCTATGGTAAATGGTATGACAGAAAATATGGGGACCTCATTGAGTATGTGACAGAAGGAATTGATTTAATCTGGGTGTCCAGAGTATCCTTCCCTAAGGGAGTGAAGTTTGGGCTAACAGGTGAATAAGGAGTTAGCTAGAAAGGGGGTGGAGACACATCTGCAAAGAGCAGAGAATTCCAAGATGCTGAAGCCCAAGTTATCCTGGAACTTTAGAAGAACTGGAAGATGGTCACTGTGGCTGGCATAAGGGGACAAGAGAGAACAATGCACCTGGAGCTTTCTTGCAGGCTCCGTTAAGATAATGATAAGAAATTTGTGCTGTGCACTGTGGCTCACACCTATAATCCTAGTACTTTGGGAGGCCAATATGGGCAGATTGCTTGAGCTCAGGGGTTCAAGACCAGCCTGGCCAATATGGCAAAACCCCATCTCCACAAAAAATACAATAATTAGCTGGGCGTGGTGCTGCGTGCCTGTGGTTCCTGCTAATTGGAGGGTGAGGTAGGAGGATTGCTTGAGCCCAGGGGGCAGACGCTGCAGTGAGCTGAGATCCTGCCTTGGAAAATTATTAGATAATTTAAATTGAGAAGTAAAATAAGATGTATAGTTTTAAACAATCACTCTGGACAGTGTATTAGAAAACAAGCAGAGATCACTTCAATGTTTTAAGTAATTTGTGCTAAAGCCTAAAGCTACAACTCAGATAGTTAGAAATGTCAAACTATTTTAAAATATGTTGCTTCAACCTATTTATTAATATGTTGAGATTGCAAAGTGTCTCAAATGCTTACTTGAGAATAAAGGCCAAAATTGAGTAGTCAGTCACAACGTTAGGACTATTTCTTTGTTCCAAATTCAAAGGCACTCTTATTTGCATTCAGTATATATGCATTTTTTTTATTTTTGAGTGCCAACCAGAAGTTTAGCTATTGAAGAGTATAGCAAAGGGAAAGGCCAACAGCAAAATTGTATTTTCCGCATTTGCAAATCACTGCAAGATCTGGTCTTTCAAAACAATTTGGATTAGGTGAAGTATGGCATCCCTGTCTTGTGTATGAATTACAGAGCTATCATTCTGCTACAGTTATGATTATATTCATTGTAAGACAGAAGGCTGAGCAATTTAAAAAGTTCTATAATACAACTTAAAAATTTATATGAAATCGCCAGTCACTTTTCTATTTTCTGTTCTTCCTCTCCTCCGTCTTCCTTCTTCCACCTCACCCTCCACACCCCCACTTCCTCCTCTGTCTTTGAAAATACGACAAAATACATTTGATAATATAAAAAAAACACAGGTTATGCTATTTCAATAACTACAATGTAACATTAAAGTAGTTATTTGATTTTACCTTTTAAAAATACTAACCAGTCATATTTCGGACAATAATTCTAAATCTTAATGAGAAAATGAAATACAGCTTTTTAATGATTTGCAAGCATTGATAATCAACTGTTAACAGACTACAGCATTTTTTTTTTGCTTCTATGTGAATAATCTACTTTGTCTTTAATTCAGATTATATATGTAGAATGCTGGAAAATGTTATGTAAGAAGATGCATTTGTAGCCGGGCGTGATGGTGCCTGTAGTCTCAGCTATTCTGGAAGCTAAGGTGGGAGGATTGCTTGAGCCCAGGGGCATGAGGCTGCAGTGAGCCATGATTGCGTCACTACACTCCCGTGTGGGTGACACAGTGAGACCCTGTCTATAAATAAATAAATACATAAATAAGAAGTTGTGTTTAAACAAAATTTGATTTAATAAGTTTTCCTCAAATTGCCTAGTCACAATGGTATTTCATAGCATGCTTTATTTAATTATTTTTCTTTTGTTTTACTTAGCTAAATCAATTTTCTAGGCGTGTTTTATGAGAAATGCAGTTGGATAAATTCCTTAAATTTTCTAAATGATTCATGTATGACAGTGTAAAGGTAGCTAGTTTATGATAATTTTTTCACTCCTTGAAAATGACTGTAATATTTAACTGCTGTGAAACGAAACTGTAAATTATAATCTACATGGTGAAGAAAGAAGAAATATCTGTCAAAACACATTCAAAATTGTTAAAGATATAAGTGGATGTGTCTGGCTAAACTAGATTTAGACCTCTTAAGCTTTTCTTAATTTTAGAAAGAAAAAAGAGCTTGATTTTTTATGTCAAAACAGAATAAAATAAAGCAAATAAGGCATTAACTTGACCAGTCTCTCTGCCATTATTTATTTTGATTATCCATCCATATCCTTTATCTAATCAAATTATATAAAATTTTAATGTGAAGAAAGAAATTTTACTGCAAGAGGAAAATAAATCTTACTAACAGATGAAACTAAACTGAAGGGAGTTCATAAACAAATGTTTTATTGGGATACTGTAATTAGCAATGACAATAGCAATACATAAAGCGTAATATGGGAGTAAAGTGATTTTTCTTCCTGCTAGGCTGTAAAAAATGTTTTTAAGGGGCATTAATACCTTTCCACTCTTAATGTAATCTTGGGCATCAGCTCAGGTACCTTTTCTAAAAGCAGTAAGCACTTAACAAGGCATCCTATAGAAATATATCAGTAGTATTGCTCCAGGGGATCCCAGGCACTCGGCAGGCCGAGGCAGGAGAATCACCGGAGCCCGAGGCAGGGAGGTTGCAGCCAGCCGAGATCATGTCAGTACAGTCCAGGCTCCGCAAGAGAGGGAGACCGTAGAAAGAGGGAGACGGAGAGCGAGAGCGAGAGGGAGAGGGAGAGGGGGAGGGGGATGGGGAGGGAGAGGGAGAGGGCCAGTCTTCGTTTTTTATCAAGCACGAATTATATAACCTTGTTATTCTTTGGAGAATGTTTAATATCTTAAAATAATTATTTTTTAAGTGTGTGTGAATATCTGCTCTATTGACTGTGTCACAAAAGTATTTTTTCTTTGAATTATTATATGTCTCATTTTCTTCCTCTTTCCTTCCTTCCTTTCTTCCTTCCCTCCCTTCCTTCCTCTCCCTTTCTTTTCTTCTCTTCTTTTCTTTTCTTCTTTTCTTTTCTTTTCCTTCCTTCCTTCCTTTCCTCCCTTTCCTTCCTTTCCTTCCTTCCTTCCTCCCTCCCTTCCTTCCTTCTTTCCTTCTTTCTTTTTTTTTTTTCAGAGTCTCTCTCTGTCACTCAGGCTGGAGTGCAGTGGCGCAGTCTCGGCTGTCTGCAACCTCTGCTTCCCGGGTTCAAGCAATTCTCCTGCCTCAGACTCCCGAGTAGCTGGGATTACAGGTGCCTGCCACAATGCCTGGCTAATTTTTGTAGTTTTTAAGTAGAGAAGGAGTTTCACCATCTTAGACAAGCTGGTCTTGAACTCCTGACCTCATGATCCACCCGCCTCGGCCTCCCAAAGTACTGGGATTACAGGCATGAGCCACCATGCCCGGACTCTCTCTCTTTCTTTCTTTTCCTTCCTTTCTTCCTTCCTTCCTTTCTTTCTTTCTTCCTTTCTTTCTTTCTCTTTCTTTCTTTCTTTTTTCTTTCTTTCTTTTTCTTTCTTTCTTTCTTTCTCTTTCTTTCTTTTCTTCCTTCCTTCCTTCTTTCCTTCCTTCCTTCCCTCCTTCCTTCCTTCTTTCCTTCCTTCCTTCCTCCTTTTTTCTTTCCTTCTTTCTCCTTCCTTCCTTCCTTCCTTCCCTCCTTCCTTCTCCTCCTTTGTTTCTTTGTTTCCTTCTTTCTTTCTCTTAGATTTTTCTTTTATTTGTTGCTGCAGCCTCTAGGTTATATAATTGCTCCTTATTTTTTTGCCACCACATTAAGCTTTTATTGCTAGCAGTGAGTATTTGTTAAGTATGTACTTTGAATAGAGAATGGAATACAGTATGTTTAGAAAATGCTTGTTTTCTAACGCATATAAGCTGAAGAATTTTGAAATGTAACAAACAACAAGATAAAGCTTCTAATATATATCAGGCATTCTACCAGCATTTTCTTTAATCCAGAAAACAGCTTATAAATTAAATATTACTAATGACACATTAAAGAAAAAGAAACTAAGATACATACAGATTAAATAAGTTGCCAGTATTTATATGATTACTAAGTGTAAACCAAGATCTTTATTCATTTATTCATTCTCACATTCAAAGATTAGGAAAAATTGATCCTGCATTTCTGCATGACAACACTTGTGTTGGTGCTCACCAGGCTACCCACCACTCCTCATTGTCTTCTCCTGGGCATGCTTTCTTCCTTATGGAATCTGCCTAGTCTCCCAATGAGCCCGGTAATAGCCCAGTACACGTAGGCTAACCTTGTTATTCCAAAAATCCCTCTAGGGTAGTTCCCAAAGTTGTAAACTTCTAAAAAGTTTCAACATTGATATGGAGTTCCAAAAAAGTCAAGGACAAATCTGTATGGCTCCTTGGAATATCCATTTTTGCATACATTTATCTAGGAAGGCTTATGAAGCCTCTTCTACTACAAGAATCTCCTGATGAACAAGAAAGTAAGAAGGAATTACAAGGTTATCTGCATTTGTGAATTACTCATAGTTGTGAAAAACTACAAAAGAACTATAGGGAATGATTGTTCTAAACCTATTCACCCTTCAATTTAATAACTCATAGAGAATTAAGATATTAATTCATTCAATGACAAATATCTATTCAACACTCATTGTGAACCTTGCACTGTGCAATGTGCTGGAGATTCCTTGGAAAACAGGTTGAATATAATCTCTGCTCTCATGCAGCACAAGTTGGTGGGGGAACAAAACAACACACAAATAAGCAAATAAAAATATATTACTGCAGATTGTGAGAAGTGATGGAACAGAGTGCCATGATAAGAAACGGTATAAAAGTCCTTATTTTAGTTTTGGTGGTCAGGGAAGGTACGTTTGAGGATATGACATTGGAGCTGAGACTAGAAAAATGAGAAGGAGCCAGGGGATAGGGAGGAAGAATTCTAAGCACAGCTAATTGTAAGAGCAATGTGAAGTGAGGAGAAAGTCTGGGCCTGTTCCAAGGATGGATAGAAAGCTAAAATAGATGAAGTTTCCTGAAAAAGGAAGATTGAAGCAGAAAATGAGGTAATAAATTATTGCCAACAGTTTATTTCATAAATTTAACTAAAATTTCCTGGCATATTTACAGATTACAAGATGCCCAGTAGATTCTGCCAGCTTTCTATTGCTTAAAAGTGAATAAAAAGACAAACACAGCAATTAAAAAAAAAGGATAAAAGATTTGAACAGACACTTCGCAAAAAAGATACAAGATGGCCAATAGCATATGAAAAGATGCTCAACATCATTATTCAGAAAGAAAATACAAAATAAGACTACCAGGAGATAAAACTAGCCATATAAATACATATAGCTATAAAAACTAACAATGTCATGTTGGGAAAGACGTGGAACAACTGGAACTCTTGCACATTGCTTGTGGGTACAACTACTTTAGAAAATAATGTGGCAGTTTCTTATAAAAGTAAACGTACACTTACCTTATGATACAGCAATTCCACTACTACATATTTGCCCAAAATAAGTAAAAATATATATCTACAGAAAAGCTTGCACATGAATGTTCATAGCAGCTTCATTGGTAAGAGCCAAAAATGAGAAGTAATGCAAATGTGCATCAACATGTGGTACCTGAATACAATAGTATATTAGCAATAGGAAGGACAAAATCATACACACAACTCTATGGATGAGTCTCAAAAACGTGCTGAGAGAAAGAGCAGATATATACACAACATGTACACATGTACATAACATGTCATACATACATAACGTGTGTGTGATGATTGTATTTACATGAAATTTTAGAATGGACAAAACTGTGTAGTGACAGGAAGTGAAAGCTGATGAGGCCAGCAGTTGCCTGGGTGTAAGGGTAGGAAAATGTTACTGCAAAAGGTCACAAGGGAACTCTTTGGGGTGATGCAAATATTCTAAATCTTGATTGTGATGGTGGTTACATGGATATACGTATTTGTCAGGACTCATTAAACTGTAAAGTGGGTACATTTTTAAAAATGAGTACATTTTCTTATATGAATATTACACCTCAGTAAAATTTGTTTTAAAAAACAGTCAATGGATTTGTTTCTGTTAACGTTTATCATTATTGTTTATAGGATCTTTTCTCCATAGTAAACTAAATAAAATGTTTCCTGTATTTCTTTTAAAATATTGACTTATTTTATTTTTCACCAGTCCTCACTAAGGTTTTTTTTCGTTTGTTTGTTTTTGTTTTTGTTTTTTAATTATTAGCATTTTGGCCGGGTGCGGTGGCTCACGCCTGTAATCCCAGCACTTTGGGAGGCTGAGGCGGGCGGATCACGAGGTCAGATCGAGACCATCCTGGCTAACACGGTGAAACCCAGTCCCTACTAAAAATACAAAAAAAAAAAAAAAAATTAGCCGCGCGCGGTGGTGGATGCCTTGTACTCCCAGCTACACTGGAGGCTGAGGCAGGAGAATGGCGCGAACCTGGGAGGCGGAGCTTGCAGTGAGCGGAGATCGTGCCACTGCACTCCAGCCTGGGCGACAGAGCGAGATGCCGTTTCAAAAAAAAATACAAATAAAATAAAAAATTAAATTATTAGCATTTTATATTATATGGTACAGAGCTATGAGAAAAATAAAGCTTTCTTCTGAACTAGATTAATTGACTGGCATTAAGGAGACTTTTGCCATATATATATTTTTAATTTGGGGTATTGTTGTTAAGGAGTGAAAACTATGGATATTCGGGGGAATTATACTGAAAGTCTTTTAATTATTCTCATATTTTAGATTTCTTATGTGTTTAAGATTACATATGCCTAAAGTGAATGTTTTAAAGTTCCCTAAAAACATATAGCCTGGGTCAAAGCTTAAGTCCTAATACTTTCTTGAAAAAGCAATGTTAGGGTAGCAACAGTGAGGGAAAAAGAAGTGATTCAGGGGAGGAGAAAATGTAGTACATCGTCCAGGAATCCACAGCTTTAGAACAAAGCACCTTTTGCTTCCTCACTAACACTAAGGACGTATTCCACGCAGGTCGTAAGGTAACCCCTGCTACTCAGGAAAGTGTGAGATAGAAAGACAGGACAGGAATTTATCTGCTGGCTTTTTTATTTTTCTCATTACTCTAAGTTTGTGTGGAGGTAAAGCAACTCCATCTTGAATGCTACTCAGATGTGTTGACTGACTTACCACAAATTCTGTCCTTGAGCAAATTACTTCAATTGTCTTACAAATTCCTTTTGAAGCACGTTACCCTTTCCCTATGGTAAAAAAAAAAAAAAAAAAAAAAAACCCTGGGTCTGAGGGAGAATGGTGCAGGGATCCACCATATCCTCTCACCACCACCAGAGATATGGCTAATATTCCTAAGTCAACTGAAGAATGACAAGGTTCGTAAATTGTCAACTGAAGAATGACAAGGTTCATAAATTTGGAGAGGAGAGCTTTATTTCTCATAAAGGGCTGCAGCCTTCAGGGTGCCATTCTGACAGGCTGGGAATTGTAGCCTATAGCCAGAAACCAGAAACGGACACTTCCAGGGAGGGAAAACTGGAACAGGAATCTATGTTGGGCAGGGTGGCAAGTGTACACATTCCATAAGGTATGGGAGGAGTCATGTATATTTGTGAAAGGAGAACTATGCTTATGTGCAGTTGAGCGTCTCAGCCCTCATGGGTCCCACATACAAAAAAACAGCAGCATTAGCATGATCCGAGGGTAGAGTTTTCGGCCCTCTGACGCCAAAAGATGAAGCAGAGGACATGAAAATCCTTACGGCCCGTTCTCCATAGACTGGTCAGTACTACTCCGGGGTCGGTGGTCTTTTTTCAGGTGGTTGGTTGATATCTGTGGTAGAGTCCTTTGAGAGGGCTCCTTTCTTTTTAGCCCCTAGGAAGGAAAGCCTAATGGTGGTTAGCCATTAGTAAGGGAGGGGGTCTAATGAGTGGTGTCCAACCTCCTATCCTGTCATGGCTGAGAATTCAGTTTTCAAGGTTTCTCTGGGGTCCAACTTGGCCAAGAAACGGTCCATTCAGTCTGTTGGGGGGTGTAGAATTTTATTTTTAGTTTACACTATTAAATGTTTCTTTCTGAGAAACTGGATTTGTCAACCTCTTTCTTCTGTCTCTCGCTGCTGAACAATGAGGCATCACACCCCACACTTCTGAGTTGTGTCATTAGCTGCTCGGGAAGTTCTGTCTCAGGCATTCCACAGAACTTCATCTGATTATGGACATGATGGGAAGAACCACAGCCCCTATGTGTCCCTTCAATGTAGGTCTGGACACTTGGGCTGCTGCAGGTCCCCTTGTGACTAGGAAGTGAGGGCTGTGCTGGAGCCCAGCTGACACCTGGGAAGGCTGAGACAGCCAGCAGTGTAAGCAGATGAGGCCCCAGAGGGACAGTGATGTGGAAGTGTTCCAATGAGCAGGCTATCAAAGCAGACTTGAATGTGAGGATCTGGACAGGTGCACACAGTGGATTCTATGCTCTGAATTAGAACAGTCTAGAAGGCAATTGAGCATTTGAAACTGTAACATAACGTTACAATTTTTTTTTCAATTTTTTTTTTGAAATTGCATAGTGGTGGTCGGAAAAGAAAGGAAAATTTTTCCTTCTGGACTATTTTGGGAAAGGGGTTTATTGCTTCAAGCTAATAATGATATTTGGAAACTAATTGTGGATTTATCCTAAAGAAAACAATCTACAGGCCTTTCTCATGAAGGTTCAAATTAAATTACTTTTAATGTCATTATTATACTCTGTATCCACCCTGAGTCCACTTATACTACTTCATCAAATGACAGAATTGTACATTTCAGAGTATTAATCTGCAAAACCAATATTGAGGTTCTGGTTTGTTCACATTTGCAACACAGTCCTCAGTTAAAAATGAAAAAACAGAAAGAACCACTGCAACATCTAACATCATTTTTATGTACGCAAGATGTTGTGCTAACATAAGTTTTAAATCAAAGCTGTACAACACCTTAACCAATACAGATTTAATAAAGTTTAAATGGAGATATAATTCTCATAAGTGAACTACATTTTATTTTTATTTATTTACATTTTAGAAACAGGGTCTTACTCTGTTGCCCAGGCTAGAGTGCAGTGGTGTCATCATAGCTCACTGCAGCCTCAAACTCCTGGGCTCAAGCAGTCATCCTGCCTCAGACTCCTGAGTAGCTGGAGCTACAGACAAGTACCACGACACCCAGCTGATTTTTAAATTATTGTTATTATTATTATTTTTAGTAGAGACAAAGGTTTCCCTGTGTGGCCTAGGCTGGTCTCCAACTCCTGAGCTCAAGCAGTCCTTTCGCCTTGGCCCCCTGAAGTGCTGGGATTACAGGCATGAGCCACCAGGCTTGGCCTTATACAATGTATGAAATGCTACAGCATTTGTAAGTAAACTAGTCTTACTTAACTTACAATTTTTGACATATCAACACTTTTCCATGTAGAGTTTTATAATTGTTTCGTTTCCTTAAAGTACACTTGTGCTAGTGTTTGATAAAACCCCTTTAGTTATACGGTTCTAAGAAAAAAACTGCATAGTCTTAGCAAAGAAGAAAAGTTCGAGCATCAGTAAAACCTTATATGCTGCTTCTCCATTTCTCCTCAAAATTTGTTTTCATTTTAGGGCAAGCACATCTGCATGTACTTTCCTGATTCTTTCAGTTCCCAAGTATTCTAATTTTATTTTATTTTTTCATCAAGAATAAACCAGAAAAAAATACCTTGTTTCAGTTTTTGTAATGCTAGGAAACTTTCATTATTTCAGAGGAAAATTCTGGGGCACATGTAAAGTCATGGGTTGCCTTGGGAAACAAATTCTATTAAACATTCCAGGTCTATTTAGCACAGGTAAATATAATCAGGATGAATTGCATAATTATGCATAAAATGCCAGATATTTTATACAAATGGGAAAAGATGAGATATGAGAAAGTAAGACTAGAGAAATAAGGTTACAAAACTGGTCAGTGACCAAAGGAGGTCTAGAATTTGGAAAATCTATGGCTGACTACGTTTTTGTTCTCCCCAAGCCCATTTTATTGCAAATAAATTTTTGCTTAGATCTGACCTTAAACTTCAATGAAGGGAGAAAAAAATATTCCCTGTAGGCTAATTTAGAGTTATCTCAGCAGTGTTTACCTCCATCCAGCAGTGTTTACATTTCATTCTAAGGTTGGCAAAGCAGGGATTTCTAGATCAAAAGCTCAATATCTTTGAGTCTTTAATCAATATAGAAGTTAGTTTCAGAGAAACTATCCTATTTGATTACAATTTATGTTCTGTGCTTTGGATTCATTTCTATAATTAAAAATTATACCAGGCACTTTTCACTGGATACACATACATTTGCACACACGTGCTTGTGCACATACACACCAGCGTATACACTCAGATGACATCACAAATCTTGGTCATGAAAAACTGGGTAGGTCTTCCTGGGGCAAAATGCAGATAATGGATAACAAAGAGAGACTGTATTTGTGTCACCATTCTTTATATCCTAGGTGAGATTACTCCTGTCTCCAATTCTCAATTATTAATTCTGATTTTTTGCACATGAATTACTCTGAAAGTTACAATTTGAAATTGGGTAGAAAATCCTTAATAACATTACTGACTCATTGGTAATTAAATATGGAGCTTCCATATTTAATTCAAGTAATTCCCAAACTTGAAAGGAAGAACTACTAATGAAGGTTTTTATGCATAAGATAATACACTGTTTACTAATGTTCAAACCACACAAATACTTGTGAAGCTACAAAAATTTAGTCAATATATTTAAAATCTATTATTAAAATATGTTATCAGCCCAGCTAAGTGGCTCACACTTGTAATCCAAGCACTTTGGGAGGCTGAGGTGGGAAGATCACTTTAGACCAGGAGTGGAGTTTTGACACCAGCCTGGTCAACAGAGTGAGACCCAGGCTCTACCAAAAAAAAAAAAAAAAATTAGACACTCATGGTGGAGCATGCCTGTAGTCCCAGTTAGTTGGGAGGCTGAGGTGGGAGAATTGCTTGAGCTCAGGAGTTCGATGCTGCAAGGAGCTATGATTGCATCATTGTGCTCCACCCAGGGCTCTGCAAGACCCTGTCTAAAAAATAAATTTGAAAAATTAATTTAAAAAATAAATAAAATATGTATAAAACACTTCATGTGTTCCAAAAGAAAAAGTAGGATAAAAAAATCTGTATGCTAATTATCCAGCTTAAAAAGAAATCAATCTGAAAACAGCTAAAGCCGATTATAACTCTTTAATAGCATCATGCTTTCTTCAACTTCTGAGGCTACCACTTTTATGAAATTTTTTATTATTGCCATGAATGTAAGATTGATTATCCACACACATGTGTACTTATACATAGATTAAAGGTCTTACAATTATATATTTAAAACATTGTGCTGTGTATATTTTTGGCATTTGTTTTTGTTCAACTTTAAATTTGTAAGGTTCACCCATATTGGTATCTATAGCTTGGATTTATTCATCTTCTCTGTTATGCAACATTTTATTATATGGATCCAGCACAATTATTTATCAATTTTCCAATTGATGGATCTTTCAGATATTTTTCTATTACAAAAAGTGCTGCAATTGTTTTATTTACTAGATGGGTTGCTGTTCTTGTGACTTGCAAAAACTTACGCAAGTTTTTTTTTTTTAGTTCTATTTGTGGATGTTTATCTATGGTCTGTCATATTTTTTTCAAGCACATTTATTTCCTTCCATCACTTATGAATTCAAATTCAGAATTATGTGTATATATACTGCCATATATTTCATTTACATAAAGGAAAGAAATGAGATATTTTATAAACCAAATTAGGGAAGAACTCAGAGGGGAGCAGAAGAGAAGAAATTGTTTGGTTAGTTGGTTTTAATTATTTTAATTTTCCCCCACTGCTCTACCCTTGCAACCTAAAACTGTACCTAGAAAGAGCTTAATACATTTTTGTTAAACTAATGAATAAATTTATAAATATTATTAGTATTTTGTAGTTTGGGAGTCTAACTTAAAATAGCTTCTGTATTTTTTTTTGTTTCCAAACTTTCTATTAAAATAAGAAAAAGACAATGCTCACACTACCATTAACACCTAGGATGACAGTAACTCTACTGCTAGAATCTGAGAAGAATATTTGTCATCCATAGGCTAATACAACCAGTTGGAAAAATGCGATGGATAATCCATTGGTGAGAGAACATCTGAAGTGGTACTTTGCTATCTTCTAAAGGTGGGTTGAGAGCTATGGTGCATGAGAGCCAGACTGCTCATAATGGTTTGTCAAGTCAAGAGCTGCATTATCAGGAATTTTGAAAGTTGCTTGTTAAACTACTTAAATCTTGAAATCAGCCATGGTGAGAGTGTTTACTCCCATTTCGATGGGATCATCACAGGCTACAAATCAGGACTCTCCCCTTTTGTTAAACATTTATGAACACATTACTCATCCTATCTTTACTTCCTTCCTCTGCATTACACCAATCAGAATTCTAAATGTCTGTTATGCTACTACACATGTACTGCTTTTAAGGCAGCAGGAATATTTTTGAGCCCTTCACTTGTGCTTGTCTTTTTTTGTTGTTCAACTGGATACTATAAATTCCAGAAAACAATGTGGGGAGAAATAGAGCAAGAGGGCCTACACTGGCACAAGGTGCCAATAAGTTGTGGGTGGGTTTAAAGTCTTATAGGTCAGACATGATTTGGGGAGGGGATGGGTGGACCAGTCAAGCCCACCTTGAATAGAATTGCATTCCCAAATCATACAGCTACTTAGTAGAGAAGTAATGGGATGGATGTTGGAAACCAACCAAGATGTTTACTTCAGCCTAGCTTACCCTACTGAAATTGACTCATTCTATCCACTCAACCTGATTTCTCAGGATTCTATAATATGCACCAAAATTGGGTTATTTTTACAATATTCTTATTCTTCAAACTGTTTCCTTTACATAGATCATGACCTCATTTACCCTAATTTACCTATTTACCTTTGATCCTCCTTTTCCTGTCTAGTCTGATCTCTTCCTCCCCATACCCCTATAGGAAAATTACCTGTTGGTGCAGCCATGTTTATGCCTCTGTGCATTAAAAAAAGTTGTACACTGATATGTATTTTTCTATATTCTCATTTAAATTATCTTTCTATATCTCACATTCTTGAGACTCTAATCTTTTTTTTTTTCTTTTTTTTAGATAGAGTCTTGCTCTGTCACCAGCCGGAGTGCAATGGCACGATCTCGGCTCACCACAACCTCCGCCCCCTGGGTTCAAGTGATTCTCCTGCCTCAGCCTCCTGAGTAGCTGGGACTACAGGTGCACACCACGCCCAGCTACTTTTTGTATTTTTAGTAGAGACGGGGTTTCACCATATTGGCCAGGGTGGCCTCAATCTCTTGACCTTGTGATCCACTCACCTCAGCCCTCCAAAGTGCTGGGATTACAGGTGTGAGCCACCGTGCCCAGCCAAGACTCTAATCTTTCTATAGTGTTTGCTTAATCTAATTCATGGTAATTTATTTCTGCGATTTCCATGTTTTCTTTTTTAATTGCTACTTTATTTTACTGAGGCTTTTCCCTACATTTTATCTGAGAGAACACTGTGGCCTGTCTTTAAGAAACAGCTTTGAAGTAGATTTACCAGGTGGTTTAATGGTAATCCCTGTCTTAGGAATAATATGATGTATATTGTTAAAATTAACAGTATATTCATTTTAACCTCAAACCTGGGATAGCCATAGGACTAAAATTTCTCTTTGGAGATATATACGTCTAAAACATAGAGCCTAGACAGAGACAGACAAACTTCTTTGCTATCTTCCTGTGATTTTAGGCAATTAGAAAATTTAATCATCTATCAAATGTGTAGACTTTTGAGGGTACCTGCTCTGCTCCATTCTCTCAGTTCCCATTCTTTGCCATGCATAGGTTGCATAGGCCATGCTTGTCCTCTGTCTCATCTTGTAAATACAACTTGAGTTTTGAAAATACTGGGAGGAAAAGTACATCGCCTCAGGTTCTGCTTGCATGCTTACCCTTTGGTTTTTGGTTTCCATCTTATTTCTGGTACCTACAGGTTTCCTTTTCTTTGTTGAAAACGTAGCTATGCATTTAAAACTTTTTGTTAATTGTTACCAACCCATTTTGTTATATGTTAACCATGTTATATATTACATTTAGTTATTTACACTTTTAGAGTTTCTAGTTATCTTAATCAACCATCCTGCTAAAAATTGAAGTTGCATTTTGTATATCTTTAAGAATTATTTGAAAAGATAATTTATCCTCTTAATGGGAATGACAATGACTAGCAAGCTTATTTTGATAAAATTAGATGCTGTTTTCTATACTGCTAAAATATAATGTTTTTAAAATGTGCACCACATAAAATGTGCCACTGTACATATGTAATGGCTTTTAATTTGTAGATTTCTTCCTAAATTTAATAAATCAATTAAAAATGTGACTTAAAGTAAAACTAAAAATGTCACAAGAGTATATGGAGACAAAATATACTAGAAGAATATAGCTTTGTGGACAATTTGGGGAAAATATGACAGGAATTTTTTCTCAATGTGTATGACTTAAATCATACTCTAGCTAAAAAGCAAGTTGTACAGGTAGTTGGATAAAGTCCTGCCAGCCTGCAACAATGCTGACATAGCAGTCACATTTCAATGTGGTTTCATAAACATTTGCGATGCTTCTAATATATGCCAGGCACTTTTCTCAGACCAGGGCATTCCAAAATACCATGATTATTTTTAATGATCTTACTTACTTACTGGAGAACCCAGTGTGAGAACAACATATAAAAAATGCAAATCCGTAGTGACGATGCAGTACTAATAGCATGTAGAAGGGATGGATGCAATATAGGGAAGGAAGATCTCATTGAGGAGTTTGCATCCTAGCAAGAGTTTTAAAGATAATTAAGGTTTTGACATGTCAACTAGTAAGTTTCAGACACAGTGAAAGCACCCAACATGATGCACAGCTTCCTGGAAATGATACTTAGTTGAGATGATCTATATCGAAGAGTTAGGTTAATATGGTTTCAGAGTCCTAGCCAGAGAATCTTGAAAGATGAGTCCTTGCTGGTTAGTTTGATTTACCTATTCATCAAGAAGAAACAAATTCAAAAACTGAAGCAGGTCTCCCATATAAGAGAAGAACAATGATTTAGAAAATGTAAAATTTATATGCTAGGGTTTGTTAGTTGCTGACAGAAAGTTAAGAAGAAATGTGAGTTAACTGGGGTAGACACCTGCTTTGCACCAATGTAGATGAATGTAGCATGTCGTCAGATGGTTGTATGATCAGTACTCAGTAATAGGCTTCCTTCTCTGTATATTTCATTTTTGGAGTGGTGGTTTCAATTTTGGCCTCTGGAGTCACATGCCTTAGCCTCGAATCCCAGCTCCACCACTTATAAGTTCCATGACCTTAGAAAATTGCCTAACCTCTAAATGCCGCAGTTTACTCATCTGCACAGTGGGAATGACGATAGCATCTACCTCTGGTCCTTGTGAGGATTAAGCATGTGAATGTGTGTAAAATATTTAGAAAAGAGGGTGGAATGTAGTAAATATTAGCTATTTCAATTATTGCTACATGGATAGTCTGCCCTGGTTTTCTCCCTCATCCCTGTTATAAAACAGCTGTTCAGAGTTCACTTAGAAAAAAGTCCACATAGACACGAAAAAATTCACATAGACACAAAATCCACACAGACACAAAACAATTCATCATTTATTCACTTACTCATTTCTTCCTTCTTCAGGTTCTACATTCTTAATGTATAGACTTTGCTTCTAATTATTTAGATAAAACTTATAGTTTGATCTTTATAATTAGCAGATGGGTAAAGGAAAACGGAAATGTGGTATATCTACATTTGAAGCATCTCAGCAGAAAGTCAGTATTTTAGGAAAAATTATAAGGCTTGTAAAAAAAGTGACGATTTTCATATATGCATAATGATGACAGCACCACCTGAACAATTTTAAATTTAGCTTACAATGGGAGGAGGGAATATTTTTCACATGTAGTAAGTAGTTTTTCAAAAAAATTTAAATATAGCCAATCAAATACAAATCCCAAATAGTGTATTATTTCTGAAATATATTGAAAAAAAGGTCAAAACAAATTTGTTTTGTAGGTGAAATAGATGATCTGCACATGATTAAATTAGGCATAAGGCAATGAGGAAGAAAATACATTCTATGTTAAGATTTGCTTGCAGTTGTATTACTTATTTTTCCTGGGAATAGGAAACAAGAAAGATCCTCTGAAGTTGAACTAAATTTCTGTAACAAAATATTTGACCTAATTGGGTTAAATGTTCTTTCCTTCTTTCCTTCCTTCCTTCCTTTCTTCTTTCCTTCCTTCCTTCCTTTCTTCTTTCCTTCCCTCCTTCCTTCCTCTTTCTTTCCCTTTCTCTCTTTCTTTCTTTCTTTAAAAAACCAAAATGTCATACTTTTAGAAAGAATCTCCATTTCTCTATGTTGGTGAAAAATATGTAAGTTTTGGCTTTTTTGTTCAGTTTCATTTTGAAGTATATTGATTCTGTAGAAGTCTTGTGATATATTGCCCAAAGGCATTTCTTTTTTTTCCTTTCTTTTTCTTTTTTTTTTTTTTTTTACTTCCACTGAGTTTGAGAATATTTATTAATCATGCAGCAGTCCTTAATCCCACCCACACCTCTCAATATTCTAGCTGTTTCTTACACTCAACTAGCTTGTTTTGTCCTTCTCCATTGCAATTTCAGATCTGTTCCCTTCTATGAGACAGCTCCATATTAAAGTGCATTAAGTACATTTTCTCCTCAACCCCGCTTGATATTGGTTGTGACTTTTCTAAGTCATCCCAGCACTTACACCATAAATTTAGATAAACTGTTAATTTGTACTTGTTGTTCATATGCAGTAGGTTTGGCTTAAAAAATAGCAAAACTCTTCTTATACTCACTTTATAAGTAAAGATATTTTAAACTCTTGAAGAGTAGAAACTATGTCATATTTATCTTGTGCTTTCTTTTTCATTCCCTGAATCTTTACATAAGAAATAAAGAATGAGTATTTTATTTCTTCTCTAAATTCTCAGAGCACTACATTAACTGTCAAACAAAATAAATCAGAGAATTGGTCAGTATAAACTCTACCTGTAAAAGTCAATGTCCCTTTTGACTCTTGCTCTAATGATGATGATAGAGTCTCTTAGTTGACTGGATTTGCTCTAAGAGTCTATAAGAATAAAGTTTATATTATTCATTTAGGCAATTCCTTTTTCTAAGACAGCATGTGCTTGTGTATCAAACCAGAAAGGAGACAGAAAGAGTCAAATGAGTTTGTTTTCATCGTGTAACTTAAAAATAGGCAGATATTTAATGATTTATTTCATTTTGATCTTTAAATTCTCAGAATAGTCTTCTCTCTTAGTCCTTTCTAGCTAAGGGTCTATTTTCCAACTTTCTCTGTCTGCACCAAAAACCAAAAAACAAACAAAAAGAGTCTATATCTAAACATTGTCCAAAGGTGTTTGTGAGATACATTTAGCAGTAAAATAAGGAAGGTTATTATTGTGAGAAAAGAGAGACATAGTCAAGATGGTGATACAGAAGGCTCCACCCATCATCCCCCTACCCCTACAAGAACAGCAACTTAGCAAGTATCTACACAGAAAAAAACACCTTCATAATAACCAAAAATCAAGTGAGCACTCACAGTAC
Organism: Homo sapiens; assembly: GCF_000001405.40. Lineage (NCBI taxonomy): Eukaryota > Metazoa > Chordata > Mammalia > Primates > Hominidae > Homo > Homo sapiens. The sequence goes on from NC_000001.11 coordinate 121,433,564, forward strand.
CTGGTTTTAACTTCATATTGCTGAAAAAGGCAGAAAAGATAGCAAAAACAGCCTTGAATCACCAATGCTACCCCTCCTCCACCCCCATCCTTCACTTCCCCTTCACCCCAGCAGCTGCGTGTTGTCGAGAGCATCTCTGGGTGCTGTGGGAGGGGGGACACATAATTGTGAGGCATTGAACTCAGTTCTGTCCTATTAGAGTAAAAAGAAAAACCAGACCAAACTCACCTGACACCCACCCATGAAAGGAGCATTTAAACCAGCCCTAGCCAGAGGGGAATTCCTGAGCTTAGTGGTCCAAATTTGAGTTCCCCCAAACCTTGCCACCTAGGGTTACAGCACTACATGTCTCCAAGTAAACTTGAAAGGCAGTCTAGACCATAAAGACTGCAACTCTTAGGCAAGACCTAGTGCTGAACTAGGTCCAGAGACAGTGCACTTGGGGGGCACGTGACATACTGAGACATCAGCTGGGGCAGCCAAAGGAGTGCTGGCATCACCCCTCCCCTAACCCTAGGCTGCACAGCTCACAGCTTCAAAAGAGACCCTTCCTTCTGCTTGAGGAGAGGAGAGGGATAAATGGGGAGGACTTTGTTTTGCATCTTGGATACCAGCTCAGCCACAGCAGGATAAGGCACCAGTCAGAGTAGTGAAGCCCCCGTTCCAGGCCCTAGCTCCCATCTGACATTTTTAGACAAACCCTAGGCCAGAAGGGAACTCACTGCCTTGAAAGGACCCAGCCCTGGAAATATTTATCACCTGCTAACAGAGGAGTCCTTGGGCCCTGAATAATCAGCAGCAATACCCAGGCACTACATCAAGGGCCTTGGGTGAGCCTCTGAAATTTGCTGGCTTCAGGTGAGACTCAGTACATTACCAGCTGTGGTGCATATGGGGCAAAACTGCTGCTTCAGAAAAGCAGAGGGAAAAGTAAAGAGGACTTTGTCGTGTACCTTAGGTACCAGCACAGCCACAGCAGAGGGACAGAGAACCAAGTGGGGTCTTGGGATCCCCAATTCCAGGACTTGGCTCTTGGATGACATTCCTGGACACTGCCCTGACGGGTGAGTCCCAGGCCAGGCAGCATTTATCACAAGCTAACTTAAGAGCCCTTGGGCCTTCAGGGAACATTGGTAACATTGGTGGTAGTCTGGCAGAACTCCTCTTGGCCTGAGGGTGGTGGTGACTAGGGGGTGATGCTCCTCTGCCTTTGGAAAGGGGAGAGAAGAGTGGGAAGGACTGCATCTTTTGGGTTTAAACGCCAGCTCAGCCACAATAGAAAAGAATACCAGGTAGACTTCTAAGGTTTTTGAATCTAGTCCCTGACTCCCAGATGGCACCTCTGGACCCATCTGGGATCTGGGGGACCTTGCCACCCTGAAGGGAAGGACACGAGCCTGGCTGGCTTTGACACTGGCAGTTTTAGAGCTCCAGGGCCTTGAACAAACATAGGCAGTTGCCAGAGAATGGCTACAGGAGGCTTCGGGTAGACAGTGCTTTGCTGGCTTCAGGTCTGACCCAGTGGAGTCGTAGTGGTGGTAGCCACAGGGGTGTCTTGCCAGCCCAGCTTTAGGTGGCTCAGAACAGAGAGAAAGACTCTGTTTGAGAGAAAGTAAGGAAGGAAAACAAGAGACTTTTCCTAGTAGTTCAGAGAATTCTTCCAAATCTTGTCCAAGACTGTCAAGGCAGTACTTCTACCATTCTGCAAGAACCACAGCATTACTGGGCTTGGGGTGCCCCTTAAAGCTTAGGTCACAGCTTAGATCACAACACCCATGTTCTTTCAAGTATCTGGAATGGCTTCCCAAGAAGGACAGCTACAAATAAGGCCAGGCAATGAAGACTACGATAAATACCTAACTCTTCAATGCTCAGACACCAAAGAACAACTACTAGCATCAACACCATTCAGGAAAACATGACCTCACCAAATGAACTAAATAAGGTACCAGGGATCAATGCTGGAAAAACAGAGATGTGTGACCTTTCAAGCAGATAATTCAAAATAGCAGTGTTGAGGAAACTCAAAGAAATTCAAGTTAACACAGTGACAGAATTCACAATTCTATCAGATAAATGTAACTAAGAGATTGAAATAATTGAAAATAATCAAGCAGAAATTCTGGAGGTAAAAAGTATAAGTGGTATATTGAAGAATGCATCAGAGTTATTTTATAGCAGAACTGATCAAGCAGAAGAAAGAATCAATGGGCTTGAAGAAAAGCTATTTGAAAATACACAGAAGAGACAAAGATAAAAGCATAAGAAATTATGAAGCACACCTACAGGATCTAGAAAATATCCTCAAAAGGGCATATCTAAGAGTTACTGGCCTTAAAGAGGAGGTAGAGAAAGAGATAGGGGTAGAAAGCTTATTCAGAGTGATAATATGAGATAACTTTCCAAACCTAGAGAAAGATATCAATATCCAAGTACAAGAAGGTTATGGAACACCAAGCAGATTTAACCCAAAGAAGATTGCTTCCAGGCATTTAATAATCAGACTCCCAAAGATCAAGGATGAAGAAAGGATCCTAAAAGCAGTAACAGAAAATAAACAAATAACATACAATGGAGCTCCAGTATGTCTGGCAGCAGACTTTTCCAAGGAAACCTTTCAGCCTGGGAGAGAGTGGCATGACATATTGAAAATGCTGAAGGAAAAAACTTTTACCCTAGAATAGCTTATCTGGAGAAAATTTCCTTTAAACGTGAAGGAGAAATAAAGACTTTCCCAGACAAACAAAAGCTGAGGGATTTCTGGGGGATTTCATCAACACCAGACCTGTGCTGCAAGAAATGCTAAAGGGAGTCCTTCAATCAGAAATAAAAGGACATTAATGACCAATAAGTAATCACTTGAATGTATAAAACTCACTGGTAATAGTAAGTACACAGAATATCATAACACTGTAACTGTGGTGTGTAAACTACTCTTATCCTAAGTAGAAAGACTAAATGATGAACCAATAAAAATAATAACTACAACAACTTTTCAAGACATAAGCAGTACAGGCTGGGCACGGTGGCTCACGCCAGGAGCACTTTGGGAGGCCGAGGTGGGTAGATCACCTGAGGTCAGGAGTTCAAGACCAGCCTGACCAGCATGGAGAAACCCTGTCTCTAGTAAAAATACAAAACTAGCCAAATGTGGTGTTACATGCCTGTAATCCCAGCTACTCAGGAGGCTGAGGCAGGAGAATCACTTGAACCCAGGAGGTGGAGGTTGCAGTGAGCCGAGATGGCACCATTGCACTCTAGCTTGGGCAACAAAAGTGAAACTCCGTCTCAAAACAACGACAACAACAAAAAAAGACAAAGGAAGTACTATATGATATAAATAAAACAACAAAATAAAGTGTAGTTTTTGTTAGTTTTCTTTTTGCTTGTTTGTTTATCCAAGCAGCGTTAAATTGTTATCAGGTTAAAATAATGGTTTATAAGATAGTATTTGCTAGCCTCGTGGTAACCTCAAACCAAACAACATACAATGGATACCAGAAAATAAAAAGCAATAAACTAAATCATATCACCAGAGAAAATCACCTTTACTAAAGGAAGAGAGAAAGGAAGGAAAGAAGGAAGAGAAGACCACGCACACACAAAAAGACACAGAAAATAAATAACAAAATGGGAGGAGTAAGTAAGTCCTTACTTATCATTAATAACATTGAATGTAAATGGACTAAATTATCCAATCAATAGACAACAGCCAATGATCTGTTGTCTACAAGAAACACACTTTAGCTTTAAAGATACACATAGACTTAAAGAACTGAAAAAGATATTCCATGCCAATGAAAACCATAAAAGAACAGGAGTAGCTGTACTTACATCAACAACTATAGACAAAAACTATAAGAAGAGACAAAGAAAGTCACTATATCATGAAAAAGGGGTCAATTCAACAAGATGATATAACAATTGTAAATATATATGCACCCAACACTGGAGCACCCATATAAAGGAAATATTATTAAACCTAGAGAGAGAGAGAGAGAGAGACATAGGTCCCAATATAATAAAAGCTGGAGACTTCCACACCCCACTTTCAGCATTGGACAGATCTCCCAGACAGATAATGAACAAAGAAATATCAGAGTTAATCTATATTATAGACCAAATAGATCTAGTAGATAGTTATAGAACATTTCATCCACGAGCTGCAGAATACACATTATTCTCCTCAGCACATGAATTATTTTCAAGGAGAGACCATATGTTAAGTCACAAAACGAGCCTTAAAACATGCTAAAAATTGAAATAATATCAAGCATCTTCTCTGATCACAATGGAATAAAACTAGAAATTAATAACAAGAGGAATTTCTGAAACTATACAAACATAGAAATTTAACATATGCTCCTGAGTGACCAGTGGGGCAATGAAGAAATTAAGAAGGAAATTGAAAAATTTCTTGAAAGAAATGATAATGGAAACACAACATACCAATATCTATGGGATATAGTAAAAGCAGTGCTAAGAGAGAAGTTTATAGCTATAAATGCCTACATCAAAAAAGAGGAAAAACTTCAAATAAACAATCTAATGCCGTATCTTAAAGAACTAGAAAAGCAAGAGAAAACCAAGTCCAAAATCAGTGAAGAAAAGAAATAATAAAGATCTGAGCAGAAATAAATAAAATTGAAAACCATAAAAAAGATCAATGTAACAAAAAGTTGGTTTTTTTATAAAGTTAAACAAAATTGGCAAACCTTTAGTTAGACTAAGAAAAAAAGGGAGAGCATTCAAATAAATAAAACCAGAAATTGAAAAAAGAGACATTACAACTGAATCTGCAGAAATTCAAAGGATCATTAGTGGCTATTATGAGCAATTATATGCCAATAAATTGGAAAATCTAGAAGAGATAGTCAAATTCCTAGATACATACAACCTACCAAAATTGAACCAAGAAGAAATCTAAAACCTGAACAGACCAATAACAAATAACAAGGTCAAAGCTGTCATAAAATATCTCCCAGTAAAGAAAATCCCAGGACCCAATGACTTTACTGCTGAATTCTACCAAACATTTAAAGAAAAACTAACACTAATCCTAGTCAAACTTTTCCAAAAAAAAAGAGGAGGAAGGAATACTTCCAAACTTATTCTATGAGATCATTTTTACCCTAATACCAAAATGAGACAAAGACACATCAAAAAAAAGAAAAGTACAGGCCAATATCTCTGATGAATATTCATGTAAAAATCCTCAACAAAATGCTAACAAACCAAATTTAACAATACATTAAAAAGATCATTCATCACGATAAAGTGGGACTTATCCTTGAGATGCAAGGAAGATTCGAAATATGCAAGTCAATCAATGTGATACATCGTATCAACAGAATACAGAATAAAATCCATATGATCATTTCAATTGATGCTGAAAAACTATTGAATAAAGTTCAACATTCCTTCATGATAAAAAAGAAACCCTCAGAAAACTGGACATAAGAGGAATGTACACAACATAATAAAAACCATATGTGACAGACCCACAGCTAGTATCATATTTAATATAGAAAAACTGAAAGCCTTTCCTCTAAGATCTGGAACACATTAAGGATGCCCAATCTCACCACTCTTATTTGACATAGTACTGGAAGTCCTAGCTAGAGCAATCAGACAAGAGAAAGAAATAAAGGGCATCTAAATTGGAACGGAAGAAGTCAAATTATTCTTGTTTGCAGATGATGTGATCTTATAGCTGGAAACACCTAAAGACTCCACTAATAAACTTTTAAATCTTATGAATAAATTTAGTAAAGTTGCAGGGTGCAAAGTCAACATACAAAAGTCAGTGACATTTCTATATGCCATCAGTGAACAGTCTGAAAAAGAAGTTTAAAAGTTATCCTATTTATAATAGCCACACATAAAATTAAATACCAAGGAATTAACCAAAGAAATAAAAGATCTCTGCAATGAAAACTATAACACACTAATGAAAGAAATTAAAGAGGGCATCAAAAAATGGAAAGGTATTTTATGTTCATGAATTGGAAGAATTAATATTGCTAAAATGGCCGTACTACCCAAAGCAATCTACAGATTCAATGCAATCCATGTCACAGAAATAAAAAAAAACTATTCTAAAATTTATATGGAATCACAAATTACCCAGAGTAGCTAAAGCTATCCTAAGCAAAAAGAATAAAACTGAAGGAATTACATTACCTGACTTCAAATTATACTACAGAGCTATAGTAACCAAAATAGCATGGTATTGGCATAAAAACAGGCACATACACCAATGGAACAGAATAGAGAACCCAGAAACAAATCCACACACCTATAGTGAACTCGTTTTTGACAAAGGTGCCAAGAATATAAATTGAGGAAGAGACAGTCTCTTCAGTAAATGGTACTGGGAACACTAGATATCCATATGGTGAAGAATGAAGCTAGATCTCTATCTCTTGCCACATAAAAAAATCAAATAAAAATGGATTAAAGACTTAAATCGAAGACCTAAAGCTATGAAACTACTATGAGAAAACTTTGGGGAAACTCTCTAGGACATTGGTTTGGGCAAAATTTCTTGAGTAATACCCCACAGCACTGGCAAGCGAAGTCAAAATGGACAAATGAGATCACATCAAGTTAAAAAGCTTCTGCACAACAAAGGATACAATCACAAAGTGAAGAGCACCCCACAGAATGGGAAAAAATATTTGAAAACTATCCATCTAATAAGAGATTAACAACCAGAATATGTAAGGATTCCTAACAACTCTATAAGAAAAGACTTAATACTCTGCTTAAAAAATAAGCAACAGATGGCTGGGCGTGTTGGCTCATGCCTGTAATCCCAGCGTTTTGGGAGGCCTAGGTGGGCGGATCACCTGATGTTGGGAGTTTGAGACCAGCCTGACCAACATAGAGAAACCCCGTCTCTACTAAAAATACAAAATTAGCCAGGCATGGTGGCACATGCCTGTAATCCCAGCTACTCGGGAGGCTGAGGCAGGAGAATTGTTTGAACCCGGGAGGCGGAGGTTGCACTGAGCTGAGATTGTGCCATTGCACTCCAGCCTGGGCAACAAGAGAGAAACTCTGTCTCAAAAGAAAAAAAAAAAAAAAAGCAACAGATTTGATTAGACATTTTTCAAAAGAAGACATACAAATAGCAAGCAATTATATGTAAATAGGCATATGATGAGGTGCTGAACATCATTAAACATCAGAGAAATTCAAATAAAAACTACAATGAAGTATCATCTCACCTCACTTAAAATGGCTTAGAAAAGACAGGCAATAACAAATGCTGACAAGGATGTGGAAAAAAAAGGAACAGACGTACACAACTGGTGGGAAAGTAAATTACTAAACCACTATGGAGAAGATTTTGGAAGTTTCTCAAAAAACTAAAAATAGAGCTACCATGCAATCCAGCAATCCCTCTGCTGGGTATATATCCAAAAGAAAGACCATCACTATATCGAAGAGCTATCTGCGCTCCTGTTTGTTGCAGCGCTATTTACAATGGCCAAGATGGGGAACCAAACTAAGTGTCCATCAGTAGATGAATGGATAAAGAAAGTGTGGTACCTATACACAGTGGAGTACTATTCAGCCATAAAAAATGAGATCTCATCATTTGTGAAAACATGATAGAACTGGAGATCGTTATGTTAAGTGAAATAAGCCAGGCACAGAATGACAAACATCACATGTTCTCACTTATTGGTGGTATCTAAAAACTAAAACAATTGAATACATGGACACATAGAATAGAAGGCTGGTTATCAGAGGCTGGGAATGGTAGTGGAGGGCTCAGGGGTGGGAGGATGATTAATGGGTGCAAAAAAATAGTAAGAATGAGCAAGACCTACTATTTGATAGCACAACAGGGTGACTATAGTCAGTAATAACTTAATTGTACGTTTTAAAATAACTTAAAGAGTGTAATTGGATTGTTTGTAACCCAAAGGATACATGCTTGAGGGGATGGGTAATTCCTTCTCCATGATGTGCTTATTTTACATTTCATACCTGTATCAAAATATATACACTTCCTATGTTCCCACAAAAATTAAAAATAAAAGAAGAAAAGGAGGTATAGAAGAAAAAGAGGAGTGCTTTGGACATAGTAATTGCTATGGTTTGAATGTATGTTTCCTTTCAAAATTCATATGTTGGAACTTAACCCCCAGGGTAATGGTATGAAAAGATGAGACCCTTGGGAGGTGAGTAGGCTCTGAGGGCTTTGCCTTCATAAATGAGATTAGTACCCTTCTACAAACACCTTCAGAGAGATGCCTCCCCTTTTCCATCCCTTCCTCCATGTGAGGATACAATATTCATCCCCTCCAGAGGATACAGTGTTGAAGGTGTCGTCTGGGGAGTAGAGAGCAGCCCTTACCAGACACTGATCCTACTGGCCCCTTGATCTTGAACTTCCCAACCTAAGAACTGTGAGAAGCAAATTTCTGTTGTTTACAAATTGTCCAGTTTCAGGCATTTTGTTATAGCAGCACAAACTAAGATAGAAACAAATACCCTTCCTTTTATTGAAATTGTTTGAATCTATTCCTTGTTCCATGAAATGACATAAATATATGAGAATAAACTCTTCTGAGAGTTGTTTCCCCTGAACTGTGGGGGATTCCACAAGACTATGTAAGACTATGTAAGAGGAAAATGAAATTGAACATTTTGGTTAGCTTTAAAACTAAGCTGAATGTAAACTTAAATATAGATAAAATATATCTTTTAAAGTTTTTGAAGTGGGTATCTATCTCCTCTTGTCTCCATGCCTGTATTCTGTATCTTACTACATGCATTTTCATAGATCTCACACTTTAAAGCTTATTATTTCTTCCTTTAAACATGACTCCACGTATGCCAATTTTCATTTGTTCCTTTATTCCATGGTAATGCTTAATGCCCAGAAAAGTACAAGGCATTACTGCTGCCCTCTTGGCTTCCTAGGTCTCATTGTTCAATGCAACTTATAAACCATGTTCAAACCTTCTATAGCACTATTTTTATACTGGCACCGCTTGCTCAAGAACTGTAATAGTTACCCATTGCAACTTCAATGGGAAAAGGGCCTGAAGTAGGAATCCGATGATAGTTTTAACACCCGCACAATATTAAGCCTTCTCCACTATGAAATTAATAATGGGCTGGGAATGGTAGCTCATGCCTGTAATCCCAGCACATTGGGAGGCCAAGGTGGGAGCATCACTTGAGCCCAGAAGTTTGAGAGCAGCCTGGGCAACATAGTGAGACCCTGTCTCTACAAATGATAGTAAATTTTTTAAAATAAAATTAATAATGATACTATTTACCTCACAAAATTGTTAAAAGGATAAAAAAGGCGATGTATGTCAAAGCAATTTTAAAAGTGCAAAGCATTATACAAATAAAGTTGTACACTACCTATTTCAAGCCTTTTTATAAATTGACTACCACACATCTATCTATCTTTACTGCTCATCACTGTTCTATGGGCAATCTCTGTCCAGGTAAAATAAACTTCCTAAGATGTCATGTTTATCCTTACTTTTATTCTTGTTTATTTTATCTGCTTACGTCTTCCTCTTTAAATCCTACCCAACTGTCCAGTGAAACATGTCCTCCTACCTTAATGTCCTATTGCATGGATTAGATTTACAGCCAGCTCACCAGACCCTGGAAAGCAGTCCCACTGATCACACAGAAAATATGCAGTAAATATTTGTCAGTGGGTTGGTTTTTGTGTCAACTCTTTCTCTTTTCTTTTAATGTTTATGGCATTTTTATTAGCTTGAGAAGCCAAAGGAAATGATGTCACTGTGATGGTTGATTTTATGTGTCAACTTGACTGGGCCACGGGGTTCCCGGATATTTGGTGAAACATTATTCTGCGTGTTTCTGTGAATGTGTCTTTGGGGATTAGATTAACTTTTGAAATAGTAGACTGAGTAAAGCAGATTTTCCTCCTTAATGTGTCTGAGCCTCCTTCAATCAGCTGAAGGCTTGAATAGAATAAGAAGACTGATTCTCCCCTGATTAGAGAAGATTCCTCCTGCCTAACTCTTTGAACTGTGACATTGGCATTTTTTTTTTTTTTTACTTCAACATGAACTGAAATATTGACCCTTCTTGAGTCTCAATCTTACCACACTTTAGGCTGATCTATAACACTGACTCTCCTCAGTCTCCAGTTTTCCTTTGGAGTCACACTGGAACTACACCATCGGCTCTCTGGGGTGTCCAGTTTGCTGGCTCACCCTGCAGATCTTGAGACTTGTGAGTCTCCATAACTGTGTGAATCAATTCCTTATAATAAATGTGTTTATATAAAATATATGTACAATAAGAATATATAAAATAGGATATATGATAATTATATGCAATATTATATATGTGTGTGTATACACACACACACTACACACATGCTATGTGTTCTGTTTCTCTGGAGAACTCTAATACTTGATGCAGTGGGGCCCCTTAGGATGCTTCTTGTCAGGGTCTTTAAAATATGTAACCCACTTTTAAATATCCCACAAAAAAAGACAAAAACAAAAACAAAGCAAAAAAAAAAGACATAAAAATCTCATGATTTTAAGCCTTACAAGTGAGCTACACTCTAAGGAGGACATATATGAGACCATAAAACACTTACCAGAAAATTGGATATATGCATGAATCACAATATTGTATGTTATTTAAAGTTGAGAGGAAAAAATATGTTAGGGCACTCATCACACAACTTCACAAAGCCCAAAACAAACATTTAGTCATGGTGAGTGTATCAAGGTATGAGTATATACTGTATATCCTTCAACTCTCCCAGAAGATAACTTTGGAAATGTGTGCATAGTGTATACATTTAAATTGAGATTTTTTTTAAAAGCAATATCACTCACTAGAACTGTTAAAATATAACATTTCCATCCCACTGCATTGTACAGTTTAATATACATCCAGTGGTGAGCTCAGGTGTTGCCTTCCCAGGGGCATTATTTTTGTCTTTTGGTTATAATAAAATCTGAAGCAAAGGCTCACTTTTTGAGGGAAAAAATAGATTGCAGTATCATTATTACTATTATTTTGCTTCATAGCTCTATGGCACTGAATCTTTGATTCATACAGCTCCCCCATGTCCTTTGTACTTTCATTCTACAGTTTCGCTTTAGGACATTGGACTGAACATGGGCTTCATAAAGCAAGACTGTCTTTGGTTTTGCTCCCCATATATCTCCAGCACTTAAAATGCTGCCAGCCCATAGTAAAAGATAAACACATGTTTATGGATGAATAAATGGCAAAGTAGTGTGTAAAAAGAAGAATTTAGCAAGGCCTGTCAGGCAGATTTGCATTACAAGACAGGATTTATACTTTATCTCCTGACTTCCTGTAAATTAATAGGCCAAAGCCTTGTAAGTATTAGCATCTTAGCATGGTACTTTTAAAATTTTTTCAATTAAAACAAAGACCACAGTTTCCTCATCTGTAAGTTAAGGTGGAGTGGATGTTTAATCACCAAACACATCTGTCCCATTTTCCCAACGAACCAGCTGTCCTTCTCTTTGTGTGTTGTATTTTAGGGGCAGGGATGCACCACTCACTCATCTGCCCATGCCCCAGATGAATAGCTTCTCCCTTTCTTTCCCTTATACTTTATGCTAAGTAATACCCAATTTGTTTATATTCCTTCTCCTAAATAACTTGAATACATTCATTTCTTTTTCTCTTCTGTCTCGTTTATTCCAATCCATTTTACACACACATGCACATGCACACACACGGACATGTTAACTAATATTTAAACCCCCTGTGTATTACCCCATCCCATCTCTGTGTGATAAGGTAGAAACTCTTCAACAGACCTTAGGGGATCTTTTAATATCTGGCCCCAGATTTCATCCTTATTCTTGGATTTCTCCATCACTTTCTTCCCTGCCCCCACAACTCTAATCTCCAACTACACTGAATTACTTTTAGCTGCTTTAACCTGCTCATTCACTTGTGTTTGTGCATTCTTTTTCTTACTTCCCAGCATTTGCACATATTTCCCTCTACCTAAAACACTCTTTTCACTACTCTTTTTCTGTCTCTCACTTATTCTCCAGCACTCACCTCAGATGTTATTACCACTGGTAAATGTTAACTGACTCCACAAGGCAAGTTATTTGAAGTCTTTTTGCTTATTTTATCTCTGGGACTTAGCACATTACCTTACTTATAAAAGGTACTAATAAAATGTGTTTGAATGCATTAATTTTTACATTTTCTTTTAGCTTTATTATTTTGAGAAGATTAGGCCACTTGCTTTTTCCCTTTTTTTTCTGTTTCTTCCACTTCCTTCTTTGAATTCTTGTAAAATCTCAAAATCTCTTCCTCTTTTTTTTTTGCCTTTGCCAGCTCTTCCATTCAATGGAATTAAAGGAAATTAAGTTTATCAAATAAATCTTAATAAGTAATAGAAATTTAGCACAGTTATATTAGCTTATATTGATTGTGCATAAAGCATTTGGGATTTAAAACAGTTAATATGAATTGGTACCAAGACATTAATTTCTAATACCAGTGCTGTTGCTCAATAATAGCTGCTTATGTATCAGGTTTAGGTATATTCCTGAAAAGTCATTGTTGTCTATGCCTAGGGTGTCTCCAGCATCTCCTTTCTGAAGAGAGTAGGTAGGCTTTCCCTTTATTCCACTTTTAGCTTTCTGATTCTAAGGTGTGATTGCAATCTTACATCTTACATTTCTGACATCGGGAGAACATGTCTTCATTATTTCACTAACTCAGAAGGGGAAGGTAATAAAATTTTATTTATATTAAGCATCTTTCTACACCAAGCTCAAGGAAAGACTACTTAGAGAAAGATTTAGGGAGCATGAAACGAATGTTATCAGTCAAACTGAACAGACTTACATAGCCTGGGGGTTCTTTCCCCCTCTCATATTTATGATCCTATCCTGATCAAGGACAAAATAATACGTAGATACATTAAGTAGTTCAAGATCATATTTGAATACTTGATCCACTCACTAAATCTTATAGTTTATTACTCAGTGCAGTCCTTCTTCAGTTCTTTATGACTCAATTTCCTGATTTATAAATGTAAACTTCAAGTCCTGATAACTCAGTTAATTTCTTACAGTTTAGTAAAGCTGTCTTCATTATATATCTATTTGATAAAGCTATATGGCCCAAGATGATATTTTAAAATTGTGTATAAAAATATATGTTGTAAAAGCACCACAAATCTGCTCTTCAGAATGCCAGTTAAGTCTTTGCTATTATTTATATTCTGAGACTGGGAGAAAAGGGGAATGGGGAGGGGGTTTGGCAGTTGTTGTTTACACTAATTGACAATATCTGTCTTCACTATAAAGCAGTTAAGAATATTCATCTTTATCTCTACATTCAGAGTAAGTATAAGTATATTGGGAAAGAGGCTGTGTTAAAGAAATGGAAGGACGTAGCATATTTTCTGAGGCAATGAATAGCTTAAGTAAGGATTGTTATTATTATTCGATTAAAGTTTTCAATAGCTATGGATGCTAACATTCCATTTTTGGAACATTGTTATTTTTGGAGATAAATATTTACTTTTCAGAAAGTAATATCTTTAATGTAAAAATACCTGATTACTTTTACAGGACTTAAAATGGGGTGGAATCTCATAGGTAAGGTCAGGTGAAAGAAGAGCTCTTGTTTCTAGAGAAAGGGATTGTTTTAGGATGGAGGTGTCTTAGAGAAATGAATACAAATAGGCATTAAAAGAAAGTTTCCTTTACAAGATTCAAACTATCCCTTACCAACTCCATGAGAAACGGTTACAAATTGTTTGCAGTCCTGCATATACAAGACTGAACTTAAAATAACTTGCACTTAATAGGAAAAAAGGAAAAAAGTGGGTCTTTATTTAACAAGAATTCCAAATAAAATCAAGCACAGAAATCATATTTGAAATTACCACTAGAGGGCAGAAAATAGGGGGAAAGAATATATAATAATAGTGGATTTCAGGAATCTGAATTTTCAAGCCCCTGGAACCTCTGAAGACAACTGTAATAATAACAATAGTTAACATTTATGAGGTGCCTACTATGTGCCAAGCACAGTTGTAGAAATTGTAAATATATAATATTAATTAAATTGATGAATACACACACACACACACACTCACATATTTAATTTCACAACCATCCTATAGATAGGTACTATCAGTATCTCCATTTTGTAGATGAGGAAACTGAGGTTAAATAATTTGTGCAAGGATGTGAAGTAAGTAAATCCCCAGTCTGCACACTTAATTCTTACTTCTTCCCATGGATGAAAATCTCTTTTTTGTGTGTCATATTTTATTACAAAGTGTGTACAATCATCCTCTAACCTGTGAGAGGAAGCAAGTAGTTTCTTCTAGCATGATAAATTTCCTACCTTGCTTTTACTGCATTGTGTGGCAAGCCAGGAATTTTGGGAGCAGTCTCATATACACACCTTGGGAAACAGAAGTCTGAAAATGTATTTTATTGATGCTGCAAACTACCAGCACTATTAAGTTTTATGGACAATCTGAACTAATAAACAGGACCTGTGATGGTATCATTATTAACAATGTTAAGAAGAAGCAGAACTCAGAATGAGAGAGTAGCTGCATTAGCCAAACACTGAAGAGTTAATATCGGAAAGGAGTACTTCTGGTAGGCACTGGAAGACACTCGGTGTAGGGAGAGCAGAGACCCCAGCCTGTCAGCCAGCCACATGGCAGTGTTGGGAGGAGGGAGAAAATTAAACCAGAATGGTTAAGTCTTGATTGTTAAACCAGAGGCCCTCTGTATCCTGCTCCATTTGTAACCTCATCAGCTGTATACAAGCTAGGGCCTGGATTTTAAACCCCCGCCCCTGAGGAGACCAGAGATTGTTCCAGTGTTGTAAAAGAAAGGCAATAAACTAAAACCTAGTCAGCAGAATTAATGGACCACACAGATAAGGATCTAAAATATGCATGGCCACAATTTTCAAGAAGATGCCATCTTATTTTCAAACAAAATTCAGACTTCCTTTTTTTTTTTAAAGAAATTAGCCACTGTATTCAAAAATATACATGGAAGAATAAAGGTCTATGAATAGTTTAGTTACTTTTATTTAAAGAAAAGCAGCCAGGTGTGGTGGCTCACGCCTGTAATCCCAGCACTTTGGAAGGCTGAGGTGGGCGGATTACCTGAGGTCAGGAGTTTGAGACCAGCCTGACTAACATGGTGAAACCCCGTCTCTACTAAAAATACAAAAATTATCTGGGCATAGTGGCACGCACCTGTAATCCCAGCTACTTGGGAGGCTGAGGCAGGAGAATTGCTTGAACCTGGGAGGGGGAGGTTGCAGTGAGTCGAGATTGCACCATTGCACTCCGCCCTGGGTGACAGAGTGAGACTCCATCAAAAAAAAAATAAAAAAGAAAGAAAGAAAAGCAAGGAATGGGGACACATCTTGCTAGACACAATATAAGTACAAAGTCATGATAATAATAATAATGAAACCAGTGTGGTATTCATCACAGATGAAAGAAAGATGACATAACAGAGAGCTCAGAAATAGACACAAACATGCAGTTATAAACATGTGTGTTAATTTGATTTATAATAAAGTTGAACTATAAATGATTTGGGGAAACACAGTTTGGTAGATAGCATCAGAATATTGAAAAAATAAGTTAAGGCCATATGCCACACATTAAATTAGTGAAAAGTAGAATTATTAAGAAGGAAAAAAAATCATGAGAATATAAGTGTTACCTGGAGGTAGTGGAAAATCATGTTGAGTATGACCCTAGGAGGATAAACTATAAAGGAAAGAAGGAAGGAAGGGAGGGAGGGAGGGAGGGAGGGAGGGAGGAAGGAGGGAGAAAAAAAGAAATTATGGATTTGATTACATTACAATTAAAGGTTTATTTTAATGAAGAAATAGAGACAAAGTTAAACAGTTGTTGACTAATTCAGAAAAGATATTTACAATGTATAAAATAAATAAATATTCTAGATTGACATCTAGATTAGGGAAAGAATCCATGAAAATCAACATGGAAAAGACAGAAAATCCAGGGGGGAAGAAGAGGGCAAAGGAAAAAGTTTAAAACACTGACATTCCCAAAATTCAATACAATTTGCGGGGATATCCAGTAAGTCCTCACTTACTGTTGTCGGTAACTTCTTGGAAACTGTGACTTTAGGCAAAATGATGAATATTGGAACCAATTTTACCATAAGCTAATTGATATAAACAGGAGTTAAGTTGCTATTTCTGGCATATTTCTGGACACAAAAACATCACCAAATTTCTAAATAAAGGCCCCAAACACTTCTTATATTAAACATTGAAATAAATGTGAGCTATACATACGTATAAGAAAGATGAATAGAAACAAGTAAAGTAATTATTTACTTAATTTTTGGTGAATCAGTGAGTTACAGCAGTCATAGCGGTCATGGGTTAAATCAAAGAATAAATGTTGCAAAGTGAAAGTTTTAATCAGGACGTCCTACCACTATGCAGCTCAAAAACAATCACAAATATGGCTCCATGAGGGCTTTTGTACCTCACTGTTTATTGTCGAGCATTTGTAGGATTATTGTATAGTTTACTAATTTTTATTTTAAAATAATTTGTATTCATTCATTCATTCATTCATTTATTTTCTAACTTGCATATTCCAATTCAGGGCATGGGTGGCCAGAGTCTATCCTGGCAGGATCCAACCCTGGACAGGATGCTATTCTATCACAGGGCACACTCACATACACACCCACGCCAGCCCATCCTGGAACAACTTCGACATACCAATTAACAGAACATGCACATCTTTGGGACGTGGGAGGAAACTGGAATATCTGGAGAAAATCCATGCAAACATGGAGAGAACATGCAAATTCTGCATGGAGAGTGGTCTTGTGTGGGAATCCATTTGTTTTCTTATTACGGTTATTACAAAGTGACATTGAATTAAATGATGTTGTTCAAGGACTTGCTGTAAATGAATCTAAGAGGTGAGAAAAGTGATGGGTACAGGGATCAGGGATGAAAGGGGAAAGTCAATATCAACCAGCAAAGGGTCTTGATTGTGCTGATGATACTCTTCAGAGTATAACTAACTCAATTTTCTGCAACCAAATTTCAAAAAACTAAGAAAAATACAACAGTTTGAAATGAGGGATACAGAAAGCTCTAGAAGGATAGTTTTGTTTTTATATACAACATTAAATTCACATTGTTATGCTTACAAATACATGGAATGTTACTAATTTATTTTGAAAATCTATTACTGTTCAGGAAGTATTTTGAATAGAAAATCATCTCACGTACTGTAATAAAATACTTCATATTTGGGGCATTGGGCAGAAGGGACCTTGGATTATGAGTAAAAGGCAGGATGTTTTGTTTTGTTTTAGGAGAATTGATAGGTATTCTCACTGCATTTGTAGGTTGCTGCTAGGGGTGCAGGCGACCTGTGATGCAAACATTGGTTGTATATATGCATACAAGTGGGTTGCTCAAAAGATGCTAGGTACCTAAATGTGAAACCAAAAACATGTGAAACCAAAAACATTCCTAAGTAGCCACTATTTTGTATCCTCAATGTTTTTGTCTTTGATGTAGAATGAGTTACTACTAAGCCAATAAAAGTAAATGAGAAATGAAATCATATTTTGGTCAATTATATCATTCAGGAATAATAAACACTACTACAAAATAAAATTAAGATAATTTTTTACCCTCCATCTAGTTTTATAATTCGACAAATTCAGATTGCCTGAGAAATAATAAAATATTTTTAGCCATTGTGCTATTTTCATGATTTTATTAAAATGTAAATTCTCAGAGATCTGAGATATTCTGAATCTTTTATGCAGATTGCTTATGTTTTAAAATTTTCTCATCATCTTTTTTACAAGAATATATGCTTATAAAGAGATGGCACATTTATGCTGTAACAAAATGGAGTTATGGAATATATGGATAGCCCATTTCACAGTTAACTACTTCAATTTTATTTTTTTCAAGGAAACTGTCTCAGTTGTCCATCAATTAATTGATTAATCCAACAAACATTTTTGATCACTTCAACATATGTGGATATGTACTGAGCATTGGAAATTTTAAAAATACACACCATACACACACACACACACACAAATACACTATTCCCTGTTTGTGTAGAGCTTGCATTTAAGACGAGTTTTTAGACTTTAAATGAAAGAAAAAAAATTACCTTTCCATGACATTTTAACTGTTGATCCTCTGCAGTAAGCCAAATAAGCCTATTACATCTTCCACATGTGAACTTTTTAAAAATCTCATGGGTCACCAGAATCTTCCTCATATGACTATTATGAATGCACCCTCAGATCACATTTCATTTCCTCCATGACCTTCTTAAAATGCAATACCCAGCATTGAATGTAGATATTGTCTGCCAAATACAGTGAAATTATTAAATGTGAGAAAACAGGTAGCATACTTTCTTCTAAAGTAGCCTGGTAGGTGAACAACACAGTCAGTTCTTGTACCCATGGGTTCTGCATCTATGGATTTCATCAACCATTGATCAAAAGTATTTTTTAAAAAATGAGTGGTTGCATCAGTATTGAACATATACAGACTTCTTCCATTTGTCACGATTTTCTAAATAATACAACAGTATAGCGAACTATGTAGCATTTGCAATGCATTAGATATTATAACTAATCTAGAGATGATTTAAAGTATATGGGAGAACGTGTGTAGGTTATATGCAAATATTATGCTATTCTTTTTTTATGTTTTTTTCTTTTTCAACTTTTATATTAGAATCAGGGAATACATGTGCAAGTTTATTAAAAACGTGTATTACATGACACTGAGTTTTGGGGTATGACTGAACCCTTCACTAAGGTAATGGGCATAGTATCCAATGGGTAGTTTTTTAGCTCTTACTCCCTTCCCCTCTCCCCATTCTAGTAGTCCTCAGTGTCTGTTTTTCCCATCTTTATGTCAGCATTTATTCAATGTCTAGCCCTGCTTATAAGTTAGAATATGCAGTATTTAGTTTTCTGTTTCTGCATTAGTTTGCTTAAAATAATGGCCTCCAGCTGCAACCATGTTGCAGCAAATGACATGATTTCATTTTTTATGGCTGCATAGTATTCCATGGTGTATATGTACACATTTTCTTTACCAAACTGCTGTTGATAGGCACCTGGGTTGATTCCATGTTTTTGCTATTGTAAATAGTGCTGCAAAGAACATACAGGTGAATGTGTCCTTTGATAGACTAATTTATTTTCCTTTGGGTATATACCCATTAATGAAATTGCTGCGTCAAATGATAGTTAAACTCTTAGGTCTTTGAGAAGTATTCAAACTACTCTCTGTAATGCATAGTGGCTGGGCTAATTTACATCTTCACCAACAGTGTCTGAGTGTCCTTTTTCTCTGTAACCTCACCAACATCAGTTATTTTTTGACTTTTCAACAAAAGCCTTTTGGACAGGTGTGATCTGGTGTCTCATTATGGTTTTGACTTGTATTTCTCCGATAATGAGTTGATTAGCACTTTTTCACATGTTTGTTGGCTGCTTGTATGTTGTCTTTTGAGAAATATCTGTTTATGTCCTTTGTCCAATTTTTAATGGGGTTATTCATCTTTTACTTGTTGATTTCTTTAAGTTTATTATATATTCTGGATATTAGGCTTTTGTTGGATGCATAGATTGCAAGTATATTCTTTCATTCTGCAGGTTGTCTGTTTACTTCCTTACAGTTTCTCTTGCTGTGCAGGAGTGTTTTACTTTAATTAGGTTCCACTAATCAATTTTTGTTTTAGTTGCAATTGCTTTTGAGGACTTAGCCATAAATTATTAGCCATCGCTGATATCAAGAAGGGTATTTCTTTTATTTCTGTTTTCTGATTGCTCTGGCTAGGACTTCCAGTACTATGTTGAATTGGAGTGGTGAGAGTGGACATCTTTGTCTTGTTCCATTTCTCAAAGAGAATGGTTCAGCTTTTGCCCATTCAGTCTGATGTTGGCTGTGGGTTCGTCATAGATGGCTCTTGTTATTTTGAGGTATGTTCCTTTGATGCCTAATTTGTTGAGAGTTTTTAATCATGAAAAGATGTTGGAGTTTATCAAAAGCTTTTTTTGCATTTTTGAGATGATCATATGGTTTTTTATTTTAATTCCGTTTATGGAGTGAATCACATTTATTGATTTGCATATGTTAAACCGATCCTGCATCCCAGGGATAAAGCCTACTTGATTGTGATAAATTAACTTTTTGATGTGCTGCTGAACATGGTTTGCTAGTACTTTGTTGAGGATTTTTGTGTCTATGTTCACCAGTGATATTGGTGTGAAGTTTTCTTTTTTGTTGTTGTTGTGTGTCTGCCAGATTCTGGTATCAGAATGATGCTGGCTTCATAGAATAAGTTAGGGAGGAGTACATCCTCCTTGATTTTTTGCAGTAGTTTCAGTAGAATTAGTACCAGTTCTTTGTATGTCTGGTAGAATTCATTTGTGGATCTATCTGGTCCAAGCCTTTTTTTTTGTTCGTAGGTTTTTTTAAATTACTGATTCAATTTTGGAACTTGTTATTGGTCTGTTCAAGTTTTCACTTTCTTCCTGGTTCAATCTTGGGTGGTTATGCATGTCCAGGAATTTATCCATTTCCTCTAGGTTTTCTAATTTGTGTGCTCAGAGGTGTTCGTAATAATCTCTGAGGATCCTTCGTATTTCTGTGGGATCAGCTGTAATGACATCTTTGTCATTTCTGATTGTGCTTATTTGGATCTTCTTTCTTGTTAATCTAGCTAGTGGTCTATCAATCTTGTTTCATCTATAAAAGAACAGACTTTTGGTTTCATTAATCTTTTGTATAAGTTTTTGCATCTCAATTTCATTCAGTGCTCTGACTTTAGTTAATTTCTTTCTTTTGCTAGCTTTGGGGTTGGCTTATTCTTTTCTTTCTAGTTCCTCTAAGTACACTGTTAAATTGTTAATTTGAGATCTTTCTAACTTCTTGATGTAGGATTTTAGCACTGTAAACTTTCCTCCCAATACTGCTTTAGCTGCATTTCAAAGATCAGCAACAACAAGTGTTAGCAATAAAAGTTGTTGCTTCCTATCTGCTCTTCAGATCTGCCAAATGTCTCCCTTGTGGTCCACCCTAACATACAATTAAGGGAATGCTGGAAAATGTAGTTCAGCACAGTCAAGTAGACACATTAAAGCCTAAATAGTAATGATATACAGTTGTCCCTTGATATTCATTGGGGATCGGTTCCAGGCATATCTTCGTTATACCTTTCTGTAATTATTTATTTACCTATCACTCCCAACAGCAGGACAGTAATATCTTTGATGAAGAAACAAAGCTTAATTCCATTTTGTATTTTCTATGGAATCACAACTCTTGGCACTAAATAGGCATTCAATAATTATTTACTGAATGTACAAGCTTAATTTAGAAGGAAGAAAGGGAATTTAAGAGATGAATGAGATAGCATGATGGTTAATATTAGGTGCCAACGTGATTGGATTGTGGGATGCCTAGATGGCTGGTAAAGTATTGTTTCTCTGTGTGTCTGAGTGTGTTTCCAGAAGAGACTGACATTTCAGTCAGTGGACTGGGAGAGGAAGACTCACACTAAATGTGGGTGGGCACCATCTAATTGGCTGCCGGCCAGCTAGGACAAGGCAGGCAGCTCTCTTTTTTCTTTCCATGCTGGTTGCTTGCTTCTGCTCTTCCTGCCCTTGGACATCATACTCCAATTTCTTTGGTCTTTGGGCTCTGAAACTTGTACCAGCAGCTTCCCCAGGGCTCTCAGGCCTTCTGCCACAGACTGAAGGCTGTACTGTTGGATTCCCGGTTTTGGGGCTTTTGGACTTGGACTGAGCCACTACCAACTTCTCTCTTCTTCAGCTTGCAGAATGCCTATTGTGGGATTTCACTTTGTAATCATGTGAGCCAATTCTTCCTAATAAACTCCCTTTTATATATACATATATCCTATTGGTTCTGTTCCTCTGGAGAACCCTGACAAATTACAGATGGGAAAATGTGTGTTAGGCAGTGGAAGCAAGGAAGGAGCAGGAAAAATTGGGCCAAATTAGAGACAAACTCAGTACTATTAAATTTCCTTTAAGAAATTCATATTACAGATGTATATAAGTAGGCAACTAAACCAATCATATTGGACCTTCAGAAGTTTCAATAAAATGCCATAGAAACATGATAGTGGGAACCTCTCACCCTTGAAATAAATACTTATTTTAAAAGGCCTAAAATGCTGTTGTTGGCCAGTTGTGGGGGCTTATACCTGTAATCCCAGCAATTTGGGAGGGTGAGGCGGGATCGCTTGAGTCCAGGAGTTTGAGACCAACCTGGGCAACATGGCAAACCTCTGTCTCTACAAAAAATAGAAAAAAATAGGCAGGCATGGTGGCGTGTGCCTGTAGTGCCAGCTACTTAGGAGGCTGAGGCAGGAGGATCATTCGAGCCCCGGAGGTCGAGGCTGCAATGAGTTGTGATCACACCACTGTACTCCAGCGTGGGCAACAGAGTAAGACCTTGTCTCAAAAAAGCAAAAACAAAAACATGGAGTTATCTTCTTTGGTATTATATCTGGTTTTGAACAGTTTGGTACAACTTTTATATGAGCTGATAAGTCATATTTTTCATTCAAAAAATTATTCAAATATTTACTTTTGTTCTATTAAGTAAATATTTTTAATACTGATTTATTTATTTTCATTATTTCTCTCTTTTATCTAGTATTAATTTTTTTGTCATATAATATGCCTGGAGGGAGGGAGAAAAACGGGGGAAAGAAGATGGAGGGAAAAAGGGATGAAGGGAAGGAAGGAGGGAAAAATTTTACATTTTCTTCCCAAAGATTCTGATTAAGTAGATCTGAATTAGACTGTACTTACAACTGTGCTTGTAAGACATTTCAAAAATTGATTTTGATGGGCAACAGGTTGGAGAACTGTCAACTAGAGGACATGGTAATGAATTGATGGTCAAATGAACATGCCCAAAACTATAAAAAATACTATCTGTGAGTCTGGTATAAGCCACTAATCTACTATTTGAATATTAGTGACACCTACAGTTGGGATTGCACCAACAAACATCTGTCCTGGTCTGGATCACATTTTACTGCTGTCCTCTGTTTCACCTGTAAATCAAATACCAGTAAATATTCTGACTTGATGGGTGTTCAGCAAACCGCTGTTTTTGAAAAGATGTTGATGTTATAATTTTATAGTTTCTTAATGTCTTTGTCTGCAATTAAAACAATGTGGAGTCACCAAGAGTTTATCAATTTATCAATTATTTTGCTGTTGATCCATTTATTTTCTGTGTTAATCAGATCATAAGCTTATAAATACAATAGTATACATGAGAGAAATGTATCAACAAGGGTTGCTCTTAAAAAAAAAGAATATTGTGAAAACTGGGTAGGTATGGGGTAGTAATGAGGAGAAGGATCTCTTCAAAGGCAATAGAGGTGGCTCAAAATTGGAAGTTAATTTCCATATTCTCACACCCTCGCCTCTGTTCCAACACCAAGATAAAATGCTGCTGGCTGCTTATCTTCACAGATACTGTCAGCTTTTAGAGTTGTGCTATTTGTCACTATTTCTCACATCAAGAATAACCTGGACTATTGCTCTGAATTATTCCATAACAAAATGTAGAAGATAGGAAAAGTCTAAGAAAAACAACTATACAAAATCTGAAGTCACAAAAATTTTCAAAGTCAATACTGACTTGAATACAATGTAGAAGTGTTTAAGAAGAACATTATGTACTCTGAGTCTTGATTTTTAAGCCAAATTATTACAGTTGGTTATAATGTTAAAATTATACCTAGCTCCAGTGGTTACATTTTGAGATGCCTTTATTTTCAGTGGTTTAACATTATTTTCTAGTAAAATATCTTTAAAAATCAACCAATATGAGTGCTTCACTAATATGTAGTTTTCAAACTATTGTGTATTTTTGCTTTGCCTTGTTTGGGCACATAGTTTGATTTAAGAAAGGAGTTGAATTAAGCTCAGGTTTTGATCTTAGCCTGAGAAGGTTAGAGTTCAGATGGAACAGCCACTGTTATTTGAAAGGATTATGTTGCAATTTTAGTACCACTACAGGATTCATATGCAGAAAAGTTCTGATAATTTTGAAGTAGTATACATAGTTTCATATTTTAAAGAGTGATACACACTGAATTGTGTTATTTTGTGAGGAATCTGGACTTTTAGTCAAATATTTCTAATATTTCTAATTTCATTTTTTGTGTATACATATTTATTAAATTGAAAATTTTGTCATATACATGAATTTGAAATTATATATATATGAACATATACATACATATGTATGTGCATTTGTGTATGACTTGAAATGAATTTGTGTATTTTAGGGCAATCTCATGTGCTTTCCATGCCATGAGGGCATTACTGTTCTGTTCTTTGAAATTTTCTGAATATTCTTTTCTGCAGACAAAATGGGATTGAGGAAAATACTCTAGACAAAGTACAATAAAGCATTTTAGAGACTAATTATAATTTAGTCCAGTAAAAGGTAGAAAATAGATAACTACAAATAATCCTAAAACCTGATGTGCAATAGTATGCGATTATCTTAATATAATGTTGATGAAATTCCCCATTAGATGGGAATATAGGGAAAATACAATTTTATATTCCAAATACATTTATATACAATGCAGAATGTAGCAGTATAGCTATTTGATGGATATATGTAATATAGAAAGTTAAATATTATAATTTTGATAACATAGTTTTGCATTTACTTCCCTTAAATTTAGTAGTAGATATATAAAGTGCAGAGCCTACCTAATAGGGAATAATCAGTAATTGCATATATGACACACACATGCTTGAGTGCACACACAGACACACACACACACACACACACCTCCACAGTGTAAGAACCAGGCTGTATTTGCAACCTTGGGAAATTTAAACTTCAGAGAAAAATGTGGCTGTTTCTGTCAAATAAACAATAATTGTGAGTGCAGAGAGGTTAATCCAGTCAGGTACCAATGCTCGTGAAATGGTGTAGAAAGTGAATAGAATAGTGTAAATTATGGAATAAAGCAAATTCCACTAAAGAGCTTATTTAGTAACAGATTATCAAGAGTCCATCTTCTTTTCTGCCTTTCTCTTTCTCTTCCTTTATATATAAAAGATGTTGCCTATCTTCCCATCTATAAAGTTGAGTTGTTTAGAGAAGTGAAACTGAAAGGCAGAAGTCTAGAATTTCCCCAAGGAGTAATAGCTCATTTCAAACTACGCCACTTCAAAGATAAATGACTGTTGAAATAGGAAACATAAGTAGTGTAAGGCCATCAATGGGTAAAATCAGTTATTTGAAATTACTCTAGAAGTTGCAAAACTTTAGCTTCTAAGATGAGATAAGGGTTAATTAAGAATTTTTTTTGCTATTTATTTATGGAGCTATTTCTGGTAATATTTTAAAGTAAAAATGTTTAACTTTTAATATCACATTTTTTACAGTTTCTAAAGTTTTATGAATTCTATAGTTTTATTGTTTCTAAAATTTTATTGTCTTGTTAAATAAAGACCCACTTTTTTCCTTTTTTCCTATTAAGAATTAAACATTAAACATTCTTTAAAGAATGTTTTATTTACTAAAAATAAAGATTCTGTAAAAAACTTATAGATGGCATATATAGTAATCATAAGCAAAAGATAAATTTTAGTTCTGCCAACCTGAGAGAAATTTAAATTAGCCTTTCAAAATGCATTCATTTTCAGTTTTAGAGAAAAAGTTGAATAAGTAAATGGATGTATGTATGCATATGTTTGTGTATGTGTGCCAGTGTGTATACCCAAAGTGTCTGTGTGTTTTAGTGCTCACTCTCAAATATATGACATGAATCATTCAGCGACATATTTAACTCTATACATGAGTAACTTTAATATCTTTCTTTGAAATCTTTTGAATCGTATCTAATAAATATAGAAATTCAATGCATGTTTATTATATATGCATTATAATATTTTAAATATTAATGTTCCAAATAATCTATATTAATAAATGCTGGATGAAATAATGCATCTCTTGGGAATCAACACATGTGAACTATTAGTCATCATCTGTCACTTTCAAATAACGTTTTTCCATTCTCTAAATCAGTGGCTTCCAAAGTGATTTGTATGTATTTCAGGGGATGTTCTAGAATGTTGTTTAGAGTGCAAGAAAAAAAATAGAATTTGCATTTGGATGTATTTTTGTCTAAAAAATACAAAGTAAGTCTTTAGTAGTTAATTTAATATTTAATATGTTCACATTTTCATCTTTATTACTTGAATCCATAAATAATGATTCTTAAATCATTATTATTATTATTATTATTATTATTAGGCACATTGCTACCTGGAATAAGGACTAAATTTATCTTCTTTCCTTGCAGCTAGGTGATGATATTCTGATCTATGAGATGCAAGAAGATGTGATGTGTGGGACATCCATGAAAACTGATTAATGAGACCTGACACAAATTAGAGATCAAGCCCACTACGACCACCACCATTTTTCTCTTCTATCCTATTTTTTTGTGACCTCTAGCATGACCATGATGCCAAGATCTCTAGCAGCCACATAGTGACCTGAGGTAAATCTGAGTATGAAAATCATGTGCCAGGATGGTGTAGAAAGAGGGTTTTGGATCCTATTGACAATGGAAAGTTGGTCTTCCTACCTCTGAACCTCTTTATGTAAGAGAAGTAACCTGAGTTTTAAAAGCCATTATTATTTCCATTTTCTCTGCTGATGCAGACAAACACAAGTCCTAATTTTATAGAGACCTAATACGTTCTGGACCTCAGAAAGAGATTCCTGGAGGAAATGTTGTTTTCAACCACTAACTCTGCTAATTTCAGGCCAAGTGAGGCATTATATAGACAGTCTGACCACTGCCACAGTTGCATACGTTCTAAATTTGAAATAAATCCCTTACTCTGTATCACTTATAGTGGATCTGCTTCTCTGATAAAACCCTCACTAAGACAATTATCATCCACTGTTTGTTTTTCCTGTGGTAAGTATATCATTGCTGTATAAAAATAACCTTTTAATTATTAACTCAGTTGGCCCAGTTTAGCATCTTTTCCATCTTCCATTCTCAATTTGATAATTACCATCTTTCATAATAATTATCCTTCAGGTTTCACAATACATGTATGTTGAATGTTAAGGCTATTCTTCATTGATATTTACACTTTGACTCCATGGTGAGAGAAGCTGCAGTATCTGAGAAATAAATAATTTGTATGTGGGAGGTGTGATTTTACAGCTAGATTATAGCTCAGTTTCTAGTTCTTTCTTTTAGAGAGATTTCTCTTGGTCATCTTTATAGAGGTATGAAGATATTTAGTTTTACTGTTATTATATTAACATTTTAAAAAGCAGCTTTCTACAAGGTATGGCATCAGGTGGAATTATTCTTGCTGTGCTCTCAAATAATCTCCATGCTAAGTTTTTGGGCCTCACTGCAGCCCCTGAACACGTATGTCTCTCTGTACCTCCTCTGTATGATGTAGTGAATTTTTTGGACCTTTGAATCACACACAGGCTTTCTTGGCTGTTTTATACCAAAGGACTTTCACTAAATTCCTAAGAAAAATTTAGCACAGCCGATGCTGTTTTCCAATGCCAACCTTGGAGTTTGCAATTTGCCCAGACAAAAATACCATAGCTGATGGTGATGATGATGTCAATATTTTTTTAAAATACAATTTAAAAAATGGTTCAACATAAATTATCTCATTTAGTCCCCTGAACAACCTTGTGATGTGATTTTGAACAGGAATATCAAGACCTCAGGATCTGGCATCAAATTCTGGGGTTTGAATATTATTTCTATCACAAACTATTTATATTACTGCTTATATGTAAGTGACAACCTTTCTATTCCTTATTTTTTCCACTTGTAAAATCAGAAAAATGACAATGATGAGAGCACCAAACTTATGAGCTTGCGAAGATTAAATGTGTGTATGGGTTTTTATCAGTTTGAGAGACATTATATTTCCATTTGTTGTCATTCTGTCCCTTCCATCAGGGTAGGACCTTTCTTCAGTGCATTACTTTGTCCCCTGAACCTAGAATGGTACCTGGAATATCATTGGTGCCCAATAAGTACTTGCTGAATAAATGACTGAATAAATAAATGTAATCTGTCAATATTTTCATCTGAAGATATGATATCTGTTTTTTACCTTATTTTTTCAATCATCCGAAAGGTAGTATGCACATTTGAAAGGTAGTCATTGTTATTTTCTTACACCAGTACTTGCACTTTTACAATATGTAGCAATAATCATAAGCAAAGTATCATGACAGAGTGAGAATAAACTTAAATCTGTAATTGCAATTTTTCTTCACCGTGGCCTCCATTGTTTGTCATGTGTCTTGGCTACGTCAGGATGGAAAGCATTGCTTTTTTCTATTTACAGGACCAGAATTAAATCCATGTTTCTTGGCTGACCATTTGGTTAGTTTTTGTTTGTTCATTTGTTTTTTCATGAAATGTTCATGGTGGTTGGGCTGGAATAGGTATAGCATTTTATTTATTTATACTCAGCTGAAACTAAGAGAAATATTTCAGACCAAGAAGTGGGGACAAGAGCAATACTTGTGTAATAATACGATGTACCATTTTACATTATTTGGAAGTGCTGATGCCTGCATCTATAGCATCAGTCAAGAAAGAGAGGTAATGAAAGAGATTTCAAATGAATATCAGATAGGCTTTAGTATTACATAGGATAAGACAGACAGGATTGGTCAGGGTATGCTGGAAAAGATTTTTTATCTTATTTTATTGGCTTTATTTAAATTTTTTTTTTTTTCCCAGCTGGAAATCTATTTATTTATTTTTCTTCAGTGTTACAATGAAACAACATTGCTTTATTTAAATTTTATAAAAATTCAAACCATACAGTACTTTATAATAAAATTGACTGCCTTTGGCTACTCTATCTCTATTTCCAGTGCAACTGTGGAAGTGGCACTGACAGATATGGTTTTAGCTACTTAGAAATTTTTCTAGACACACACACACACACACACACACACACACACAATTTATATGCAAAATGCTCATATGCATGTCATATTTTTTCTTTATTCAGCAAGTTATAGTGGATATTCTTTTATAGCATACGTAGCAATGGACTTCTCTTTTTAAAGACTGCCTAGAATTCTGTAGTTATAATACAGTCATTCATGTAACTAATTCTCTAAAAACAAGCCAGATGATATTTACTAAGAACTTACTATGGGTCAGGCACAGCTCTAATAGTCTAATCTCATCTAATCTCAATACGTTCATGAGTTAGGAATGGTTGTTATTCCCATATGTTCCCAATGAGGAAACTGAAGCAGAGAGTTTAAATAATGTGCCCTAATTTACAGAATTATTAAACTGGTACTGGAATTATGCAAAGATAATCAGGCATCAGAGTTTGTGATGTCAACTGTTATGTGATACTGCAATAAACGTTGTATAAACCTCTGTAAACTAGTGTGACATGGTTTGGCTGTGTCCCCACCCAAATCCCATCTTAAATCGTAACTCCTACAATTCCCACCTGTCATGGGAGGAACCTGGTGGTAGGTGATTGAATTATGGGGGTGGGTCTTTCCTGAACTGTTCTCGTGATAATGAATGAGTCTCACGAGATATGATGGTTTTAAAAACAGGAGTTTCTCTGCACAAGCTCTCTCTTTGCCTGCCACCACCCATGTAAGATGTTGACTTGCTCTTTCTTGCCTTCTGCCATGATTGTGAGAACTTCCCACTCCTGTAGAACTGTTAAGTCCATTAAACCTCTTGTTCTTCCTAGTCTCGGGTATGTCTTTATCAGCAGCATGAAAATGGATGAATATATACTGTAACAATTTTTAAACAATAGATGTGGATTGCTGGGTCAGAGATTTGGCATATTTTATATTTTGATAGTTTTTTCCATTTTGTCCTCTAACAAAAGTCAAAACAATGTGAACTTATGCTAATAGAATATGAATGCATTCCTGGCTAGGTGTGGTGGTGGCTCATGCCTGTAATCCCAGCATTTTGGGAGGCTGAAGTGGGTGGATCACTGAAGGTCAGGAATTCGAAACCCTCATGGTGAAACTTAAAAAAAAAAAAAGAATATGAAATATGAAGGCATTCCTTTCTCTAAACTATTGCCAATGTCAGATACATTTGTTCCTAAAATCAGGTCTCTGAAAATTGGTGGATAGTAAAATTAAAGGTTATATCAGAATGATTTCCTTTAAAAAATACAGAAAAAATGCATTCTAATAAGTTGGAAAGAAGTGTTCTCTTGTCATGTTACATGAATCTGAATTGTAAAGGGTTTGTCAAAAACCAAATATATAGGATTTTATTCATTAAAAAAATCATTACTACTAATGCTCAATGGAGCAGATGAGTTTAGTTTATTAGTATTGTCTGCCATTTTCTCCAAGATCCCAATTTTTAAAATTCTTTCATATGATGTCTTGGTTCTACTCAGCAAACTTTCAGACTTTTGTTATTTTTGTTAGTTTGTCATATATTTTTTAGATAGTGCTTTTGCTATAGTAAAACATGCCTTCAATGTGGTAAGATATGTCTTTTAAAAAATTATAGCCAATAAATATCAACTTGACTTCAATGGTTGATCCCCTTTTGCTACTTCTGTACCTGGAAAACTCCTCGAGATGGTAACTAGTGCTTTCCAGTCATGCTTATGCTTAAGAGCAAAAACAAAACAAAATTGAAAGCAATAAAAACAAAAGAATTTCGCTGATGAAATACACAATTTTAATTTTGCAAAGCATCAACTGTGAATGCTTCAACAGCATGGCATTGTGTGAGAGTTTGGAAACATACCAGGGGGTTGAATTTACATTCTTTTTTTTTTTGGGTAATAAGATGTATTTTAATTTGACCACGGGAATGTGGTCAATTATATTTCCAGACTCTAACTAAAAAGCTTGGACTTTAGGTTTAAAGTTTGTTATTCTAAAATGAATGTCTTTATAGTAAAGGAAAAAACATTCATGTCTTCAATGTAGGAATCCAAATATCATAAATTATGCATTAATTTAAAGGCTGGTTTATTGTCAATCTTTTTAACATTTAACAAATCAGTGACAAATGATGTTTAATTTATATATCCCTTATCACTGGTGATACACATCACTTATCATCTATTTATCCATCCATTTATTTATTTTTTATTTATTAACCATATTAATTTTTCTTCCAGGAGATTACTGTTTTTATCCTTTCCTTTTCTCTTTCTTGTTTTTTCCTATTAAAAACTTTGTATTGTTTATGAAAGTCTTAGGAATAGAAGGAAGGACTAATTTCTGAGAACAGAACAAGGTGGGCACAAGAAGCCCCTCTAAAGACAGAACTAAGGCAGGAATCAATGTTATCCTCATGTGTGGCTTGAGAACCAGCCTGGTGGGGAGTGGAGGTGAGAGATTTCAGACATCAAGAAGGTGGTCACCACTCTGCTCCTCCAGGCCTTCTAAGATATGGAAAAGCTGCTGTGACAAAGAAGCCATGCTCTCTCGGACCCGGGCTGCAGCCTTGATATGTCAAGTGGTACAAGGCACTTTGACATGCAGGGTGTGGAGAAACTTCAGTCTTCAGACTTCATCCTGCAAATCAGAGTAGGCCTGATGAGCATTTGACCAGTGCAGTTACACAGAGCCCTATGCTCAGAAAGATGCTGAGTCTGGTTTAACTCTGCTGTTATTATCTGAACATTCTTAACAACTTTTGCTTTAAACTGTGCTTTCTAAGCGGAGTTTAATGGGATAATGGAACATGCACGTGAGCAGAGGAGATACATTCAGGGCACATGTACGCTGTGCTTCCTTGACACTCCACTTGCAGATTGCCTTTGCAATGCGCCATATGCACAGAATTTCAGTGGACCACTAGGCTTGGAAATTCAGTAAGACTTAAAGTAAATAAAAGGTAAGCATTTTATATATGGGGCTGAGTAAGAGGAGGGCGATGAAACAGGACACTGACGGCTTTTAGAGACAGTGCATTCCTTTGAACACAACCTTGCTTCAAATGCAGAAAGAAAGCAGTGGCCTTTCATGACATCTGAATACCCAAAGAAGCCTATTACACCCTTTCTTACTTAAGTTACATTCTTATATTGGCCAAGTACTTACATAAAAAATGATGACACAGAAGGAAAGGGAAAAACAGGACAGCCCATAGTTCCTTTTCCTTTCAGTCTTTTCTTACTTGCCTGTAGCAAAAGGTAGAGAGTGTTGGTAGAATGTGCATGTATCGAAAAGTAAAATAAAAACTGTGCCACTGCTTTGGTGCAAAATTTCTTCTTAATTTGGTAAGAGCAAAATACACATGCATATATGAACTATGAAATATAAATTGTATAATTTCAGTAATTATACATATAAATTAAATGCTCTTATATTCTAAATCTTGTATTACACAATACAAAGATGAATGGTAAAATTCCTTGTAATAATCAAAATTTTTTTCTTAGAATGACATTAGATAGCAAATAAAAGAGACATGACAAAACAACGTGGAGACTGTGGGAGAAAGGTAACAGCTTGATAGTTTAGTACGTTTAGTGGAAATTTTTTTGTGCTTTTTGAATAAGGGGTCCCACGTTTACATTTTGCACTGGGTCCTGCAGATAACGGAGCTGTCTCAGCCCAGTTGATTGATGTCCTGGAGAGGATCCCTCAATGGCAGAGAGCTCGGTGACAAGTTCTAGATGTTGCTGCAGGTGTTTTTGTTTGACCATGTTTCTTGACTCCCTCATTGCGACAAACTTCTCCAGATTCTCTCAGAGCTTTTGAGGCCAACTCATTCACCCTCAGTACCGTTCCCCTGGCCTACCCCAAACTTATGCTGTTGAACTTGTTTCTCCAAGAAAGGACTCAGCATTTCCAAAATGCTTTTCAAAGCATCACCAGGACAATAGAACTCTTTTTTCTTGGCTACGGAGTCCTGCCGAGCCACAAACAGATGGAAAATATAATTCATCCCCTCAAAGATCTGGAAGATACTGAGTCCCACAGCATTTGCTCTGCACCTGGCTCTCCTATGGTCCCGATCATCCAAATGAACTTACAGGTCACTTTTTGGGTGTCTTTGTGCCAGTGATTTTGCTGATGGGTCTATTTGTCCTTTTATTTCTGGTTCACACGGGAGCTCATTATGGTAGTTATAAAATTAGATTTGTGGTGTTTGGAACCTAGCAAAGAGAGCTATGAAATTGCAATAGACTACTTAATTATCCAAATTTTTAAGACTAACCTTAATTCATTTATGTATTGTTCCAACTGCACCCCATCCCACATTTTTTTTTCAAGTGGGTGTTTTATATTTTGTGCTGATTAACCCCTTATAAGTGATACATTGCACCTATTTTCTCCTAATCTGCATTTTGTTGTTACTTTGTGGCATCTTTCATCATGTATAAACTTTCTTTTAAATTTTGTGTAATGAAAACGTTTAGTCTTTTTCTGTATTTATTTATTTAGAGACTGAGTCTCACTCTGTCACCCAGGCTAGAGTGCAATGGTGCGATCTCCACTGTCTGCAACCTCTGCCTCCTGGGTTTAAGCAATTCTCTTGCCTCAGCCTCCCGAGCAGCTGGGATTACAGGTGCCCGCCAACACGCCCAGATATTTTTGTATTTTTAGTAGAGACAGGGTTTCACCATGTTGGCCAGACTGTTCTTGAACTCCTGACCTCAGGGGATCCACCTGCCTCAGCCTCCCAAAGTGCTGGGATTACAGGTGTGAGCCACTGTGCCAGGCCTCTGTATTCTTAAATTTTATGCCTCTGAAGGCTTTTCTATCCCAAAAATAACTTTAAAATTCTTCTATAGCATTTGAACAATGTTGTAGTTTTATCCTTTGAACTCTAATGAATTAGAATTTATTGTCTGATAAATGTATAAGACAAACATCTAAATTTATTTATCAAACTAGATAGATTTTTAAATAAACAGCCACTTAATGGATAATCTAACTCTTTTTAACTGCTTTGAAATATTTTATTTGCTATATGCCAAATTCTTATGTGTATATGTGCCTTCTTTTTCTCTCTAGTCTCTTTCATTAGACTATTTGCCTTTTCCTGTACTTATATCACACTGTTGAAGTTATTATAACTATGTAGTATATTATGATACCTAGTAGGACAAATTCTCCTTCAGTGTTCTTCAAAAATTCCCTGGTTATTGTCTTGATTTACATTTTACAGATATTTTAAAATCAATTTTTATAATAAAATTCTTTTAGAATTTAAATAGAAATTGTATTAAATTTAAAGATTTACTTGGGGAGATTTGGCATCTTTGTAATGTTGAATAGTTTCCATCTTGTAATATCTTTCCATTTTATTGGATCTTAGAAAATTTTAACTTTTCCTTCACAACTTTAGTTAAACAAATTCATAAGTATACCCTTATTTTGTCTTTGTTAGAGGAATTTTAAAATAAGTATTTGTCATTTATTTCTGTAAATTAAAAAGATGTAAATTTATCTTATAACTGGCCACTTTCTTAAATTATTTCATTTATTCCAATAGTTTTTCTACTGATATTCCAGGCTTTTCTATGTAGGAAATCACATAAGTTGCAATTAATGAAGATTTAGGTTTCTTTCTAATATCTTATTTAAGTTCTTATTTGTCAGGACTTCCATGTAATGATCATAGTACTTGATTTTAAACAATAGGATAAGTCAGACTCTGGTTAATTTTGACAAAACATAAAAAGTAGTTCAAAGGAAAACTATTGAACCACATTTGGAAAACAAGTACACTAAGCAGTCAGAACCAAATGCAAAATGAATCCATCTGGTGAACATATTACTGCTATTGCTATTGAACAACAGCTGGCATTCCCAGCACCACAATACTGCCTTTTTGTTCCTTGGGAAGCCATAGTGGCTTCTCTTCTGTCCTTGCTCCATTGCACTATTTCCAATTCAAGGTTGTGTTTGAATATCTGACTGGCTAAGCCCAGGTCGTATGCACATGCCAAAGTGGCAAGGGAAATTGGGAAAAGTGTGTTTTTCCACAATTCAGAGTTCTTCTATTTGTGGGAAATTTTCCAAATCATAGGATCAAGGTTTACATGTTGAGTAGAAAAAAAAATTAACAAGAATATTTCATACCCTTTAAAATATATTGAACAGTAACAGTATGATTCATTTTGTATCTTACTTTCATTGGAATTTCTCTTGTATTTTACCCTTAAATATGTTTTTGTTGTTGATTGATACTATAATAATATGACAGAACTTTCCTTTTATTTTTAGCTTACTGAATAGTTTTTGTTGTAACCTTAATAAAAAGTGGATGTTAAATTTTTATCAAATATATTTCCAGCATATATGGAGATAATTACACATTTTCTCTATTAATATAAAATAGCAAATTGCATGAATATATTTCTTAATGTTGAATTATTTCCTTGTATTATAAAATATATTCCACTTGACCTTATGCTCTATTGTTAAGTCAATATTCAATGTTTACAGTATTTGGCCTATGGAACTATTTTTCACAGCTGATAATTTTAGTTTATTATGAATATTTTTGTTCCCCCCTTTTATTTATCTTCATGCTTTTTCTTATTGTGTACTTCTATTGCTATTTCCTCTGCACACCCCCAATCATTCAACAGCCTTTAAGTACACTTTTCAATAAGGTCAATCACATCAGCTAAACAGACATTTCAATTATTTTCTTGGAAACAGTCTCTTGGAAAGCCCCTTTCTGAGGGTCTGGACTGATTGCATTCTAGGCCAGAAATGGAGCTGTCATTCTAGGACTTTCCTTTTCTGTTATGCTTTGAATTCCCTCTGCCTCTCTTCTGGCTTGGATCTGTTGCTTCTGGCCCCATCCTCTTATCTGATGTTTTGCCTTGTTTTGTCCTAGCGAATCATGAGGTCAGGTTCAAGGGACAAAGGCAGAGGCATGCACAGGGGAGCCCTCAGCAAGTCACATGGCTCCAATGTGAGCTGAATGTGCCCTATTTTCTGGAGCCTATTTATCATCCTGGCATCTCTCTTCAACATAAGATGATTCCTATTCCCATAGCCTTCTCTTTAATTTGATTTACTCTCTCAGGTTTGGGGAATACATTCCCCAGGAGCTTGCTGAGAAAAAAGATGCATGGGAATTTTTTTTTGAGACAGTTTATACTTTAATATGTTTTTATTCTATCCTCATATTTAACTGACATTTCAATAGGGCCTAGGTTGGAAACATTTTCTTTCAGAATGTTGGAGGTGTTTCTTTTCCATTAAGGAAATTGAAGCCATTTTAATTTCTATCCATTTTGCTGAGAATCTTGCAGAAGGCCTCACTTTGAATTGCCTTCAGTTTAGTGAATTTTTGAGTTATTCATTGTTGATTTTTGTCCCTCCATTTTCTTTATCTTTCTGGAATTTCTGTTATTTGGATGTTGGTCCTCCTGGACTAACCCATTGATACTGCCTTTTTTCTGTTCTCATAGCCATCTCTTTGCCTTTCTGTTCTAATTTCGGTGAGACTTCCTCAACTTTATTTTCTGAAATGTCTATTTCATTTATCTTATGATGTTTTAAAATCTGATCTCCTTTTTTCTCCTGGATGTCCTCATCATAGTTCTTTTCATAGTTGCAATGCAATCTTTTACTGTCAGGATTTTTATTATAATTTCTTGTAAAATTTCTTCTCTCTGTATATTTATTACTAACAAATCATGTCTTCTGTTTTGGTTTCTCTTTCCATATTAAATAATTGTTTGGGGTGTTTGGCAATCTTTAGTTGTTCATTTTGTTTATGATTAAGGAGATTAAAAGTTTATTTTAATCATTCTGAGCAAGTGTGTGGGACTTTTTGACTTTGAACTTCACTTGAAGGTTATCTTAAGTAACATGCTTTTGAGGACCCTTGGGCTGCTCATAAGCACTTGAAAATATTCCTTCAACGTCCTCTCTCAAGAGTAAAGGTAATGGTCATTTAATAAAGGCTTCAGTACTCAGCATTCATTGCGTGTGTAAACACTAGTCTTTTTATTTTCAGTACATTTCCTATATGGTCAGTCCCCCATGATGTCACACTGGGCCCTATGCTGGGAAGGGCCTCATGCTTAATTTCATTATCTGCTACTGCCATCTTGAAATTGTTAGTAATTTTTGAATGATGGACTCACATTTTAATTTTGCACTGGGTTCCACAAATTATGTATCCAGTCCTGGGTACCCGTATCATCAAGTCTGAAGTTCTAAGACTAAAGACCCTTGGTTTTACCCTCTCCAGTTTTCTCTGAGGGTGGGAGAGGAATATTTGTCCAACAGCATAAAATGAAGGTAGGGACTCCACTGTTTGTAATTTGAACTTCACACAATTTTCCTTATTCTAGCACTGAATTTCACTCTTCTTTCCTCGCCTTTCCAATAAGGCGGCTGTGCCTAAATCTAGCTTTCCATGGATACCAAGGTCACAACCTGGATAGTTTTCTCTACCACTCCAAAATGTGGCTGGTGGCTGAAATCCAGACTGCCTGCTGGTAAGCCATCTTTGATTCTCCTGTGAAAAATGTTCATCTCTATCAACCGTGGGATGGGGTCCTTGAATGGTGACCCCACACTGGGTGTCTAATAGAGCACTTTGACTTTCCATGCCTCTTTGTGTAATCAAGGGAGGCATTGGGAAATGCATGCTTTTCTTTTTTGTGAACACATACCTTGTAAGTTTTGCCATTAAAATCTGTTCATTAACTCATTAGAGTGACTTGGTAATGTCCTTCCTGAGCTGCGCTTTACAATAAGACACAGCTCCAAATGGATTCATTTTGCACATTTTAGTCAAGGAAAAAATATTACTTTCATATAATATATAACAATAGTAACAACACCAACAACAATCTTTACAACAAATATTCACATATTTTATTTTACAGTTTGTAGCACTGCCAAAACTTTTCTTTTGAACTGTACAACACCAGCAGACTGTATTATTTACCTACTTTACAGGAAAGGAAACTCCTGTAAAGTAAGTAAATGGTTAAGTGATTATTCTCGGTTTCACAAAAGAGTAAGTGATAGTGCTGAGTCTCAAAACTGCTGCCTCCAAACATCCTCTTACCAGTGTGAATATGCAAAGCTGTCTCATCTCCAGGCAGAAGTTTTTCTGTTTTTGTTTTTCATGACCTCTTTACTTTTGCTAATTTTCTTCATTGAGGGAAGCTAATCTATCTGCCTTTCCCTTTTGGTTATCAGTTTCCATAAATAACTATGCCTGGGTTTATTACTTAACCACTTTGTTTAGCAACCATTAATTGTCCAGAATAAAAACAAAGCTGCTTTGTATCAGAACCTAGAACAATGTTGCTATTTATTTCTTTATTTTGCCACATCTTCAAGAAGACATATAGAGCACCCACCATGCTGGTAAAACTAAAGTATGTTTTCTCTGCAACAGTTAATGAAACAGAAATGAGGATATTAGTAACACTATAAATGGATAAATATCTAATTTTAGAGTGTGTTACTCTGTTCTCCGGCTGCTAATAGAGACACACCCGAGACTGGGTAATTTACAAAGAAAAGAAGTTTAATGGACTCACAGTTCCACATGGCTGGAGGCATCACAATCATGTTGGAATACGAAGGAAGAGCAAAGGGAAGTCTTACATGGAGGCAGGCAAGAGAGCATGTGCAGGGAACTCCCCTTTATAAAACCATCAGGTTTCATGAGACTTATTTACTGTCACAAGAACAGCATGGGAAAGACTCGCCCCCATGATTCAGTTACCTCCCAGGGGGTCCCTTCCATGACACGTGAAAATTATGAGAGCTACAATTCAAAATGAGATTTGGGTGGGGACACAGCCAAACCATATCATTCCACCCTTGGCCCCTCTCAAACCTCATGCCCTCACATTTCAAAACCAATCATGTCTTCCCAACAGTCCCCCAGTTTTAACTCATTTCAGCATTAACTCGAAAGTCCACAGTTTAAAGTCTCATCTGAGATAAGGCAAGTCCCTTCCACCTATGAGCCTGTAAAATCAAAAGGGAGTTAGTTACTTCCTAGATACAATGGGGGTGTAGGCATTGGGTAAATACACCTGTTCCAAATGGGAGAAATTGGCCAAAATGAAGAGGCTACAGGCCCCATGCAAGACAAAATTGCAACAGGGCAGTCAAATCTTAAAGCTCTGAAATGATCTCCTTTGACTCCTGACCTCTTACATCCAGGTCACACTGATGCAAGAGGTGGGTTCCCATGGTCTTGGGCAGCTCTGCCCCTGTGGCTTTGCAAGGTATAGCCCCACTCCTGGCTGCTTTCACGGGCTGGTGTTGAGTGTCTGTGGCTTTTCCAGAAACATGGTGCAAAGCTGTCAGTGGATCTACCATTCTGGGGTCTGGAGGACGCTGGCCTTCTTCTTACGGTTCCACCAGGCAGTGTCCCAGCAGGGACTCTGTGGGGGCTTCAACCCCACATTTTCCTTCCACACTGCCCTAGCAGAGGTTCTCCATGAGGGCTCCTACCTGCCACAAACTTCTGCGTGTAAACGCAGGCGTTCCCATACATCCTCTGGAATCTAGGCAGAGGTTCCCAAACCTCAGTTCTTGAATCTGTGCACCTGCAGGCTCAACACCACATGGAAGCTGCCAAGGCTTAGGGCTTGCACCCTCTGAAGCCATAGCCCAAGCTGTACCTTGGCCTGTTTTAGACATGGCTGGAGCAGCTGGGATGCAGGACACCAAGTTCCCAGGCTGCACAGAGAAGGGGTCCCTTGACTCAGCCCACGAAACCATTTTTTCTTCCTTGGCCTCCAGTCCTGTGATGGGAGGGGCTGCTGGGATGGTCTCTGACATGCTCTGGAGACATTTTGTCCATTGTCTTGGTGATTAACATTTGGCTTCCCATTACTTATGCAAGTTTTTGCAGCTGGCTTGAAATTCTCCTCAGAAAATGTTTTTGTTTGTTTGTTTGTTTGTTTTTCTACTGCATCATCAGGCTGCAAATTTTCCAAACTTTTATGTTCTGCTTCCCTTTTAAACATGTTTCAATTCCAAACCATATCTTTGTAAATACATAAAGCTGAATGCTTTTAATAACATCCAAGTCACCTCTTGAATGCTTTGCTGCTTAGAAATTTCTTCTGCCAGATCCCCTAAATCATCTTTTTCAAGTTCAAGGGCCCACAAATATCTAGGGAAGGGGCAAAATGTTGCCAGTCTCTTTGCTAAAGTACAGCAAGAGTCACCTGTACTCCAGTTCCTAACAAATTCCTCATCTCCATCTGAGACCACCTTAGCCTGGACATTATTGTTCATATCACTATTAGCATTTTGATCAAAGCCATTGAACAAATCTCTAGGAAATTCCAAACTTTCCCACAGTTTCCTGTCTTCTGTGTCCTGCAAGTCTCTAGGAAGTTCCAAACTTTGCCATGTTTTCCTGTCTTCTTCTGAGCCCTCCAAACTGTTCCAACCTTTTCCTGTTACCCAGTTCCAAAGGCACTTCCACATTTTTGGTATCTTTACAACAGCATCCCACTCTACTGGTACCAATTTATTGTATTAGTCTGTTCTCATGCTTCTGATAAAGATACCTAAGACTGGGTGATTTATAAAGGAAAGAATTTTAATGGACTCACAGTTCCACATAGCTGGAGAGGCCTCACAATCATGGCAGAAAATGAAGAAAGAGCAAAGGGATGTCTTACATGGCAGTGGGCAACAGAGTGTGTGCTGGGGAATTTCCTTTTGTAAAACCATCAGATTTCATGAGACTTATTCACTTTCATGAGAACAACATGGGAAAGACCCACCCCCATGATTTAATTACCTCCCACTGGGTCCCTCCCATGATGTGGGAATTATGGGAGCTACAATTCAAGATGAGATATGGGTGAGGACACAGCCAAACTATATTATAGAGACTAGTTACTTTTATATAACTTTTTTTTTTTTGAGTCAGAATCTTTATCTGTCACCCAGGCTAGTGTGCAGTGGTGTTCACTGAAACCCCCACCTCCCAGGTTCAAATGATTCTCATGTCTCAAACTCCCTAGTAGCTGGGACTACAGGCATGCACTGCCACACCCAGCTAATTTTTGTATTTTTAGTAGAGACAGGGTTTCACCATGTTGGCCAGGCTGGACTCAAACTCCTGACCTCAGGTGACCCACCTGCCTCAGCCTCCCAAAGTGCTGGGATTACAGGTGTGAGCCACCACACCTGGCCAAGTTTTATATAACTTTTAAAATTTATTCCTTTAAATGTTT
Organism: Homo sapiens; assembly: GCF_000001405.40. Classification (NCBI taxonomy): domain Eukaryota; kingdom Metazoa; phylum Chordata; class Mammalia; order Primates; family Hominidae; genus Homo; species Homo sapiens. The sequence goes on from NC_000001.11 coordinate 121,474,906, forward strand.
AAATAAAACAGTTAAAATGCCATGTAACATAATATATTGACTCTATTTGGAGATAAAACTGCATAAATTCAAACACTTGAATACAAATTAAGACTTTTACATCATTATTGTGAAAAATGTCCTTCCTCATCCCTTCCCCACTCCCTCCTTGTAAAGCTTGAGATAAAATTTCATGTATAAGGACTTTTATATCTCTGATTTCACCTTATATAAATTGCTTTGTCTCTAAAATGCAAACACAAACTGATTCTCGTTAGATTCAGTTCAGCTATGAAACCTTTACTTCCATCAGGCTAAATATTCAGATTACTTAATTTTCCTTTTCTGTTTGTGTGTTTGGTTAGCCACCCTTCCACATAGCTTTAATTAGACATTGTCACTTCTTTGAGGCAGTTTGAAATAAGAGAAACAGTACAGAATATTTAAAAATAATACATGAGTAATTCATTTAAATGACTGGATTACTTTATTGACAAAAATGTGGAAGCAATGTGAAATTCTGAAATAAAGGATGGTTAAATTTGAAAGGAAAGTGAGTCATAATTATCAGATTAAGTTTGCAAATGCATCAAAGATTCAAACATAAGAAGACAAAGCAAAAAAATACTAGAAGAAAACATAAGATATCTTTATTTTTTATATTTTTTAAACAAAAGCATAAGATTTTTTTTTAAGACTGGTTAATCTAAAAACCAAAATGATTTTTGGTTATAAACAATGTCACAAGACAAAAGGCAAATTGGGAAATGTTACTATGGAACACTAAATAGACAATGGAAATCAATGACCTGAACAGCTAGTTCATTAAAAAAGAAATACATATGCTATTATGTGCATTTGTCCTATTTTTATATTTGGGAAATTAACTGAATTATGTGTTATGTCTTCCCACCCATGTATAACACAACTATGTAAGCTAGCCTCTGACAGTCACACAAGCACCCATTTAACACCCTGATTCATCAGTTAACATGAAGAGAAAATGGGCTCTGAGGATTTTCCAGTTTTGCTAATATAGATGATAATAAAGGCCTCTGATTTTTGCGAGTTGCAGTGATTTCAAGGTTCACTTCCTGATACAAAAAGGCATTGGTGCTTGCTGTAGGATAATTTTTTAATTTTTATTTTTATTTTATTTTTTTGTGATGGAGTCTCACTCTGTTGCCAGGATGGAGTGCAGTGGCATGATCTCGGCTCACTACAACCTCTGCCTCCTGGGTTCAAGCAATTATCCTGCCTCAGCCTCCAGAGTAGCTGGGACTACAGGTGTGTGCCACCATGCCCAGCTAATTTTTGTATTTTTAGTAGAGATGGGGTTTCACCATGTTGGCCAGGATGGTATCAATCTCTTAACATCGTGATCCTCCCACCTTGGCCTCCTAAAGTGCTGGGATTACAGGCATGAGCCAATGCACCCAGCTGATAATTTTAATATTTTGGATTCCTGGCATCTTATGCTTGGTGGAGGCAATGGCTACAGAGGCAATATACTCTTTAGGTCAGTTTTTCATTTGTTTGTTTGTTTTTTAAAATGTAGTTTTACAATGTTGATCTTGGCTGGGTAGAATTGTGCTCTTCTCTAGCCCATAGGATGATTTGTTTTCTTGTCTGGCTAAACTTGCCAGAATGGATTCTTTTCTTTTCTATTAACAGTCACAAGTGACATGGTAATATGTAGGTACTCAAAGAAAAAGGACATCCAAAAAATTAAAAAGTGGGATTATTCCAGGGGCATAGTGGAATTTCTTCATCAAGGAGAAAGGCTGGGAAGATACAGCAAATGGCATTTGAAAGCATGTAATGACCAGGCAACTGATTCAAATATCATTTAGAATGAAGTGTCATTGATGGGAAGGCCTTAGATATCAAGTGTTGCTAAGTGTGGAATTTGCTAAGCTTGAGAATTCAAGGACTGTGAGATTGTCTGCTTATTTCCAACTGTGCTGGAGAGCCTAAAGAAAGAGAATGATCATGTAAAGTTCTGAAATCTTGGCTGAAGTCAGTGTTAGAAAAGCAAAAGTTTCTATTTAATGCAAAATAATACTTCATCATTTGCAGCTTCAAAACTTAAAGTAACTAAAAATCAAACTAAAATGTTTAACTTTGGAGTTTTTGCATTATAGAGAGTTGAATTTGAATACTCTGTAGTTCTCTTATGTGAAAGGAAATGTATTTACTGAAAGAGAGTTGGGCTGTGAAAATTAGAATGGGGGCATATGGGAGGTGGCTCCAAGACGGCTGAATAGGAACAGCTTTAGTCTACAGCCCCCAGCTTGAACAATGCAGAAGACAGGTGATTTCTGCATTTCCAACTGAGGTACCAGGTTCATGTCACTGGGGCTCATTCAACTGTCGGGGCAGGACAGTGGGTGCAGCCCATCGAGTGTGAGCCAAAGCAGGACGAGACATTGCCTCATCTGGGAAGTGCAAGCGGTCAGGGAATTCCCTTTCCTAGCCAAGGGAGGGAGTGACAGAAGGCACCTGGAAAATCGGGTCACTCCCAACTTAATACTGTGCTTTTCCAGCAGTCTTAGCAAATGGCACACCAGGAGATTATATCCTGCACCTGGCTCAGAGGGTCCCATGCCCATGGTGCCTCACTCATTGCTAGCACTGCAGTCTGAGATCGAACTGCAAAGTGGCAGTGAGGCTGGGGGAGGGGTGCCCACCATTGCTGAGGCTTGAATAGGTAAATAAAGTGGTGGGGAAGCTTGAACTGGGTGGAACCCACCACAGCTCAAGGAGGCCTGCCTGCCTCTGTAGACTCCACCTCTGGGGGCAGGGCATAGACGAACAAAAGGCAGCAGAAACCTCTGCAGACTTAAATGTCCCTGTCTGATAGCTTTGAAGAGAGTAGTGGTTCTCCCAGCACAGAGTTTGAGACCTGAGAATGGACAGACTGCCTCCTCAATGGGTCCCTGACCCCTGAGTAGCCTAACTGGGAGGCACCACCCAGTAGGGGCAGATTGACACCTCACACAGCCGGGTACCCCTCTGAGATGAAGCTTCCAGAGGAACGATCAGGCAGCAACATTTGCTGTTCAGGAATATTCGCTGTTCTACAGCCTCCACTGCTGATACCCAGGCAAACAGGGTCTGGAGTAGACCTCCAGCAAATTCCAACAGACCTGCAGCTGAGGGTCCTGACTGTCAGAAGGAAAACCAACAAACTGAAAGGACATCCACACCAAATTCCCATCTGTATGTCACCATCATCAAAGACCAAAGGTAGATAAAACCACAAAGATGGGGAAAAAACAGAGCAGAAAAGCTGAAAATTCTAAAAATCAGAGCACCTCTCCCCCTCCAAAGGAACGCTGCTCCTCTCCAGCAATAGAGCAAAGCTGGATGGAGACTGAGAGAAGAAGGCTTCAGATGATCAAACTGCTCCGAGCTAAAGGAGGAAGTTCAAACCCAATGCAAAGAAGCTAAAAATTTTTAAAAAGATTAGACAAATGGCTAAATAGAATAACCAGTGTAGAGAAGTCCTTAAATGACCTGATGGAGCTGAAAATCATGGCATGAGAACTACATGATGAATACACAAGCTTCAGTAGCTGATTCGATGAACTGGAAGAAAGGGTATCAGTGATTGAAGATCAAATGAATGAAATGAAGAGAGAAGTTTAGAGAAAAAAGTAAAAAGAAGCAAACAAAGCCTCCAAGAAATATGGGACTATGTGAAAAGACCAAACCTTCATCTGTTTGGTGTACCTAAAAATGATGGGGAGAATGAAAACAAGTTGGAAAACACTCTGCAGGATATTATCCAGGAGAACTTCCCCAATCTAGCAAGGAAGGCCAACATTCAAATTCAGGAAATACAGAGAATGCCACAAAGATACTCCTCGAGACGAGCAACTCCAAGACCCATAATTGTCAGATTCACCAAAGTTGAAATGAAGGAAAAAATATTAAGGGCAGCCAGAGAGAAAGGTCGGGTTACCCACAAAGGGAAGCCCATCAGACTAACAGCAGGTCTCTCGGCAGAAACTCTACAAGTCAGAAGAGAGTGGGGGCCAACATTCAACATTCTTCAAGAAAAGAATTTTCAACCCAGAATTTCATATCCAGCCAAACTAAGCTTCATAAGTGAAGGAGAAATAAAATCCTTTACAGACAAGCAAATGCTGAGAGATTTTGTCACCACCAGGCCTGCCCTACAAGAGCTCCTGAAGGAAGCACTAAACATGGAAAGGAACAACTGGTACCAGCCACTGCAAAAACATGACAAATTGTAAAGTCCATTGATGCTAGGAAGAAATGACATCAACTAACAGGCAAATTAACCAGCTAACATCATAATGGCAGGATCAAATTCACACATAACAATATTAACCTTCAAAGTAAATGGGCTAAATGCTCCAATTAAAAGACACAGACTGGCAAATTGGATAAAGAGTCAAGACCTATCAGTATGCTGTATTCAGGAGACCCATTTCACGTGCAGAGACACACAGGCCCAAAATAAAGGGATGGAGGAAGATCTACCAAGCAAATGGAAAACAAAAAATAGGCAGGGGTTGCAATCCTAGTCTCTGATAAAGCAGACTTTAAACCAACAAAGATCAAAAGAGACAAAGCAGGCCATTACATAATGGTAAAGGGATCAATTCAACAAGAAGATCTAACTATGTTAAATATATATGCAACCAATACAGGAGCATCCAGATTCATAAAGCAAGGCCTTAGAGACCTACAAAGAGACTTAGACTCCCACACAATAATAATGGGAGACTTTAACACCCCACTGCCAACATTAGACAGATCCACGAAACAGAAAGTTAACAAGGATATCCACGAACTGAACTCAGCGCTGCATCAAGCAGATCTAACAGACATCTACAGAACTCTCCACCCCAAATCAACAGAATATACATTCTTCTCAGCACCACATCACACTTATTCCAAAATTGACCACATACTGGGAAGTAAAGCACTCTTCAGCAAATGTGAAAGAACAGAAATTATAACAAACTGTCTCTCAGGCCACAGTGCAATCAAACTAGAACTCAGGATTAAGAAACTCACTCAAAACAGCTCAACTACATGGAAACTGAACAACCTGCTCCTGAATGACTACTGGATACATAATAAAATGAAAGCAGAAATAAAGATGTTCTTTGAAACCAATGAGAACAAAGACACAACATACCAGAATCTCTGAGACACATTTAAAGCAGTGTGTAGAGGGAAATTTATACCACTAAATGCCCACAAGAGAAAGCAGGAAAGATCTAAAATTGACACCCTAACATCACAAAAGAACTAGAAAAGCAAGAGCAAACACATTCAAAAGCCAGCAGAAGGCAAGAAATAACTAAGATCAGAGAAGAACTGAAGGAGATAGAGACACAAAAAAACCCTTCAAAAATCAATGAATCCAGGAACTGGTTTTTTGAAAAGATCAACAAAATTGATAGACTGCTAGCAAGACTAATAAAGAGGAAAAGAGAGAAGAATCAAATAGATGCAATAAAAAATGATAAACAGGATATCAATCCCACAGAAATACAGAAATACAATCCCAAAGAAATACAAACTACCATCAGAGAATACTATAAACACCTCTATGCAAATAAACTAGAAAATGTAGAAGAAACGGATAAATTCCTTGACATATACACCCTCCCAAAACTAAACCAGGAAGAAGTTGAATCTCTGTATAGACCAATAACAGGTTCTGCAATTGAGGCAATAATTAATAGCTTACCAACCAAAAAAAAGTCCAGGATAAGGCAGATTCACAGCTGAATTCTATCAGAGCTACAAGGAGGAGCTGGTACCATTCCTTCTGAAACTATTCCAGCCAACAGAAAAAGAGGGAATCCTCCCTAACTGATTTCATGAGGCCAGCATGATCAGGATGATTCCTGATACCAAAGCCTGGCAGAGGCACAACAAAAAAAGAGAATTTTAGACCAATAACCTGATGAACATCGATGCAAAAATCCTCAATAAAATATTGGCAAACCGAATCTGGCAAAACATCAAAAAGCTTATCCACCATGATCAAGTGGGCTTCATCCCTGGGATGCAAGGCTGGTTCAACATATGAAAATCAATAAATGTAATCCAACATATAAACAGAATCAAAGACAAAAACCATATGATTATCTCAATAGATGCAGAAAAGGCCTTTGACAAAATTCAACAACCCTTCATGCTAAAAACTCTCAATAAATTAGGTATTGATGGGACATAACTCAAAATAATAAGAGCTATGTATGACAAACCCAGAGCCAATATCATACTGAATGGGCAAAAACTGGAAGCATTCCCTTTGAAAATTGGCACAAGACAGGGATGCCCTCTCTCACCACTCCTATTCAACATAGTGTTGGAAGTTCTGGCCAGGGCAATCAGGCAGGAGTAGGAAATAAAACGTATTCAATTAGGAAAAGAGGAAGTCAAATTGTCCCTGTTTGCAGATGACAGGATTGTATATTATAAAACCTCATCATTTCAACCCAAAATCTCCTTAAGCTGATAAGCCACTTCAGCAAAGTCTCAGGATACAAAATCAATGTGCAAAAATCACCAGCTTTCTTATACACCAATAACAGACAAACAGAGAGCCAAATCATGAGTGAACTTCCATTCACAATTGCTACAAACAGAATAAAATACATAGGAATCCAACTTACAAGGGATGGGAATGACCTCTTCAAGGAGAACTACAAACCACTGCTCAATGAAATAAAAAAGGATACAAACAAATGGAAGAACATTCCATGCTCATGAGTAGGAAGAATCAATATCGTGAAAATGGCCATACTGCCCAAGGTAATTTATAGATTCAATGCCATCGCCATCAAGCTACCAATGACTTTCTTCACAGAATTGGAAAAAACTACTTTGAAGTTCATATGGAACCAAAAAAGAGCCCACATTGCCAAGTCAATCCTAAGCCAAAAAAGCAAAGCTGGAGGCATCACACTACCTGACTTCAAACTATACTACAAGGCTACAGTAACCAAAACAGCATGGTACTGGTATCAAAACAGAGATATAGACCAATGGAACAGAACAGAGCCCTCAGAAATAATGTCACATATCTACAACTATCTGATCTTTGACAAACCTGAGAAAAACAAGCAATGGGGAAAGGATTCCCTATTTAATAAATGGTGCTGGGAAAACTGGCTAGTCATATGTAGAAAACTGAAGCTGGATCCCTTCCTTACACCTTACACAAAAATTAATTCAAGATGGATTAAAGACTTAAATGTTAGACCTAAAACCATAAAAGCCCTAGAAGAAAACCTAGGCAATACCATTCAGGACATAGGCATGGGTAAGGACTTCATGTCTAAAACAACAAAAGCCATGGCAACAAAAGCCAAAATTGACAAATGGGATCTAATTAAACTAAAGAGCTTCTGCACAACAAAAGAAACTGCCATCAGAGTGAACAGGCAACCTACAGAATAGGAGAAAATTTTTGCAATCTACTTGTCTGACAAAGGGCTAATATCCAGAATCTAGAAAGAACTCAAACAAATTTAGAAGAAAAAACAAACAACCCCATCAAAAAGTGGGCAAAGGATATGAACAGACACTTCTCAAAAGAAGACATTTATGCATCCAAAAGACACATGATAAAATTCTCATCATCACTGGCCATCAGAGAAATGCAAATCAAAACCACAATGAGATACCATCTCACACCAGTTACAATGGCGGTCATTAAAAAGCCAGGAAACAACAGATGCTAGAGAGGATGTGGAGAAATATGAATGCTTTTACAGTGTTGGTGGGAGTGTAAACTAGTTCAACTGTTCTGGAAGACAATGTGGTGATTCCTCAAGGATCTAGTACTAGAAATACCATTTGACCCAGCCATCCCATTACTGGGTATATACCCAAAGGATTATAAATCATGCTGCTATAAAGGCACATGCACACGTATGTTTATTGTGGCACTATTCACAATAGCAAAGACTTGGAACCAACCCAAATGTCCATGAATGATAAACTGAATTTAAAAAATGTGGCACTTATACACCATGGAATACTATGCAGCCATAAAAAAGGATGAGTTCATGTCCTTTGTAGGGACATGGATGAAGCTGGGAACCATCATTCTTAGCAAATTATCGCAAGAACAAAAATCCAAACCCCACATGTTCTCACTCATAGGTGGGAATTGATCAATGAGAACACTTGGACACAGGAAGGGGAACATCATGCACCCGGGCCTGTCATGGGGTAGGGGGAGGGGGGAGGGAAAGCATTAGGAGATATACCTAATGTAGATGATCAGTTAATGGATGCAGCACACCAACATGGCACATGTATACATATGTAACAAACCTGCACGATGTGCATATGTACCCTAGAACTTAAAGTATAATTTAAAAAAAGAAAAAAAAGAGGGGGGAGGGGGAGAGGGAAGTTCATGCATTAAAATAAAAAAGAATGGGGACATATGAGAAGATTCAGATGACTGAGCATTTCTAAAATCCTCCAATTTAATGAAATATCCTTTACTAGCAGAAGCAGCTCCTATTTCTCCTCATGAAAAAGCAGATTCTTACTTGCAAAAAGATCTGGTTACAAAGTTATGTGAGGCACTTAACCTTACAAAAAGAACTTAATCCTCCTTAATCCTCACCCATATTGTACCTATGACCACAGTTGAATCCCAGCATGTCCCCTACCAAATTGCAAGAATGTGATTTTTTAATACAGTAACTGCCTGGGAATATTTGTGGGAATGGTCTCTGAAGGAGTAACAATTTCGATCACTGTAATAGGACATTGCAGTAGTTTACTATACTAATTACATTATGCTGATAGAATCTGGTGAGCTGAAAGTAGCAGGTATTCAAATGCTGTGGTAAAATTATTCACACCAGAGGATAGAAGATAAATAACCTCTTCCCTAAATACAAGTGGCTTCACCTCAGTCAAACTTTAGGAGCTTCATGCCAACCATAGTCTGGGGTATGTTGGACTTTCTTCACCAAAATGAAGAAAACATGCTACAATGCCATTGCTTTTCACTAAGATACAAACATGAAAATCATTGAGTGTCTTTTCACTTGCGTGACAACACATACACATATAGGTATTCAGTAAACACCAGGTTTGAGTGAGGCTGAGCCCATCATGAACACAGTATCATCTGAACTATCAAGTCATAAAATCATGAGTGTTCAGCAGCATACTTTCATGAATTGGAGATAAAATAAAGATAATCAAGCATGAGCTCTCAAGCAAGATGCAAGTGTATTGCATCAGCAAATGACTCACATTTCCAGCATATGCCTGCAGAAGCACACATGAGGGTGGATTCTGAGAATTCTTGATTAGGGATGTCAAGTGGGAGAACACAAGGCTGTGAAAGGAGAGTTTAGGTTGGGAAAACACTCTTCTGGGATAAAGGACTAATGTAATGTCCAGGACTCAAGCAGATGGCACAAATTCACTACCAGGATAGTCCCTAGAAATATGAATTATGCCCCATGCATAAATTATCATATCTAGTAGTGGAAAAAAAATAAAAGTTTCAGAGGTTTAGGTGTGCTAGAGTCAAATATTAGTGAGGGCCAGAAAAACCCACAATTTTCCAATTCTTCCTTGGGAGGGCTCTGAGGATACCATTTATGGCAGCAATTAAAATGTCCTGGGGAGAGGAGAAACAGCAACAGTAAAGTGTTCAGTGGTGACTCTCCTCCCTAACAAAGTAAGAGCGGTTGTTACAGAACTAGGCTCATTGATAATAACAGTGGTGATTAGAAATAATAGAGGCTAGATGGGTTATGGCACTTAACCAAAAGAAGCTAAATGGACACAATTACTGTAATGAATGGAAAGCTTAGAGGGACAGCCAAGGGTCTTGACCCACAGAGGTCTATGGAAACAGTTAGAACATAACACCCTTAGAACAAAATAAATAGGCAGTCAACAAGGGTATTCAACTGTACAATAAAAAGAAAGCAAGGATGGATAACCAGGAGGCTAAAGGAAATTACCCCAATAAAACTCAAGGCCCTTTGTCTAGGAATTATTACTTAGGATTGTGTAGTAAATAAAATCTTGGTTCAAATTTGCTTCATTGGGGTTCCCTGGGTCTGGAGACCCATTTGGCAATCACTCATCTAGTCTCTGATTGCATAATTAAAAAAATATTTGGTTTTGGCATAATATATATGTTAGATTCTTAGACTCCAGAACAAGAGTTATTATAATAGGGAAGGCTAAGTGGAAACTTCTGAAAATTCCCCTAATCCCAACCAAGATAGTTAATCAAAACTAATATTATGTCTCAAGGTCATGCAGGAATTACTGCCATTCTTAAACACCTAAAGCATGGAGAAATGGTGATCTCTAACATATCCCATTTAACTCATCAGTCTGCCCACCCTTTCCACCCCCAAATATGTATATAATTCCTGTGCTATGACAGTGCAGTATTGCAAACTTAACTAAGCAGTAGTCCTAGTTGCAGCTGCTATGCCAGATGTGGTACCCTTGCTAGAGTAGATTAACACAGCCTCAGGAATACAGACATTTGTGTTAGTCTGCTGGAGCTGCCATAACAAAATATCACAGATGGAGTGGCTTAAAGAACATAAAAATTTATCTATTTTACATTTCTGGAGGCTGGAAATCCAAGATCAAGATTTCAGCAGGTTTGGTTTCTCCTTGGTCTGTGGATGACCACCTTCTCTTTGTGTTCTCACATGGACTTTGCTCTGTATATGCACATCCTTGGTGTCTCTTCCTGTTTTTATGAGGGCATAATAGATGTGTATTTTGTGTCATTATGGCTTCATTTAACCTTATGTCTTCATTTAACCTTAGTTACCTTTTAAAGGCCCTATCTCCAAATATGGCCATATTGAAAGGTACTGGGATTAAGCTTCAACATATGAATTCCAGGACCTAGCTAATGCATCTTTTTCCCTCCTTATCAAAAAAAAATCAGAAATAGTTTATATTTACTTGGAATAGACAACAGTACTTTTCCTATCTTACCTTGAGTCTAGGTTTGTCTTCTCTCCCTTCTGTCATAATATATTCTGAAGATACCCAGACTAACTCAAACTCCTGCAGAATATCACATGGGTCTATATCAATATCTATTTCAATGACACCATGACTATCACATGGGTCTATATCAATATCTATTTCAATGACACCATGACTATCACATGAGTCTATATCAATGTCTATTTCAATGACACCGTGCTAATCAGATTGGATGTGCAAGAACCAGCTAGTATATTAAGGTCCGTGGTAAGACATTTAAACTCCAGAGGGTGAGAAATAAATCCTATGGAGATTCAGGGGCTCATCACTTCAGTTTGATTTTTAGGTCTCCAGTATGTATGGCCTGCTAGAATTACCCTTCTGAAATAAAAGAAACATTTATTCTTCGTTGTCCACTATGCAGAAGTAAGCACAGGTCTGGTAGTTCCTTTCAGGTTAGGTGCAGCATTTTCCATAGCTGAGAATACTTCTCTGACCCATATAGTAGTTGACATGAAATACTGTCCAGAACAGGGAAGGTCTCTACAACATATCCAGGCAGACTCATGGGCTGCCATGCTGCTTGGGCCACAAAACTGAGCAGAACCTATGATATTAGAGGTATTATTGGTAGGAAAAGTTGCTACATGGGGTTTATGGCAAGCCCAAATAGGAAAAACATAGCTGACATTTTGGGAACTGGAGCAATGCCATGTTATCTGCACCAAAGGATTACATACTTTTCAAAAAAGAGCTTCTTTTGTTTCCACTGGAGTTCTAGATGGGTGCAGTAAGAGACCATGAGGCCAGAGTAGTCCATTAGTACTGTAAGACTCACAAAGTGTTAAAGTTGAGCAGAACCAGCAGCAATGAGGATGGAAGTGATGTATCTAGGATGGTGCATAAGCAGAGTCAGAGGGCCCAATAACCTGAATGAGAAGATAGATTGGGCCTCATGGCACCCACCGCATTTGCAACAGTACCTCTCTCAGCACTCATTATAGTTATATTGAGAAGCCCAGATAACTAGCTGATGGAGGAGGGATAAATCTGAGCTTGCTTCCTGGATGGCAGCTGCACTCAGGCCCACTCAGAGATGACCTTGTAAGTCAGTGGTGAGGAGAAATACTCCCAATGGGCAGAGCCTCAGGAGGTTCACTTGATCATCCAACTTTAAGGAGAAAGAAGGAACCCAAGATTAGCATATGAACAAACTCACAGACAGTGGAAAATAGCTTGGTCAATTTGTCAGGAACCTGGAATAGAAAACACTGAATATTTGAGAAAAAGGAGGTCTCAGGAAAATGCCTGACGATGAACGTTTCTGAATGGGCACACAGAGTGAAGTCTTTGTACTTCTTGTTAATGCCCACTCAGCCAGTTGACATCAGGTGGGTGGGCTCAGTGTTGGGACAATGCTCATTTGAAATGAATAAACTTGGTGGAAGAGATGGAAGCTAAGAATGATGTTAACAGCATGAGTCTCTACTTGCCAAGTATATTAGTTTCCTTAGTTTGCAACAACAAATTGCTACAAACTGGGTGGCTCTCACAACAGAAATGTATTGTCTCCCAGTTCTGAAGGCTTCACATCATCGTCGTTCTGTTTGTTTCTCTGTCTTTTCATTCATATAGCATTCTTTTTTTTATAAGGACAACAGTCATATTGGATTAGGAACCCACCTTATTCCAGTATAACCTCATCTTAGCTACATCTGCAACAATCCTATTTTTAAATAAGACCATATTCGAGTTCCTGAGGTTAGGACTTCAACCTATCAATTTTGGCAAGACGTAATTCAACCTACAACACCAAGGATGGTCTAGTTTTGGCTGATGCTGAATTTCCAAATTGTCAATAGCAGAGGCCAGTGCTGCATTTCTGATGGAGCTAACTAGCTTGATCACTTTGACCCTTTCAACCCTTGGGAAGGACAGTAATTCATTTTAACAGAAATAGACATGTACTTTTGGTGAAGGTTTGTCTTTCCAGGTTGCAGAATCTCAGCCTGCACATCTCACCCATGGCTTACTACACGCTTGATGCATTGACTTAGAGTCCCGCACAACATTGTGACAGACGAGGGGATTCATTTTCTAGCAAAGGAAGCGTAAGAGTGGGCACATGACCATGGGGTCCACCAGTCACATCACATTTTCATCATCCAGAAGTTGTCAGTTTGATGGAGGTACAGAGCTGCCTATGAAGACATGGCTGAAGTGACAATTCAGAAACAGGACTTTGAGAGGATAGAAGGCTATCTTGCAATATAGTGCATAATTTAAAACAACAAATTTTTATAAACCCAGGAACTAAGCAGTGGAAATTAGAGAATTCGTGTTTCTTTCCCTTGCAACTCAGGCTTCTGCGGAATTAAAGTTCCTGGTTCTCAAGGAGAAAATACTTCCACTAGGGAAAACAGGAAGAGTCTCATTAACATTGAGACATCAGTGCCACTTGAGTACTTTGTCCTCATCATCACCAAGGAATGGAAAAAAGAAAAGGAGTCAGCATGTTGGCAAGGTTGGCACTCGAATGACCCACACACAGTAAAGGGACTGAGAAGGGCACAGTGGCCAGGAGCTCTGGCTCCTCTGGAATGAGGGTCTGTGTTATGCATCCAAGTAAGAAACTGAAGCCAGATAGGTTCTAGCAGGTTGGATAGTTGTGTAGAAGTGAAGCGAAAACTTTCCATTTGCCCTTTGAATTTTTGCTAAAAAATTAATTTATAAAAGCCAGATTACTAGGAAAATGGCATATAATTTATTAGCACATACAGGGAAGAATTATAGACTGATTGATCAATATTTAAATGGGGTATAGAAGTTTCTATCTCTTTTTTTTTTTTTAAAGAGGAGAGTGAGATGGAGAAGCGTGGATGATTTTAAAGAGGTAGAAAATAATTTTGAGGGGAATTTAATGGGCGCAAAGAACATATAATGGCCTGGGACAAAGTCTACTGGGCCCACAGAACAGAAAATGTTTTGTGACAAAAGTCTGTCCAGATGTGTTTAAAGACTTTAGTCTTTCTTTCTGTGATGTGAATTTAGCTAATGAAAACTCAGGGAAGAAACCAAAAGTAATTGGTTTTGTTTCTTTGTTTTTGGCAGGTTCGAACTTTAGGCAGATAAGGGATCTTCAGAGAACAACTTTTTCCTGTGCTTTGGGAAGGAGGATTGAGAGACAGGAGGGCAAAGGAAGGCCAGAGAGAGCTCGAGAGCTTTCTTTTTCAGTTCAGCATGTCAAAGTGCCATATTCTAGGGTATTGGTTTCTGAGCCCCAACAGAATAAAAAGAAGACTGTAAGTGTTGAGTATGCTGCCAAGACCAGCTGCAGTGTGGCAGGTGCTCTAGTTCTTCCCACTAACCTTCCATTTCTGAAGCATTCTATTTCACACAATTACCATCATAAAAGAAAAAATAACCTACGGTCCATTTGTAATTGTTTATGTTGTATTGTGAAATATATCCCTGATAGGACAAACTTCGGTTCTGTCTAAATGTGGATGAGAATTGAAACTTTCCCTTAAATTTAACTGGTCTGATGATTGGAAGAATTTTTGACAAACCAGCTCCTGGCTCCATACATTTGTAACCTGGTATCTCCTGCACTCCGTACTTACTTCTGGTGGCAAGTGACACCAGGATATCAGGACCTGGTTTGTGACACTGCACCTTCATGTTGGAATACTCAATCCCAGTGCTGGGTGAGTTACACAGCAGAAGTTCTGTATGCCTTGAAGCTATTTCTACACTGTGGTGGTTAGCAATAACCTGTCTCTACACAGAAGTGACTGCAAAACACAAACTATATTATAAAAAATCCCTAACAAATGTACCCTTAACTTCTTCTTAGCACACCATCTGACATGTGACTAAGTGCAATGAAAAATTTGTAGTAGAAATAAATAGTAGTATTAAACAATTTCAGTTAAAGTAGTTTATTTCAGCAAATTTTACAAAAGCATATGGGAAATAAACATATTACTAACTTCTCTCCCAGGATCTTAGAATGCACCTGTACAAGTTAGAGACAGGAGACATCCTTTTCTGGGGGATGCTGGGAATGGGAATGTTTGCATTGGAAATGAGTGGAAGGTGTACTATGTTGGGGGAATATCTGCTTTTGTTTCAAAGACTGAGTATGAAGAATGGTTTGGAGTTCTGGAGTGGATATTTGACATGTTCAGGGCTTCTTTACATATTTTGAAAAACATTTGCATATTGGGGGAAATGTTAATATCATGAATCCTGTCTTTCCCATCAAAACCAGAACTCAGATACCCAGCCTCTCTTGCGACTAGCACTCAGGCAGCTGACCTAGACTTCGACCAACAGACACACCCCTATGAGACTGATTTAGAGATGAGCAAAACAGTGTTCCCATTTTGCTAGTGTAGGTGGCAGCAGGAATTGCAAGGGCAAGTACCTGATCACAGGTAGTGTCAGTGATGGTGCAATAGTGAATGTAGGAGCACTAAGACCTGGCATTTCATGTGTGATGAAAGAGACCCCAGTGGTATCCATGTCAGGCCATTTATTGCATGGTTTTTTGTGTTCCCAAAAGTATTATATTTCTGGCTGAACTAGCCAGACTGGATTTGTTGATTGCAGCAAGATTTTACATCCCATTTTAATATATAAATAGTGCTCACCCTGGCTCATAATAAAACAAATACAAAGTAAACCGTAAATTCATGCCATTTTTCATCTGTCAGATTGATAAAGATTAAAAATTTGATCTGTAGTCATTGGTATAGGAAAACAAACCCTCTCATTGGTGAGAATGCAAATGAATTACAGTGTTGAAGGAAAATGATATGGCAATATCTATGAAAATGTATAGCACAGGCCGGGCACGGTGGCTCACGCCTGTAATCCCAGCACTCTGGGAGGCCGAGGCCGGCAAATCACGAGGTCAGGAGATCCAGACCATCCTGGCTAACATGGTGAAACCCCGTCTCTACTAAAAATACAAAAAATTAGCCGAGTGTGGTGGCAGGCACCTGTACTCCCAGCTACTCGGGAGGCTGAGGCAAGAGAGTGGTGTGAACCCAGGAGGAGGAGTTTGCGGTGAGCCAAGATCGCACCACTGCACTCCAGCCTGGGTGACAGAGCAAGACTCTGTCTCAAAAAAAAAAAAAAAAAAAATGTATAGCACAAATATCTTTTGACAAAGAAATATTGCTACAATTATATTCTACATATGCATTCATAAGAACCAGTCAAGAAATATACAATAATTATTTTTGAATTATTTGTAAGTGGGGAGTTTTAATGTTAATGTAGTCAATTGAGAACAGATTAATACATAGTTGAACATCCACAGAATGGAGTAATATTCAGCTGTGTAAAGAGGAATGCTGTATATGTGACATTTTGTTACATATACAGTAGACATATTGTTAAAGTAGAAAAGCTGGGTGTGGGGCAGCAATCACAGAATGCTGCCATCTGTGGAGAAGGGTAAGAAAAACAAAAATGTATGCATAGATTTGGAAGATCTCTGGAAGAAGGTGCAACTGATAACTGTTATCTCTTAGGCAGGGAAGCTCGATGAAAGATACTCCAGGAGATGGTTGCTTTTCAAAGTATACCTGTTTGTGGCTTTTGAATTTCATTATTTCCTTCTGTGTAAGAAATAACAATGGAATGACAGCTGTGTGCTGGATACCATGGCACATAGGACACAAAGGTAACCCAGACACTGCCTCAGCATTTGGGGGTTAATTGATAGAGATAAAAATGACTATAGCATAATGGGTTAAGAGCTGGGATAAGGATGTATGCAAGATGCTGGGGGAAGCCAGAGAAGAAGCTCTTGAAGAAGGACAATCAGAAAAGTTTTCCAAAGGGAAGGGTGCACAGGAATTGAACTGAGAACTAGTCATCAGAGCTTCAGGCAAAGCTATGCCAAAATGTAAAAAAGAAGACGAAACAAAATAATCAGAGGTAAAATCAATGAGGTACATAGGACAGCCGACTTTGCAGGAACTTCAAGTATCTCTTGATAATTCGAGTTTGGGTGCAGGAAGACGTTGAAAGGTAAGTTAAAGAGTTATTTAAGGCCCACATAATGAAAGACCTTAGATACTGGATATTATTCTTATAGCAAGAATGAGCCATTAAAGCTAGAAGGTAGAAAGAGAATTCCGTGTGGAGACTTCAAATGGCAATTCTAAGGCATAGCACAAGGCTTTATATTTATTTAAATTAAGGCAGGCCACAGAAAGTCCTAGAGCAAATATGAATGCATTCAGTTGTCCGTTATTCAAAAATCCAAATAACAATGCTGTAACTAACAGTTACTGGTATTATTATTATTGTTTTACAGAAGGTCTGGAAGTAAGCATCTCAGGGCTGGCAGCTCAGTTCAATAATGTCATCAAGGAACCTGGTTTCTTCTTTTCCTTCCACACTCATTCTTGAAGTTGTTCAAGTATAGAACCATTTTTTAGTTTTTTTTTTTTTTTTTTTACAGTATAAGTAGAATCATACTCTATTAGTTTTCTATTGCTGTGTCACAAATTATCACTAACTTAGTGGCTTTAGACAACAGAAATTTATGATCTGACAGTTTTTATGAGTAAAGAGTTCAGGCACAGTTACTGGGTGTTATGCTCGAGTCTCAACAGACTGCAATCAAGGTGTTAGCTCAGGCTGTGATCTCATCTGAGACTTTGGGGGCCTCTTCTAAGTTCATTAGTTGTTGGCAGAATTCAGTTCCTTGGGGTTGTAGGACTAAGGTGCTCAGCTTTTGAAGGTTACCCCTTTTCATAGGCATTTCACAATGTGGGTATTTACTTCTTCCAGACAAGCATGAGGGCATCTCTCTCACTAGGAATTTCTCCATCCAGCTGGCTAAAATGGAACCTTATCAAATATAACCTAATCAAGGAGTGACTACCCCAATATATTCACAGGCCTTTCCATGCTCAAGGGGAATGAATTATATAAGTTATGATATATATTATAAAATATGATATATATTATATAAGTCAGTAATCTTGGGGGTCATCACAGAATTTTGGCTATACTATCCCAGGACTTGTGTTTGTATTTTTGGTTTTTTTTATTGTTTGTTTTCTACTAATGGATCATTTGTAAATTCTCACCTTTATTTTATTACTTTATATACCACTCAGTGGCCGACATATGTTTTTCTCTAGTGATTTTTAATCAAATATTATTTTTAATAAGAGATAACCTACATCCACATTCCCACTCTCATTTCCACATTTTCCCATCACCTTGTCACTCACTTTTATTCAATGATGGCTCATATACTAAAAGGAAAAATAAATAAAGATGTTTGTAGCATTATATAAACACAACACAAATTTCGGTTAAAAAAAGGTGAGTTTTTCCTATACTAATTTTCTAAAGAATAAAAGCAGAGTTCACCAAAAATACTATATATAAGACTATTTGTAGGTAATAAAAAAGTATTGTAATCTCACTGGGACAGAAGATGTACTCATACAACAAACTGAATAACAATAAAATATTTAAATTGAAATTTAAGCCAACAGTGGAGGTCAAGTCACAAGGCTATAACTTATTACTTGTCACATTAATCCTATAGACAATCTAAGTTTAGAGGAGAATGTTTGGATTATTTACTGTGGTGACATAAGCTACCCCAAAGCTTAGTGGCTTACAACAACAGCAATTTTATTATACCTCACAGTTACGTGGGCCAGAAGTTTGGGCAGACCTTAGCTGGGCAGTTTTTCTGCTCCAAGTGGCATCAACTGGATCACTGTGTGGTACTCAGCTGGAGGCTTGCCTTGCCTGAAAGCTCCAAGAAGGGTCCCTCACAAATCTGGCACCTCACTGCTCCTTGGCCTCTCTCTTTCTCTCTCTGCATGGCATCTCATTGTTAAGGGATGTTAAAAAAAAATTGAAAACGAAGGCCACAGTTTGGATATACACTCAGAACAACCAACCATAACCATAACAAAATGTGAGCTATGTTGATCTCTCTGAAATGCAAGCTCTAACCGTAAACAAACCATAAGCCTTTCTTCCATGTCAGTATGATAAAGTTGAGTCAATCAGCTACAGAAAAATAAGCTCCTACAGCTCTATGTGCCCTAAAAGGGGTACAAATTTATCGTAGCCAATTACAATAGAGTTCAATGTCTTTCTCACAGATGCTATAAACCTATAAGCTGTGCTGTAACACTTGTGAGATGAGCTTCTTAACACGTTCAGTTTGAAATCTCTTGGTTTTTGAAATGTTCTTTGGTAGGCACAATAAACTCCTATCTTCCTGTTTTACTTGATCTGACTTTATTTTCTCATTTTTTATTTTTATTTATTTATTTATTTATTTATTTTATTTTTAACAGTTTCTGGTGTCAAATATGAGATGTAAACTAGATCCTTGATAAGCTCCAAGGCAGGTGAGTAACCTGATGCCGTAGGCACAATAAACCCCTTTATTCCTGTTTTACTTGATCTGATTTTATTTTTAGCAGTTTCTGGTATCAAATATGAGATGTAAAGTAGATCGTTGATAAGCTCCAAGACAGGTGAGTAACCTGATGCCAGTACCACAGAGCCCATGGCGCTCACTGCTTTCTTGCTGAACACGGAGCTCAAGGGTACTCTCAGATCCAAGATGTACTCTCTGCATTTCAAGCTCTTCAACTCTGTTGTGCATACCTGTGCTGTGTGAAAGTTTCTTGATAAGTCATCCTTACATCTGCAAGAGGAGAAAACCCATTATTCCCTGTGTCTGTAACAGGAGACAACCTGCCATTCCGTTGGGTTTCTGGACAGCAGTACAAGTACAAGGTTCCCTATAGATACATTCATTTGAGGAAATCCAAGGCAAAGATACTTTCCACCTGGTCCATAATCCCTTCCTTACATCTGTCTGAACCCCCTGCTTCCTATATTTATAACAGCTATGGATCAGGATCTTGTGTCTTTTTTGTGTGTGTGAAAAATTGGTGACCTTTATAAAGGTCAATGTGAGGCTGCAGTGGCTGCTTTGGGTGATCTTCAACTTAGACAAAATAGTTCATTCTGAAAGCACTCTTGAAAAGAAATGACCCAGAAGCTCTCAAAGACAATGGAATGCAGTCTTGGACTGGTAGGCAGAGGCTTTTAATAGACAGAATGACTCACAATAACCTCTCCAAAATAATGTCTACCAGTGTGCAAATAATAATTTAAAAGCTAAAACTCAGCCTGACTCTATAGACCCTTCTGTGAATCCCTCTGCTTCATTTTATCCTCCAGTAATTGATTTTTCTGAACCTCCTTTAATGTTTTGGCTTTTCCACCTAAACCTCTTCACACCAGCTTCCTTTAAAAAATTAGACACTCAAATGAGCCAGGAGTACCTGTTACAGCTGAATTTAAACCTTGATCTTACACAGAACTCTGAGCCATTATAAAAGATTTTGTGATATTAAAAAAATACAACCAAATTTATAGAAGAATTTAAAATTTTTTAGGGGGTCTATAATCCATGCTTTTAATTTGTACCAATTTTTCCATGTGATAGTATGCACAGGAAGTAACTGAAAATGGCTAGAAAAACCCCATTGAGATAATACATCTGGATATACTGAGGCTCCTGCTAAGCATGCTTTTAAATAAGAAACGCAGATGGACAGAAAAATGGGCCAACAACTGTTAGACGCTATTACTGAAGCACTTCCAATGAGAATAGGCTGGGTCATAATCTAACCTTATAAAAAATGAATCTGCTGCAGATTATCATGCCCATCTGTAGACAGTTTTCACATAATACTGGCTTTAAAGGCCAGGACGATAAAGTGGCTATACTAGCCCATTTTGTTCCTGGATTGCATACAGAAATAAGTGACTTACTGAAGAAATCTAAACTAAAATGAGAGGTAATTCTCACAGAACTGCAACATCTAGTAGAGCATGTTGAAGGGATATTAGATTAAAAAAAAAGAAGCCATCAGGTAAACAAACCAATGACTCTACAATTACAACAGTTGCAGGGAATTTGGCCTATCTTTAAAAAATCTTGTTCCCAATTTTGCCTCCATTGATAAAGATGCTTAGGGTTACTGGAAGCAGAAGGGGCATTGGCAAAAAGACTGCCTGTTGCTAAATAAGGGGAAATTGGAACAACCCCCACATCCTTTTAACAACTCTTAATGTTGATAGGGTTCCAAGGAATTGCCCAGTAAGCTGCTTCCAATAATTCCTTTAAATCAATGAGGAGAAAACAAACTTAACTGAAGAAATTTGTACTGTGACACCAGAACAACTCTTTCTACTTTAGAGTCCACCATGATATATCAAGAACTTTCTCAGGATAATAAAAGTTATCTCAATGGCAGGAGTTTCAAATCAAGTTCAAAGGGTTCCTTTAACAGAATTCTCAACTGTCACCCTTGGCCCTTTTTCTGAGAATCATGCCTTCCTTTTATGTGATATTGCTCCTTTGAATCTCCTACATAAAGACCTGTTTTCCTAAATAGGAGGCTCAATAAAGTTATCCTCTGGAGAAATGACCCTACAAATCTAAGATTTATCAGACAATAAAACCTTGTGGGTTCTCCAGGCCCAAATTGGCTGTCCTAAGGAAACTATTAAGTTCCATAAATGTATAGACATACATCTTTCTGAAATTCCTGATACTCTATGGGCTTCTACTCTACAGATGTGGGAAAGATCAAACACATCAGATCCATTAAAATTGTGATTGACCCTTTTAAATTGCTTTATTTTCTTTTTCGAGATGAAGTCTCACTCTGTTGCCCAGGCTGGAGTGCAGTGGTGTGATCTCGGCTCACTGCAACCTCTGCCTCCCGAGTTCAAGTGATTTTCCTGCCTCAGCCTCCTGGGTAGCTGGGATTACAGGTATGCGCCACCATGCCTGGCTAATTTTTGTACTTTTAGTAGAGATGGGGTTTCACCATGTTGGCCAGGCTGGTCTCAAACGCCTAGCCTCAGGTGATCTTCCCACCTTGGCCTCCCAAAGTGCTGGGATTACAGGCGTGAACCACCGCACCCGGCCTAAACTGCTTTGTAAGTTACCCCAATACCCTCTGAAACCTGAAGCAAATCAGGGACTCACTTTAAGAGTAGAGGACCTAATAAATCAAGGAGTAATTATTTCGTGTACTAGTCCTTGTGACCTTCTTATCTTACCTGTCAAGAAATCCCATGGACAGGGACCGAGATTTGTACAGGGCTTTAGAGCTACAAATAAAATTATATGTCAAGATTCCCGGCCAGGCGCTGTGGCTCACGCTTGTAATCCCAGCACTCTGGGAGGCCGAGGCGGGTGGATCACGAGGTCAGGAGATCAAGACCATCCTGGCTAACACAGTGAAACCTGTCTCTACTAAAAATACAAAAAGACAATTAGCCGGGCATGGTGGTGGGCGCCTGTAGTCCCCAGCTACTCGGGAGGCTGAGGCAGGAGAATGGCATGAACCCAGGAGGCGGAGCTTGCAGTGAGCCGAGATGGCGCCACTGCACTCCAGCCTGGGCGACAGAGTGAGACTCTGTCTCAAAAAAAAAAAAAAAAAAAAAAAGATTCCCAGTGATACCAAATCCAAACACTTCGTTGTCAAAGGGATCAACTGAATCTGAGTGGTTCACAATAGTAGACTTATACTTTGTATATATATTTTAGCATTCCAGTAGACAAAAAGAGTGTTAGTATTTGTTTGTTTTCACTTGGAAAAATCAACAATGTACTTTGACAGTAACACCTTAAGGATTAAAGGCTCTTTCATATTTCTCACGAATTTTATATCAAGATTTGAACACTGCAGTTTCCCAGACATTCTACCTTGATTCAATATGTAGGTAATTTGCTTCTTTGTTCTTCATCTAAAGAGGACGTACAAATTGACCAAATACGTATAACAACCAGCTTATAAGAGCCATAAGACCTCTTGAGATAAGCTTCAATTCTCACAAGAAGTGGCACATTATCTAGGTCACGACTTCTCTGCAAAAGTAATCTTTCTGTCTCCAGAAAAAATAAATATTATTCAAAATTATCCTAGACCTGTGACTAAAAGGCAACTCAGAGGATTCCTCAGAATTTCACGATAGACCAGGTCACAACGTTGGCGTCTCCACTCCATGAACTAACTAAAAATAGCAATCGGGACCCTTTTCTTTGGAAAGAAAAATAGTAGGAGGCCCTTACTGAACTAAAACAGGTTTTGCAAAATCCTCCTGTGTTATGACTCTCCAATTATTCTAAACCATTCACATTGTTTATTCATGAATGAAACAATCAGACTCTAGGGGTCCTCATTCAAAAACTTGTAGGAAAAAATAGGCCCGTAGATTAGTATAGTGTACAGTTATGTCTGGTTGCTACAGCATATCCAAATTGTTTAAAGGCAGTAGTTGCAGGTGCCAAATTATACAATTTTTCTCAGAACTTGTTCAAAGCAATAACTTATGCCTACACCTTTCACATGCTGTAGAAAGCTTGCTAAATCGTGACTGTGCCCAGCATTTCTCAGCCAGCAGGATAACATTTTATGTGATTCTGCTCCTATCACCTTCAAATCTGCATATTCTTTGCTGCAATTCTTTATTTAAACTCTGCTACCATCTTACCTTTACCCAACAAAAGTGAGATGTATAATTGTGTTAAACTGATTTCTCAAAATTTGACTCCGAGATTGGATTTACAAGAAATTCTATTCACCAATCCAGAACTGTTGCTCTATGCTGATGGTTCCTATGCCAAAAATTTTGAAGGAAAATACTAAGCTGGGCATGCTGTTACAATTCAACATGAACTATGATAAAAAGGAGATCTCCCCATTTTAATTCAGTCTAATCTGCAGAATTATTTGCCCTCACTTGAGATTGTAAAAGAGCAAAAGATAAGATTGTAAATATCTAGACTGATGTCAGGTATGCTTTTGCAGTAGTCCGTGATTTTAGTGTGTTGTAGAAACAGAGGGGATCCTTAACGTCAAATGATATGCCTACAAAAATGAGTCTCAGGTTGCTAATCTCTGCATTATTGCTGCCATCATAAGTAGCTATCATAAAAATTAAAACTCCTGCTTATAAAAGAGACCCTGAATATCAGAGAAATTACAGGGCTGATTTTCATGCTAAAGCTGCCACCAAACAAACAAACAAACAAACAAAAAACAAAACAAAAAAAACTTCAAAACTGTCTCAACTAATAAACTATGCACCTTGAGTGAAATCCATCCAAAGGACATAAAAAAAAAATTCAGAACTTACAAGAATGGTAAAAATATGTCTTAGAAAAAAACGATTGGATTAATACAGGTTGTGAAATCCTTGAGAGGTTCTGGGGGCACCCAGATAGCTGTTTAGTACTTTCTGGATCCCTAAAGTTGTCATTCTTCTGAGATTTTCATTCTTTTACTTACCATGGAGTTGATAAAATGATTCAAGCCCTGGTGAAGTATTGGTGGGCAGACTTTTCAAAAGGAGCTTAGCGATGTCTACCATCCCCAGCCCTGGAAACTCTGCTGTGTCACTCAGCCAAAGGAGATGCCAAATCAGATTGGCTATTCAGCAGCACAACACTGTCAGAAATTTGTCCCACATGTCCCCTGGGCATGATCCCCTAACTAGACTTCCTACATTGCTGGGACATCCCCTTTTGGACCTCTCCCATTAGCAAAGGGCAGCACTCTGATTGTTTATTAGAACTGAGGTGAACCTGGGATTAAGGTGCCATCTAGAACTGAAAAGGAGGCAATGGCGTGGCAATAAACAACCTCTAAGCAAATATATCCAGTAAAAACCTAAACAAGTCAGACAAGGAAGACGAATACATAACCAATCCTTCAGTGCAAAGACACAGACATACATCCACAAAAAACAATAGCAAACAGGAAACCATGTTCTCCTCAAATGAACAAAACAAGGAACCAGTAACTTCCAATCAATAGAAGAGAGAGATTCCTCCCTAACTCATTTTATGAGGCCCAGCATCATCCTGATACCAAAGCCTGGCAGAGACACAACAAAAAAAGAGAATTTTAGATCAATATCCCTGATGAACATCGATGCAAAAATCTTCAATAAAATACTGGCAAATCGAATCCAGCAACACATCAAAAAGCTTATCCACCAAGATCAAGTTGGCTTCATCCCTGAGATGCAAGGCTAGTTCAACATACACAAATCAATAAATGTAATCCATCACATACATAGAACCAAAGACAAAAACCACATGATTAGCTCAATGGATGCAGAAAAGGCCTTCGACAAAATTCAACAGTCCTTCATACTAAAAACTCGCAATAAACTAGATATTGGTGGGAAGTATCTGTTAAAATAAAAAGAGCTACTTATGACAAACCCCAGCCAATATCATACTGAGTGGGCAAAAACAGGAAGCATTCCCTTTGAAAACTGGCACAAGGCAGGGATGCCCTATCTCACCACTCCTATTCAACATAGTGTTGGGAGTTCCGGCCGGGGCAATCAGGCAAGAGAAAGAAATAAAGGGCATTAAATTAGGAAAAGAGGAAGTCAAATTGTCCCTGTTTGCAAATGACATGATTGTATATTTAGAAAACCCCATCGTCTCAGCCCAAAATCTCCTTAAGCTGATAAGCAACTTCAGCAAAGTCTCAGGATACAAAATCGATGTACAAAAATCACCAGCATTCTTGTACACCAATAACAGACAAACAGAGAGCCAAATCATGAGTGAACTCCCGTTCACAATTGCTACAAAGAGAATAAAATACATAGGAATCCAACTTACAAGGGATATGAAGGTCTTCTTCAAGGAGAACTACAAACCACTGTTTAATGAAATAAAAGAGAACACAAACAAATTGACGAACATTCCATGCTCATGGGTAGGAAGAATGAATATCGTGAAAATGGCCATACTTCCCAAGGTAATTTATAGATTCAATGCCATCCCCATCAAGCTACCAATGACTTTCTTCACAGAATTGAAAAAAACTTTAAAGTTCATATGAAAACAAAAAAGAGCCACATTTCGAAGTCAATCCTAAGCCAAAAGAACAAAGCTAGAGGCATCACACTACCTGACTTCAAACTATACTACAAGGCTACAGTAAACAAAACAGCATGGTACTGTACCAAAATAGAGGTATAGACCAATGGAACAGAACAGAGGTCTCAGAAATAACACCACACGTCTACAACCGTCTGATCTTTGACAAACCTGACAAAAACAAGAAATGGGGAAAGGATGCCCTATTTAATAAATGGTGCTGGAAAAACTGACTAGCCATATGTAGAAAGCTGAAACTGGATTCCTTCCTTACACCTTATACAAAAATTAATTCAAGATGGATTAAAGACTTATATGTTAGACCTAAAACCATAAAAGCCCTAAAAGAAAACCTAGGCAATACCATTCAGGACATAGGCATGGGCACGGACTTCATGACTAAACCACCAAAAGCAATGGCAACAAAAGCCAAAATTGACAAATGGGATCTAATTAAACTAAAGAGCTTCTGCACAACAAAAGAAACTACCATCAGAGTGAACAGGCAACCTACAGAATAGGAGAAAATTTTTGCAATCTACTCATCTGACAAAGGGCTAACATCCAGAATCTACAAAGAACTTAAACAAAATTACAAGACAAAAATCAAACAAGCCCATCAAGAAGTGGGCAAAGGATATGAACAGACACTTTTCAAAAGAAGACATTTATGCAGCCAACAGACACCTGAAAAATGCTTATCAGAACTGGTCATAGAGAAATGCAAATCAAAATCACAATGAGACACCATTTCACACTATTTAGAATGGCAATCTTTAAAAAGTTAGGAAACGACAGGTGCTGGAGAGGATGCGGTGAAATAGGAATGCTTTTACACTGTTGGTGGGAGTGTAAACTAGTTCAACCATTGTGGAAGACAGTGTGGTGATTCCTCAAGGATCTACAACTAGAAATACCATTTGACCCAGCCATCCCATTACTGGGTATGTACCCAAAAGATTTTAAATCATGTGGCTATAAAGACACATGCACATGAATGTTTATTGCAGCACTATTCACAATAGTAAAGACTTGGAACCAACCCAAATGTCCATCAATAATAGACTGGATTGAGAAAATGTGGCACATATACACCATGGAATACTATGCAGCCACAAAAAAGGATAAGTTCATGTCGTTTTTAGGGTCATGGATGAAGCTGGAAACCATCATTCTGAGCAAACCATTGTAAGGACAGAAAATCAAAAACTGCATGTTTTCACTCATAGGTGGGAACTGAACAATGAGAACACTTGGACACAGGGCAGGGAATATCACACACTGGGGCCTGTCGTGGGGTGGAGGGATAGGGGAGGGATAGCATTAGGAGAAATACCTAATGTAAATGACGAGTTAATGGGTGCAGCAAACCAACACGGCACATGTATACATATGTAACAAACCTGCACGTTGTGTACATGTACCCTAGAACTTAAAGTATAATAAAAAGAAACAAAAAGAAAAAAGAAAAACTCAAGTGGCAGCAATGGAAGCTGGAGGTACCACTCAGCACATTGGTGCCTTTCTTGTGTCTCTGCCTTCGGGGGAAAAGATAACTTTTCTTGATACTCCGGGACATGCTACTTTCTCAGCAATGAGAGCAGAGGGGCTCAAGTCACTGACATTGTCATCTTGGTTGTAGCTGCAGATAATGGGGTGTAGAATCTATTCAGCATGCCAAGGATGCTCAAGTTCCTATTGTCCTTGACATAAATAAATGTGACAAAGCTGAGGCTGATTCTGAGAAAGTGTAAAAAAAGCTATTGGCTTATGATGTGCTGTGTGAAGATTATGGAGGTGATGTTCAAACACTGCCTGTCTCTGCACTTGCAGGCGATAATCTAATGGCTTTGGCAGAAGAACAACTGCAGAAATGTTGGAATTGAAAGCAGAGCCCCACTGGTCCAGTGTAAGGAACAGTAATAGAGTCACAAAGGAAGAGGTCCTGTTACTACAGCTATAATTCAAAGAGGAATTTTAAGAGAAGACTCTGTTCTGGTTGCTGGAAAAAGTTGGGCAAAAGTACACTTAATGTTTGATGAAAATGGAAAAACAATCTGTGAGCCCTATCCCAGCATGGCAGAGGGAATTATAGGCTGGAGAGACCTTCCTTCTGCAGGAGATGAAATTCTTGAAGTAGAACCTGAGCTAAGGGCATGTGAAGTTTTGACTGGAGGAAGTATGAACAAGAACAGGAGAAAAGTCAACAGGATCTGAAAATAATAGAAGAAAAGTCAAAGGAACATCAAGAAACACATTGGAAAGCCCGTGAGAAGTATGGCTGTGTGCAGTGGAAGGAGAGATCATTTCTAAAGTATTTAGAAAGAAAAGAACAAACATCCTTAAAGCCAAAAGAGAAAATGGAAAGAGATTCAAATGTACTTCCCAGTGATTATTAAAAGTGATGTTGATGATCTGTTGGGGCCATTTTGAACATTATAGATACCTATGATGCATCACACGAGTGTGAACTAGAATTAGTACATTTTGGAGTGGGTGATATAAGTGCAAATGATGTTAACCTTGCTGAAAGATTTGATGGTGTTATATATGGCTTTAATGTGAATACAGGCAATGTTATCCAACAGTCAACTGCAAAAAAGGAGTAAAAATTAAACTTCACAAAATAATTTACCGTCTTGCTGGAGATTTGCAAGAGGAAGTGAGCAGCAGATTACCCTGCGCTGTGGAAGAGCACCCAGTAGGTGAAGCGTCTATACTAGCTACCTTCTTTATAACAGAAGGGAAGAAAAAAGTTCCTGTGGATTGCTGCAGAGTCCAAAAGGGACAGTTAGAAAAAAAAATTAAATTAGCCTGTAAAGGACATGTAATTTGGAAGGGATCATTAACCTCACTGAAACACCATAAAGATGACGTTTCAATTGTCAAAACTGGAATGGATTGTGGTATCAATTTAGATGAAGAAAATATAGAATTTAAGGTGGGAAATAAAATTGTTTGTTATAAAGAAAAGCAAATTTGAGCCAAGACTTTTTGGGATCCAGGATTTTAAAATTACATTAAAAATGTAAATAACAAAACAAAAAAAAAAGACAAAGAGGGGCATTACATAATAGTAAATAATTCAATTCAAGGAGAAGACCTAAATACCCTAAATATATATGCACCTAACACAGGAGCAATCAGATTCACAAGGCAAGTTCTTAGAGACCTACAAAGAGGTGTAGATTCCCACATAATAATAGTGGGAGACTTCACCACTCCACTGAGAGTATTAGATAGATCATTGAGGCAGAAAATTAACAAAGATATGCAGGACCTGAACTCAGCAATGGACCAAATGGACCTGATAGACCTCTACAGAACTTTCTACCCCAAAACAACAGAATATACGTTCTTTTCATCACCAAATGGTTCATACTCTAAAACTGACCACATAATTGGACATAAAGCAATCTTCCACAAATGAAAAAGAACCAAAACCATCCCAAACACACTCTTGGATGACAGTGCAATAAAAATAGAAGTTAAGACTAAGAAAATTGCTCAAAACCATGCAATTACATGGAAATTAAACAACATGATCCCGAATCACTTCTGGGTAAATAATTAAATTAAAGCAGAGGTCAAGAAGTCCTTCTAAACAAACGAGAACAAAGATACAACATACCAGTATCCCTGGGACACAGCTAAGACAGTGTTAAAAGGGAATTTCATAGCACCAGGTGTCCACATCAAAAAGGCAGAAAAATCTTAAATTAATAATCTAACATCATAACTGAAAGAACCAAAGAAGCAAAAACAAATCAACACCAAATTCAGCAGAAAACAAGAAATAACCAAAATCAGAGCTGAATTGAAGGAAATAGAGACATGAAAGACCATTCAAAAGATCAATGAATGCAGGAGTTGGTTTTTTGAAAAAGTTATGACAGACTGGCCACTAGCTAGATTGATAAAGAAGAAAAGAGAGAAGATCCAAATAAACACAATTAGAAAAGATGATGGGGATGTTACCACTGACCCCACAGAAATAAAAACAGATATCAGAAACTATGAAAAACACCACTATGTACACAAACTAGAAAACCTAGAAAAGAATAAATTCCTGGACACATACACCCTCCCAAGACAAAACTAGGAATAGACAATATTCCTGAACAGACCAATTACAAGGTCCAAAATCGGATCAGTAATAAATAGCCTACCAACCAAAAAAGCCCAGCACCAGATGAATTCACAGCTGAATTCTACCGGCTGTACAAAGAAGAACTGGTACCATTTCTACTGAAACTATTCCAAAAATTAAGGAGGAAGGACTTCTCCCCAACTCATCCCATGAAGCAACATCCTGACACCCAAACCAGGTACAGATACAACAAAAAAAGAAAACCTCAGGCCAATAATATCCTTGATGAGTATCTATGAAAGAATCCCCACAAAACAAAAAACAAAAACATTTGCAAACCAAATCCAGCAGCACATCAAAAAGCTATTTCATCATGTTCAAATAGGCTTCATACCTGGGATGCAAGGTTGGTTCAACGTATGCAAATCAATAAATATGATTAATCACATAAACAAAACTAAAGACAAAAGCCACATGCTCATCTCAATAGAGGCAGAAGAGGCTTTCAATAAAATTCAACACCCCTTCATGTAAAAACTCAATAAACTAAGTGTGCAAGGAACATACTTCAAAATAATAAGAGCCATCTGTGACAAATCCACAGCCAACATCATACTGAATGGTCAAAAGCTGGAAGCATTCCTTTTGAATATTGGCACAAGAAAAGAATGCTCTCTCTTACCACTCCTATTCAACATATCATTGGAAGTCCTGGCCAGATCAGTCAGGCAAGAGAAAGAAATAAAGGGCATCCAAATGGAAAGAGAGAAAGTCTAAATATCTCTGTTTGTAGATGACATTATTCTAAATCTAGAAAACCCCATAGTCTCAGCCAGAAAACTCCTTCAGCATGGTACTGGTATAAAAACAGTCACATAGACCAATGGAACAGAATATAGAGCCCAGAAAAAAGGTAGCAAACTATGACCATCTAACCTTTGAAAAAGCTGACAAAAACAAGTAATGGGCCTCCTGAAACTATTCCAAAAAATTGAAACGAAGGGACTCCTCCTTAACTCATTCTATGAGGCCAGCATCATCCTGATATCAAAATCTGGCAGAGATACAACAAAAAAGAAAACTTCAGGCCAATATTCTTGATATACATTGATGCAAAAATCCTCAACAAAATACTTGAAAGCCAAATCCAGCAGCAGCACATCAAAAAGCTTATCCACCACAATCAAGTAGGCCCTGGGATGCTAGGTTGGTTCAACATACTCAAATCAATAAGTGTGATTAATCACATAAACAGAACTAAAGACAAACAACCACATGATTGTCACAATAGATGCAGAAAAGACTTGATAAAATTCAACATTCCTTCATGTAAAGAACCTCCAATAAGCTAGGTATTGAAGGAACATACCTCAAAATAATGAGAGCCACCTATGACAAATCTACAGCAGGCATCATGCTGAATTGGAAAAAGCTGGAAGCATTCCCCTTGAAAACTGGCATAAAACAAGGATTCCCTCTCTCACCACTCCTATTCAATATAGCATTGGAATTTCTGGCCAGGGCAATTAGTCAAGAGAAAGAAATAAAGGGCATTCAAATAGGAAGAGAGGAAGGAAGTCAAACTATCTCTCATTGTGGATGACATGATCCTATATCTTGAGAACTCCATTATCTCAGCCCAAAAGCTTCTTAAGGTGATAAACAACTTGAGCAAAGTCACAGGATCCAAAATCAATGTGCAAAAAATCACCAGCATTCCTATACACCAAAAACAGTCAAGGCAAGAGCCAAATCATGAATGAAATTCCATTCACAATTGCCACAAAAAGAATAAAATACCTAGGAATACAGCTAATAAGGCAGGTGAAAGATTTCTACAAGGAGAATCACAAACCACTGCTCATATAAATCTGAGGTGACATGAACAAATGGAAAAAGATTCTATGTTCATGGATAGGAAGAATCATTATCATGAAGAATGTACTATTCCCACTAAACTACCATTGACATTCTTCACAGAATTAGAGAAAACTATTTTAAAATTCGTGTGGAACCAAAAAGGAGCCTGAATAGCCAAGACAATTCTAAGAAAAACAAAAAACAAACAAACAAATGAACAACAACAACAACAACAAAAGCAGGAGGCGTCACACTACCTGACTTTATACTACAGGGACACAGTAACCAAAATAGCATGGTGCTGGTATAAGGACAGGCACACAGACTAGTGGAACAGAACGGTGAACTCAGAAATAAAGCTGCACACCTACAACTATCTGATCTTTGACAAACCTGATGAAAACAAGCAATGGGGAAAAGATTCCCTATTCAATAACTGGCTAGCCATATGCAGAAAATTAAAACTGGGCCCCTTCTTTACACTATATACAAAAATTAACTCAAGATGGAGTAAATACTTAAATGTAAAAACCAAACCTTGGAAAACAACCTAGGCAATAACATTCAGGACATAGGCACAGGGAAAGATTTCGTGAAGAAAGCACCAAAAGCAATGGCAACAAAAACAAAAATTGACAAATGAGACCTAATTAAACTAAATATCTCCTACACAGCAAAATAAACTATCAACAGAATAAACAAAAAACCTACAGAATGGGAGAAAATTTTTGTAAATTATGCATCTGACAAAGATATAATATCCAGCATCTATAAGAAACTTAAACAAATTTACAAGAAAAAGAAAAACCCCATTAAAAAGTGAGCAAAGGACATAAACAGACACTTCAAAAGAAGACATTTATGTGGACAACAAACATATGAAAAAAAGCTCAACATCACTGATTATTAGAGAAATGCAAATCAAAACCACAGTGAGATATCATCTCACACCAGTTAAAATGGCCATTATTATCAAGTCAAAAAATGACAGATGCTGGTGAGGTTATGGAGAAAAAGGAACACTTTTACCCTTTTGGTGAGAGTGTAAATTAGTTTAACCATTGTGGAAGAGAGTGTGGCAATTCCTTAAAGACCTAAAGATAGAAATACCATTTGACTCGGCAATCTCATTACTGGGTATATACCCATAGAAATAGAAATCATTCTATTATAAAGACACATGCATGTGTATGTTCATTGTAGCACTATTCACAATAGCAAACACATTCACAATGGCAAAGACCATCAACTACAGACTGGTTAAGTAAAATGTTGTACATACACACCATGGAATACTGTGCATCCATAAAAAGGGATGAGATCATGCCTTTTGTGGGAACATGGATGGAGCTGGAGGCCATTATCCTTATCAAACTAAAACAGGAACAGAAAACCATATATGGCATGGTCTCACTTATAAGTGTAACTAAATGATGAGAACACATGACACACAGAGGAGAAAAACACACACTGGGGCCTATTGGAGGGTAGAAGGCGGCAGGAGAAAGAGGATCAGGGAAAATAACTAATGGATACTAGGCTTAATACCTAAGGTGATCAAATAATCTGTGTAATAAACCCCCATGACACGTTTACCTGTGTAACAAATCTGCATATCCTGTGCACGTACCCTTGAACTTAAAATAAAGGTTAGAAAAAAGCAATATGCACAGAGGAAAAAAAAACACAATGTTATATGAGTAAAACAATTACATAAGAAATGTATAAAACCAATAAAGTTCAAAATAATAAAAAATGGGAAAAAGACTCCCTATTCAATAAATGGTGCTGGGATAACTCACTAGTCATATGAGAAGATCCCTTCCTTATACCATATACAAATATCAACTCAAGATGGATTAAAGACTTAAATGTAAAACCCAAAACTGTAAATATCCTGGAAGATAACTTAGACCACATCATCCTGGACATAGGAATGGGTAAAGATTTCATGATGAAGACACTGAAAGCAATTGCAACAACAGCAAAAATTGACAAATGGGATCAAATTAAACTAAAGAGCTTCTGCATAGCTGAAGAAACTATCAACAGAGTAAACAGACAACCTACAGAATGGGAGAAAATTTTGCAAACTATATATCTGACAAAGGTCTAATATCCAGCATCTATAGCAAACTTAAACAAACTTACAAGAGAAAAACAATCCCATTTAAAAGTGGGCCAAGAGCATGAACAAACACTTCTCAAAAGAAGGGATACATGTGTCCAAGAAGCATGTGAAAAAAAGCTCAATATCACTGATCATTAGAAAAATGCAAATCAAAATCACAATGAGATACCATCTCACACCAGTCAGAATGGCTATTACTAAAAAGTCAAAAATAACAGATGCTGGTGAGGTTGCAGAGCAAAGGGAACACTTATACACTGTTGTGGGAGCATAAATTAGTTCAACCATTGTGAAAAGCAGTATGGTGATTCCTTAAAGAGCTAAAAGCAGAACTACAATTAGACCTAGCAATCACATTACTGGGTACATACCCAGGGGAATATAAATAGTTCTACCATAAAGATATATGTACACAAATGTTTACTGCAACATTATTCATGATAGCAAAGATATGAAATCAACCTAAATGCCCAACAATGACAGACTGAATAAAGAAATTGTGCTACATATATACCATGGGATACTATGCAGCCATAAAAAACAATGAGATCATGTCTTTTGTGGGAACATGGATGGAGCTAGAAGCTATTATCCTTAGTAAACTAACACAGGAACAGAAAAGAAAATACTGCATGTTCTCACTTATAAGTGGGAGCTAAATGATGAGAACTCATGAACACAAAGAAGATAACAACAGACACTGGGGCCTATTGGAGTGTGGAGGGTGGGAGGAAGGGAAAGGGGCAGAAAAAATAACTACTGGGTACTAGGCTTTATACCTGAGTGATGAAATAATCTGTACAACAAAATCCCATGACAGGAATTTCACATGTATCCTCAAACCTAAAATAAAAGTTAAAAAACAAAACTGTCATACAAGAATAGTGTATCCAGCAAACTTATTGTGAAGATGATATAAAATGTTTTCCAGGCAAAGGAAACCTGAGAGAATTCACCACTACCTGACTCATCTTACAAGAAATGCTAAAGGGAGTTCTTCATTCTGAAAGAAAAAACCATTAATGTGCAAAAAAAATTAAGGTATAAAGCATGTTGGTAAAATTATGTTCATGAATAAACTTGAGAGGTGAAGCCAGCTGGGCTTCTGGGTCAGGTGGGGACTTGGAGAACTTTTCTGTCTAGCTGGAGGATTGTAAATGCACCAATCAGCATTCTGTAAAAATGGACCAATCAGCACTCTGTAAAATGGACCAATCAGTAGGACATGGGTGGGGCCAAATAAGGGAATAAAAGTTGGCCACCTGAGCCAGCAGTGGCAACCCACTCAGGTTCCCTTCCATGCTGTGCAAGCTTTGTTCTTTCACTCTTCATAATAAATCTTGCTGCTGCTCATTGTTTGTGTCCGCACTACCTTTATGAGCTGTAACACTCACTGCGAGTGTCTGCGGCTTCATTCCTGAAGTCTGCGTGACCATGAACCCACTGGAAGGAACAAACTGCGGATGCACCACCTTTAAGAGCTGTAACACTCACTGTGAGGCCCGCAGCTTCATTCTTGAAGTCAGCGAGCTTGACCTTTTCTGTAAGAGGGAAGGCAAATGGAGTGAAATACCTTATGTCCAAGCTTTCTTTTCATTGAAGGAGAATCCACAACTATTCAAAGCTTCTAATTTACATCCCACAAGAGGACCTCTCAGCTTACCCCCATATCCTAGCCTCCCTATAACTCCCCTTCCTATTAATGATAAGCCTCCTCTATTATCCCTGCCTAGAAGGAAACAAGGAAAGAAATCTCCAAGGGACCACAAAAACCCCCGGGCTATGGGTTATGTCCCCTTTAAGCTGTAGGGGGAGGGGAATTTGGCCCAACCTGGGTACATGTCCCCTTCTCCCTCTGATTTAAAGCAGATCAAGGCACACCTGGGGAAGTTTTCAGATGATCCTGATAGGTATATAGATGTCCTACAGGGTCTAGGGCAAATCTTTGATCTCACTTGGAGAGATGTCATGCTATTAGATCAAACCCTGGCCTTTAATGAAAAGAATGTGGCTTTAGCTGCAGCCTGAGAGTTTGGAGATACCTGGTATCTTAGTCAAGAAAATGATAGAATAACAGCTGAATAAAGGGACAAGTTCTCTACCAGTCAGCAAGCCATCCCCAGTATGGATCCTCACTGGGACCTAGACTCAGATCATGGGAACTGGAGTCACAAACATCTGTTGATCTGTGTTCTAGAAGGACTAAGGAGAATTAGGAAAAAGCCCATGAATTATTCAATGATGTCCACCATAACTCAGGGAAAAGAAGAAAATCCTGACTTCCTCGAGAGGCTACAGGGGACCCTAAGAAAATATACTCCCCTGTCACCTGACTCCTTCAAGGATCAATTGATCCTAAAAGATAAGTTTATTACCCAATCAGCCACAGACATCGGGAGAAAGCCCAAAAGCGAGCCCTGAGCCCTAAACAAAATCTGGAGGCATTATTAAACCTGGCAACCTTAGTGTTCTATAATCAGGACCAAGAGGAACAGGCTGAAAAGGAAAAGTGAAATCAGAGAAAGGCCACAGCCTTAGTCATGGCCCTCAGAAAAACAAACCTTGGTGGTTCAGACAGGACAGAGAATGGAGCAGGCCAATCACCCAGTAGGGCTTGTTATCAGTGTGGTTTGCAAGGATATTTTAAAAAAGATTGTCCAATGAGAAACAAGCCGCCCCCTCGCCCATGTCCATTATGCCTATGCAATCATTGCCCCAGAGGACAAAGGTTCTCTGTGTCAGAAATCCCCAACCAGATGATGCAACAACAGGATTGAGGGTGCCCAGGGCAAGCGCCAGCTCATGTCATCACCCTCACTGAGCCCCGGGTACATTTAACTATTGAGTGCCACGAAATTAACTTCCTCCTGGACACTGGTGCATCTTTCTCAGTGTTAATCTCCTGTCCCAGACAGCTGTCCTCAAGGTCCGTTACCATCTGAGGAATCCTGGGACAGCCAGTAAACAGGTACTTCTCCCACCTCCTCAGTTCTAACTGGGAGACTTTGCTACAGATGGTAAGTATGCTTATCTAATCCTACATGCCTATGCTGCAATATGGAAAGAAAGGGAGTTCCTAACCTCTGGGGAAGCCCCATTAAATACCACAAGGAAATCATGGAGTTATTGCATGCAGTGCAAAAACCCAAGGAGGTGGCAGTCTTACACTGCTGAAGCCATCAAAAAGGGGAAGGAGAGGGGAGAGCAGCAGCATAAGCAGCTGGCAGAGGCAGGCAAAGACCAGCAGAAATGAAAGAGAGAAAGAGACAGAAAGTCAGAGAGAGAGAGAGAGAGAGGAGGAGACAGAGACAAAGAGGGAGTCAGAGAGAGAGAGAAAGAGAGAGATAGAAAGCCAAAGAGAGAGAGGAAGAGACAAAGAGGGAGTCAGAAAG
The DNA here is from genome assembly GCF_000001405.40 of Homo sapiens. NCBI lineage: Eukaryota > Metazoa > Chordata > Mammalia > Primates > Hominidae > Homo > Homo sapiens. The sequence continues at coordinate 121,512,354 of NC_000001.11, forward strand.
AGAGAAAGAGAGAGACAAAGAAGAAGTCAAAGAGAAAGAGAGATGGAAGTAGTAAAGAAAAAACAGTGTATGCTATTCCTTTAAAAGCCAGGGTAAATTTTAAACCTATAATTGATAATTGAAGGTCTTCTCCATAACCCTATAACACTCCTAACCACCGTGTTGTCAGTGTAAACAAGGGTGTAGCCCAAAAACACTGAGGCCACTGACAACCCATAGCCTTCCTATCAAAACCGTAGCCTTCCTATCAAAAATCCTTAACCCAGCAGGTTTCCTAACAGGGGATCTAAATCTTAATTACTATACAAAGGTCCTATCAGACCTAGGAAGTACTCCCTTCAGAAGTGGATGATAGATGGTTCCTCCCAGGTGATTAAGGGAAAAAGACACAATGGGTATTCAGCAAGTGATAAAGAAACTCTTGTAGAAGCAGATTTAGGAAAATTGCCTAATAACTGGTCTGCTCAAACGTGCCAGTTGTTTGCACTCAGCCAAACCTTATAGTACTTACAGAATCAGGAAGGAGCCATCTATACCAATTCTAAGTTAATATGGACTGAACGAGGTCTTATTAATAGCAAAGAATAATTGAAATCCCAAACTTACAAGGTTTTCAACAATAGTAAAGTTTGCTAAAAGTTAACAGTGTAACATGTATTATCCTACTACCACATGCTCTCAAAGGATTTCTCAGACAGTTCGCAAAAAATAACAAAATCTATCCTTACTCTACAATCCCAAATAGACTCTGGTAGCAGTGACTCTCCAAAACCGCCAAGGCCTAGACCTCCTCACTGCTGAGAAAGGAGGACTCTGCACTTTCTTAGGGGAAGACTGTTGTTTTTACAATAACCAGCCAGGGATAGAAGAAGATGCTGCCTGGCATTTACAGGAAAAGGCTTCTGAAATCAGACAACGCCTTTCAAACTCATACCAACCTCTGGAGTTGGGCAACATGGCTTCTCCCATTTCTAGGTCCTGTTTCAGCCATCTTGCTATTACCTTTGGGCCCTGTGTTTTTAACCTCCTTGTCAAATTTGTTACCTCCAGGATGGATGCCATCAAGCTATAGAGGTCTTACAAATGGAACCCTAAATGAGGTCAACTAACAACTTCTACTGAGGCCCCTGGATCAACTCACTGGCCCTTTGTCTGGCCTAGAGAGTTCTCCTCTGGAGGACGCTACCACTGCAGGCCCCCTTCTTCACCCCTATCCAGCAGGAAGTAGCTAAAGTAGTCATCGCCCAATTCCCACAGCAGTTGAGGTGTCCTATTTGGAGGGGGGATTGACAGGTGAAGCCAGCTGGGCTTCTGGGTCAGGTGGGGACTTGGAGAACTTTTCTGTCTAGCTAGAGGATTGTAAACGCACCAAAGCTCTGTGTCTAGCTAGAGGATTGTAAACACACCAGTCAGCATTCTGTAAAAATGAACCAATCAGCACTCTGTAAAATGGACCAATCAGCACTCTGTAAAATGGACCAATCAGCAGGACATGGGTGGGGCCAAATAAGGGAATAAAAGCTGGCCACCAGAGCCAGTAGTGGCAACCTGCTTGGGTCCCCTTCCATGCTGTGGAAGCGTTATTCTTTCATTCTTCATAATAAATCTTGCTGCTGCTCACTCTTTGGGTCTACACTACCTTTATGAGCTGTAACACCATGAGGGTCTGTGGCTTCATTCCTGAAGTCAGTGAGACCATGAACCCACCAGAAGGAACAAACTCCGTATGTGCCACCTTTAAGGGCTGTAACACTCACCACGAGGTCTGCAGCTTCATTCTTGAAGTCAGCGAGACCAAGAGCCCACCAGAAGGAATAAATTCCGGACACAAACTCAGAATACTCTAATACTATAATTGTAGTGTGCAATCCACTTATAAATCAAATATGAAGCCTCAAAAAGCAAATCTATCAAAAACAATCATAGCTACAGAAACTTGTTAAGAGATAGGTAATATAAAGATATGTAAAGTCAATTAAAATTCAAAATGAGAGAGAAATGAAGTTAAAATGTGGAAGTTTTGTTTTTTCTTTGTTTGTTTCTATTCTTTGTGATCTAAGATAAATTGTCATCTCTTTAAAATAACTTGTTATATCTACAAGACGTTTTTTGTAAACCTCATAGTAACCATAATGCAAAAACCTATAATAGATTCACAAAAATTAAAAAGCAGCAAATTAAAACATACTACCACAGAAAATCACTTAACCACAAAAGGAGAGTCAGAAAAGAAGAAAGGAAGAGAGGAGTTTCAAAATACCAGAAAACAAGCAACATAACGGCAGTAGCAATTCCCTACTTATCAATAATAACACTGGATTTACATGGACTTGATTCTCCAATTAAAAGGCATAGGGTGGCTGAATGGATAAAGAAACAATACCTAACTACATGCTGCCTATAAGAAACCCACTTCACCTCTAAACATATAGATAGACTGAAAGTGAAGGGGTGAAAAAAGATATTGCATGCAACTGGAAACTAAAAAAGAGTGGGAGTAACTATACTTATATTAGAGGAAATAGACTACAAATCAAAGATTGTAAAAAGGGATAAAGAAGTTTACTACATAATGATTAAAAGGTCAATTCAGTAAGAAAATGTAACCATTATATACATCTATGAACCAACACTGATAGGTCTATACAAATATAAGTATAAAAAACTGATTAAAGTAATTGAACGAAACATTTAAATAAGGATATTCTATGTCATGGATTGGAAGAATTAATATTGCTAAAATAACAATACTATCCAAAGCAATTTACAGATTTAATGCAATCCTTATTAAAAAACCAATGCCATTCTTCACAGAAATAGGACAAATGCTAAAATTTATATGAAACCACAAAGACCCTGAAGACCCAAAGCAATTTGGAGCAAAAAAAGAAAAAAAAAAAAAAAAGGCTGGAGGCATCACATTACCTGGCTTCAAAATTTACTGCAAAGATATAATAACCAACTATTCACAATAGTAAAGACATGGAATCTATCCAAATGCCCATCAATGGTAGACTGGATAAAGAAAATGTTGTACATATACACCATGGAATACTATGCAGCCATAAAAAGGAACAAGATCATATCCTTTGTAGGGACATAGACGGAGCTGGAAGCTGTTATCCTCAGCAAACTAATGCAGGGACAGAAAACCAAACACCACATATTCTCAGCTGAATGAGCTTAATGATGAGACCGCATGGACACATACTGGGCCTGTTGGGGGTGGGGTGTTGCAGGAAGGAGAGCATCAGGAAGAATAGCTAATGCATGCTGGGCTTAATACCTAGGTGATGGGATGATCTGTGAAGCAAACCACCATGGCACATACTTACCTACGTAAGAAACCTGCATATTCTGCACATGTACCCTGGAACTTAAAACAAAAATTAAACATTAAAAAAAAAGCTATAGTAACCCAATTAGCCTAGAACTGGCAAGAAAACAGACACATAGACCAATGAAACAGAATAGAGAACCCAGAAATAAACCGATGCATTGACAGCCAACTCATCTTCAACAACAGCACCAAGAGCATACAACAGGAAAAGGAGTGTCTGTTTAATAAATGGTGCTGGGAAAACTAGGTAATTACATGTAGAAGGATGAAACCAGACCCCTATATCTCACCATACACAAAAATAAAATTAAAATGGATTAAAGGTTTAAATCTAAGACCTAGAACTATGACTATGAAACAATTAGATGAAAACTTTGGGGAAGTGTTCCAGGACATTAGTCTGAGCAATGATACTTTGTGTAAGACCTCTAAAGCACAGGCAACCAAGAAAGAATAGACAAATGGGATTGAATCAGGCTAAAAAGCTTCTGCACAGCAAAAGAAACAATCAACAATGATTTAAGGTCCTGTATGGGGGATTTGTTAAAGTATAATCAAAATGGAGGCCACAGTATATCCTTAGGTTAACCACTCATAGCCACATGACCAAAATTTAAGCTATCCTGACTTCCCTGAAATGCAATTTCTAACCATTAACAAAAGTTAAGCTTTCCTTTCTTGTTAGTATGATGAAATTGAACCAATTTGTTACAGACAAATAAGCTTATACAGCTCTACTTGCCCAAAAAGGAATATAAGTTTTTAACAGCCAGTCACAATAGAGGTCAATGCACTTCCTCATTGATGCTTTATAAGCTGCACTGTAACTCTCATGTCAAGTTTCTTACTACTTTTGATTTGAAGTCTTCCGGTTTGTGAACTATTCTTTTGTATGTATGATAACCTGCATATTCCTTTTTTACTTGATCTGACTTTATTTTTACGCGGTCCTCCATGGTGTTTGGGTTTCTCACAGTGTGGCAGTCTCAGGATAATACCGTAGTACTTTTCACCAGGCAGCTGTCTTCTATGAGCAAGGTCTCCAAGAGAAAGGAAGTGGAAGCTCTTGTGGTCTGGAACAGAAAGCCCACACAATCTTTCTCTCTCGCTCTCTCTTTTTTTTTTTGAGACAGAGTTTTGCTCTGTTGCCCTGGCTGGAGTGCAGTGGCGCAATCTTGGCTTACCGCAAGCTCTGCCTCCTGGGTTCAAGCAATTCTCCTGCCTTAGCTTCCCAAGTAGCTGGGATTATAGGCATGTGCCACCACGCCCAGTTAATTTTTTTTTTTTTTTTTTTTTGCATTTTTAGTAGAGATGGGGTTTCACCATATTGGCCAGGCTGGTTTCGAGCTCCTGACCTTGTCATCTGCCTGCCTCAGCCTCCCAAAGTGCTGGAATTACAGGCGCGAGCCACCAGGCCTGGCCAGCCCACACAATATCTCTTCAGCAATATTCAGTAGGTTAGGGGAGTCACAGAGCCCACCCAACTCAAGGGGAGAAAACAAAGGACCCTTATTCCCCCTTTATACACTTCATGATGATGAGAGTATCAAAGTGCTTGTTGCAATATTTATTTCACCAAGGAGGAAAAGGTCAGTTTGGACCAGAAAGGTCAGAAAAAGTTATATAGGGAAGGCAGTTGATAAGCTGGTTTTAAAGGATATGGAGCATTTGAAAAAGTGGAATGTGCATAAGGCTGGAAATATCAAATATCTAAATATAGAACAGGAACAATGATGAAAAGACTTTCAAAATGCTTAGCAAAATGAGAATTATATTTCTTTCTCAACTTTTTTGTTCTAACAGCAAAAGCAACAGTGGGGATCAGCATCAACTTGGGCAAGTAAGTTTTTCTTGTCATAAATAGGCTGATTCAACTGAAAAAAAAATGTTTAAGTAAGTTCAGCTCATTTGAAGACGGGTGAATACTGTGTCTAAGGATTTTATGAGACTAACTGGGAAAAGTCAGTCAGAGTTTAGTTTGAGGTGAGAAGTGCTTAGTGTTGACACTCTACCTAATTATAGGGAAACGTGTGCAGTTAGTCCTGAGACCAGATGCAGGGTAGAAAGAAAGAGGCGTGATGTAGCAGCCATTGATTAGGCAATTTGGGTTTAGCAAGCCCAGTCAATGCCCTCAGAGGGTCAACAGTGTATACAATTTAGTCCTTGAAGGCATCTTTTAAAGTTTCATTCAAAAGATTTTAATCATTGTGACCATAATTTTCTGAGAAGAGGCTTTTCTAAGATTTGTTATTCACAGATAAATAGTTGTCTAATTTGTGTGTGTGTGTGTGTACATGTGTGCATGCGTGCATTCGTGCATGCGTGCCTATCTAGCCTTTTTTGAACACAATGACTGGCACCTGGTAGATAATATGGTTGAATGAATTGTATTATTCATATTCTCTCACTGCCAACTTGAAGAATCTACATCTGTTTCCAAAGTTTTGCGCATATAATACTAAAACAAAAACGGACATGTTTTAGTAATACGTACCAATTACAAATTAACCATTCCTGCCTGGAATAAGCATAGGTTTTGTTAAATAGTTCAATTTTCAAAATTTGTCTCTTATGTTATTTCCAATCCTTTTTTTTTTTTTTAACGCTGATATATTTTGAATTTACGAATGTGAAAGCTGAACTTCAAAAAATAAAGGGAGAGGAAACAAAGCTCGTGAAAAATATTTAAAATATCTTTTAATGCGTTATAACATCCTGGAGAGAAATCAAATCAATGTGTTTCAATGTTACAACATAGATTTCTCCTCCCCTCCCGGATAAAGCACTAATTTATTTAATTTGGTTCAGAGCACTGAATATTCCAAGCTACAGCCTCGTGGGTAAGAGATAGCATTATCTTAAACAGTGTTCGGATTTAACAAAGGTCAACGTCTTGTGCAGTTTACATAGCATCTACTCTCAGTAGCTTTTGCTTCTTGAGCTCTACGTGGCTCCTCAGAAGCTGTTAGGCTTAACAAACAAAAATAAAGTAAAATCAGATACGGTATGGGGCCTTGGGACACTGAAACCTTCATCCGTAGAAAATCAGTTAAGTCTTCACAGGCTAGAAGAGAGGGTGTGTGTGATTAGTAGGCAAAGCAAAGAAAGATCAGTACAAGTTGTCTGGCAGCTGGATAAAACCTTACACCTGCGCAAAAATAAGCCTCCCTCATAAGAAAGCCCAAAGATGTCCGGGGTCGGGGAGGAGGAAAGTGTCTCTCATCTGTCCCATCAACGAAAATTAGTGAAATCTGCCTCAGATGAAGTGCAAAGGCCAGTCTGCAGGGATAGTTTCAACCTCTCCCCACGCGATGGGCTACACATCACCTGCCCAAGCTCTCTCCCGACCTGCTAGAGCCTAGAGGGCGGAGGCCGGAGAGGCTGCAGCCGGGAGTAGCACCGCACATCCGGGAACGCCAGCAGCGGGCTGAGGGCTGCATAACTGATGGAAGGCCGGGCGCGGTAAGAGCGTCTCGGGGAGTAGGGCAAGGCGGCCGGGCCCCTCCCATTCCGCCTTTTCTTCAGCGTCCTGCCCGCGGCACTGGCTGCGGGTGCCGGGCCACCTGCGAGTGTGCGGAGGGATTCCGGACACCCGCGGCGGCGAGCTGAGGGAGCAGTCTCCACGAGAACTGAGGCGGACCCTCTGGCGCCATGCGCGCCCTCCCCGGCCTGCTGGGGGCGAGGGCGCCTACGCCCCGGCTGCTTCTCCTCCTCCAGTGCCTTCTCGCCGCCGCGCGCCCAAGCTCGGCGGACGGCAGTGCCCCAGGTGTGATGGGTACAGGGGCCAGGGTAGGGAGGGCGGAGGGCGCGCGAGGCTCGGGTCCCCGCGGGCAGAGGGCATCGCTGGCGCTCCGGGCAGGGTTGGCGGGGAGAGGCGCGGGGATGCTGGTGAGGGCGGGTGGCGAGAGTCGGCGGCAGCCTCCCATTGGCTACGTTTGTGTCACCTGAGCTGAACCCTGGAACTGGTGCCGCTCGCGCTCCCGCGCTCTTTGGGGGCGAGTCTTAAACAAACAGCGCCCCGCGAGTCGGGCGCGTAGGTATCAGGGCAGAGTCTGGTGTTTCCTAGGAAGACGGCAGTGGGGTGTGTGGGTGGATGCAGGGACCAGATAGCGATTTGGCTTGTGCAAATGTGGCATGAATTTTGAAAGCCACATTTCCCCAAGGCCTACTCCCTTTTCTTGATTCGAGAGTGAGGCTCGAGTATCAGCTCCTTCCCTCCTTTTGTCAGGTGGGTTGGCTTTGAGGAATTTTTTTTTTCTTTTTTCTTTTTGAGACGGAGTTTTGCTCTTGTTGCTCAGGCTGGAGTGCAATGGCGTGATGTCGGCTCACCGCAACCTCCTCCTCCCGAGTTCAAGCGATTCTTCTCTCTCAGCCTCCAGAGTAGCTGGGATTACAGGCATGCGCCACCAAGCCCGGCTAATTTTACATTTTTAGTAGAGACGGGGTTTCTCCACATTGGTCAGTCTGGTCTCTAACTCCCAACCTCAGGTGATCCGCCCGCTTCGGCCTCGCAAAGTGCTGGGATTACAGGTGTGAGCCACCTCACCTTGCCGAGGATGTTTTTTTAGAGCTGAGCGGGGGAAAAAACATCATAACCAACTAGCCAACCAAAGATCCACAACTTAAAGGATAACGTGTGTGTATCTTCATTTTACACCGTGGTCTTTGAAAACAAAATGTGTGTGTGCGTGTGTGTGTGTGATTTTTGCTTGTTTTATTATTTAAGACACTTTGACAGAGGGATTATATGCAAAACATTACCAAAGCCAACACGAAATTTGCCATTGTACCTTCACCTGTTTATAATTACTTTTCATATTGAAAGGATTCCATCCAACCTATTGCAAGTTTCTGTGTCATAACTGTTAACAGCCAGTAAGGGTAATAAAACACCACCTCTCAAGTTGGTAAATATTGGCCACCAGTAACTAAAATTGGGACATTATTCTGCAAAAAGTTTTCAAACTCTCATGGGAATTTATTTTCATGGGCTTGTAATATGTGGAATTTTTGTAACACACCATAGAGAAAGAAGGATAATCAAAAGGTAAGACTATTAATTTTTATAAATGCCTTTTAAAAGGTCTAGTTGTTAACAACTTGGACAGAACATCTTGGGTTGCTTCAGTTCTAAATTTCCTTGTGCCATATCTCTTTTCCATAATACCACTTATAAAGAATGGTCCAGGCCTGTAATCCCAGCACTTTGGGGTGCTGAGGTGGGAGGATGGCTGGAATCCAGGAGTTCAAGACCACCCTGGGCAAAATAGCAAGGTCCCTTATTTATTTAAAAAAAATTTTTAAAGTGCGGTTGTGGTGATGTACACCTGTAGTCCCAGGTGCTTGGGACGCCAAGGCAGAAAGATTGCTTCAGCCCAAAGTTTGAGGCTGCAGTGAGCTATGATGATGATGGTGCCAGTAAGCTCCAGCCTGGGTGACAGCGCAAAACTGTCTCAAAAAAAAAAAAAAAAAAAAGAAAAAAAAAAGAAAAAGAAACAGAATTGCCCAGTTCATTTTTCCCCCTTCTGGGTATCTCCAATTCTTCTATCCCTGGTTCATCTCAGAGTATTGCGGTTCTGAGAACCAGTGCATTCTGGATTCATTGTAGAACTTTGATTCTCTACTTGACTGTATGTCAGAATCACCAGAGAGCTTGAAAAATCCTGATACCTGGATCTTTCCCTACAAAACTCTGGTTCGTTTGGCTTGGGATTCAGTGTGGGCATTAAGAAGTTTTATCAGCTCCCCATGTAGCTTTAAATGTGATTTTGAGCTGGTTAAAAACCACAGCTTTAAAATGATATGGCCTAGAGAGTGCACTGTTAGATAAATACTTATTCCATAGGCATCACGGTTAAGTTGATATGCAGAGAAGATCTCTAAAGAGAGAGAGAAAAAAAGGTAGGAAACAAATGAAAGTGGAATAAATGAAGGTGTATATCAATAAGATGAATGGGGGAGGGGATGTCCCTCTATGTATATGGTATAAGTTCTGTCCTTTTAGCTCCACTTAAGCTAAAATTGTGGAACAATGTACAAGACAAAAGTTATGAAGTTAGCATCGAATTTAAGCCAGAATTAAAAATTGTCAGGCACTCTCAGCTTGTTTTCTAGATTCGGTATTGATCTCTGCAAAATTCAGTTTTCTCTTTGCAAAAGGATATTGTGAGGTTTACTGGATATTTTTTACCTAGATGTATAGACCTACACACTTGGACATAGGTTTTCTGTTAACCTAAGACTTTGAGTCAAATTTTAATAATAAGAATAGTTATAAATGTATAGCCCTACGAGTTAGCATTTTTTTTAGTTCCAGCTGAAAAAAAATAGAATTGTCCAGGACATTTTTCTCCGTTCTGGGTATCCCCAATTCTTCTATCCCTGATTCACCTTTCAAAATTCATCTCAGAGTATTGCAGTTCTGAGAACCTCTGCACTCCTGGGGAATTCTCACTCTTTTGCTCAGGCTGGAGGGCAGAGGCACATTCACAGCTCACTGCAGCCTTGACCTTCTGGGCTCAAGATGAAGAAATCGGGGCTTAGTTTAATAATTGCCCAAGTACACATACTTAGTTAAGCAGCAGAGCGGGAAATTTGGCATTGGTCCATCCAGTACCTGTTTGCTTAAACACAGTGCTTAAACACAATATCCAGTTGTCTCTCTGAGTTAATTGGAAATGTCTGTGAAAGTTCAGAACTACTGACAGCATAGCCTACGCATTTAAATGTCTGATTTGCACTGAATGACATGCTGACACGGTTTGAGTCCTGGAATAAAATTAGGTACAGGGACTCTTCTAAGGTTTTTTGATTAAATAAGACATGTAATATATCTTTGTAAAGGATACATCAGTGGGAATTTTTAAATATCATTATTATTACTATTACATGGCACAAATTGGAGAAATGGGTCATGTTTATCTTTTGAAAAATGTTTGCAGTAGAATCATTTTAAATGATCCTTTTAACTTCCATAGGACGTGGCTTTTGCATTCCCTTTATGAACCCCCTTCCCTACTAAACCCTCACCCCAAACACAGTAGCTTTCTAGTAATAAATATTTTTGAAGCAAATATTATTCTAGCACCCACATATGTCTGACATTGTTAGCCCATATCTCAGTAGAACATGCTAGCAGTTTTTTACCTTTAAGGACATTTAAAGGGGTTCCCACTGGACAAATCTGGGACAAATTGAGCATCAAATAAATAATAATATTAGTGGATTGCAACTCATTTAATAATATGGGAATTCATGAGTACCAACTGATGTAAACTAAAAAAGGAGTCAATGAAAAGTTTGATGGGATACAAAGTACTGAAGATTCAAAGTAACTCTTCAGAATGTGCTTATTAGTATCAAGGGCAAAAGAGTAACTTTATGGTGGAGAAGCTTGGCAGACAACACTTTGATCAAATGATCAAAGACCAAAATCTGTTTAAAGGGAACAGATTAACCATAAGCCTACCTTTATTTATTTATTTATTCATTCATTCATTCATTTAATTTTTGAGACAGGGTCTCACTCTGTCATTCAGGCTGGAGTACCAAGGCACACTCATGGCTCACTACAGCCTTGACCTTCTGGACTCAAGGGATCCTCCCACTTCAGCCTCCCACATGGCTGGGACTACAGGCATATGCCACCACACCCGGATAATTTTTGTATTTTTTGTAGAGATGGGGTTTCACTACGTTGCCTAGGCTGGCCTTGAACTCCTAGGCACAAGCGATCTTCCTGCCTTGGCCTCCCAAAGTGTTGGGATTATAGGCAAGAGCTACTGTGCCCAGCCTAAGCCTACGTTTAATAGTGATGTTTGTGATGCATGAACATCTTTACCCTAAATTTATCATCACAAAAAAATCATATGTTTAAAACATTTGTTAAGAATTAGGGCAACTGACTCTTCCTCATCTTCTGTCACCCTCATTCTCTTCCCTCCTCCCTCTCATCTTTCCCTCGATAGATCCTATAGTTATTTGGTGGGGAAGAGCAAGGAGACATCCTCACTAAGTGGGTGGAGCCCAAGGGGCCCAGATCAGGATATCTGAGGCTGACCTTGGTAAGGATGGCATCCAGGCAAGAGGGCAGCCTGGTATGGAGTATTAGGGCCTGAGCACAGTGAATGGGTGCTCCTGCAGCGGGCAGCTTGACACAGGGTCCCAGAGTTCAGCAAGTTAACAAGGCTTTTGTGCAGGAGCAGCAGATGGGTGATGTTTGATCCCAAACACGATGTGGAGGAAAGCATGTAGGAGGGTCAGACCAGCGATGGAGGTTGGAGCCTGAGTGGGTAAGGAGACATCTCTGTGGGGACAGGTGTGGCAGTGGCAATGAGAGTTTAGCAATATACAGGGTGACTGATCAAATAATTAAATCTAGGAAAGATAATAGGATCTAGGTTTTTCACTAGAGAAGAATGAAATAAAGATAGAGAAAAAGTAGAATGAACCCTGTGGTGTTGGATTGCAGTTGGCAGTATCCATGGGAATCCATGACATTAAATCCCTATCTCTTTACCTATGTCTATATAGGTATATAGATTTAAACAAGTATATGTGTAAATATATGTATCATGAATACATATCATGCATATCATATACATAAATATATATGATATACATTATAAGTTGTATGTGTATATGAATATGTGCACATGTATTCTTAGCAGTGATTTCCAGTAGTGATGAGTATATTTAGCACCCAGATCTTGGATTCTAAATACCATTCTTTACTAACAGTAACCAAGGCTTCTTGGAGAAATGGCTGATTTCAGGGCTAGTGTGGGAAAGTAGCAGATAAGCCTAGAACATCTTGTGCCAGAAAGCAATGGAGTGCTCAAAGGATAATGAGTCATGTCAAAAAGATACAGAGGCCAACATGAAGGGGTTCCCACTGGACAAATCTGGGACAAAACTGAGCATCAAAATAAATAATAATATTAGTGGATTGTAACCCATTTAATAATATGGGGATTCATGAGTACCAACTGATGCAAATTAAAAAATGAATCAATGAAAACTTTGATGGGGTACAATGTACTAAAGATTCAAAGTAACTCTTCAGAATATGCTTATTAATATCAAGGGGAAAAGAGTAACTTTATAGTGGAGAAGCTTGGCAGATAGCACTTTGATCAGATGATCAAAGACCAAAAAAATGGTGTGCCATCTGAGACGATATGGTGAGAAGAGCACAGCATCACTTCTATGATGTTCCTGCCAAAGGTGCCTGCCTCAAATATAATCATATTACAGCAGAACTGTCTTGGAATTTTAAAAAGTGTCAAGGTTATGGAAAAGTCAGAAGAGACTGTTGCAGTTCCAGAGTGAAGCCACATTAGAGAGAAGTGACAGCCAATGGCAATGGGTGATTCTGAGCTGGAACATTTTGCTACCAAGTCCATTGTAGGGACTTTTTTTCTGAAACTTAGATGGGGTATGGGGACCAGATGGTGCTTCGTATATATTCATTTCTTGATTTTAATGGCTGTATTGGGATGGTATGGGGAATGTCCTTTGTAGGAAATAGATGGTAATGTTTAAGTGGGGCATGAAGCATCAGGTCAGAAACTTACTCTCACATGGTTCAGAGGAGAAAATGTTCTGTTCTTGAAATGTTTCTGCTACTTTGAGATTGTTTGAAAAGAAACAAAAAGAATTAGTTTACCTGAGAAAGCTTCAGTTTACATAGGCATTAAACTAAAACAATAGTTGAGAAATCTGTTAAGGTTCTTAGGTATCATTTTCCAAAGGTGTATATGCCCTCCAACAGAAACAAATCACATGTGTTGAGGCTATTTGTTCTAAAGTGTAATCTTTTGACATTAACTTTGTATAGCTGGTCTCACATATTGCGCAATATAAGGTGAACGTTAGAAATTAACAACTTATCACATACATGCTGATGTAAGATAACAAACCTCACAACACTTTGCTAAAAATAAGCTCTATTCCTAATAAAAATTGCCGCTATTTAAACATAGAATATCTCAAATAATGTTAGAATCGAAATAAAGAATGTTACCTTTAAAGAGTTGTTATTCTTTTCTTTGAAAATAGCATTTTTCCTGGCATTTTTGAAGTTATTGAGGTTATTGTACTAATGTGTCCCTAATCCCAAGCCAGAAGCTTTTAATAGCCTTACAATTATATACTTCTGAGAACCTGAAAGGGAATTTAGATACCTCGTTTGATTGATCTTGAAGCTCAAAGTGCTTTTGTAACTTAGCCAAAAACAATGAGATAGCTAACAGCTATAACTGTTTTCCTGGGTTGTATTTCAGCGTCCATCCAGCATGTGGTTTTTCTTCATAAAAAGTCCTCAAAATAGGCCCCTGGCAGGAGGGTGTTCTTGGGAGGGAAGGGTGGCAAAAAATGTTCACACTTTAAAAATGTCTGCACCTAAACTATGCAGAACAGGAATTTAGGGCCACAGGGCCATTGGAAGATTATTAAGAATCATCACATTGAAGAATCAGGGTTGCCGATGTATCTGTTCAAAATCAAGGTTTTCAACTTTGGTACTATTGGCATTTTCCACTGGATAATTCTTTTTCGTGGAAAGTTGTTATCCTAAAACATTTAACAGTATCCCTGGCCTCTATATATGTGGTGGGTGAATTGTACACCCCCAAAAGATATGTTTAATCCCTGATCTTTGGTACCTGTGAAAGTGACCTTATTTGGGAGTAGGGTCTTTGCAGATGTAATGAACTAAAATAAGGTCATACTAAATTAGAGTAAGCCCTAAACCTAATGACTGTGGTCTTTATAAAAAAAAAAGGCGGGGGAGGGAGATTTGAACATAGAGACAGAGACATATACAGAGGGAAGATCATCATGTGAAGACAGAGGCAGGTGTTGGACTAATGCAGCTACCACCAGCCGAGGAATGCCAAGGTTGCCAGCAACTCCCAGATGCTAGGCAGAGGCAAGGAAGGATTCTTCACTGGAGAGTTCAGAGGAGGAAGGCCCTGCCAACACCTTGATTTCAGACTCCTGGCCTCCAGAACTGTGAAAGATTACACTTCTGTTGTTTTTGCCACCAAATTTGTAGTCATTTGTTATGACACCTAATTTGTGGTAATTTGTTATGGAAACTTATATAACCTACTAAATAAATGTAGTAATCATCCCCCAATTGTGACAAGCAAAATGCTTTCAGACATTGCCAAATGTCTCCTGTGGGGCAAAACTACCCTTAGTTGAGAGCCACTGAACAAAATCCCAACTCTTATCGAATAGACTAACAATTGAAACATTTAACAAATCTATAGTCTTTAGAAAGAATAGAAATCTTAGTTATTAACTTTTGGGGTTTTATTTCTTAATAAGTTTTTATTTGGCATAAGTTACTGTTAAAGTATCTTAGTGACCCATGTAGAGGTGATTTGAAACAGAATTTTTATGCTGCCCTTTGAAATGTATATTATTGCCAAAATTATATATTTTTAAAAAGATCAATTTATTTCCATTCCTATACCATCTGGTTTTTAAAATAGTTTTACAAGACTGGTAAAAGTGTACATTGTACTTGTCAGTAAGCCTTAAAAAACCTTGTCTATAAAGGCTTCTTGTCCAATAGCTTCCATACTATGCAGAAAATATCAAGAGCTCAAGAGTTCTCTATGTGGAGTATTATCTGTCCCTGACTTAGAAAGTCTGACTTATAAATGTCTACATCAGGATTACTATATATATATATATATATATATATATATTTTTTTTTTTGGAGATGGAGTCTCACTCTGTAATCCAGGCTGGAGTGCAGTGATGTGATCTCAGCTCACTGCAACCTCCGACTGCCGGGTTCAAGCAATTCTCCTGTCTCAGCCTCCCAAGTAGCTGGGACCACAGGCACATCCATCATGCCTGGCTAATTTTTTGTATTTTTAGTAGAGACGGGGTTTCACCATGCTGGCTAGGCTGGTCTCGAGCTCCTGACCTCATGATCTGCCCACCTCAGCCTCTCAAAGTGCTGACATTAGAAGCGTGAGCCACCGCACCTGGCCCCGATAACTAGAATTTTTTGACAAGCTTTTTTTTTTTTCCCCTTGTTTATCTTGTTTTTTGGATGAATCGCTCTGGAGTATAATTTCCAGGACTCAGAGATGCCTTATTTCCTTTTTCCTCCTTCTGCTGCATTTATGGACAGGGGATAAGGCTACTCTGTTCCTAAAACTCATAATTCTCCATGTGTTGTGTATAATCAGTATTCTACTTAGTAATTAGGTATTTTAAAGATAAGGTTTAACTATATCATGGCTTAAGTGGCCTTTACAATGTGGCATGGGATCACATGGTTATATATAATATTGCTTCCATGAAGAAATATATTCTTATTTCCAAATCTCTATTTTATGAATAATATATAATATTCATTCCTATCAGTGTTTCTGTAATTGGGTTGCACATTTATAATGCTGTATATCAGAATGTTAAAATTAAGATTTATTAAGTACTGCATGTTGATAGCAATCAGTATAGAGATGAGAAAGATAAAGAATAATATTTATTTTAATAGTAGTTCCTTCTTACACTTTTTTCTTAATGAAGTTCAGACCCTTCCAAGATTTTAACATATAATAAAGGGATTTTGGGGGCTTTAGAGAGAATGTTTATTCTTAATCAGAGATGTAGTTGCATTTATTTCCTGATTTAAAAAAGCAAATCATAAGACCCAATGCAGTTTTCTAGTGTTACTTATTTTTCTTCCCAACTTCAATTAAATGAAGCCCTCAAAATGAAATATGTGAAAATGTTACCTTAATACCTTTAAGTAGAATTATAGCATGTTTATTTCACTTGAAAGTGTTAATAGAATAAATTATAAGCCCTTCTAGAAACACATATTTTAAAATATAATATGTGAAAAACATTTAAGTAGAGGCCATTTTGCTATTTCACAGAAAATTATAACAGGTGAAAATTAAGATGTTACTCAATTCTTTGATGCAGTAGTCTCATGCTTCATCTGCCCTGCAAAGAGAGAAAAAAGTCTTTTAATCTCTTGAGCAACTATTTGATGTTACTCTTTCATGTTGATATTTTTGTCTCTTCCATATAGCATATAGAATGCTATATGGAAATTTTCTAGCAATGATTAAGAAAGGGTGAGTTTGATAACTTGAGAAATGCATGTTATGATCTTGGCATCATCACTCATATTTATACAACTTTTCTGATCCTCATTTTTTTCCCTATCAGATGAGGTTTACAGTGGAGGCATATTTTCAAAGCACTGAGCTGGGCATATGGCGTTTGGAAACCCTAAGTAACAGTCAGTGACAGAATTTGGATTAAGACCCCAAATTCCTTCATCTTCATTTTATACTTCTTTTTGTGACTCAGCCTAATCCTTTTAGGGAAGTATTCAAACCACATCTGCCTGAGTCTCCTGCCAATTTCCTTTAAACCCCAATGTTAGCTGAATCAGCCTCCTGCCAGCTGTCCTCCAACTAAAAGCAATAAGGTTTACATTCTCACTTTTTTTGGTTAAAAAATAGCTTGCCTAAACAAAGAACTTCTTTTACTGTCCTAATACCTTCTGTAGGCT
Source organism: Homo sapiens (assembly GCF_000001405.40). Lineage (NCBI taxonomy): Eukaryota > Metazoa > Chordata > Mammalia > Primates > Hominidae > Homo > Homo sapiens. The sequence continues at coordinate 121,529,249 of NC_000001.11, forward strand.
GTCCTGCTTTTCCACTTAAGGCATTTCTGTATATTGCCTCTTTAAGGGACTTTTCCCAAGGCAGAAGCCACACAGCAGTTATATGTGTTCTTTTGCACTTGGGGCTTTTTCAGTGGAACCTGAAGCTTGATCAAGATTAATGCCTTAAAGGGAATATGAAGTTAAGGTACTGGTGGTGTTTGGTTTATGGATGTCTGATTGTATTTTTAATATGTGAGCCAGCAATTGGAAATGGCCTCAACAGCTAGTATATTCTGGAAATACCCAGACTTCCCTACCTCTGGAAACTTGGTGTTTCCTTCCTTTCCTATCCTTCAACTGTCATCAGCTTAGATTCTGCCAAAGCCAAACTTAGACTCATTTTCTCTCCTTATTCTGACACAGGTCCCTGTTGAGCCCATCCAAGACAAGTCCTAGTGATCGGTAAGGGAGAATAGCCCCAGCATTGGAGCTCATCTTCCTGGAATTATCTTCACCCTCCTTCCACCTCCAGGCTCAGGCTTCACACTCTATCTCATGTGCCAATTTGTATAAAATATACTGGCTAGTTTTAGTCAATACTATGCATTAATGGGTGCTGCTCAAAATTTTAATGACTCTCAATTTCAAATTGTGGGCCCAAATCCCTACTATTATGATCCATATAACCCCTTAAGGACCAAGCTTGCCCAGCTTCATATTCCCCAACAGTACCAAGTGTGCATCAGATACTGTGTATATTCATTTACTTAAGTGGAATAGGAATAAGAATGACAGCAATTTTTTCATTAGTTTATGTCACTCTTATTGTTACTGATACTGTGAACCATAATAATAAATGATGCTGGAAATCTCAAAAAGGTTATGGGCTTGTTTCAGGGATAAAGAGTATAATAAGAACCCTTAAGATTGTATTCTGCTGTACAGTGGGGTATCCCTGGAGAGGAAAGCAAAGATATCAAAGCTTACGTTTTGCAGGCTTCACAGAACAGATGATATAGTAGAATAGCTGTTTCCTTCTCATCCACCCCCGCCTGGCTTCCTGTCCATAAGTGAATAGCATCTGCCTTGATCTTCCTGAAATATTTTGTCTTTAACCTCTAAGTATGCTAGCCCCAAGAATAGAAACAAGGATTTTTCATTAGGAAAATAACATTTATGGGAGCTTTTCTTTTAAGCAGTGTGTATATGTGTGTTTGTGTGTGTGTGTGTGTGTGAGAGAGAGAAAGAGAGAGTTGGGGAGGGTGGGAGGGAAGAGGAAGAGAGAAAAGGGGGAAAAGACAGAGAAGGAGGGTGATGGGAGGAGAGGGAGAATGGGAGAATATGGGTATGAATATGAATGAATGAGTGAATGAATGAATGAATACTAGATGTGACTGGAGGAAAGGTTTTGTATACTTGATAGCCCAGTGAGAAACTCAGGACATATTTTCCTATATAATCATTGTGAGAGGGTAGTCTGATTTAATATGTTATTTAAGGACTTTTTTTTTTTTTTTTGAGACAGAGTCTTGCTCTTTGGTCCAGGTTGGAGTGCAGTGGCGCGATCTTGGCTCACTGCAAGCTCCACCTCCCGGCTTCACGCCATTCTCCTGCCTCAGCCTCCTGAGTAGCTGGGACTACAGGCGCCTGCCACCACCCCCAGCTAATTTTTTTTTGTATTTTTAGTAGAGACAGGGTTTCACCGTGGTCTCGATCTCCTGACCTCATGACCCACCCGCCTCGGCCTCCCAAAGTGCTGGGATTACAGGCGTGAGCCACCGCGCCCGGCCACTTTTTTTCTTTTTTTAGAAATTATTATAAGTTCTGAGATACATGTGCAGAATGTGCAGGTTTGTTACATAGATATACATGTGCCCTGGTCGTTTAGAAAGTGCATTAAACTTCGAAAGCTGTTTTAGAAGTGATTAAACCTTTGGAACACAGCCTATTGGAGAGTTAGGTTCTGCTAGGTACGTTATTTTATTAGGCAATATTGTAAAAGCAATGTTCTAAAGCTAAAGTAACAAAAGTGATCACTATGATAACATTTTTCATACATATAAGAAAATGAACTGGAAATCTAATCTTGTACTAGAAATAACTTTCTGAGCAGATTATTTTTAAAAAGTGTAATAAAAATGGCTCAGGTTTCATTTAAATTGAATGGGATTTAATTTAAATCATGCAGCCAAGTTTACAATAATAAGCCTTTTTTCCCCCTTCTCTGACTTTTTTGATATATTTGAGTAGTTTCCTGGAAGGTAAGGTCTGGTACTCTAAAATAAAAGGAACAGTAGGCCATGTCGTCTGCCGGGCACGGTGGCTCACACCTGTAATCCCAGTACTTTGGGAGGCTGAGGAGGGCAGATCACGAGGTTAAGAGATTGAGACCATCCTGGCCAACATGGTGAAACCCCATCTCTACTAAAAATACAAAAATTAGCTGGGCGTGGTGGCGGGCGCCTGTAGTCCCAGCTACTCGGGAGGCTGAGGCAGGAGAATTGCTTGAATTGGGGAGGCGGAGGTTGCAGAGATCCGAGACCATGCTACTGCACTCCAGCCTGGGCAACAGAGTGAGACTCCGTCTCAAAAAAAAAAAAAACAAAAATAAAATAAACAAATAAAGTAACTTCGAGGAGAGTGAGAGAGGTGAAAATAGAAACCTTGTTTTTTTAATGAAAGTTTTCAAAAGGAGAGAGAAGTGACAGAGGCAGAGGAAACTGAAAGTCAGGTGATAGAGGGCATGCCTCTTGGTAACCGTAGCTGGAAAACAAATAGCAACCCAAAGTGGCCCGTCAGCCATTTTTTTTTTTTTCTTTTTTAAATTTTCATTTATTTATTTATTTATTTGTAAATAGAGATGAGGTCCCACTATGTCACCCAGGCTGCTCTTGAACTTCTGGGCTCAAGTGATCCTCCTGCCTCGGACTCCCAAAATGCTGGGATTACAGGTGTGAGCCACTACACTTAGCCTGGTCTTTTCAACTCAACCTGTTTTTTTTGTTTGTTTGTTTTTTGTTTTTAATTTTTTTTTTTATTATACTCTAAGTTTTAGGGTACATGTGCACATTGTGCAGGTTAGTTACATATGTATACATGTGCCATGCTGGTGCGCTGCACCCACTAACGTGTCATCTAGCATTAGGTATATCTCCCAATGCTATCCCTCCCCCCTCCCCCGAACCCACCACAGTCCCCAGAGTGTGATATTCCCCTTCCTGTGTCCATGTGATCTCATTGTTCAATTCCCACCTATGAGTGAGAATATGCGGTGTTTGGTTTTTTGTTCTTGCGATAGTTTACTGAGAATGATGGTTTCCAATTTCATCCATGTCCCTACAAAGGACATGAACTCATCATTTTTTATGGCTGCATAGTATTCCATGGCGTATATGTGCCACATTTTGTTAATCCAGTCTATCATTGTTGGACATTTGGGTTGGTTCCAAGTCTTTGCTATTGTGAATAGTGCCGCAATAAACATACGTGTGCATGTGTCTTTATAGCAGCATGATTTATAGTCCTTTGGGTATATACCCAGTAATGGGATGGCTGGGTCAAATGGTATTTCTAGTTCTAGATCCCTGAGGAATCGCCACACTGACTTCCACAATGGTTGAACTAGTTTACAGTCCCACCAACAGTGTAAAAGTGTTCCTATTTCTCCACATCCTCTCCAGCACCTGTTGTTTCCTGACTTTTTAATGATTGCCATTCTAACTGGTGTGAGATGATATCTCATAGTGGTTTTGATTTGCATTTCTCTGATGGCCAGTGATGATGAGCATTTTTTCATGTGTTTTTTGGCTGCATAAATGTCTTCTTTTGAGAAGTGTCTGTTCATGTCCTTCGCCCACTTTTTGATGGGGTTGTTTGTTTTTTTCTTGTAAATTTGTTTGAGTTCATTGTAGATTCTGGATATTAGCCCTTTGTCAGATGAGTAGGTTGCGAAAATTTTCTCCCATGTTGTAGGTTGCCTGTTCACTCTGATGGTAGTTTCTTTTGCTGTGCAGAAGCTCTTTAGTTTAATTAGATCCCATTTGTCAATTTTGGCTTTTGTTGCCATTGCTTTTGGTGTTTTGGACATGAAGTCCTTGCCCACGCCTATGTCCTGAATGGTAATGCCTAGGTTTTCTTCTAGGGTTTTTATGGTTTTAGGTCTAACGTTTAAATCTTTAATCCATCTTGAATTGATTTTTGTATAAGGTGTAAGGAAGGGATCCAGTTTCAGCTTTCTACATATGGCTAGCCAGTTTTCCCAGCACCATTTATTAAATAGGGAATCCTTTCCCCATTGCTTTTCTCAGGTTTGTCAAAGATCAGATAGTTGTAGATATGCGGCATTATTTCTGAGGGCTCTGTTCTGTTCCATTGATCTATATCTCTGTTTTGGTACCAGTACCAGGCTGTTTTGGTTACTGTAGCCTTGTAGTATAGTTTGAAGTCAGGTAGTGTGATGCCTCCAGCTTTGTTCTTTTGGCTTAGGATTGACTTGGCGATGCGGGCTCTTATTTGGTTCCATATGAACTTTAAAGTAGTTTTTTCCAATTCTGGGAAGAAAGTCATTGGTAGCTTGATGGGGATGGCATTGAATCTGTAAATTACCTTGGGCAGTATGGCCATTTTCACGATATTGATTCTTCCTACCCATGAGCATGGAATGTTCTTCCATTTGTTTGTGTCCTCTTTTATTTCCTTGAGCAGTGGTTTGTAGTTCTCCTTGAAGAGGTCCTTCACATCCCTTTTAAGTTGGATTCCTAGGTATTTTATTCTCTTTGAAGCAATTGTGAATGGGAGTTCACTCATGATTTGGCTCTCTGTTTGTCTGTTGTTGCTGTATAAGAATGCTTGTGATTTTTGTACATTGATTTTGTATCCTGAGACTTTGCTGAAGTTGCTTATCAGCTTAAGGAGATTTTGGGCTGAGACGATGGGGTTTTCTAGATAAACAATCATGTCGTCTGCAAACAGGGACAATTTGACTTCCTCTTTTCCTAATTGAATACCCTTTATTTCCTTCTCCTGCCTGATTGCCCTGGCCAGAACTTCCAACACTATGTTGAATAAGAGCGGTGAGAGAGGGCATCCCTGTCTTGTGCCAGTTTTCAAAGGGAATGCTTCCAGTTTTTGCCCATTCAGTATGATATTGGCTGTGGGTTTGTCACAGATAGCTCTTATTATTTTGAAATACGTCCCATCAATACCTAATTTATTGAGAGTTTTTAGCATGAAGGGTTGTTGAATTTTGTCAAAGGCTTTTTCTGCATCTATTGAGATAATCATGTGGTTTTTGTCTTTGGCTCTGTTTATATGCTGGATTACATTTATTGATTTGCGTATATTGAACCAGCCTTGCATCCCAGGGATGAAGCCCACTTGATCATGGTGGATAAGCTTTTTGATGTGCTGCTGGATTTGGTTTGCCAGTATTTTATTGAGGATTTTTGCATCAATGTTCATCAAGGATATTGGTCTAAAATTCTCTTTTTTGGTTGTGTCTCTGCCCGGCTTTGGTATCAGAATGATGCTGGCCTCATAAAATGAGTTAGGGAGGATTCCTTCTTTTTCTATTGATTGGAATAGTTTCAGAAGGAATGGTACCAGTTCCTCCTTGTACCTCTGGTAGAATTCGGCTGTGAATCCATCTGGTCCTGGACTCTTTTTGGTTGGTAAACTATTGATTATTGCCACAATTTCAGAGCCTGTTATTGGTCTATTCAGAGATTCAACTTCTTCCTGGTTTAGTCTTGGGAGAGTGTATGTGTCGAGGAATGTATCCATTTCTTCTAGATTTTCTAGTTTATTTGCGTAGAGGTGTTTGTAGTATTCTCTGATGGTAGTTTGTATTTCTGTGGGATCGGTGGTGATATCCCTTTTATCATTTTTTATTGTGTCTATTTGATTCTTCTCTCTTTTTTTCTTTATTAGTCTTGCTAGCGGTCTATCAATTTTGTTGATCCTTTCAAAAAAACCAGCTCCTGGATTCATTGATTTTTTGAAGGGTTTTTTGTGTCTCTATTTCCTTCAGTACTGCTCTGATTTTAGTTATTTCTTGCCTTCTGCTAGCTTTTGAATGTGTTTGCTCTTGCTTTTCTAGTTCTTTTAATTGTGATGTTAGGGTGTCAATTTTGGATCTTTCCTGCTTTCTCTTGTAGGCATTTAGTGCTATAAATTTCCCTCTACACACTGCTTTGAATGCGTCCCAGAGATTCTGGTATGTGGTGTCTTTGTTCTCGTTGGTTTCAAAGAACATCTTTATTTCTGCCTTCATTTTGTTATGTACCCAGTAGTCATTCAGGAGCAGGTTGTTCAGTTTCCATGTAGTTGAGCGGCTTTGAGTGAGATTCTTAATCCTGAGTTCTAGTTTGATTGCACTGTGGTCTGAGAGATAGTTTGTTATAATTTCTGTTCTTTTACATTTGCTGAGGAGAGCTTTACTTCCAACTATGTGGTCAATTTTGGAATAGGTGTGGTGTGGTGCTGAAAAAAATGTATATTCTGTTGATTTGGGGTGGAGAGTTCTGTAGATGTCTATTAGGTCCACTTGGTGCAGAGCTGAGTTCAATTCCTGGGTATCCTTGTTGACTTTCTGTCTCGTTGATCTGTCTAATGTTGACAGTGTGGTGTTAAAGTCTCCCATTATTAATGTGTGGGAGTCTAAGTCTCTTTGTAGGTCACTCAGGACTTGCTTTATGAATCTGGGTGCTCCTGTATTGGGTGCATATATATTTAGGATAGTTAGCTCCTCATGTTGAATTGATCCCTTTACCATTATGTAATGGCCTTCTTTGTCTCTTTTGATCTTTGTTGGTTTAAAGTCTGTTTTATCAGAGACTAGGATTGCAACCCCTGCCTTTTTTTGTTTTCCATTGGCTTGGTAGATCTTCCTCCATCCTTTTATTTTGAGCCTATGTGTGTCTCTGCACGTGAGATGGGTTTCCTGAATACAGCACACTGATGGGTCTTGACTCTTTATCCAACTTGCCAGTCTGTGTCTTTTAATTGCAGAATTTAGTCCATTTACATTTAAAGTTAATATTGTTATGTGTGAATTTGATCCTGTCATTATGATGTTAGCTGGTGATTTTGCTCATTAGTTGATGCAGTTTCTTCCTAGTCTCGATGGTCTTTACATTTTGGCATGATTTTGCAGCGGCTGGTACCGGTTGTTCCTTTCCATGTTTAGCGCTTCCTTCAGGAGCTCTTTTAGGGCAGGCCTGGTGGTGACAAAATCTCTCAGCATTTGCTTGTCTATAAAGTATTTTATTTCTCCTTCACTTATGAAGCTTAGTTTGGCTGGATATGAAATTCTGGGTTGAAAATTCTTTTCTTTAAGAATGTTGAATATTGGCCCCCACTCTCTTCTGGCTTGTAGGGTTTCTGCCGAGAGATCCGCTGTTAGTCTGATGGGCTTTCCTTTGAGGGTAACCCGACCTTTCTCTCTGGCTGCCCTTAACATTTTTTCCTTCATTTCAACTTTGGTGAATCTGACAATTATGTGTCTTGGAGTTGCTCTTCTCGAGGAGTATCTTTGTGGCGTTCTCTGTATTTCCTGAATCTGAACGTTGGCCTGCCTTGCTAGATTGGGGAAGTTCTCCTGGATAATATCCTGCAGAGTGTTTTCCAACTTGGTTCCATTCTCCACATCACTTTCAGGTACACCAATCAGACGTAGATTTGGTCTTTTCACATAGTCCCATATTTCTTGGAGGCTTTGCTCATTTCTTTTTATTCTTTTTCCTCTAAACTTCCCTTCTCGCTTCATTTCATTCATTTCATCTTCCATCGCTGATACCCTTTCTTCCAGTTGATCGCATCGGCTCCTGAGGCTTCTGCATTCTTCACGTAGTTCTCGAGCCTTGGTTTTCAGCTCCATCAGCTCCTTTAAGCACTTCTCTGTATTGGTTATTCTAGTTATACATTCTTCTAAATTTTTTTCAAAGTTTTCAACTTCTTTGCCTTTGGTTTGAATGTCCTCCCGTAGCTCAGAGTAATTTGATCGTCTGAAGCCTTCTTCTCTCAGCTCGTCAAAATCATTCTCCATCCAGCTTTGTTCTGTTGCTGGTGAGGAACTGCGTTCCTTTGGAGGAGGAGAGGCGCTCTGCGTTTTAGAGTTTCCAGTTTTTCTGTTCTGTTTTTTCCCCATCTTTGTGGTTTTCTCTACTTTTGGTCTTTGATGATGGTGATGTACAGATGGGTTTTCGGTGTAGATGTCCTTTCTGGTTGTTAGTTTTCCTTCTAACAGACAGGACCCTCAGCTGCAGGTCTGTTGGAATACCCTGCCATGTGAGGTGTCAGTGTGCCCCTGCTGGGGGGTGCCTCCCAGTTAGGCTGCTCGGGGGTCAGGGGTCAGGGACCCACTTGAGGAGGCAGTCTGCCCGTTCTCAGATCTCCAGCTGCTTGCTGGGAGAACCACTGCTCTCTTCAAAGCTGTCAGACAGGGACATTTAAGTCTGCAGAGGTTACTGCTGTCTTTTTGTTTGTCTGTGCCCTGCCCCCAGAGGTGGAGCCTACAGAGGCAGGCAGGCCTCCTTGAGCTGTGGTGGGCTCCACCCAGTTCGAGCTTCCTGGCTCCTTTGTTTACCTAAGCAAGCCTGGGCAATGGCGGGCGCCCCTCCCCCAGCCTCGTTGCCGCCTTGCAGTTTGATCTCAGACTGCTGTGCTAGCAATCAGCGAGATTCCGTGGGCGTAGGACCCTCTGAGCCAGGTGTGGGATATAGTCTCGTGGTGCGCCGTTTCTTAAGCCGGTCTGAAAAGCGCAATATTCGGGTGGGAGTGACCCGATTTTCCAGGTGCGTCTGTCACCCCTTTCTTTGACTCGGAAAGGGAACTCCCTGACCCCTTGCGCTTCCCAGGTGAGGCAATGCCTCGCCCTGCTTCGGCTTGCGCACGGTGCGCACACACACTGGCCTGCGCCCACTGTCTGGCACTCCCTAGTGAGATGAACCCGGTACCTCAGATGGAAATGCAGAAATCACCCGTCTTCTGCGTCGCTCACGCTGGGAGCTGTAGACCGGAGCTGTTCCTATTCGGCCATCTTGGCTCCTCCCTCGGAATCTATTTCTTAAACACAGACATCAGAAGCTTAACCAACTCAACCTACTTCCTTGCAGGAGTGAGTCCGTGCTGCTGCACATGCCCCAGCCTGTGAATCCAGAGCTCACTACAGGGCGCATCACAGGACTGGTGGACAGGCTCAACCACTTCCGAGGTGAGTGTCACAATTTTTCTTAAACAAAGCTACTGCTCTTTGCTTTGTGAAGTGGTAATCCCTGTTCCTGGCCCGGTGGGAAAACATACCAGTAGCGTGCTGGGAATCTAATGTGGTGAGAACGTTTTACTGGGGGCGCACAAAGGAGGAAAATATTCCAGACATGCTAAGGCTAAGAATGGCTCCCCAGAAAACGGATACCTGAGAAAAGGGAGAATCAATTTTGATTTGCAGATACTCTTATGTTTTCATTAATTCCTGCTGGTACATCCATTACATAACTCTAGGTCAAGAAGAGAATTTGTATATCTGTTGGAAAACCTTTAGCCAGAGAAATTAAAGATGATATCAAATGAGTCACTGTGCTAAGGAGAAGCAACCAAGGAACTCCAAAATTAAACCCAGCCCTGCTTTCTCTGCTTTTTCTTTCACAGTTTTGGATTCCATGTTTCCAAAGTAATCTTAGTCTTTTAAATTCCTAAGAGTCATTAATCTGTTTTAGGAACAATATTAAAATTGTATAATTAGAATTTAAAACATCACAAACTATTATTAAATCAATAGTTAGGTTTTTCCAAATACACATCTAGTGTTTAACTGTCCTCTAGTCTTATGAACTGTTTCTCTATTTCTGTTTAATATGAATAGAAGGTGTGTGTGTGTGTGTGTGTGTGTGTGTGTGCAGCTGTGTGTTTCCCAATCTGATAACAATGGAATGTTTGCATTGAGCTTTTTGGGGGAGCATTTTTGTGACTTTGTGCAGCTTTTGTTTGTTCCCAAATGTCCCCATTCCAATGTATGGAGTTCATTCTTGTAAAAAATAATTATTATAACTTTCCTGTGTTCTTTTACTTTTTGCAAGTTGTAGTTGTTGGTTGCCTCTGTTAAGATGAAATGTTTCTTTAAGAGACTCATGTGAGAAAGCAATCTACACATTCTTTAACCAGCCTGGCAATGTTGGCAGCAGGGCACCGCTTACTCAACCAGTACAGCTGGGGCCTGGAAACGAAACAGTCAATGCTCAGGGCAGGAGCAAAAAATGGACTTTTTAATTGTTATTAGGCTGGTTATTTAATTAACCTGTTTGGAGGGTTTAACTCCTATTCTTTTATTCTAAATAGTGCTATTTAAAGCCATATTCCCACTGTTATAAAGAGACTAATTGTTTGCAATTATCCATTACTTACCTCTGCCTTGGCTTGATTAAACTTTAGTCTGTCTTTTTTCTTCCTTACAGACCCCTGAAACGTGGCTTGCCCTAAGACTGAGCAAGCATTAAAATGAAGAACATCTTGATAATTGGCTGACTGCAGCCCGATCATGCTGTCTGTGTACACTCCTTCATTTGCCCAGTTTCCCTAAAAAAGTTCCTGCTTTACTGCTTATCCCTCTTCATATTAAAAAATAGCCTTTTCTGTTTACTTTTGGGATGCTTGAAGATCTTAAGTTTGGAGGTTTTTCCTCTATTGCAATAGTCTTTTTAAAAATAATGTCTTCATTCTGGGCAGGGTGGCTCACATCTGTAATCCCAGCAATTTGAGAGGCCAAGGTGGGTGGATCACTTGAGGTCAGGAGTTCAAGACCGGCCTGGCCAACATGGCAAAACTCTGTCTCTACTACAAATACAAAAATTAGCTGGGCATGGTGGCGGACACCTGTAGTCCCAGCTACTTGGGAGGCTGAGGCAGGAGAATCGCTTGAACCCAGGAGTTGGAGGTTTCAGTGAGCCACTGCACTCCAGCCTGGGGGACAGAGTGAGACTCTGTCAAATAATAATAGTAATAATAATAATAATAATAATAATAATGTCTTCATTTAACTTTGGATTTGTTTTTGACGAAAAGATTTGACATTAATTTAGAAACATTAGATATCAGAGTTGGGCTCTGAATGGTTACATTTCCATATAGGTTGTTGCTCTAGTTCCTTCCCATCGAAAAGTTTGGTCTTAGAAACTACCTTTACTGAACTACAGAATTTAAATTTGAAGATATATTTATAATTTTTAGTGTCAATGTAAAATAAGAATATCAAGATGAATCTCTAAACAAAATGCTTTATTTGGTAGAACAGAATTGGAGTTCAGGGCATACACAGAGAGTGGAATGGTCTTCAGTATGACTGAAAAACAAGGAGAAGCTTAGAGGTTTTATTAGAGAGAAATGTTATATATTGTTTTGGAAGAAAACTCATTAGCACTAGCAAAGTTTTTAGGAGCTGACGAGCTCTGAATGGTGAGTGATGGTGGTGGGTAAATTAGTCTTAGAGTCATGGCGGTTTGTTTCAGAAGCTGCTAGGTAAAACTGGTCTTAAAGTTATACCAGGTCATTTCAGCAGCTAGCTTGCATTATTAGCCCCGGGCAGGTGCTTTGTGTCCCAAGTGTTTTTTTTTTTTTTTTTTTTTTTTTTTTTTTTTTTTTTTTTTTTTTTTTTACTGGGTCTCTGGACTGTAATTTAGTTGAATATGACAAGATAACTCCAATTCCTGATTATCAATTTTTACCTTATGAACCATAGACTTTCTTCTTACTGCTGTTAAGATTTTTAACCTACTATTTGTAAATGGAGTGTTTTCATATTTTCATAACATTGATATGTATCAATATTGATTTTATCATTATTCATTCATTGTTGTCTATAAACAATACTTATAACATTTCTATGTTGTTACTTATTATTTTCTCTTTCCCTCTGGCCATTGTTGAAGTTAATCTGTCTGTTAGGATAAAATGTGTCTTGTAGAGAGATTCAAATACAATACGTTAATTGTAAATTTTGGACCAGAAAGATTTTGGTCTGGCTCTTGACATACATACTTATCCAAAGATTCTTGAGACTGGAAAACATATGGATTCTTGTGCCTGGGAGAATGAAAACATGGCCTTTGATTCATAAAAGCTTATTTATTTAATATTTTTAAAATATTGCTAATTATTTACTTAACAAACTCGATGTTGACTATGTACCATGTTTGTATTTCTAAATAACTTAATTCTTGTAACAGCTCAATGAGGTGGGTACTGTTACTATTTGTAATTTGCAGGTGAGGAAAGAGAGGCACAAAGAGACTAAGTGAACTGACCAGGATCACAGTTCCTGAGTTGGAGCTTATGGTTTTAAATTCAGGCAGCTTGGTGCCCAGTCTGTGCTATTAACCATTATGCTTTGCAGCCTTTCTTTCTGGGCATAATGCCCAGTTACTTGTTTCTTTTAACAGCATTACTAAGTCAATTATATTTATTTTAAGAAGAATGACATTAGTTTTGAAATGATGTAGTAAACTATGAAAATAAAGCTGTTTTCTAGGTTTATTGCTATTTCTAGGTTTATTTAGTAATAAAGCTATTGTTTTAGAAGTTGCATTTGCTGCCTGCAATCCCAGCACTTTGGGAGGCCGAGGCAGGCAGATCACCTGAGGCCAGGAGTTTGAGACCAGTCTGGCCAACATAGTGAAACCCCATCTCTACCAAAAATACAAAAATTAGCTAAGTGTGGTGGCGGGCACCTGTATTCCCTTCTACCTGGGAGGCTGAGGCAGGAGAATCGCTTGAATCTGGGAGGTGGAGGTTGCAGTGAGCCGAGATTGTGCCACTGCACTCCAGCCTGGGTGACAGAGCAAGAGTCCATCTCCCCTGCCCCACAGAAAAAAAGAAATTGCACTTGCTTAATCATAAATTTGTGAAAGTAATTGACTTGACTGAAACTAAAAGTATTTTTTCTGCTCTCAGGGGTTTTAAAACAGATTTTTTGATAATGGACTATTTTTATATCACTGTACTTAGTTTTCCAATGCCCATGGTATTTGGAATTCATTATATTGTTTGTATTGCCACAATATATTTTTATTTTTGTTTTTTCCTCTCTGCATATTAGTGTTTAGTTTCTCAATCAGTGTGTTATAGTTTAATGGAAGAGACTGAAATAAAAATAAACAGCTGAGAGTTCCCTTGACCAACTTGTTAACACTGGAATCAGCTCTCCTGTGTTGACCCAATGGCACATTTTATTTACATGTTGAGATGTGATCAGCTGTCCCACAAGGTCCTTGTGAGCTAAGGAGATAATATAAGTAGACATTAGAGGTGCAGATGTGCAAATTAAGGCACAATGTAAGATTCGGGAAGATTAGTCAAGATAAGGAAAACCAACCACATTGTCTAAATCTCGTCCAGCAAGAGGTCTAGGTTAGGACCACTCAGATTCTAGGGGCAGGTGATTGAGAAGATTGAGAAGAAGAAAAGAAGTGAAAATACTTTGTTGCAGAAAAGATTCTAGCATGACTCCAATGCTGCAAATGTTATGATATTTTTCAGAGGCACTCATCAAACTTGATATGTACACTGTTGATGTACAGAGAAAAAAATTGAGACCTAACATTCATAGAGAGTCAGAGAAAGCGAAGATGGAAGAGGGATCTACCCATAGCACCACAAGTGGCAGTGGCTGTGATCAACTTTTGTTCTATATCAGTTTTTTTTTGTTTTTGTTTTTGTGTTTATTAACAGAGGTATTGATGTTTGGGGCTGGAAGATTCTTGGTTGTAGGAGGTTGTCTTCAGAATTGTAGGTTGTTTAACAGCATTCCTAGCCATTACCCACTAGATGTGAGTAACACCTGCTAAGTTATGACAGCTGGATATGTCTCCAGATATTGTCTAAACATTCCCTGGGGGACAAAATTTTCCCCATTTGAAAATTATCCCAACTGTTCTATACATTAAAAATGAGAGTCCTGCACATGTTTCCCATCCCCTTATCGTGGGAATACACATGATTTAATGATCCTGTGATTAACATTTAGTAAAGAATCTCACCATAAAGTTAGGTAATGGTGCTGAATCACAGGCATAGGACCTCACACTCTGTAAGTGGGACCTGTCTCTTCCCTCCCTCCTACTGGTGTTCAAATCCTTCCTCTCTTTAAGAATGGAGCCAAGATCCCATCTTCAATAAAGCACGTATCAGAGAAGCACATATGTTCCTGCTTCTCTGATATGTATTTACTGTATTTTTGTTAATTTTTAATTCTGTAAGTAAAAATGAGTTCCATTTTGAAAATATTAAAACATTATTTTCAGCATTAGAGTAAATTAGAAAATCTGAAAACCCTCCTGCCACACCTACGAATATCTAAAATACAGTAAACATTCTTTTAAATATATAGCTATGTACACAAAAGTAAAGAAGTTTCTACTGATCAAAATTGGTGATCAGGGCATGAAACCCGTTAACTGATATTGTGTTAGGTTTCCTGTGTTTGTTGCCAATATATTTGAGTTTTAAGAGCTACAAAAATATAAAAAAGAAAGCCTTGAGTTCATGCAAGGAGGAGAGTTGGAACTGAAAACCTGCAGGAAACTATCCTTCCTAGGCTGTAAATGTAGGGAAAGGTTTGATTTAGGGAAGAAAATCAGCCGACAGCACAAGATGACAAGTTGGCTTCTTTCTTTTAAAGTTTTGTTAGGCATTTAAACCAAAAGATTCCCAGTGTTATCTGCCAATTAAAAATAATATGAATAAAAATAATTTTTTAAGAAAACCTCCAAACCCCCAAAGATTTCCCTTATTATTTAAAGACGTGGGCCTGTCCTCAACACAGTTTAAATTGCAAATTTACATTACCTGCATTATACTGTACAGGAGCCTCCGAGCTGAGAAATAACACAAAAATGACCCTGGCAGGTAGTACTTCCGCAGGAAAACAATGAAAAACCCTCTGTGGAAGAATGCATTGTCCATCCTGGTGACATAATCCCTGCTGTTACATGTCTCAACATGTCACAAAACAAAAATATAAAAAACAAACACACAGTCCCTAACAGAGCTAAGGAGCAGTAGGATTAGACATTCCAGAGCTTCAGATTATAGAAATACTAGGTAGAGAAATAAAAGAAATATTAAAAACATGAGAATGAATATTATACTGTTTTTTAAAAAGACCAAAGCAGGTTCGAAAAATATCCAAATAGAACTTCAGGAGGTGAAATAAAAAACTTGACTGATGAGGTTCAAGTCTCATTGAATTACCCACCATTTCTATCTCTCTTCTCTCTCCTCTTTTCCAGTGGTATACTCTATTCAATGTGTTTTTTCCCATGCTCTGTGTGTGTGTGTGTGTGTGTGTATGTGTGCATCCATAAAAACTATGTAGTATTGTTTGTATTCTTTAGTTTTAGTGGTATTAGTCCATATGTATTGTTCTGAAATTTTTTTTTTTTGTCATTCAACATTAGCTTTTGGCGATCTAGTCATATTGCATATGAATCTAGCTTGTTTTTTTTAAAACTTGTATGCACAGTATAAATACACCAGCTTACTTACACATTTTTTTCCTAACGGACCCTAGTTGGCTAATATATTTTTTGTTATAAACCATGTAGCAAGGGACACCCTACATATATCTCTCTGGGCATAATTGTGAATGTTTCTCTGTGATAAATACCACAAAGTAGAATTGCTCAGTTAGAAATTATGCACATCTTTATTTTAATATATACTTCCAGATTGGTCTTCAAAACATCTTGACAGTTGGCCCCTTCCCCTGACCCACATACTAGGCTTATATTTTATTTTTTGAATTAATTTAAATGAGGTAGGCAGAAATTTTGGATACTGAATTTTTACTTTTTATAGAAGTTGCAAATATTTTTTCCCACTTTAAACTTTTAGGTGGTTTTTTTAATAGTGAAGAAGTTTCATTATATGTTTCCTATTATTTGCATACTTTTCCACCTTTCACTTTTTAACCCATTTATGATATAGTTTTGTTTTGCATGTGAGAAGGAACTAATTTTATGGTTATTATTTTGTACTGTTAGCCAGCGTCTCAATGCTCTTAACTGAATCGTTCTCCTTTTCCTGATAGCTTTGAAATAGCACTCTAATCATATTTCAGTTCCTAAACTCTGTTCTGTTTCTCTACTGTTACATTGTTTTACAAAGTGATTAAAGTACTCCCCAAAGTAAGAAGTACATTTTACTTTGTAACCTGATGCACCAACTGCATGTTCACACACATATGAAACAAAATATTCATCCAATAACACCTACACCTACACCTAATAGGCTTGTTATACTCTGATAATTTCTCTTTTACTCCAATCTATTAAAAAACAAATCTGGTGATAACTATTAAATTGATTTCCTGATCCACTAATAGATTTTTGCTTGCAGTCTGAAAAGTTCTGCCTATTTTATTTCATTAATTTCTTGGTATTTTATGGCATAATTAACACGTTAGTATTATTTTTAAAAACATCTTTTTATCTCTGTTCTTTTTAGAAAAACAGATTTTCTTTCTTGGACTTTCATTCTTTCACATGCATTTCTTTTTTTTATTATACTTTAAGTTTTAGGGTACATGTGCACAACGTGCAGGTTTGTTACATATGTACACATGTGCCATGTTGGTGTGCTGCACCCATTAACTTGTCATTTAACATTAGGTATATCTCCTAATGCTATCCCTCCCCCCTCCCCCCACCCCACAACAGGCCCCGGTGTGTGATGTTTCCCTTCCTGTGTCCATGTGTTCTCATTGTTCAATTCCCACCTATGAGTGAGAACATGCGGTGTTTGGTTTTTTGTCCTTGCCATAGTTTGCTGAGAATGATGGTTTCCAGCTTCATCCATGTCCCTACAAAGGACGTGAACTCATCCTTTTTTATGGCTGCATAGTATTCCATGGTGTATATGTGCCACATTTTCTTAATCCAGTCTGTCATTGATGGACATTTGGGTTGGTTCCAAGTCTTTGCTATTGTGAATAGTGCCACAATAAACATATGTGTGCATGTGTCTTTATAGCAGCATGATTTATAGTCTTTTGGGTATATACCCAGTAATGGGATGGCTGGGTCAAATGGTATTTCTAGTTCTAGATCCCTGAGGAATCGCCACACTGACTTCCACAATGGTTGAACTAGTTTACAGTCCCACCAACAGTGTAAAAGTGTTCCTATTTCTCCACATCTTCTCTAGCACCTGTTGTTTCCTGACTTTTTAATGATCGCCTTTCTAACTGATGTGAGATGGTATCTCACTGTGGTTTTGATTTTCATTTCTCTGATGGCCAGTGATGATGAGCATTTTTTCATGTGTCTTTTGGCTGCATAAATGTTTTCTTTTGAGAAGTGTCTGTTCGTATCCTTCGCCCACTTTTTGATGGCTGCACTTCTTAAAATTGGGTTCTGTAAAAAGTACTTTTGGAATTTGACTGATTCTTCACTGACTCTGTAGATTTATTTTGGGGAAAATTAATGTTTTTATACTATTGTATTGCCATCTGTGATTTAGATCTCATTTGATTTAGATTATCTGTTGTAGTTAATTGTAGTTATTTATGTTCGAGTTATATGTCCCCTGCTAGATTAGTAATTTTTAAATCCCCTCCGTATCACATACAGCATATAAAAGTACTAAACACATTTGTTTTGGCCAATTGATGAGTCAACTGTGTGAGACAAGAACTTCTCATGCATTTCTTGCATATCCCGTAAAGTACTTTCCGCCTAGAATTCCTCATATAAATCATGAGGCAGAACTTTAATATGCTTCAACTTTCAGTCTAAGGCAAGGTGCCTTATCTGTCTAAAGAAGTGATTCATGTTTTAAGTACTATATTCCAGGAGCTACAACCACTTCAACAAAAATTTATTGAAAGCCTGGTTTACAGTGTTGAACGTGGCAGACTTCCCTTTCTGCCCTCCTTCTCCCATGTCATACAGTATATGTTTCAGTGGGAAAGGCAATGAATAAGTAAGTAAACAAATTAATATGAAAGGCAAAACTGGACAGTGCCAAATGCTAGGAAGTATATAAAGGAAGTGTGATAGAGAGAGTCTGTTGTTAGCAGTGTTGTAAGGTTAGAGGAGCCCTTTCTGCAAAGGAGGCATGTGACCTGAGACAGTCAGTCACTTGGGGTGTGTACAAAATATATGTACTGCCTCCCTGAGTGTCTGCATGGCTAGCACCTTAGAAGTTGATACCATGAGACATAAACCATTGTAAGACTAAATGTCAAGGACTGGCATCAGGGTGTAAACACCTGCAGTTTAGAGAAATTCATTACCAAGGTAGCAGGCCATGCTTTTCAGTTTACATTAGGTATTTATGAGCCCTTATCTTGATCTGGTGTGTACTGAGGCTTGTGTTTACCTCTCCTTTGATGAAATCCAGTTACTTTTATTGTATTTTATTTTTTAAATTCTGGGGTACATGTGCAGGATGTGCAGGTTTGTTACATAGAGAAACATGTGCCATGGTGGTTTGCTGTACCTATCAAACCATCACTTAGGCAGTAAGCCCAGCATGCATTAGCTCTTTTCCCTAATGCTCTGCACCCCCTGCCCTCCCTCAACAGGCCCCAATGTGTTTGTTCCCCTCCCTGTGTCCATGTGTTCTTATTGTTCAGCTCTCACTTATAAGTGGGAACATGTGGTGTTTGGTTTTCTGTTCCTGTGTTAGTTTGCTGAGGATAATGGCTTCCAGCTTTGTCCATGTCCTTGCAAAGGACATGATCTTGTTCCTTTTTGTGGCTGCATAGTATTCCATGGTGTATATGCACCACATTTTCTTTATCCAGTCTATCATTGATGGACATTTGGGTTAATTCTGTGTCTTTGCTGTTGTGAATAGTGCTGCAATGAACATACGTGTGCATGTGTCACTTTTAAATCCTTTGTTCCATGCGATGTAACCATGATGGGGAAAGAAGATGAAGGGATGAGGAGGCCAATCTTGAATGCTTTCCACACCCTCTCCAGTCTTCACTAATTGTAGCAACATTTTTTATCAGTTTTATACAGTTATCTGTGTGTGTGTGTGTGTGTGTGTGTGTGTGTAGGTGGTGTAGGTGGGGGTTCTGCTTACGTTTTCCTCTGATTTATTTCTGAAACAATTCTGCTACTAAAATAATTTTGAAATCCATTAGAATAATCCATTTCAAAATTTAAATGGTTCTTGTACTGGGGAATCAAATGATATGACATTGTCATTTGCTGTTCCTTTCTTCCATTGTGTTGAAGTGGATATGTGCAAAATGGTTCAGAATAAATGAAAGCTTTTTATTGGGGTAGAGAAGGCAGAAATTAGATATAAGGATTGGAGGCAAGTTGTTATGGCTTGAGATGATTTTGATTTGTAAATGTAGAAGAGATGGAAAAAATACTAAAGTGTGATTTATAGCTACAAGAACAAAAGGGCAGGACTTGCCATGGAGGGGAGCATACAGGGCCAGGGACTGGCTGATCTGAGTCCTGAACTGCTACCTCAGCCTGGATCTTGTCCCCTGTGTAACCTCAGGTATTGTCTTTCAGATGTGCTGAACTGGTACTATGATTACCACTTCGCAGAATTTATTCTGGGGACCAAATATTATCATATGTTCTAGATATTTGTGAGCTGACAAGTGACATCAGTGCTATGTAATTTTAATCGAATGGAAGGAGTGCATAGATGAAGTATCTAGTGTAAATCTTGATAGGTGTATATGGATTAGGTTAATGATCTCAAGCCCAGACACAGTCTATAGCCAGTTAAGCAGGAAATAATTTGTTGAATAAAGGATTTTGGCTAGCAGAATTGATGAGAAAACTGGAAATCAAGTTCTGGCAATGCCAAGGACCTCAGGATGACAGACAGCAAGGATTACTGGAAGAGTCTGCTTAAGATATTTCTGCGGGCACTGGACTCTTGTTACTAGGGCCTAGAATAAAGGCACGGAATATATTTTTAGTAAAATTGTTGAACGAGTGGATAAATGAAAAGCATGTGGTAGGTGTTCAGTAAATAAGTGTTAAATGAGTGAGTGAAAGAATAATGAGGCACAATCACTGCTAGACACTTGCCATTGCTGTTGTGATTAATTTTCAGTTCTGCCTAGGTCCCTAACTCCCTCCCTCTAACTTTAAAGCCATGAGTAGAAGGTTATAATTACAGTGGCCAAACCCTAGTGCTCAGCTGGGCAGAGAGAAGAAATATCTGTTCTTAGGTTTCCGAAGTGAGTGAGTACTTTGCCTATCACCAAACCTTACACGGATGGGAAGGGTGTTCGGATTCTGGTTGTCCAAAAATATGATCAGTGGTCCCCGCTATAGTGTTGGATTAACTTCATGTTAATTATTTGGAAACAGTGGCAACAAATGTATTTGGTTACTAAAGCAATGTAACCATTTACTATAGTTTTCCTGTAACTGATGTACGCAATAGTTGCAGTGTTGTTCTCTGTGCTGTAGAAAAATATATTTAATTATTGGATTATTACCCAATGTTATTGTCTCAAATTAAATACTACATTGTTGAAACAAGAGACATGCAATTCTGGAATTCAAATAGAATTGTTTTTGTTTTTCTTTGAAATGATGTTAAATCAGTTTAGAAAGTAGAGAAATAACCATTACATGCCTTAATTTCTGTTACTAATTGAAGTGGAGGAAAACAGTGACTGATAGAAGCTTTGTTTAGTGAAATTCAACTAGCATCTCCTCTTAAATAATTTTAACACATTTTCCAAAATATTGCCAAATCTTTGATGAATTATTTTGGAAAACCTGGCTTCATTTGTGTAGAAACCATTCACGTTTTCTGGTATTTCTCTTTCTTTTGAGGATGTATGTGTAAAAAAAAAATTCTAAAAGTTTGAAAATAGGCTCAGCTCATATAACACCAGCCACATAGTTCATAGGTCTTGAGGGAGTCTCCAGGGATTACTTCGAGATTTTATATACATATAAAAACGTGTATCAAAGTGTATAAGTACTACATTTTACTCAAGTTGGGTTTATATAATTTCAGGTTTCTCTGTGCACATTGGTGATTTCACATTTTAAGTGTATGGGATTCAGGAAGCACATGTGTTTTAGGCTGTATCACATTGGTGTGGCACTAATCAGATGGCATGTAAATAACTTGTTGATAGGATCACTTAATAAACTATCATGATTCTTCAATCAATATGAGACTTATTTGGGAGAGAAGTGAAATTACAAGAATCAAGGGAATAGTATTATGTTTTATAAATTTTGGATATAAACTTTGATAATTCTTATTCATAAGTTAACCCCATATGTTTAAGACGCACAACATTAATGATAAAAATAAGATCCATTGTATCCTTTTTATATAGGGGTGTTGGCCTCATGTTAGTGTGGCCTTCTGTTTCTGTAAGGATTCTGGATGTTTAATAGACATTTTGGGTTGCATCATGAAGCTTTATTGACTTTTATGGTGAAATTGTTACAGGGCAGGTGAATCCCAACAGTGGGGTTTAGCCTGAGAAGGTTGGCTCAGGAAAGAATTCAAGAGCGAGCTGGTGGTAGAAAAATCAGCTTTATTGAGGCAGGGGTGTTACAGCTCTGTGACTTCTCCTTCAGAGCAGGGGTACCCCCTGGGCAGTGTGTCAAGAGTAGCAGCTCAGGGGCAGTTCTGCAGCCATGTTTATACTACTTTTAATTATGTGCAAATTAAGGGGCAGGCTATTCAGAAATTTCTAGAAAACAGAAGGTAACTTCTGGATCATTGCCATGGAAAGGGATGGTAACTTCTGGGTATAGCCATGGCAATGGTAAAATGTCATGGTGCTGGTGGGCGTGTCTTATGGGGAGGAGCTTTCGTTTCCTCTTCCTTGTTTCTGTCAGTCTTCAATCTGGTCCAGAGTCACATTCCACCTCCTACCTCATTATGAATAATGAAAAGTCAGGCTGATAGGGCTCTGTATTTTCTATCTTGGCTTCTATCAGAGTTGTCCCACCTGATCCGTCCTGTATGTCACAGTTCACTTAACTGTTTTTAGTAAGACTTTCTGTCTTTAAAGCATGTTTGGAAACACTGTCCTATGCAATAAATTTTAATTGGCTTCTTCCATATTTTCTTTTTCTTAATAAAGAACAAAACAGATTTTTATTTCTAGTGAAATGGTTTACAAGATTGGGTCCTGAATAGACCCAAGAAAATCTAAATGTCATTTCTCTGAAGACTGCAAATTGCTGAAAGGCCCATATACTTTAAAAATGTTATCTATGAAAATAAGAAATTATTTAGACAGGTATAAATTACTACATGGTTTTAAGAACAGTCTTAAATATATGTTGCAGAAACAACAAATTGTTATCGTTTTAGAAATGCAGATGTCATATATGTTTTTGCAGCACTCTAAAGCAGCAAAAATGCATTGCAGTTGTGCAGTATTAAGGAAGTTGAAACATTGTTGACTGAGCTCACATTAGTTTGTTGGCTAACCACAAAATATGTAAAAAGATAGAGCTTTTTGCATGTTTTTGATGCTGTGATTTCTAGACAGGAAGGAAAGCAAACTGCAGAAGCACCTGCAAAGTGTTATAGGAAACAGTGAGACAACGATTAGGGCTTGGAGGATGGCACCATTAAGAAAAACTGTGTTGCATTTTAAGTTATGTAAAACTATGTTTAGTTGAAAATGTGTATTTTTAAAATATTTTGATTGCACTGTTCATTTATCATTACATTCACATTGGTATATAGCTACACTGTACATTTCTTTAATCTTCTATTAATAGTTTCTTTTATTTAAAATCTTGGTTCAACAGTTTGAAGGTAATGAAGTTAATTCCATTGTAATGAGAATTTAATATGTTTCAGAGTTGGTATATTCTGTTGGTTATCACCATCTGGACTCAGGCATACCTAATCTGAGATTCAGTGTTGCCTTTGTCTTGATGTGTGATCTTAGACAAGATAGTCAGCTTCTCTTTGCCCCATCTCTAAAGTTGGAATTGTAACATTGATACTTACTTCATAAAGCTGTTGTGAAGATTAAATGATTTAATCAACATATAACCCTTAGCACCATATATGATAGTTTTTATAATATTCCCCAGTGAGATAATGGTGAGAAGAAGTAAGCGGGCTTTTATTAATTGCTATATTATATTACTGTTGGCGTTTCTTATGATAAGAACTTTTTACAATCTCATGAAATATTATTGTCCCACCTTACAAATAAGGAAACTGATGTCTAATACAAAGATACTTTGATTTGGAAATGCAAGGTATAGAATCAAGGCAGTTAAACAATTTGAGTTTTGCTTTGGTTGGAGCAAGAAAGGCTGGCCAAGAGAAATTAGGTAATTTGCCTGGTCTTGGTGAAAGATAATGAAGGCCAATAATAGGAGGGTTGGATAAAACTGGGCAAATTTTTTTGACATTTTAGCAGTAGAATCAACTAAATACTACTGCATGTGATTCGGTGTTACAGGTCAGCGCAAGGGAATATTAATGGATCTCTCTTGGATATTTTGAGTTTGAAGTTCCCATGGGATATCCAGATTTAGATGCTCCGTAGACACCTGGAGCTGTAAAATAAAAAAAAAAGACTTCAGTGGAGATTCTAATTTTGTAAGTAAAGAGCATTAGAGTTAATAGTTGAATCCAACAAAGGAGTGCCAAATTGAGAAGTAAAGAGACCAGAGAGCAAAATCCTGATGGGCACCCAACATTTAAAAGGTAGTTGGAATTATTTGGTGTGGCTAGCAGAATGTTTAAAATATGCTATGATAGTGAAATAGAGCACAGTAAAGGGAACTGCAAGGAATAAGGTAGTCTCTGGTAATATATGTATTCTAGAGACATCAAATGTTATTTTTCTTTTTGAGCATTAAATTCAATTCAGCAATTTTGCAATTATACCAGCAGTTATTTCAAGCATGTGCTCACAAAGCACTTTGCACGAGCTGTACTTCACTATCTGCAAACCTTGCATCTGGTCCTTGCTTATGGAAGCATTTTGTAAAGTTTCAAATGTAGTTAAAAGTGATAGAATTTTTTTTTTTTTTTTTTTCCTGAGACAGGGCCCTGCTTTATCACCCTGCCTGGAGTGCAGTGGTGCCACCTTAGCTCACTGCAGCCTCAACTCTCGGGCTCAAGAGATCCTCCCATCTCTGCCTACGACTAGATGGGACCACAGGCATGCACTACCAAGCCTGGCTAACTTTTTCATTTTTTTTTTTTTTTTGTAGAGACGAGGTCTCACCATGTTGCCCAGGCTGGTCTGGAATGCCTGTGCTCAAGCAATCCCACACACCTCAGCCTCCCAAATTACTGGGATTACAGGCATGAACCACTGCACCTGACCATTTTATTTGAGTTATATTATTTTTCTTTCTACATTTTAGCTCTGCATTCTACATTTAATCATACTATTCCATTATTGAGAATGAGAAGAGCTTGAGAAATTTGTTTATATGATGCACTGCCATCTTCCAAACACAACTCCTTCTCTTCCCCTTAAGAGTAATTACCACTATTCTGATTTTTATGCAGTCACTTTCTGGCTTTTCTATATTGTTTTATTACCCAGATATGCATCCCTAAATGTTACAGTTCAGTTTTGCTTTTCTTTTAATGGTGTTTTTTGAGTATCTTATAATCTTCAGGTGCCCCAAACATAGCACCTGACGTCCAATACAAAGACATCTCTCTCCCTTTTAAAATTTATCTATTGAAAAAACCAGGCCAGGTGCGGTGGCTCATGGCTGTAATCTCAGCACTATGGGAGGCCAAGGCAGGCAGATCACCTGAGGTCAGGAGTTTGAGACTAGCCTGGCCAACATGGTGAAACCCCATCTCTGCTAAAAATACAGAAAAATTAGCCAGGCATGGTGGCAGGCACCTGTAATCCCAGCTACTTGGGAGGCTGAGACAGGAGAATCTCTTGAATCCGGGAGATAGGGGTTGCAGTGAGCTGAGACAGCACCATTGCACTCCAGCCTGGGCAACAAGAATGAAACTCCATCTCAAAAAAAAAAAAAAGAAAAAGAAAAAACCGGATCATTTATTTTGTAGAATTTTCCCAGAATCTGGATTTTGTTGATTACTTTCATGAAATGTAGGTTAATGTGTTCCTCCATAATCTGTATTTCCTGTAAACTGGGAATTGGATCCAGAGACTTAACCAGTTTCAAGAACCTCCTCCAGCACCCTTTTTGACAAGACTATATCTTAGGTAGTGGGGTATTCTTCCTCAAGAGAGACATAATTCTGTTTTTGAAATTATTGCAGCAGTTGATGCAAAATGCCTAGATCCATGATTCACTAGGGGTTGCAGCATCATTATGGTATATTTGTATGATTTCTTTTTTATTCATTTGCTGGAATTTTTCTATAAAGAGAACGTTTACTTTCTCTACTGTTTGGTTAGCCAGTGATACAGTTAGTGTAGGACAAACAAGGTACGTGCTTAATATTTTTTCTTTATTTGCCACTGTTCAAAATTAAAGTTAACTTTTTTGTATTTTCCCTAAGTATGTATGTGTGTGTGTGTGTGTGTATTGTTAGAGAGTTAGTGGTTGGGAACCTGAGGGTTAAACTGAAGAAAGAAAAGACAAGTAGAGACTCTTACTGCTCTTGCTCTAGTGCACCCTTGCACAAACCTGCACGTTGTGCACATGTACCCTAAAACTTAAAGTATAATAATAAAAAGAAGTGCATGTGAAAGAATGAAAGTCCAAGAAAGAAAATCTGTTTTTTTAAAAAGAACAGAGATAAAAAGATATAGAGTTTTTAAAAATAATACTAACATGTTAATTATGCCATAAAATACCAAGAAATTAATGAAATAAAATAGGCAAAACTTTTCAGACTGCAAGCAAAAAAAGCTTGTACTTACCTGCTGGGTCAGAGGTCCTGAAATCTCAGGCTTTGGAAGTGGGGTTGGAGTGGAAGGGTGGGGAGTCCTTAACCATTCCATATTCCTTGCCAAACTGTCAGGGAGGAACCTTTTCTCTATAATTCTCGGCAATTTCAGGCTCAGTGAATTAAACTGACAAAAGATAGATTAGCAAAACAAAAAGCTTATTTAATCACATATGGACAAAAGTTAGAAAAACATGTAGCTCAAAGGGGCAGTTAAAAGTGGGGGCTTATATACCATCTTAGTAGGGTAAGGAGAGGAGGAGAAAGGCCACTTATGGAAAAGTGAAATGAGTTTTAGGAAAGATAAATGAGCCCTTTAGATAACAGGTGGAAGATATGATAGTTTTGTGACAGTGTCTGTTTAGGTATGGTGTGAAGACTTCTCATCTTCAGTGTCCATTCTCCCTATTGCTCCTAGGGAGGGGATTTATGACAGTGGAGGTTTTTTGGAGTTCCTTTGAAAGGCTCTGCTTTTAGTCAGAGTAGCTATTTTGGGAACTCGAATGCCTTCTGCTCAAAATAATTTGTATGCTATCCTGGCATATTCTGGACCCCTTCAGTGTGTGTGTGTGTGTGCGTGTGTGTGTTTGGTGTGTGTGTGTGTGTATTGTTTTCAAGATAAACACCTCAACTTCCCTAAAGCTTCTCTAAGGGTTAGCTCCTTCTCTTCCCACCTGTAGATGGGAAGAGAAATTGAGGACCTTTCAGACTACTTTTTAGGTACAAGTTTAAAAAATTTGCTAAGAGGGAAGATCTAATGTTAAGTGTTCTTATGATAATCAATTAATCAATCCAAAATAAATATCTATTTTGAAAGTCAGAAAAAAAGATAAACACCTCATGAATTCATACTGATACTGAAATTCAGTTAAAATTCAGAACTACTGGATGCTTATTTAAATTCTCTGTCCTGTACCTATGTCTATATCCAGTCCCTACAGGTTCTGAAGAAGACTAGGAATGGTTAGAATATAATATATCACTCAAATCCATGTTACACACAAAACATTCTCATAATAACTACCAACAACATGATTACTCAAAATTATTGAAACAGGCATTCCATTCTCACCCATGAGTGTGTGTTTGTATTTACAGTTATGCTGTTTTTACATTGTCAGAGCATATGGCACATGTTATAGGGTACTCTCTACCCTATATTCTGCTCAGTACAGAGCTTAAGGAGATAACTATCACAGCTTTAGGTTTTTTTTAAATTGTGTTAATGTTGGATCAAAACTTTAGGTGTGCATATAAAAGGGAATAAGAAAGGGAACCAACTATGTTGATAGAGGAATAATTCTTCAAATGAATGTTACATTAAGAAATTGTCAATAAAACACTACTGTTAATAATTTAAAAGGTTTTATATATTAGATCCCTCTGAATATAACTTTCACATTTTGTCCTCTTTTGTGCTAATAGAACATTCTAGTATGCCAGTAGAAAAAAACATCACTTTAGAAAGGCCTTCTGATGTAAATCTCACATGCCAGTTCACAACATCCGGGGATTTGAATGCAGTAAATGTGACTTGGAAAAAAGATAGTGAACAACTTGAGAATAATTATCTTGTCAGTGCAACAGGAAGCACCTTATATACCCAATACAGGTGAGTATACAAATTTTAACCTACCTTGCTCACCAAAAGTAGCTTAATTCTAAATACTTTTGCTGACTGAGCATTCTTTCCTCTGCAGCCACTTGAATGTTATGCTAATATTCTAATTTGCATATTTACAGAATTATTTCTCTTTTTAAATTTTGATTAATGGCTAAGTCTTTTCATTTTCATTAAGAAGGTTTTGAGAACTAAGCCTATATTAATAACTTGAATTATCTTTAGGTTCACCATCATTAACAGCAAACAAATGGGAAGTTATTCTTGTTTCTTCTGAGAGGAAAAAGAACGAAGGGGAACATTTAATTTCAAAGGTCAGTATTAATAACTTGAGGAATAGTTAATAACTTCAGCATTATGTTCTTAGATTTCTCAATCCTGTAATTTTTAAATTATTTTTACAATAGTAAACATAATATAGCTGAAAGAAAGTCATATGCTTTCCAGAGCCACAAGAGGCAGCCTTGAAAATGGTCTTGTATCCCGCAAGTCCACTTCCTTCCTGCTTCTATTCCTCAATTTAAAGCACAGGTTTTAGTTCAAAAGGCCAGCCTACCACATTATTAGTGAATTATATCAGTCGCCTGAATTTCTTTATTTATCCCTCTAAATTCCTAGCTTTTATAATAGTCTTCCACATCTCTAAGTTATTGTGGTCCCAGCCTCTGAGAGTGTGGGTTGATGTTCTATATCCATAGCTCCAGGACATGGGATTTTAGGATCCATAAAACTTAAAAATAATATGGAGATGCACAAAGGGTTGCCTACTTTTTATTTCACAAAGTAAGGAGGTTTAAAGATATATACAAGCCCCAGAATATCATCCACATTTCTTTTCCTTGGAAACAAACGAATTAAAATATTTTACTGTTACCATCATTAAACCAAAACTCAAGGAGGTCTCAATCTCATAATAAAGACTAGTTGTTTGAGTTAGATAATTATCATTTTGAAAAACCCAGTATTTTGTGGTGATTAGTGAACCATAATATCATTCTGGTATTTGGGAAATGCAATCTGTTGCCCTATTAACTACGTTGGACTCTGCTTTGCACTAATTTCCCAGGAAACATGAAAATTGTAACTTTTCCTAAAACTCCTAAAGCCCGACTGTCTGCTGTGACAGAATGTGGATGCTATTCTCAAGGCTCCATCAACAGCAGAATGGCTTGCTTCACCATTGCCATGATCTAATGGTTCACTCCTTTGTCCCTCATTGCATCCCTTCTGCACTCACAGAGTCATTTTATTTTTATGGCTTTGTAATTGTTCCAGTGTGGTGAATATAATAAATTCTTGTATTTATATATCTTGGTCTCTCCAAAAGCAGAAACTAGTATCATTCTTTGATTATTTTAGTCATGTATATTCTTTCTTAACTTTTTTCCCTCCATTTGCCTTTAACTTAGTGAAGGACTGGATAACACCATATACATTTCCTTTCAGTTTCCTTTTCCTTTCGCATTTCATTTTTCCCTCCCCTGCCCCATCTGCCCTTCCCCTCCTCTTTCCTTAATCTCTCTTTTCCTTTCCTTTTTTCTGTCCTTTCTTCCCTCCCACCTTTTGAGTTCATTTCCTTCCTTTTTTCCTCCCTTTCTCTTTCTTTTTCTTCCCAGTGAGCAAAAAATATTAAACACACAAAATTTCAGTGAACATGTTTTATTGAGTTTTCAAAAAATATGTAAAGAAGGCCTACAAATTCTGAGGAAATGCTCACAGAATCTTGTGACTTAAAATGCTCCCAAGATATTCAACTTTAAACACTGTTTTCATTTTTTTTTTTTCTAAGACATTGTGCTCTGGAAATATATACTAGCAATACCTGCTTTCAATATTGAAGATAACACATTTTTCTCATTAGTTTTGATAATTACTTAAATTATTATGTGGAAGTGATCATTCTTGTGTCTAATGTGAAGATTAACAAGCATTTTACTTTTCAACATACCAATACACTGAATTGCAAGTATTCACACGGAAGGCCTCTTGATTCTCCAGCTGTTTTGAGATGACTAAGCTGATTTTGGCTGGTGTCAGCAGCATTGACTCAAGGCCTAGGATTTAAATCAAGGCTTTAAGGAAAGCAAAGAATCACTGAATACTTCCTTTTTTTTCTTTTCTAGTTGTCTTGAAGCAGTGTAGGTTAGCTAATTTGTTTTTAATGCCCATTTAACATTAACGTAACTTTTAAGTATGTATTATATCTTGAAGATATTTATAAAATTAATAAGTTGGGTCCTTTCAAATCTTCCTTGGTAAAATAAAAATTCTCTATAATTCATCTAAATTGAATATTGCTTAGAGAAATAATTTTACTTGAGTAGTATTTAAAGACATCTGTACATTATTCATATTATAGTTATTTAATAGTTCTGAAAGGCTTATAAAATGGTGTATATTTTTATAAATGTCCTATTATATTATTTCTCCTTATGGTTTACTTAATGGTTTTTCCTAAGAAGAAGAATTATCTTTTCTTAGAATACTTACAACTGCATGTAGATGAAAAGGCTGTTTTATTCTCTATTTTAAATTGAGCCAAAGATAAATTTTTCTGCCATTGACTACATGAGCCACCTATAGTGCATGAGCCTGAGTCTTCAGAACAATTCATCAGCAAAGTCCCTGCTGCTGTCTTTAAGGGTGCTGGTTGATTTACTACTACAAGGTTGTAAAAGGCCCTCAAGATTACTGATTAGTTCAATGCACAAAAACCTGCTGACTTTATGTGTTTCACTGTTGATGCTAGGACAGAGGAGACAGCAAAAGTGTACACTGGAAGTTTGTGACTGCTAATATATTGCTGATAACTTGCCACCCGAGAAGGAGAAAGATGAGTGATGGTCTATAGTGTTTCTCAGTAGTGGATCAAACATTCTGAGTGGTTGCTGAAAGCTTCCATAATATTTATCAATGTTAAAATATCTTAGTAGAAAGTATGAAGAAATTTAATTGGTAAAGAACAAGAACTTTTTGGAAGTCATGATGAGATTTTGATACTACCAAATGTAGTGAAGCCTGTCATAGCTCAACTATCTGTCTTCTCCTGGAAGTATCTAAAAATTCAAAGTATGGAAAGGTAGCATAGTAGAATCAGCTGGGACTTCAGCCCTGGATCCCAGTGTTGAAGTATAGTTAGCATTCTTTTACTACATGGAGTAATCTTTTTTCCTAATTTGGTGATACCTAAAAGTCTTTGAACCAGTATGACATTTAGGCCAATTTGTTCTAGTGCATGAATATACAAATATAGTCTCCAATTTTACAACTCCAGAGAGCTGTTACTTTCACTGGGTATATCCAAACCCCATCTTCCTAGAAACTAGCCTGAATCAGCAATTTCACCACCTTCAAACCTGGTTTATTCCAACCCTAGCACTCTTATGCATCCGACTTTATGCAAAGTCTTAAAAGGTCAACAGGGCACATTAGAATACTGTCTCACTGTCCTTATATTAATAAATATTTCAAAATATAAGCTGTGGCCCCAAACCCCAGAATAGTTCAAACAAATGTCATGTTCCCTGAACATAGTGCATTTTATAATTTAAATCCACACTGCTGTTATTAGCCATATATAGCAGAACAAAAGCATGGTTTATGGTATTTTAGTCGTTAGTCTAGGGGATAATCAAGAAAACTGAAGAGATGGCAAGAAAACAGAATTTTGGTTTCAGCTTTTCCATGTTGTCACTCAGTCATTGTCAGCTACCTGCAATTTACAGCCTGATCTTAATATTTAGTTGGGATGGTTTAATAACATAGTCATGTGTTCCTCATCAAATCTCATAGAATACTCAACTTTCTTGAAAAGCCCCTTGCAGCTTCCAGTATGCTTCCCAAGCAGGTGGCTCTTCGAGGAATACTGAAAAGCAGTGTATATTCTGCCGGGTTTTCCCCCAAGAATTACCTTTCTTCCACATTTTATTCTTAGCCTGTGGCTAAATTTTGGTATTTTGAACCTATTTATCCTGGATAAAATTTCCAGGATAGGAAATCTTTAGTTGATACGAATTTATGAAAGGCCAGCAAAGAGTTAGAGAAAGTGGGAACAAGGAACAAAGGAAAATTAACAGAAAGAGAACAGCGTAAGAAAGAAAATAAGATTTAAAAATGCTTTCATGTGGTTTTGTAAAAAATATATATATACTAATATCCATTATGATAAATTTCCTAGTCAAGGAAGGATATTTTCCTGCTAAAGCGTGACCCAATTGCCAGAACGAAACATGTAGAGATTGAGAAATGGGATATCTGAGAGATAAACAACCTGGGAAAGCGGAAACTGTGTCCTTAACTACTTAGTGTCTAATGCAAAACCTGCACTCCAAAGCAGCGTTTGTTTTAAGGTGAGCCTAACAGGGCTGTAGAGGTCATTGCCCTAGTAATGCACTAATGCATCTTGTGCCTCTTCAGATGGAACTCAGGAAGTGTGGCTGCTCTTCCTCTCGGGTTGTAGGGAACCTTGTGGCTTCAGCAAAGATTCCCTATTTTAGCCAAGCTCCAATCTCTGCTTATCTGCAGGTCTTTAGTTGACATGATTTCATCTATTCTTTCCCTACTGGCAAACTAAACATATAAATGAAAAAAGTAAACACACAAACACACGCATGTGCACACACACGGACACACAAAACCAAAAGAAGCATAAAACCTGCTAAAATTCCAAAAAGTAAAAGAAAAAATTAGCAAAATAATCTTAGTTGCTGAGTCTACATCTTCAGTGTAAGTGTACCTTCTATAATACATCCTTCAAGGTCAATCAGAAGGAACTGATTGCACCTGTAGGCTTTTCATTGTACTGTTTATGCTCTTATCTTTTAATATACCAAGTTATTTACATCCTTAAAACATTTTTTTTCTAAATTCAGTGCCCATTTGTATTCTGTTTCTAATGGAATCTACTTCAAACTTCCTTGACTAGGAAATTTATCATAATGGATATTAGTATATATATATTTTTTACAAAACCACATGAAAGCATTTTTAAATCTTATTTTCTTTCTTACACTGTTCTCTTTCTGTTAATTTTCCTTTGTTCCTTGTTCCCACTTTCTCTAACTCTTTGCTGGCCTTTCATAAATTCGTATCAACTAAAGATTTCCTATCCTGGAAATTTTATCTTCTCACTCAAATGCTACCTGAGGTCAAAACTTTGAAGAAAGTAATTACTCTAAGGTAGCTTAGTAGGCGGGAAGAAAGAACAGGGGTTTGAAAATATGAAGCTTCTTTCTTACCCAAAACATGTAACTTATCCAAAAAGAAACAATACTTTTGTTGTTAGGCTCAATAATAGAAGACCTTCCATTTCTATACATTGGAGACAATTATATTGAATCTCTCTACTATTATTATTACTACTAACTACACCCTAACTACTATAAATTAGTTTCATTTATATATAACTGAAAGTATGTAAAATAATGTAATGAAAAAATGAAAGGAGACAATATCTGCACATTTAATACATTTCCTTTACCTAAATTCTTTCAGTAACATACATTTCTCTATTTTATTCTCAGTCCCTGAACTTCATGGGAAAAACAAGCCATTGATCTCTTACGTAGGGGATTCTACTGTCTTGACATGTAAATGTCAAAATTGTTTTCCTTTAAATTGGACCTGGTACAGTAGTAATGGGAGTGTAAAGGTAAGATATTTCCTTGATTTGAAGAAAACAACAACAACAAAAAACATTTATTTAATAAATAACAAGATTGTAACAGACTCAGCATTCCTAAGATGATTTATACTTTTGTTACCTTGTTGTTTAGCTTATGTTCATAAAGAAAGAGCAGTGACAAACGGAGTTGTCATTTGATGGTTTTTGGCATGTTTGCATTATACATATGAAGATACTCGTAACTTTTCATTAGCTTGTACTTTGTTTTTTAGGTTTAACAATTTAATTACATTCTTTGAAAAGAAATTACATTTTGTGTATAGTTGCCTAGTTTAGGAATAACCCCATTAGAAAATACTCTTTTGAAAATCATTCCATGAAAGTAACTAGAAAAAATGCTAGACACCTTTTTTGGGCTTCTGTCTCCTGAAACATCTGTGATAGAATGCAAAATAATGGCACTATTTGAGAAAATAATGAAAACTTTGTAACTTAATCTTACCTCTTAGGTTCTATCAGTAAGTGTTATTGGCCTTTTCAAGCTACCTGAGAGAAGCCTAATACTTTTAATTGCTTTTTTACTAAGATAAATCGCTATTCAAAGAGCTGACATTAAGAAAAACATGAGTATTTTATAAATAATTCCTGGTTTCCTTTCTTCTCCCCAAATCGCCTCTAATGGCAGGAAAATTTAGGACATTGTCCTTTAGGAGACACCCTTCCTCTGCCCTGGCACTAATAAGCATTACAATTAAAGTCCTGTTAAAGGCAAGCTATAATTGTAGAAGGAACATATGAGACAGTGTAGATGTTACAATGAAATATTAAATTCCTTCTTAGACAAAATTGGCGTTATTATAGACTATTGAAGGATGATAGATGACTCAGAAGGGAGTGTGACTTACTCTGTGCTAACAGGTTTAGTTTTTCAATGAAATAGTTCCAACCAAATCCCACAGATGCAGACTGAAGCCATTCCTACTCCTGCTTGTCTTCTGATGGATGATGAGGAAAGGCAATCATTGTGTATATGTAATTTTTTTTCAAAAAGTATAATTTTGTAAAAACAAATGTCAACTGTGGTATTTGAAATACACAGCTTTATTTATTGATGTGTATGTGGTACAACAATACGTGAAAAACATTAGCCTTCATCTAATTATATCAGATGTTGAAAATGTCATTTTAGACATACTGGTGCTTTTGTCCATTGCTATACTAGTCATTATCCTCTTAATTTAACTCTAAGCATGAGTCGTATTAGAGTGTGAGAAAAGTTTGGGGAACAGGGCGCAGGTCAAAACTTGAGCACAAATGCGTTTTCAAAATGTAGACCAACCAGGTGCATCAGAATCAGCTGGGTACTTATTAAAAATATGGTACTTTGATTGATTAGCTCTGACCAATCGGTACCAAACATTCCAGGCAGTGTTGTGCACATGGTGCCAGGTTGCTGTAATTTTTTTGTTTTTTGCACAAATAATATACTCACAGATAGTTCTTCCTTGGATAAGCTCTGAGAATATTTGTATGCAGATTAGCATTTATTGAATAGTACGGTTGAGTGATGGAGCAGGGAAAGCATCAAATGGCTTGGGAATAAAATTTAATTTAAATAGATTAAATAAAACAGCCCCAAATAGCTTAGTATGGCACCTTGTGAGTCTGTGGAAAACCCTGCAAATCTTAGAAGCCAGCTTATCTGAGAGAGAAAGAAATTCAGATATGAAAAGACAGAAGGTGTGCAGTTCACTTCAGACCCCAGGCTCACAGAGGGTCCCCTCCATTCTATCTACATCAGCTCCAAAAGGCCTGAAAGTTTCATCTTCATTTCTAGCCTGGGGAAATCACATTGTCTGAGTGAGCGATTTTCCTGTATAGAAATGATCAGAAATAGTAGCTTCCAGGGTGGTAGTTGTTTGAATATGTGCCTGTGCTTGTGAAGGAAAAAGTACTTTGACTAAAGCACTAGGCAGGGATAGGAATGTGAGACTCAGATGACTGGGATTTTTCTGTTTTTAATTCTTCTATAATACTTAGCTATGATGACCTATTTGCTTCTTTGTAGTTTTAAACATTCAGTGCTAAATCCTTATCGCAATGTATACATTTTTTCTTTGTTTGCTCCCTGGGAGATCAAACTCTGATAAGACTTAAGTGTGTTATAGATAACCTCTCACAAATTTTAATATGCCTTTCTCTAGTAAGCAATGTTGTTGGCATTATCTTATAGCTTTCACTGAAAAACTATATCATGTATCTTTTATGTACTATGATAGGAATGGATTTTAATGTCTCCTCACATTAGGTTCCTGTTGGTGTTCAAATGAATAAATATGT
Source organism: Homo sapiens (assembly GCF_000001405.40). NCBI lineage: Eukaryota > Metazoa > Chordata > Mammalia > Primates > Hominidae > Homo > Homo sapiens. The sequence continues at coordinate 121,564,669 of NC_000001.11, forward strand.
GATCAATGGAACATATGCTAATGAAACAAAGCTGAAGATAACACAACTTTTGGAGGAAGATGGGGGATTTTACTGGTGCCATGCACTATTCCAATTAGACGAGAGTGAAGAACACATTGAGCTTGTGGTGCTGAGCTATTTGGTGCCCCTCAAACCATTTCTTGCAATAGTGGCTGAGGTGATTCTTTTAGTGGCCACCATTCTGCTTTGTGAAAAGTACACACAAAAGAAAAAGAAGCACTCAGGTGGGATTTCTTTTTTTTTTGTTTTGTTTTTTTCGAAAGTATTATCAGTTAATTATAAGTATTATTTACTTATGATATGGATTATGATTTGATACATTGCAATGACTTTAGGATTTTTGGGGAAAATCTTCATTTTCTTATTTGGAGCAGTATTTAGGTTTACAACAATGGTGACAGTGAGCTGGAAACATATCAATGGTCTTCCTGTTTCAATTCCTGAAAAAACTTAGTATTAAAAATGCCTTTTTTCTTTCTCTTCCCTGCCCCCTGCCCAACCCCCCACCTTTTTTTTTTGGTGCTACTGGTACCTAAGTACCAATTAGGTGATATGTATTCTGGCACTGGAATATTCGGAAAATCTATGATAGCTTAATATAAAAAGTCTCAAAGAAACAATTTTTCTTTCACTTAGATTATCATTTAAAAAATATTTTATTAACCATTCCAGAGTTCTCATTAAAGAGAGACCATCCTGTCATTTCCTATTTTTGCAGCCTGTGCCTGATGGGTTACAGGTTGATAAAGCAGTAATCCTAGAGAAAATTGACCTTACATCCTGTGTTCTTTCCTGATTTTATACTAAATTTTTAATGATTTAAATAATGACAAACTAAGCAGTCATGTTTTTGAAAATATCAGGCCACTAAACTATGTTTGATCAGAAATGCAGATAAGGTCTGTAGTGCAACTAAAGGAGGTGTAGGTGTTTAAGGTAGCATGTCTCTCCTTCATTCCAAACAAGAGAAACAGCATAGTACTTTCTTACTTAGGAAGGAGGTTTAATTGAGCATATACGTTCCATAAAAATGACAAACCAACTTCATAGTCAAATTCTTCTTTTGTTACACAGATGAGGGGAAAGAATTTGAGCAGATTGAACAGCTGTAAGTATTATTTTTTACAGATTAATTTTCGCTTGAGTAAAATACAGGGAAATATAAAATTGAATGAAATGTTTGCAGTTGGGGGAAAAAAGGCAGAGGAGTATTTTCTGTATATGCCCACGTGGTGGTGGAAAGTGGCATTCCAAGTCTGCCTGCCTGCGTGAGAATTCTTCTTCATCACTTACTACCTGCACTTCTCTGTACTTCAGCTTTCTTCTCTACAAAATGGATTTAATAATAGTACTCACCATATGAGGTTGTTGGATGGAATGAATATTATATATGTGTAAATGCATAGCATAGGTTATGGTGCACAGGTGTGCAGTAACCATCAGGAAGTATTTAATATTATTTTTTTAAAGCAATAGTTCTCAAGCCTGGCAATTTTTGATCACTTAAGAGTCTCTTTAAAAATACAGTTGCTCAGACCTTGCTGAATCTCCTGGACCAGAACCTCTTGGGTTGGGTCTGTGGCATCTGTATTTCTTGAAGACATCTACAAATGGTTTTGATCCTCTGTCTGTTGAAAATCACTGGCCTAGAATTCTATTAGTTATTATTATTCAGAGAACACAAATTATGTCACAGGTTCTCTTACACAGCCTTTGTTTAGAGTTAAGCATGAGTAGGTCTGGAAATAAAATCACCAGGGATGTAATTTAGTTTGGCAAAGATGGGAGTTCCGGATTCCTCCAAGCCAGAGAACTGAGTATGGAGGCTAGTGACAGAGGTGTCTAAGACTGGGATTAAAGCCTGAGCAATAGAGCCAAGGGCTGGGGGCCAGGAAAACGAGGCTAGATTAAAGTTGCTGCAAGAAACCTGAGACGTGGAAGGCCTGAGCAAGTATAACTAACACAAAATGGCACTTAGAGTTTATCAGCCAACAGGAGCTCTATGGAGTGAGTGTTATAGGCACGGATAGCAGGAGTGGAGCAGACAGTTGTCATTTAGATGTTTGTAGACATTATTCAAATAATCATGTTCACTCTGTTCACATAGGCTGGTAAAATAAACCAATATGATATGAGCTTCCAAGTTAAGGGCACAAAATAACTACGTCAGAAATCCTATAACACCAGATAGAGAAAAGCAGTGTTGTCTTAGAATCATAGACTCGCATAGTTGGAAGGGAATTGTATCTCTCCCAAGGGAATCCCTTCTCTTTCTGGAGAATGTAGACATCTTATTTATGTTGATTTGAACTTCTAATCTTTCCTGTTTCCATGTATTGGCCTTTTTCTTGTTCTTAGCATCATATAACAAACGTGACAGTCATTGACATACCTTGCTCGGATTCCTCTATTCTCTGAGCTGTGCCTCCCACTGTCTCTAACCATTCCTCTGAGCTCACATTTGGAAGTTGCATTCTGATTTAAAACACACTCTGAAAGGATGGTGCCAGAACAGTGTGGAATGGACCATCACTTCTGAACAATGTAAAATGGATTCAATCTATAGTGTAAAAGATGAATTATTTTTCTGAAAATTGGGTTAATGTACATCATTTTGCTCATCTTGTACAGCACCATAAGGATCACTGAAGGTGTTTAGTTTTTCTTTAGGTTATTTCACTATCTTTAGATTGTATACAGATATCAAGGACACTTGAACTCATTCAGAACAATGAGCTTTTTGGTGCCCCTCAAACCATTTCTTGCAATAGTTGCTGAGGTGTTTTCTTAGTGGCCATTATTCTGCTTTTGAAGAGTACACACAAAAGAAAAAAGCACTCAGGTGGGATTTCTTTTTTTTAGAAAATATTATCAGTTAATTATAAGTAACACTGTCTTATGATATGCATTATGATGTGATAATTGAAGCCTGCCCCCAAGACCTTGAAGGGCAAGGTATTCATTATGCGTACTGGTTATTTAGTTTTCGTCAATCTTTAGAATCTGAGGCCCACATTTGTAGTCCTGCTCTGATAAACTTTGGGTGGAAAAAGAACCATTTTTAAAACCTCTATTTCAGTGTAATAAGCATACAAATGTATAGCACCAATATCACACATGTTGGTTGACCTCCTAATTGGCTATTAGCTTGCATGTTTCCAAAACCACACATAAGTTATGGTCTTTATGCCCAAGTCCTCACTTATGCTTGGGGAGAAGCAATTCTCCCTGTGCATAAAATCAACAAGCCTTTGTCACTATCATTTGTGGTAACAGCTCCTCTTCAAGCAATGCCATAAAAATAAATTCAACATTGTAAGTAAAACATTTTTAGGAAGAAAGAATTCTGTCTGTATTGACATTTTACATTTTAACCTGATAGCCATATCAGTGATGTACTGACTTAATTTTATATAATATAAGCATTTAGTAATTTTCTTTTTTGTTTTCTGTACAGGAAATCAGATGATAGCAATGGTATAGAAAATAATGTCCCCAGGCATAGAAAAAATGTAAGTTACTTCTGAATGATATTCCAAATAAAAGGTAAAATTCAATATACATAGGCTATCTATTAATCAATTACTTTTTTTAGTTCCATAAAAGATCTGGTCATTTATGATGTGCTCAAATATGCTTGTTTACACTATTATAGGGGAAAATATGCAGTATAGTTATACAAAAATAAATACTTTCCTTTTCCACCAGAGGACACATAGCAACCAATCTAGAAGTAAATCTTTTGCAGTGGCTACATATTTTATTTTATCACCATGGACTAGTTTCTTTTACAATTTTTCATGTAGCTTTATTTGTTTTCCTCCCAAATTTTCTGGATTTTCTGTTATTTTAGTTTCATGTATTCCCATGTATTTGGGGGTGTAAACTTATGCATATAAGCTAACTTTCTTTGCTGATTAGATTCAAAATTTTTAGTTCATCAACATTACAGTAGGAGCTCTTTGTTTTGGTAGTAGATTGGATCCCTCACTTCCCAGTATTTTTTGCTTTGCTAAAGTGATAGTAAGTTACTGTAAAATAACCAGAACATACTAATTATATTTGATTATGCTTTATTTAACTCAGGAGTCTCTGGGCCAGTGAATACAAAACATCATGTCGAGAATCATTGGAAGATATACAGAGTTCGTATTTCAGCTTTGTTTATCCTTCCTATTAAGAGCCTCTGAGTTTTTAGTTTTAAAAGGATGAAAAGCTTATGCAACATGCTCAGCAGGAGCTTCATCAATGATATATGCTATCTCAGATCTAAAGGTATATTTTCATTCTATAATTATGTTACATAAAAGCAATGTAAATCAGAATAAATATGTTAGACCAGAATAAAATTAATTATATTCTGGTCTCCAAAGGACACACAGAACAGATATCAGCAGAATCACTTAATATTTCATAGAACAAAAATCACTCAAAACCTGTCTATAACCAAAGAATTCATGAAAAAGCCTTTGTCATTTGTCTTAGAAAGTTATTTTTTAAAAAAATCATGCTTACTATTAGTATCTATGGAAGTATATGTAACAATTTTTATGTAAAGGTCATCTTTCTGTGATAGTGAAAAAATATGTCTTTACTAAGTTGAAATGAATACTTTCTGCCTTTGCTAATGATAGTTATTCTATAATCTCCACAAGAAAAACATACCTTTTATCCAGAAATATTGGTTTAAGGCAAATAAATAAAACTGTGCTTGCTCTAAAGCTCTGCACTACAAAAGCAAATTTTCCAGTCTTTATTCCACTCATAACCACTGCTTTCCCCACCAGGCTAAAGTGCTTCTTAGTCTTTAGGTAGGGTTTTGAACTTCATAAGGTACACCGTTGTTCATGTTTTAGGGTGCAGGTCTGTATAGTTGTAATACTTAAAATACTGCTATACTGATGCTTTTGTGGCTCATGGTTTCCTGCTGTCTTTGATTTAACACCTGGCTTCCTGGTATCTATGACTGGTTAAATATCTAAACCTGCATTATTAGTGCTTTACAATAATAATTCCCTTGACTGAAGTCCAGAAGTACTAAAGTACTTCTTTTTTATTGCTGTGAATGCCTTAGACTTACCTTCAAAAGTAGGATACTTCATTTCTATTGCATATATAACTGAAATATTTTATAAACTCACTGTAATCAAATCTTATAAAATCTGAATCGACACGAAAAGTTGTCAGTGCTTGAATGAAATACTAAAATCATGCCACAGGATACTAGATAATGTAAATGACCATGATGTGTCCTTGGAGCTGATGGGTGTAGTGTCCCACTGCTCACAGGGCAACAACTTTAATAACAGAAGCAAAAAGTGGTGGTGTGGAACCCAAGATTCTTGGCGACTAGGGGATTTAAAGGTTGGGGAGGAGGAATTCAATGATTTGAAAAGAAATACTTTATAAAAATTTGCTCCATGTATTGGCTAAGAAAAATATAATAAAATTTGGTAGTGAAAATTATATCGCTAATGTTTACCAGTATTACTAGTATGAATAATACACATAAGGTAGTGACTTGGAAGCTGCTCAATACTTCGTTGCTATAACAAAATGCAATATTTTGTTGTAAAGCATCTTAACTACACATATAAGTTTGCTGAACTTGAATACATCCCAGTAATGGCAAACTTTATTTTATTCTTGGTTTTCATTTTATTCTGGTCTCAGGGCCATACATTTATTTTAGTTTAATTAATTATTATTTTGACAACATTACTCGGGTGATATCTATATAATGGTAGATAACCAATCAGTTAGCTTAATTAATCTAAACTATTTGAATTCAGGGAAATATTAGTCAAATCTGCTGTTTGACTAAATACAATTCAAAGCAATATATTTGTGACTGGGAATATAGAACACAAGGAAACAAATGCGTAGCCCATCTGCAGTATGCATTCTTCCATTTTACAACCACTAACCATTGAGGCTGATACAATTTTCAAGCAAGAAGCATTGCTTCCCAAAGGTAAAATAATCAGAAATATTTCTATAGTAAATTGAATTTTTAATTGGCAATACTGCTTATTTTTTTCTAGCAAAGACAATTTATTTCAGTAACCTTAAATAGGAAAAGTACTCAAAAATTAAAGTTGATTTTTTGGCTTTTTGTAGTCTCTCTAGAGGTCTTCTAGAAAATTACCACTGTTGGATTTTAATCTGCTTCCATTAACCAATCTTACAGAGATGATAAATGGATTAATACTGACCAACTATAAATTGACTGCAAATAATAAGCCACATAAAAGCTGAAGTAGGAAAACTACTCCAAGTTTATATATTAGGCACCTTGGGGAATTCTCTTAGTCTTTCCAGCTAACAAGGATTTTCAGCATAATAAGTAGATTTAATGATGGCATAAAATTCCCAGATACTTTCATATACATTTTTTGCCAAAGTGTAAATCTTCTCCTTTTGCAGTCTTTTTATTATCCCAACATCTAGCTGCTCAGGCCCCAATCTAGAACTCATTCTGATATTTTCTTCTTCTGTATTAATTAATACTTATGGGTCATGAATCCCTGCTCCTTTGACCTTTTTAATAGCTCATGAATCCACCCCATTGCCTCCCCAACTCTGCCCACACCAGCTGCAACAGCTAATGCCTTGATTTTCCTACCTCAGTCTCCTTTTCTATTAATCCCTCTTTTGCATGGCTGCTTGAGTCCACTTTCTCAAACACAAACCTCACTATGCAACTTTGGAATCTCTGTAGGCTTACCTTTGCCATTTCTTAATATTGCATTCTCCAAATTGCTAATCTCTATCCAGTCTCTTGAACTAGACTTGGTACATGGAGATTCCGCTCAGAAAGTGCTCTTCACACTTCTACCTGCTTGACTAACCCCAGATTATCTTTCAAGACTTTAATCTGATCTTGTGTCTTAGAGAAGCCCCCATACCTAGTAGAGCATGTACCATCTTACATGCTTAAGTAACTCCACATTTATTTGTGTTTATTACTCTGTGTTATAAATATACATTTGTTGGTCTCTCTCTTGGATTATTTTCTTTCTTTGTCCTGTAACTACCACTGAAAGGGTGCAATACAGATGTCTTGAAATGTGTGTTGAATGGATGAATATATAAATAAAAATGAAATTTTGTAAATTTCTACTTATTCTTAGAAAAACAATCTAAATTGTGACAAATCAGAATTGAAAAAAATATTCTAATAAAGAAAAACAAGCTTTTATAGCTTCAGTATTTGCTTCTTTTACTTTGAAAAACACATAGAATAGTATAAAGGTCTAGTCATATTTTCTGTAATAATGAATTAGTGTCTTGTGAGCAAAACGAGTTCTAATTCTAAACTATTACTAACTATTACACAGATTGTGTTGCTTTCAACTTATTTAAATTTCCTTTGTTCTTCATGTTTCATGGACAGTACAAATGCAAACCTTATTTTTATCCTTTATTCTAATAAGATAATGCATTGATTTTTAAATGTAAGGAATTTTAGGCCAGGCATGGTGGCTCACACCTATAATCTCAGAACTTTGGGAGGCCAAGGAGGATGGATCACATGAGGATAGGAACTTGAGACCAGCCTGGGCAACATAGTAAGACTCTGTCTGTACAAAAAATAAAAAAGAAATTAGCCAGGCATGGTACTTGCCTGTAGCTCCAGCTACTTGGGTGGCTGAGGCGGGAGGATTACTTGAGCCCAGGAGTTTGATGCTGCACTGAGCTATGATTGCCACTGCACTTCAGCCTGGGAGACAGAGGAAGACCCTGTATCTGTTCCCCCCGAAATTTAGCGATTGTATTCCTTTACATCATACAGTAGAGAGTTGATGTTTGTGTTCACTCCACTAACCTCATTCCACGTTCCCCTGCCAGTATACTTCAGAATATCTCAGATCCAATTCAAAATTTCATCTTAAAAGGTAGAATTATTTTCACAGTTTCACAGTTTAGTTTTGATTACTGAAAGCATTTCTTTCATTTTGTCTAATTGAACAAATTTATGCAAAGAATTGGGGACTTATTCCTCATTAGTATTGTTCATCTACAGGTGGAAATAAGTTCAAGTATGTGTTGCAGTATTAATTAAAGGCAAAGTGACCTACTTGTATTATATTCTGAATAAATAATGAATGAAAAATAGAAGAATGACTCAGTTATTTTAGACTCTTAAGTTATACAGATTTATGTAATGTCTATTTTGATTTTTATTAATTAACCATGAATTTATCCTACTCTAGTATTGAGAAAAAGAAAATGGAACTATGGGCCCTTCTTTCAAATGATACTTAGGAATGTATCTGCACTGTATCCAGAAGGTCAGTTACATGCCCTGTTACCAATTGAATTCTGCTTCACTAAGGATAATAATAACTGACATTGAGTGCATGGCACATGATGGGCACTGTGCAAAATGCTTTGACATGTTGTGTTCATTTAATCCACACAATGGTCCTATGCTATAAAAACAGTTAATATCTACTTTTTTATAGATGAGGAAACTCCAGCTTAGAGAGATTAGGTAAGCTGTCTAAAGTCACCCTGCCTGTAAGTGTTTAGAGCTGAGATTCACATTCACGGAGTCCTCCTGAAGAACCTAGGATTAACCACTATGTTGAACAGCTTTGGCCTGCAAATTACATGCTTCTTAGAAAATGAGGCTATTATCTATAATCTGTATTTTTTAATATCAATTTTATTCCTTTCAACTGGTCAGTTATATCATAAATTCCACGGAATTTTTATAGAACCCATGCTTTGCCACTCTTGTATCCCTATAGTGGTGCTGGGGAATAAAGACACATTTATTTGCCTTAGCACTCTTTCTTTCTTTTTTTTTTTTTTGTAATTTTACTTATAAATTGGGAGGGTGGCCATAAAATTTATCATCCAACCACTGAAAGTGAAAGAAGGTGCTATTTATGATTTCCCCAGGACAACAGGCAGAAAATACTCTCTGGTCATACATTTAGCCTGCAGAGAGAATTTAAGTACATTATGGATAGTCTGCCATAGACACAGCAGTAGCATCTGCAACAAGTGAATGATAAATATGTATACATATGTAACTAACCTGCACATTGTGCACATGTACCCTAAAACTTAAAGTATAATAATAATAAAAATAAAACAATCAACTTTCAGGGAAATAGCCATTTTTAGAAAACATAGGGAAATAGCCATTTTAAGTAAATGTCAGGTGAGTCTCACTATAAACTGCCTATAATGAGACAGTTTAGTAAGCTTAAAGTTTTATTAATTCCCAAAAGCATCTAATAGGTTGAGATTTATTGGCATTCAAAAGTATGATTCACAAATTGTAAGAGAAGCTGGCAAAGTCATGTTTTTGCTGGCCTATGGAATGCACCGGAGAATTCTTTGGACTTGCATATCTTCTGATTCATGTGTCATAATAATAATGTCTGTGTGATTCTCAGTGAATCATGAATGCGTGATTATGCTTTTACAATAAAATTTGTTTATGAAGTCAGTGAAGATAATTCATGAATAACATTGTCAAAATTACTTTTAATCACATGATTAACCTGCAACAACTATGTATATTATTTTTTATGTGTTGGCTTATTATGTTCAAAAACTTTGTTTATAAAAACTGATTTTGCAGAGGGAGGAGCCAAGATGGCCGAACAGGAACAGCTCCGGTCTACAGCTCCCAGCGTGAGCAATGCAGAAGACGGGTGATTTCTGCATTTCCATCTGAGGTACCGGGTTCATCTCACTAGGGAGTGCCAGACAGTGGGCGCAGGTCAGTGGGTGCAGTGCACTGTGCGTGAGCCAAAGCAGGGCGACACATTGCCTCACTCTGGAAGCGCAAGGGGTCAGGGAGTTCCCTTTCCTGGTCAAGGAAAGGGGTGACAGACGGCACCTGGAAAATCGGGTCACTCCCACCCGAATACTGCACTTTTCCAATGGGCTTAGGAAACGGCACACCAGGAGATTGTATCCCGCACCTGGCTCGGAGGGTCCTACGACCACAGAGTCTCACTGATTGCTAGCACAGCAGTCTGAGATCAAACTACAAGGCAGCAGCGAGGCTGGGGGAGGGGCGCCCGCCATTGCCCAGGCTTGCTTAGGTAAACAAAGCAGCCAGTAAGCTCGAACTGGATGGAGCCCACCACAGCTCAAGGAGGCCTGCCGGCCTCTCTAGGCTCCACCTCTGGGGGCAGGGCACAGACAAATAAAAAGACAGCAGTAACCTCTGCAGACTTAAATGTCCCTGTCTGACAGCTTTGAGGAGAGCAGTGGTTCTCCCAGCATGCAGCTGGAGATCTGAGAACGGGCAGACTGCCTCCTCAAGTGGGTCCCTGACCCCTGACCCCTGAGCAGCCTAACTGGGAGGCACCCCCCAGTAGGGGCAGACTGACACCTCACATGGCCAGGTACTCCTCTGGGACAAAACTTCCAGAGGAACAATCAGACAGCAGCATTTGTGGTTCATGAAAATCCGCTGTTCTGTAGACACCGCTGCTGACACCCAGGCAAAGAAGGTCTGGAGTGGACCTCTAGCAAACCCCAACAGACCTGCAGCTGAGGGTCCTGTCTGTTAGAAGGAAAACTAACAAACAGAAAGGACATCCACACCCAAAACCCTTCTGTACATCACCATCATCAAAGACCAGAGGTAGATAAAACCACAAAGATGGGGAAAAAACAGAGCAGAAAAACTGAAAACTCTAAAAAGCAGAGTTCCTCCTCCAAAGGAACGCAGTTCCTCACCAGCAACGGAACAAAGTTGGATGGAGAATGACTTTGATGAGTTGAGAGAAGGCTTCAGACAATCAAACTACTGCAAGCTACAGGAGGAAATTTGAACCAAAGACAAAGAAGTTGAAAACTTTGAAAAAAATTTAGACGAATATATAACTAGAATAACCAATACAGAGAAGTGCTTAAAGGAGCTGATGGAGCTGAAAGCCAAGGCTCGAGAACTACGTGAAGAATGCAGAAGCCTCAGGAGCCGATGCGGTCAACTGGAAGAAAGGGTATCAGTGGTGGAAGATGAAATAAATGAAATGAAGCAGGAAGGGAAGTTTAGAGAAAAAAGAATAAAAAGAAACTAACAAAGCCTCCAAGAAATATGGGACTATGTGAAAAGACCAAATCTACATCTGATTGGTGTACCTGAAAGTGACGGGGAGAATGGAACCAAGTTGGAAAACACTCAGCAGGATATTATCCAGGAGAACTTCCCCAATCTAGCAAGGCAGGCCAACATTCAGATTCAGGAAATACAGAGAACGCCACAAAGATACTCCTCGGGAGGAGCAACTCCAAGACACATAATTGTCAGATTCACCAAAGTTGAAATGAAGGAAAAAATGTTAAGGGCAGCCAGAGAGAAAGCTCAGGTTACCCACAAAGGGAAGCCCGTCAGACTCATAGCTGATCTCTCGGCAGAAACTCTACAAGCCAGAAGAGGGTGGGGGCCAATATTCAACATTCTTAAAGAAAAGAATTTACACCCCAGAATTTCATATCCAGCCAAACTAAGCTTCATAAGTGAAGGAGAAATAAAATACTTCACAGACAAGCAAATGGTGAGAGATTTTGTTACCACCAGGCCTGCCCTAAAAGAGCTCCTGAAGGAAGCACTAAACATGGAAAGGAACAACTGGTACCAGCCACTGGAAAATCATGCCAAAATGTAAAGTCCATCAAGACTAGGAAGAAACTGCATCAACTAATGAGCAAAATCACCAGCTAACATCATAATGACAGGATCAAATTCACACATAACAATATTAACTTTAAATGTAAATGGACTAAATGCTCCAATTAAAAGACACAGACTGGCAAATTGGATAAAGAGTCAAGACCCATCAGTGTGCTGTATTCGGGAAACCCATCTCACGTGCAGAGACACACATAGGCTCAAAATAAAAGGATGGAGGAAGATCTATCAATCAAATGGAAAACAAAAAAAGGCGGGTTGAAATCCTAGTCTCTGATAGACTTTAAACCAACAAAGATCAAAAGAGACAAAGCAGGCCATTACATAATGGTAAAGGGATCAACTCAACAAGAAGAGCTAACTATCCTAAATATACATGCACCCAATACAGGAGCACCCAGTTTCATAAAGCAAGTCCTGAGTGACCTACAAAGAGACTTAGACTCCCACACAATAATAATGGGAGACTTTAACACCCCACTGTCAACATTAGACAGATCTACGAGACAGAAAGTCAGCAAGGATACCCAGGAATTGAACTCAGCTCTGCACCAAGCGGACCTAATAGACATCTACAGAACTCTCCACCCCAAATCAACAGTATACATTTTTTTCAGCACCACACCACACTTATTCCAAAAATGACCACATAGTTGGAAGTAAAGCTCTCCTCAGCAAATGTAAAAGAACAGAAATTATAACAAACTGTCTTTCAGACCAAAGTGCAATCAAACTAGAACTCAGGATTAAGAAACTCACTCAAAACCGCTCAACTACATGGAAACAGAACAACCTGCTCCTGAATGATTACTGGGTACATAATGAAATGAAGGCAGAAATAAAGATGTTGTTTGAAACCAATGAGAATAAAGACACAACATACCAGAATCTCTGGGACACATTCAAAGCAGTGTGTAGAGGGAAATTTATAGCACTAAATGCCCACAAGAGGAAGCAGGAAAGATCCAAAATTGACACCCTAACATCACAATTAAAAGAACTAGAAAAGCAAGAGCAAACACATTGAAAAGCTAGCAGAAGGCAAGAAATAACTAAAATCAGAGCAGAACTGAGGGCAATAGAGACAAAAAACCCTTCAAAAAATTAATGAATCCAGGAGCTGGTTTTTTGAAAGGATCAAAAAAATTGATAGACCGCTAGCAAGACTAATAAAGAAAAAAAGAAGAATCAAATAGACACAATAAAAAATGATAAAGGGGATATCACCACCGATCCCACAGAAATACAAACTACCATCAGAGAATACTACAAACACCTCTACGGAAATAAACTAGAAAATCTAGAAGAAATAGATAAATTCTTCGACACATACACTCTCCCAAGACTAAACCAGGAAGAAGTTGAATCTCTGAATAGACCAATAACAGGCTCTGAAATTGTGGCAATAATCAATAGCTTACCAACCAAAAAGAGTACAGGACCAGCTGGATTCACAGCCGAATTCTACCAGAGGTACAAGGAGGAGCTGGTACCATTCCTTCTGAAACTATTCCAATCAATAGAAAAAGAGGGAATCCTCCCTAACTCATTTTATGAGGCCAGCATCATCCTGATACCAAAGCCGGGCAGAGACACAACTAAAAAAGAGAATTTTAGACCAATATCCTTGATGAACATTGATGCAAAATCCTCAATAAAACACTGGCAAACCGAATCTAGCAGCACATCAAAAAGCTTATCCACCATGATCAAGTGGGCTTCATCCCTGGGATGCAAGGCTGGTTCAGCATATGAAAATCAATAAACGTAATCCAGCATATAAACAGAACCAATGACAAAAACCATATGATTATCTCAATAGGTGCAGAAAAGTCCTTTGACAAAATTCAACAACCTTCATGCTAAAAACTGTCAATAAATCAGGTATTGATGGGACGTATCTAAAAATAATTAGAGCTATCTATGACAAACCCACAGCCAATATCACACTGAATGGGCAAAAACTGGAAGCATTCTCTTTGAAAACTGGCAAAAGACAGGGATGCCCTCTCTCATCACTCCTATTCAACATAGTGTTGGAAGTTCTGGCCAGGGCAATTAGGCAGGAGAAGAAAATAAAGGGTATTCAATTAGGAAAAGAGGAAGTCAAATTGTCCCTGTTTTCAGACGAAATGATTGTATATGTAGAAAACCCCGTTGTCTCAGCCCAAAATCTCCTTAAGCTGATAAGCAACTTCAACAAAGTCTCAGGATACAAAATCAATGTGCAAAAATCACAGGCATTCTTATACACCAATAACAGACAAACAGAGAGCCAAATCATGAGTGAACTCCCATACACAATTGCTTCAAAGAGAAGAAAATACCTAGGAATCCAACTTCCAAGGGACGTGAAGGACTTCTTCAAGGAGAACTACAAACCACTGCTCAAGGAAATAAAAGAGGATAGAAACAAATGGAAGAACATTCCATGCTCAAGGGTAGGAAGAATCAATATCGTGAAAATGGCCATACTGCCCAAGGTAATTTATAGATTCAATGCCATCCCCATCAAGTTACCAATGACTTTCTTCACAGAATTGGAAAAAACTACTTTAAAGTTCATATGGAACCAAGAAAGAGCCTGCATCACCAAGTCAATCCTAAGCCAAAAGAACAAAGCTGGAGGCATCATACTACCTGACTTCAAACTATACTACAAGGCTACAGTAACCAAAACAGCATGGTACTGGTACCAAAACAGAGATATAGATCAATGGAACAGAGCACAGCCCTCAGAAATAACGCTGCATATCTACAACTATCTGATCTTTGACAAACCTGAGAAAAACAAGCAGTGGGGAAGGGATTCCCTATTTAATAAATGGTGCTGGGAAAACTGGCTAGCCATATGTAGAAAGCTGAAATGGGATCCCTTCCTTACACCTTACACAAAAATTAATTCAAGATGGATTAAAGACTTAAACGTTAGACCTAAAACCATAAAAGCCCTAGAAGAAAACCTAGGCATTACCATTCAGGACATAGGCATGGGCAAGGACTTTATGTCTAAAACACCAAAAGCAATGGCAACAAAAGACAAAATTGACAAATGGGATCTAATTAAACTAAAGAGCTTCTGCACAGCAAAAGAAACTACCATCAGAGTGAACAGGCAACCTACAAAATGGGAGAAAATTTTCACAACCTACTCATCTGACAAAGGGCTAATATCCAGAATCTACAATGAACTCAAATTTCGAAGAAAAAAACAAACAACCCCATCAAAAAGTGGGCAAAGGATATGAACAGACACTTCTCAAAAGAAGACATGTATGCAGCCAAAAGACACATGAAAAAATGCTCATCATCACTGGCCATCAGAGAAATGAAAGTCAAAACCACAATGAGATACCATCTCACACCAAATAGAATGGCAATCATTAAAAAGTCAGGAAACAACAGGTGCTGGAGAGGATGTGGAGAAATAGAAACACTTTTACACTGTTGGTGGGACTGTAAACTAGTTCAACCATTGTGGAAGTCAGTGTGGCGATTCCTCAGGGATCTAGAACTAGAAATACCATTTGACCCAGCCATCCCATTACTGGGTATATACCCAAAGGACTATAAATCATGCTGTTATAAAGACACATGCACACGTACGTTTATTGTGGCACTATTCACAATAGCAAAGACTTGGAATTAACCCAAGTGTCCAACAATGATAGACTGGATTAAGAAAATGTGGTACATATACACCATGGAATACTATGCAGCCATAAAAAATGATGAGTTCACGTCCTTTGTAGGGACATGGATGAAATTGGAAGTCATCATTCTCAGTAAACTATCAGAAGGACAAAAACCAAACACCCCATGTTCTCATTCATAGATGGGAATTGAATAATGAGAACACATGGACACAGGAAGGGGAACATCACACTCTGGGGACTGTTGTGGGGTGGGGGGAGGGTGGAGGGATAGCATTAGGAGATATACCTAATGCTAAATGACGAGTTAATGGGTGCAGCACACCGGCATGGCACATGCATACATATGTAACTAAACTGCACATTGTGCACATGTACCCTAAAACTTAAAGTATAATAATAATAAAAAAACAAAAAAAACCTGATTTTGCTATTTAATTTTTAATTTACTTTAGAAAATAATGTAGCACAATGTTAGATTTATTACATATGTAACAATACTATTTAATGCTGCACAATCATAGCACATAATGTTTATAACTATAGCATTTTATGAACTGTCTTTGTGCTTTTAAAGAAAGAAATATCATAATCTTTAGTTTTATTTAAGTGAAGGATCATGGATTTGTTTTGACATACTTTCTAATAATTATAATGTTTTCCTTTGTAAGCATGTGTGCCTAAATTCTCACTGAGGGCTTTCTATACTGTGTAAATAGCACAGAAAATGTCTATATAGGAATGTTTAAAAAACATTTTCTGTTGCATGTAACTCAAAAGATACATCTAATATGCAGTTAAATTGAATAAAATAGTACTTTGTGAATTAAAAATTTAAGTATTGGAAAACATTGTCATGCTTTTTGTTTTTAATAGTGGTTTAAAAGAGAATAT
Organism: Homo sapiens; assembly: GCF_000001405.40. Classification (NCBI taxonomy): domain Eukaryota; kingdom Metazoa; phylum Chordata; class Mammalia; order Primates; family Hominidae; genus Homo; species Homo sapiens. Next base: position 121,580,905 of record NC_000001.11, read on the forward strand.
AAAGGCACTAAACAGAAAACACTAGTTTTGTTTTTCTTTGTGTATACTCACAAGTAATTTAAATCATGTTGAACAATATGTCCTTCTCAAGCCTAGTGAAAAAGTGCACCTAGACCTGGGACTCTAGTTTAACACATCAAACCAGAAGTCTTTCAGAAAGGAATTTTCAAAATGTCCCAAAATATATTTGAACAATTTAAAAGGCAGTAATGAACTTCATAAAAATAGATATTTTAAGTTAAAATGATGCAGAGAACAAATTTTCTTGTTGTTCTTGTTAAATTTTTTTCATTATATTTTAAGTTCTGGGGTGCAGAACATGCAGGTTTGTTGCATAGGTATACACGTACCATGGTGGTTTGCTGCACCCATCAACCTATCATATACGTTGGGTATTTCTCCTAATGCTATCCGTCCCCTAGCTCCCACCCTGCAACAGGCCCTGGTGTGTGATATTCCCCTCCCTGTGTCCGTATGTTCTCATTGTTCAGTTCCCACTTATGGGTGAAAACATGCCAGTGTTTGGTTTTCTGTTCTTGTGATAGTTTGCTGAGAATGATGGTTTCCAGTTGTCATCCATGCCCCTGCAAAGGATATAAACTCATCCATTTTTATGGCTGTATAGTATTCTATGGTGTATATGTGCCACATTTTCTTTATCCAGTCTATCATTGGGCATTTGGGTTGGTTCCAAGTCTTTGTTATTCTGAACACTGTCACAATAATCATACATATGCATGTGTCTTTATACTAGAATGATTTATAATCCTTTGGGTATATACCCAGTGATGAGATTGCCAGGTCAAATGGTATTTCTAGTTCTAGATCCCTGAGGAATCACCACACTGACTTCCACGATGGTTGAACTAGTTTGCAGTCCCACCAACAGTGTAAAAGTGTTCCTATTTCTCCACATCCTCTCCAGACCTGTTGTTCCCTGACTTTTTAATGATTGCCATTCTAACTGGCGTGAGGTGGTATCTCATTGTGGTTTTGATTTGCATTTCTCTGATGGCCAGTGATGATGAGCATTTTTTCATGTACCTGTTGGCTGCATAAATGTCTTCTTTTGAGAAGTGTCTGTTCATATCCTTTGCCCACTTTTTGATGGGGTTGTTTTTTTTCTTGTAAATTTGTTGAAATTCTTTGTGGATTCTGGATATTAGCCCTTTGCCAGATAGACACATTGCAAAAATTTTCTCCCGTTCTGTAGGTTTGCCTGTTCACTCTGATGATAGTTTCTTTTGCTGTGCAGAAGCTCTTTAGTTTAATTAGATCCCATTTGTCAATTTTGTCTTTTGTTGCCATTGCTTTTGGTGTTTTAATCATGAAATCTTTGCCTGTGCCTGTGTCCTGAATGGTATTGCCTAGGTTTTCTTCTAGGGCTTTTATGGTTTTAGATCTAACATTTAAGTCTTTAATGCATCTTGAATTAATTTTTGTGTAAGGTGTAAGGAAGGGATCCAGTTTCAGCTTTCTGCATATGGCTAGTTTTCCCAACACCATTTATAAAATAGGGAATCCTTTCCTCATTTCTTGTTTTTGTCAGGTTTGTCAAAGATCAGATGATTGTAGATACATGGCATTATTTCTGAGGCCTCTGTTCTGTTCCATTGGTCTATCTCTGTTTTGGTACCAGTACCATGCTGTTTTGGTTACTGTAGTCTTGTAGTATAGTTTGAAGTCAAGTAGCGTGATGCCTCCAGCTTTGTTCTTTTTGCTTAGGATTGGCTTGACTATGTGGGCTCTTTTTTGATTCCATATGAAATTTAAAGTAGTTTTTTCCAATTCTGTGAGAAAGTCAATGGTAGCTTGATGGGGACAGCATTGAATCTATAAATTACTTGGGGCAGTATGGCCATTTTCATGATATTGATTCTTCCTATCCATGAACATGGAATGTTTTTCCATTTGTTTGTGTCCTCTCTTTTCCTTGAGCAGTGGTTTGTAGTTCTCCTTGAAGAGGTCTTTCACATCCCTTGTAAGTTGTATTCCTAGGTATTTCATTCCCTTTGTAGCAATTGTGAATGGGAGTTCACTCATGATTGAGATCTCTGTTTGTCTGTTATTAGTGTATAAGAATGCTTGTGATTTTTGCACACTGATTTTGTATCCTCAGCCTTTGCTGAAGTTGCTTATCAGCTTAAGGAGATTTTGGGCTGAGACAATGGAGCTTTCTAAATATAGAATCATGTAATCTGCAAACAGAGACAATTTGACTTCCTCTTTTCCTAATTGAATACCCTTTTTTCTTTCTCTTGCCTGATTGCCTTGGCCAGATCTTCCTATACTGTACTGAATAGGAGTGATGAGAGAGGGCATTCTTTTCTTGTGCCAGTTTTCAAAGGGAATGCTTCCAGTTTTTGCCCATTCAGTATGAATTTGGCTGTGGGTTTGTCATAAATAGCTCTTATTATTTGGAGATATGTTCCATCAATACCTAGTTTATTGAGAGTTTTTAGCATGAAGGGGTGTTGAATTTTGTTGAAGAACTTTTCTGCATCTATTGAGATAATCATGTGGTTTTTGTCATTGATTCTGTTTATGTGATGGATTATGTTTATTGATTTGTGTATGTTCAACCAGCCTTGCATCCCAGGGATGAAGCTGGCTTGATGGTGGTGGATAAGCTTTTTGATGTGCTGCTGGATTTGGTTTGCCAGTATTTTATCAAGGATTTTTGCATAGATGTTCATCGGGGATATTGGCCTGAAATTTTCTTTTTCGTTTTGTCTCTGCCAGGTTTTGGTATCAGGATTACACTGGATTCATAAAATGAGTTAGGGAGGATTCCTTCTTTTCTATTGTTTGGAATAGTTTAGGAAGGAATGGTACCAGTTCCTCTTTGTACCTCTGGTAGAATTTGGCTGTGAATCTGTCTGGTCCTGGGCTTTTTTTGGTTGGTAGGCTATTAATTGCTGCCTCAATTTCAGAACTTGTCATTGGTCTATTCGGGGACTCAACTTCTTCCTGGTTTAGTCTTGGGAGGGTGTATGTGTCCAGGAATTTATCCATTTCTTCTAGATTTTCTGCTTTATTTGCATAGAGATGTGTATAGTATGCTCTGATGGTAGCTTGTATTTCTTTGGGATTGGTGGTGGTATCCCCTTTATCATTTTATATTGCATCTATTTGATTCTTCTCTCTTTTCTTCTTCATTAGTCTTGCTAGCGGTCTATCAATTTTGTTGATCTTTTCAAAAAACCAGCTCCTGAATTCATTGATTTTTTTGAAGGGTTTTTCATATCTCTCCTTCAGTTCTGCTCTGATCTTGGTTATTTCTCGTCTTCTTCTAGCTTTTGAATTTGTTTTCTCTTGGTTCTCTAGTTCTTTTCATTGTGATGTTAGGATGTCGATTTCAGATCTTTCCTGCTTTCTCTCCTGGGCATTTAGTGCTATAAATTTCCCTCTCCACACCGCTTTAAATGTGTCCCAGAGATTCTGGTATGTTGTGTCTTTGTTCTCATTGGTTTCAAAGAACATATTAATTTCTGCCTTCATTTTGTTATTTACCCAGTAGTCATTCAGGAGTAGGTTGTACAGTTTCCATGTAATTGTGGAGTTTTGAGTGAGTTTCTTAATCCTGAGTTCTAGTTTGGTTGCACTGTGGTCTGAGAGACTGTTTGTTATGATTTCTGTTCTTTTGGATTTGCTGAGGAGTGTTTAACTTCCAATTACGTGGTCAGTTTTAGAATAATTGTGATGTAGTGCTGAGAAGAATGTATATTCTGTTGATTTGGGTGGAGAGTTTTGTAGATATCTATTAGGTCAGCTTGGTCCAGAGCTTGGTTCAAGTCCTGGATATTGTTGTTAATTTTCTGTCTCATTGATCTGTCTAATATTGACAGTGGGGTGTTAAAGTCTCCCACTATTATTGTGTGGGAGTCTAAGTCTCTTTGTAGGTCTCTAAGAACTTGCTTTATGAATCTGAGTTCCCCTGTATTGGGCGCATATATATTTAGGATAGTTAGCTTTTCTTGTTGCATTGATCCCTTTACCATTATGTAGTGCCCTTCTTTGTCTTTGTTGATCTTTGTTGGTTTAAAGTCTGTTTTATCGAGACTAGGATTTCAACCCCTGCTTTTTTTTTTTTTTTTTTGCTTTCCATTTGCTTGGTAAATATTCCTCCATCCCTTGATTTTGAGCCTATGTGTGTCTCTGCATGTGAGATGGCTCTCCTGAATACAGCACACCAATGGGTCTTGACTCTTTATACAGTTTGTCAGTCTGTGTCTTTTATTTGGGGCATTTAGCCCATTTACATTTAAGGTTAATATTGTTATGTGTGAATTTGATCCTGCCATTATGATGCTAGCTGGTTATTTTGCCTGTTAGTTGATGCAGTTTCTTCATAGCACCGGTGGTCTTTACAATTTGGTATGTTTTTCCAGTGGCTGGTATCAGTTGTTCCTTTCCATGTTTAGTGCTTCCTGCAGGAGCTCTTTTAAGGCAGGCCTGGTGGTGACAAAATCTCTCAGCATTTGCTTGTCTGTAAAGTATTTTATTTCTCCTTCACTTATGAAGCTTAGTTTGGCTGGATATGAAATTCTGGGTTGAAAATTCTTTTCTTTAAGAATGTTGAATATTGGCCCCCACTCTCTTCTGGCTTGTAGGGTTTCTGCTGAGAGATCTGCTGTTAGTGTGATGGGCTTCCCTTTGTGGGTAACCCAACCTTTCTCTCTGCTGGCCTTAATATTTTTTCCTTCATTTCAACCTTGGTAAATCTGACAATTATGGGTCTTAGAGTTGCTCTTCTCGAGAATTATCTTTGTGGTGTTCTCTGTATTTCCTGAATTTTAATGTTGACCTGTCTTTCTAGGTTGGGGAAATTCTCCTGGATAATATCCTGAAGAGTATTTTCTAACTTGGTTCCATTCTCCCCATCACTTTCAGGTACAACAATCAAATGTACATTTGGTCTTTTCACGTAGTCCCATATTTCTTGGAGGCTTTGTTCTTTTCAGTGTGTTTAATCTTGTCTTCTCACTTTATTTCATTGAATTGATCTTCAATTTCTGTTATCCTTTCTTCCATTTGATTGATTTGGCTATTGATACTTGTTTATGCTCCAGGAAGTTACAATGCTGTGTTTTTCGTCTCCTTCAGTTCATTTATGTTCCTCTCTAAACTGTTTATTTTAGTTAACAATTCATTTAGCTTTCTTTCAGGGTTCTTAGCTTCCTTGCATTGGGTTAGAACATGCTCCTTTAGCTTGGAGGAGTTTGTTATTACTCACCTTCTGAAGCCTCCTTCTACTAATTCATCAAACTCATTCTTCATCCAGTTTTGTTCCTTTGCTGGTGAGGAGTTATTATCCTTTGAAGGAGAAGAGGCGTTCAGATTTTTGGAATATTCAGCCTTTTTGTCCTTCCTGGATTTTATCTACCTTTGGTCTTTGAAGTCGGTGACCTTCGGATGGTGTCTCTGAGTGGACGTCGTTTTTGTTGATGTTAATACTATTCCTTTCTGCTTGTTAGTTTTCCTTCTAACAGTCAGGCCCCTGTGCGGCAGGTCTGCTGGAGTTTGCTCAAGGTCCACTCCAGACCCTGTTTGCCTGGGTATCACCGGTGGAGGCTGCAGAAAAGCAAAGATTGCTAACTGTTTCTTCCTTTTGAAGCTTCGTCCCAGAGGGGCACCCAGCAGATGCCAGCCAGAGCTCTCCTGTATGAGGTGTCTGTCGGCCCCTACCGGGAAGTGTCTCCCAATCAGGAGGCAGTCTGTCCCTTATCAGAGTGTAAACAAAGCCACTTTCAAACAAAGTTTGAACGAAGTTCAAACAAAGGTTGAACGCTTTGTTGGTAGATCTGCTGCTCTCTTCAGAGCTACCAGGCAGGGACGTTTAAGTCAGCTGAAGCTGCGCCTACAACTGCCCCTTCCCAGAGTTGCTCTGTCCCAGGGAGTTGGGGGTTTTATCTATAAGACACTGACTGGGGCTGCTGCCTTTTTTTCAGAGAGGGAATGTAGAGGATGCAGTCTGGCCTCAGAGGCCTTGCTGAGCTGTGGTGGGCTCCACCCAGTTTGAACTTCCTGGTGGCTTTGTTTACACTGTGAGGGAAAACTGCCTACTCAAGCCTCAGCAATGGTGGATGCCCCTCCCCCCACCAAGCTGGAGTGTCCCAGGTCGAGCTCAGACTCTTGTGTTGTGCTGGCTGCGAGACTTTCAAGCCAGTGGATTTTAGCTTGCTGGGCTCCGTGGGGGTGGGACTCGCTGAGCCAGAGCACTTGGCTCCCTGGCTTCAGCTCCCTTGCCAGCGGAGTGAACAGTTCTGTCTCACTGGCTTTCCAGGTGCCACTGTGGTATGAGAAATAGACTCCTGCGGCTAGCTCGGTGTCTGCCCAAATGGCCACCCAGTTTTGTGCTGGAAACCCAGGGTCCCTGGTGGTGTAGGCACCGAAGGGAATCTCCTGGTCTGCGGGTTGTGAAGACTGTGGTAATAGCGCAGTATCTGGGCCAGAGTGCTCAGTACAGTCCTTAATGGCTTCCCTTGTCTAGGAGAGGGGGTTCCCCAACACCTTGCACTTCCCAGGTGAGGTGATGGCCCACCCTGCTTCACCTCGCCCTTCTTTGGCTACACCCACAGTCCAACCAGTCCCAGTGAGATGAACCTTGTAACTCAGTTGGAAATGCAGAAATCACCCACCTTCTGCATTGATCTTATTGGGAGCTGCAGACCAAAGCTCTTCCTATTTGGCCATATTGCCAGACTCCCGCTGTTCTGGGTAATTTTTTTTTTTTTTAATTTTGCCATGTTAGTTTAGGTTGATTCAGCACAAATGCTTGCAAAATATTTCAAAATTTATATTCTATGAAAATGTCTACTTCTACAAAAGAGAATCAATATTCCAAGTAGGGCATTTTAATGTTTCTAACAGTTAAGAGGAAAAAATATTAAGGGGAATATACAATATTTCACTATGTATTTTATTTGACTCTTATTTGAAATACTTATATGCTAAAATGATTAATGACTGGTAAATAAGTGTGTGTGTTCTAAAGCATGTGAGGCCAGCTTAAAGGAAGTGAGTAATTGTGTTTTTTGGTGACTGCATTAGAAAACAATTATTGGGAGATCAACTTCTGGAAAGACTGAGTAGATATGCTTTCCCCCACTCCTGGTAAGCACAGCTAACAACATTAGGTCTTATAAAACAAACAGTAAAAGATTCTGACTTACACAGCTACTGTGGCCCCACCTCCACCTCCAGCAGCAAAGCCTCCCCAAGTAGGGAGCTGGGAGCCAAGACTGTCACCTGAACTGGTGATAAGGAACCCCTTTCATTCCTATTAAGAAGCCTGAACTCCCACTCTGGATGTGGAGGAACCAGGTACCCCTCTTACCCTGGATTTTTAATGGAGGCAAAATGAGGAATTTAGATTTCTAACTCTACCTGACAGTAATAAGGTGAAGTGAGTATCTCTTTCCCCAGTAATGTGGTGTCAGAGGAGGCCTACTAAACCAATTTAGATAAGATCTAGAATCTCATAATATCTAAAATATTAGGTTTCAATAAAAAACATACCAAGAGTCATGAAATTCTCAACTTGATTAAGAAAAAAACCAATAGATGCCAAAACCAAAATGAATCAAATGTTAGAATTACCTAACAATTATTTAAAGCAGCCATCATCAAAATGCATCATGAGCAGCTAGGAACAAATGAAAAATAACCTCAGCGAATAGAAAGTGACAGAAAACAAATAGATGATGTAAGAGATAAAGAAAATAAAGGTTATCTATTCTGAATAACAGAGGTAATATAGACTGGAAAAAAAATGCAAAATGCACAGAGCCTCAGGCCCTGTGAGACTTGTAACAAATGATATACCATTTGTATTATTGGTATTGCAGAAGGAGAGGATAAAATGTTGGGCTGAAAAGATATTCAAAGTAATAACGATTGAAAATTTCCCCAACTTTAACAAGTGCCATTAACCTACACATTGAAGAAACTGAGCAAACCCCAAACAGAATAAACTGAAGGAAATCCAGGTCAAAACACACCATAATCAAAATTATGAAAACTAAAGATAGAGAACCTTAAAAGCAGAGATAGAGAAACAATACCTCACCTACTGGGGAAAACCAAATGATGACAGTGGATTTCACATCAGAAACTATGGAAGACAAAAGAAGTATCACATTTTCCAAATGCTCCTAGAAAAGTAGAGTAGGCAGTCCAAAGTTCTATATCTGATGAAAGAATCTCTGAATAATGAAATAGAAATCAGGATATCCTTAATAAAAACAGCTAAGAAACTGGCAGACCTACCTTAAAAAAATGGTTAAAGAAGGTTCTTCAAAGAGGGAGGGAATCATAAAAGAAGGATTTGGAGAACATCAGGAAGGGAGAAATAACACTTTCTTGAGGGAGTAGAAGCATCAAATATAATAGACAGTCTTCCCTTCTTAATTTTTCTCTAATTTTTAACTATTAAAGCAAAAGTTACAACACTGATCTGGTTCTCAATGTAATGTAAATGTAAAGGACATATTGAAGATACTTATAAAGGAGCAAGATAAAGGGACATAAAAGTAGGTAAGGTTTTTAAGCTTCACTCAAATTGGTAAAATTTTAATATCAATAAATTGTAACAAATTATATTTAAAGTTACATAATCAGTTATATAATACCCAGAACAACCACTAAGAAAGTATGGATAAATCAAAATGGAATTCTAAAAAAGTTCTAGTAACTCACAGGAATGAAGGGAAAACAGTAAGGAAAAACAGAAGAAATGGAAAATAAAAGTAATCGTGGACTTAGGTTCTAATAAATTAATAATTACCCTAAATCTAAATAGGCTTCTTATACCAATAAGACAGAGATTGGTAGAGTGGATGAAAAAGAACCCCACTATGTGCTGCCTACAAGAAACTCAATTCAAATGGAACAATATAGGTAGGTTGAATGTAAAAGGATGGAAATGTATTTGCCATATAAGCATTAATCAAAAGCAAGCAAGAGTGACTATATTGATATCTCATAAAATGGATGTCAGAGCAAAGAAAATTACCAGGAACAAAAAGGGACATTACATAATAAAAGGACCCACCAAGAAAATATAGACTAAACAATAGAGTTGCAAAATATGTGGTAGACCATCAGCAAAAACTGATAGAACTGAAATAATAAATAGACAAATTTACAATTATGTTTGGAGACATCAACAAGCCTTTTCCAACAACTGTTAGAACAACTAGACAGGAACAGAGCAAGTATATAAAACAACACCATCAATGAACATCATCTAATTTATATGTTTAGAATACTAAAAACAGCAGAATACACACATACATATAGAACATTTACCAAGATAGACTATATCCTGGACTTTAACACCAAAAAATATAAAAGAATTGAAATCATAGAGTATGTTTTGTGACAAAAATGGAATCAAACTATACATTAGTAATAGAGATAACAGAAATATATCCACACTTGGGTGTTAAAAGACACACCTGTAAATAACTCTTGAGTCAAGGCGGAAGTCTTAGGGGAAATTTTAAAAGTAAATGGGATAGAAAGAAAATGAAAATTTAACACATCAAAAATTTGGGCATGCAGCTAAAGCAATGCTGACATTTATAGTGTTAAATTCTTATGTTAAAAAAGAGAAAGAGCCTCAAATCCACCTAAGCTCCCACACCAAGAAACTAGAAAATGAAGAACAAAAATCCAAAGCAAGCTAAAGGAAGAGAATTATGAATATAACAGCAGAAGTCAATGAAATTAAATACACAAACAGCAGGGAAAATCAATGAAACAAAAAGATGGTTCTTTGGAAATAACGATAAAATTGGCAAAGCTCCAACAAAACTGACAGCAAAAAAAGACAGAGAGACAAATTACCAATACCAGAAATGAAACAGGCAATATAATTATAGACCCTATAGATATCAAAAGGATAATAAAGAAATTGTATGAACAACTCTACACACATAAGTTTGACAATTTAGATGAAATGGGCTATACAACTACCACATAAAGTACCAAGGATTATTCAGTATGAAAAAGATAATTGCATAGCTCTACAACTATTAAGGAAATTCAATTCATCATTTAAAAACTACTAAAAAAGAAATATCTGAGTCTGGATCGGTTCACAGGAGAATACCATTAAACATTTAAAAAAGAAATAACACAAGATCTGCACAATTTCTTCCAGAAAATGAAAGGGGGGAACATTTTGCAAATCACTTTATGAAACAATGTTACTTTTATACCCAAATAAAAGTACAAAATGAAGAAAAGTATAAACTAATATCTCTCATGAATACAGAGCAAAAATCCTTTATAAATTATTAGAAAATAGCATTCAGCAATATATAAACAGAGTTATACATAATGCCCATTGGGAGTTCATCCTAGAGATGTAAAATTGGTCCAATATTTCAAAACAATTATTGTAATTCACCATATTACCAATATAAAGGAGATAAATCACACTTTCATATCAACTGAGGCAAAATAAGCATTTGACAAAATTTGACACTCATTTATGATAAAAGCCCAGAAAATAAGGAAAAGAAACACCCTCAACTTGATGAAGAATATTTACAAAAATCTTATAGCTAATATCTTACCTAGTGGTGAAAGTAGAATGCTTTCCTCTTAAGATGAGAACAATGCAGTGGTGTTTTCCAGTCCCACTGCTAGTCAACATATTACAGGAAGTTCTAGGAAGCTCAATAAGGTAAGAAAAGGAAATAAAAGACATCAATTAGAAAGGAAAATATAAAGCTGTTCCTACTTGCAGATGCCACAATGGTTTACAAAAAAAATAAGGGACCTATAAAAATACTCCTAGAACTGATGAGTTCAGCGATGCCAAAAGTTCTAAGTAAAACATATAAAATTAATTGTATTCCTACATGAGAGCAATGGCCCTGTGGAAACTAAAATTAAGAATACAATAGTATGTATAATCTTTTTAAAAAACTGAAGTACTTAGGTAGAAATCTAACAAAATATATACAGGACTACTATGATGTAAACTACAAAACAGTGATGAAAGAAAGAAGGTTTAAATAAATAGACATCCAGTGTTCATGGATTGGAACACTCAACAGAGTAAAAATGTCATTTCTCCCCAAGGTAATACACATACTTTATACACTTATTATAAAAATCTTAGCAAGAATTTTTAAAGACAAAACTAAAGTTATTTTAAAATTTATTAGGAAAGGAAAAGGAAATAGAAGAGCTGAAACAATTTTTGAAAAATAGAAATGAAGTTGGAGAAATCACTTCATCTTATTTTAAGAGTTATTATGTAACTACCTTAATCAAGACTGTGTGATACTAGCTGAAGGATAGAAAAACAGATCAATGAAATAGAAAAAGAAACCAGAAATAGTTCCACGCAAGTATTGCCAAAGAGTCTTTTCAACAAATGTTGCTGGAAAAATTGTATATCCAGAAAGATGACCCTCACCTTAAATCTCACACATTAGCCAAAAATCATCTCAAACTGGATTATAGATTTAATGATAAAGCAAACTGTAAACCTGTTCCACCCATGTTTATAGAAGCACTTCTCACAAAGCCAAGAGGTGGAAGCAATGCAAATGTCCAAATGTCATTGACAGATGAGTGGATAAGCAAAATGTGGTATATTCATACAATGGAACATTATTCAGTCTTTAAAGTGGAGGGAATCCTGTCACATGCTACAACATGGATGAACCTGAAGGACACTATGCTTGGTGAAATAAGCCAGTCACAAAAAAATCTGTATGGTTCCACTTATATGAGGTATCTAAAGTCATCAAATTTATAGAAATATAAAGTAGAATAATGGTTACTAGGGGATGGGGGAGGGAAGAAGAGTAATTGGTTAATGGGTATAGAGTTTAAGTTCTGCAAGAAAATGTTCTGGAGATCTGTTTCACAACAATGCAAATATACTTAACATTACTAAACAGTACACTTAAAAATAGTTCATCTTAACCATGGCAAGTTTTATGGTTTTTAAAATTATAATTTAAAAAGTGGTAGGATAAAAAATCCTATAAATCTTTCAGAAGAAAAATGCAATCTTTAAGATCTAGGGCTTGATAAAGAGTGCTTGACATCAAAAAAAGCCATAAAAATAAAATTGGTAAATTACACTTCATCAAAATTTAAAACTTTTACTCTGAAGGACCTTGTTAAGAGGATGAAAAGACAATCTACACACTGGGAGAAAATATTTGGGAACCGTATATCTTATAGATGATTCATTTAGAATATTTAAAGAACTCTCAAAACTCAACAATAACAACAAAACAAAAATTCTAGCTAGAAAATGAGCAAGAGACATGAACAGGCCAAAGAGGATATATAGATGGCAAATAAGCACATGCAAAGATGTTCATCACTAGCGATTAAAAACAGCAAATGAAGACCACAATCAGTATCACTACATACATATGAGAATAGCTTAAAACTACTGACAATATCAAATGTTGGTAAGTATACACAGGAATTATCTCTCCCATACATTGAGGAAATGCACAGACACTCTGAAAAGCAGTGCAGCAGTTTCTTTTTCTTTTTTTTTTCTTAGTTTATTTTTGAGGCAGAGTCTTGCTTTTTCACCCAGGCTGAAGTGCAGTGGTGCGATCTCGGCTCATGGCAACCTCTGCCTCCCTGCTTAATTTATTTTTGAGGCAGAGTCTTGCTTTTTCACCCAGGCTGAAGTGTAGTGGTGCGATCTCGGCTCATGGCAACCTCTGCCTCCCTGCTTAATTTATTTTTGAGGCAGAGTCTTGCTTTTTCACCCAGGCTGAAGTGTAGTGGTGCGATCTCGGCTCATTGCAACCTCTGCCTCCCTGGTTCAAGTGATTCTGCTACCTCGGCCTCCCTAGTAGCGGGGATTACAGGCACCTGCCACCAGGCCCGACTAATTTTTGTATTTTTAGTGGAGATGGAGTTCACCATGTTGGCCAGGCTGGTCTCGAACTCCTGCTCTCAGGTGATCCACCCGCCTCACCCTCCCAAAGTGCTGAGATTACAGGCTTAAGCCACTGCGCCCAGCCGCAGCAGTTTCTTAAAGGGATAAACATATATGGCCAATAAATCTCATTCCTGGGCATTTATCTCAGAGGAATGAAAACTTAGGTCCACACAAAGAATTGTACATGATTGTTCATAACGGCATTAGTTACAAAAGCTTAAAGCTATAAGTAAACAAAATATCTTAAAGTAGGAGTATATTTAAACAAACTGTGGTACATCCATATCGTGGAATATTGCTCCGTAATAAAGAGGAATGAATTGTTGATACATGCAACAATTTGGATGGATTTCAAGGACGTTATGCTAAGTGAAAAAAAAGCCCATGTCAAAAGATCTGAGTCCATTGATGGGATGTCCTTGAAAGGACAAAATTACTGAGATGGAAAACAAATTAGTGGTTACCATGGGTTAGGAATGCTGAGGGGGGGGGCAGGGAAGTGGGAGTAGATGTGACTATAAAGAGGTTATAATAGGGAGATCTTTGTGGGAATGGGTTAGTTCTGTATCTTGGTGGTTGTGTGAATCTGCAAATGTGATAAAAGACATAGAACTAATACATATACATTATAACCAATGTCAATTTCCTTCTTTTGATATTGTACTATAATTACTTAAGATATAAGCATGGGGAGAAACTGAATTAGGTGAAAATGAGACCTCTCTGTAATATCTTTGCAACTTTCTATGAATCTGTAATTTTCTCAAAACAAAATATTTTAAAATGTTTGAATCAATTCATTAGTCTAAGCATTAAATGATTAGTATTAGAAAAGAATATGGACGTTTTTTACTTTTTTATTATTGGTTTAGGTAGAAAATCAACCTAAACTATCAGCTCAAACTATTGGCATAAAAGCAAAGTACAGAGTCTGTTACAAGCCCATGTGCTCAGATGTCTTACCAGATAGTCCTTGCAAGAAAAAAAGAGAAAAGTCTTTCTTATTTCTATTTAAATGACAATACAGGATTTAAAATGTCCTTTCATCATTGAATGATTGACAATATTTATGTATAAACTTGATAAAGATCATTTGAGAAGAATCTTTGTTTTGTGTTACTGTAGCTACATAAGAGAAAGAAATTATATATATTAAATCTCTCATTGTATCTAGCCATAGTTACAATAGCCGCTTTATAGTGGGAAAAAAAGGTTATTTTATTTTGGAAATAAGTACATTTTCAAGTATGAATCAAAACCTTTCACACTTACTAAAAAATATCTGTACACACAAAACACCAGAGTAAATATTCATATTCATGTCACCTCCCTATAATAACTACATTTACTCATATATTTCTTTCTGTGAATAGGTGTTCTGGATCCATTATAGTAGCTAAAATGTGGTGCAGGAGATAAGAGTGTTTAATCAAGGTTCACAATGATTTGCAGTGGCAGGAGACAGTTTGTGGCTAGAGATAACATTCAGCAGCACATGTTTATGAGTGAGACAGACACCTGTCTGATAGTACCATGAGCCAGCCTGTGTGCTTTGCTGAGGCATGTAGTGCTGAAAGCATTAAAATTCTGTGCAGTGAAAAAATGTTATGCTTCTAAAACTTTTGAGATTCTGAAAACAATTATCAAATGATACTCTAATTATGCTTTATGTTCTGAAGTCTCTTGTATTGGGGCAAACAAAAACCTTTAGCCTAAATATAAAACATGGTAATTTAAAACGTAAACGTAAGTATGTTTATCTAAAGAGAAACCAAAGTTTGTTTTTAATTTTTAGTTATTTTTTTTATTGTGGCAGAAACACTGAACTTGAGATTTACCTTCTTAACAAATGTATAGGCACAATGTTTTACACCAGATCTCTCTCTCTCTTTTTTTTTTTTTTTTTTTTTTGAGACAGGGTCTTGCTCTGTTGCCCAGGCTGGAGTGCAGTGGAGTGAACACAACTCACTGCAGGCTCAATCTCCAGGGCTCAAGCAATCCTCCCACTTCAGTCTCCTGAGTAGTTTCGACCACAGGTGCATGCCACCACATGTGGCTAATTTTTACAATATTTTGTAGAGACAGAGTCTCACCTTATTTGTCTTACATAAGTAAAACTTTATGACCTTTGGTCAACAACCTCCCATTTACCCTTCCCCCAGCTCCTAGCGACCACCATTTTACTTTCTATGAGATTGACTTAACGTTAGATAGCTCAGATAAGTGGCATCATACAGCATTTGTTCTGGCTAACTCACTTAGCACAATATCCTTCAGGTTTATCCATGTTCTTACATATGGTAGAATTTTTTTAAGAGCTAAGTAATATTTCATTGTATGTATATATCACATTTTCTTTATCCATTCATCTATTGAGGGACATTTAGATTGTTTTGAAATCTTGGGTGTTGCTAATAATGCTGCAGTGAACATAAGAATGCAGAAATTCTTTTGAGTTCCTGATTTTAATTCTATTGGATATATACCCAGAAGTGGGATTGCTGGATCATATAGTTGTTCTATTTTTACTTTTGTGAGGAACCTCCATATTGCTTTCCATAGTGGCTGCATCAACTATTCCCATCAACAGTGTATAAGAGTTCAAACTTTTCCATATCCTCAACAGCACTTGTTTTTTAAGAGTCATCCTAAAGGTGTGAGGTGATTGACATTTCTCTGATGACTAGTGATGTTGAATTTTTTTTTTTTTTTTGAGACAGGGTCTCACTGTGCCACCCAGCTGGAGTATAGTGGTGCAAACACAGCTTGCTGCAGCCTCAATCTCCTGGACTCGAGTGATCCTTCTGCCTCAGCCTCCTGGGTAACTGGGACTACAGGCATGTACCACCATGCTTGGCTAATTTTTAAGTGTTTTGTGGAGATAGGGTCTCACTATGTTGCCCAGACTGGTCTCGAACTCGTGGGCTCAAGTGATCCTCTCACCTCAGCTTTCCAAAGTGTTGGATTATAGGTGTGAGCCACTGAGCCCAGTTTGAATGCTTTTTTATATATTTTTTGGCCATTTGTATGTCATCTTTGGAGAAATGTCTATTCAAATCCTTTGCCCATTAAAAATTATTTTTTGATAATGAGTTGTAGAAGTTCCTTATATATTTGGAGATTAACCCATTATTGGATATGTGGTTTGCAAATATTTTAACCCATTCTATAGGCTGCCTTTTCACTCTGTTGATTGGTTCTTTTGCTATACAGAAGCTATTTAGTCTAAAGGAGTTTCACTTGTTCATTTTTGTTGTTATTGCCTGGGCTTTTGTCATATACAAGAAATCATTGTCAAGACCGACATCCAGAAGCTTTCCCCCTATGTGTACTAAGAGTTTTACAGTCTGGGGTCTTACATTTAAGTCTTTATTTTGAGGTGATTTTTATATATGGTGTGAGAGGAGAGTCCAATTTATTCTTCTGCATGTGAGTATCTGGTTTTCCTAACACTATTTGTGGAAGAGACATTTTTTACCCCATTGTGTATTCTTGGCACACTTTTTGAAGATTGGTTGGTTGTATATGCATGATTTTATTTCTGGGCTGTCTATTCTGTTCCATTGATCTATATTTCTGTTTTAACTTCAGTAAAGAAATATAATTAATTCAGCTGGAATTTTGATGGGGATTGCATTGAATCTGTTGAACACTTTGGGTAGTACGGACAAGTTAACACTATTAATTCTTCCAACTCAAGAGCACTGGATAACTTCATTTTTTGTGTGTGTCCCATTTATTTTATTACCGTTTATAGTATGTAGTTTAATTTCATGGTGCTTAGAAAAGATACTTGGTTTAATTTCAACCTTCTTAAATTTGTTAAAACTTGTTTTGTGACATATCCTGTAGAATATTCCCTGTTTACTTGAGAAGAATGCATATTCTGCTACCAGTGAGAGGAATGTTTGTTACACATCTGTGAGGTAAATTTGGCCTGTAGCATTGTTCAAGTCTGTTGTTTTCTTATCTTTGAGTTCACTAATTCTTTCCTTTCTTTTTTTTTTTTTTTTGAAGAAGTATTGAATTTTATTGAAAGCCTTTTCTGCATCTATTGGGATTAAAATGTGGTTTCTGTCTTTAGTTATCTCTATGTGATGAATCACATTTATTGATTTGGGTATGTTGAACCAACCTTGCATCCTAGGGATAAAGCTGAGTTGGTTGTGGTGTATCAGCTTTATTATGTGCTGCTGGATTTGGTTCACCAACATTTTGTGGAGGATTTTTGCATCAATACTCATCAAGAACACATATTCATTTAATGTCATAAATTTCCCTCTAAGGAATGTTTTAGTGGAATCCTATAAATTTTAATACATTATGTTTTCTTATTATCATTTAAATGAAAATATTTTTCCATTTTTTTATTATACTTTTAGGTTACATATGCACAATGTACATGTTAGTTACATATGTATACATGTGCCATGTTGGTGTGCTGTACCCATTAACTTGTCATTTAACAATAGGTATATCTCCTAATGCTATCCCTCCACCCTCCCACCAACCCACAACAGGCCCCACTGTGTGATGTTCCCCTTCCTTTTTCCATCTGTTCTCATTGTTGAATTCCCACCTATGAATGAGAACAAGTGATGTTTGGTTTTCTGTCCTTGTGATAGTTTGCTGAGAATGACGGTTTCCAGCTTCATCCACGTCCCTACAAAGACATGAACTCATCATTTTTTATTGCTGCGTAGTATCCATGGTGTATATGTGCCACATATTCTTAATCCAGTCTATCATTGTTGGACATTTGGCTTGGTTCCAAGTCTTTGCTATTGTGAATAGTGCCACAATAAACATACGTGTGCATGTGTCTTTATAGCAGCATGATTTATAACCTTTTGGGTACATACCTGGTAATGAGATTGCCAGGTCAAATGGTATTTCTAGTTCTAGATCCCTGAGGAATCGCCACACTGACTGCCACAATGGTTGAACTAGTTTGCAGTCCCACCAACAGTGTAAAATGTTCCTATTTCTCCACATCCTCTCCAGCACCTGTTGTTTCCTGACTTTTTAATGATTGCCATTCTAACTGGTGTGAGATGGTATCTCATTGTGGTTTTGATTTGCATTTCTCTGATGGCCAGTGATGATGAGCATTTTTTCATGTGTCTTTTGGCTGCATAAATGTCTTCTTTCAAGAAGTCTCTGTTCATATCCTCCACCCACTTTTTGATGGGATTTTTTTGTTTTTTTCTTGTAAATTTGTTTGAGTTCTTTTTAGATTCTGGATATTAGCCCTTTGTCAGATGAGTAGATTGCAAACATTTTCTCCCATTCTGTGGGTTGCCTGTTCACTCTGATGATAGTTTCTTTTGCTGTGCAGAAGCTCTTTAGTTTAATTAGATCCCATTTGTCAATTTTGGCTTTTGTGGCCATTGCTTTTGGTGTTTTAGACATGAATTCCTTGCCATGCCTATCTCCTGAATGGTATTGCCTAGGTATTCTTCTAGGGTTTTTATGGTTTTAGGTCTAACATCTAAGTCTTTAATCCATCTTGAATTAAGTTTTGTATAAGGCATAAGGAAGGGATCCAGTTTCAGCTTTCTACATATGGCTAGCCAGTTTTCCCAGCACCATTTACTAAATAGGGAATCCTTTCCCCATTTCTTGTTTTTCTCAGGTTTGTCAAAGATCAGATGGTTGTAGATATGCGGCATTATTTCTGAGGGCTCTGTTCTGTTCCATTGGTCTATATCTCTGTTTTGGTACCAGTACCATGCTGTTTTGGTTACTGCAGCCTTGTAGTATAGTTTGAAGTCAGGTAGGGTGATGCATCCAGCTTTGTTCTTTTGACTTAGGATTGACTTGGCAATGCGGACTCTTTTTTGGTTCCATATGAACTTTAAAGTAGTTTTTTCCAATTCTGTAAAGAAAGTCATTGGTAACTTGATGGGGATGGCATTGAATCTATAAATTACCTTGGGCAGTATGGCCATTTTCACGATATTGATTCTTCCTACCCATGAGCATGGAATTTTCTTCCATTTGTTTGTATCCTCTTTTATTTCCTTGAGCAGTGGTTTGTAGTTCTCCTTCAAGAGGTCCTTCATGTCCCTTGTAAGTTGGATTCCTATGTATTTTATTCTCTTTGAAGCAATTGTGAATGGGAGTTTACTCATGATTTGGCTCTCTGTTTGTCTGTTATTGGTGTATAAGAATGCTTGTGATTTTTGTACCTTGATTTTGTATCCTGAGACTTTGCTGAAGTTGCTTATCAGCTTAAGGAGATGTTGGGCTGAGACGATGGGGTTTTCTAAATATACAATCATTTCATCTGCAAACAGGGACAATTTGACTTCCTCTTTTCCTAATTGAATACCCTTTATTTCCTTCTCCTGCCTGATTTCCCCGGCCAGAACTTCCAACACTATGTTGAATAGGAGTGGTGACAGAGGGCATCCCTGTCTTGTGCCAGTTTTCAAAGGGAATGCTTCCAGTGTTTGCCCATTTAGTATGATATTGGCTGTGGGTTTGTCATAGATAGCTCTTATTATTTTGAAATACGTCCCATCAATACCTAATTTATTGAGAGTTTTTAGCATGAAGAGTTGTTGAATTTTGTCAAAGGCCTTTTCTGCATCTATTCAGATAATCATACGGTTTTTGTCATTGGTTCTGTTTATATGCTGGATTATGTTTATTGATTTTCATATGTTGAACCAGCCTTGCATCCCAGGGATGAAGCCCACTTGATCATGGTGGATAAGCTTTTTGATGTGCTGCCAGATTCAGTTTGCCAGTGTTTTATTGAGGATTTTTGCATTGATGTTCATCAGGGTATTGGTCTAAAATTCTCTTTTTTTGTTGTGCCTCTGCCAGGCTTTGGTATCAGGATGATGCTGGCCTCATGAAATCAGTTAGGGAGGATTCCCTCTTTTTCTATTGATTGGAATAGTTTCAGAAGGAATGGTACCAGCTCCTCCTTGTAGCTCTGGTAGAATTCAGCTGTGAATCCGTCTTGTCCTGGACTTTTTTTGGTTGGTAAGCCATTAAATATTGCTTCAATTGCAGAGCCTGTTATTGGTCTATTCAGAGATTCAACTTCTTCCTGGTTTAGTCTTGGGAGGGTATATGTGTCAAGGAATTTATCCATTTCTTCTACGTTTTCTAGTTTATTTACATAGAGGTGTTTATAGTATTCTCTGATGGTAGTTTGTATTTCTGTGGGATCAGTGGTGATATCCCCTTTACCATTTTTTATTGCTTCTCTTTGATTCATCTCTTTTTTCTTCTTTATTAGTCTTGCTAGTGGTCTATCAATTTTGTTGATCTTTTCAAAAAACCACCTCCTGGATTCATTGATTTTTTGAAGGGTTTTTTGTCTCTCCCTCAGTTCTGCTCTGATCTTAGTTATTTCTTGCCTTCTGCTAGCTTTTGAATGTGTTTGCTCTTGCTTTTCTAGTTCTTTTAATTGTGATGTTAGGGTGTCAGTTTTAGATTTTGCTGCTTTCTCTTGTGGGCATGTAGTGTTATAAATTTCCCTCTACACACTGCTTTGAATGTGTCCCAGAGATTCTTGTATGTTGTGTATTTGTTCTCATTGGTTTCAAAGAACATCTTTATTTCTGCCTTCATTTCATTATGTACCCAGTAATCATTCAGGAGCAGGTTGTTCAGTTTCCATGTAGTTGAGTGGTTTTGAGTGAGTTTCTTAATCCTGAGTTTTAGTTTAATTACACTGTGGTCTGGGAGACAGTTTGGTATAATTTCTGTTCTTTTACATTTGTTGAGGAGTCCTTTACTTCCAACTATGTGGTCAATTTTGGAATAAGTGTGGTGTGGTACTGAAAGGAATGTATATTCTGTTGATTTGGGGTGGAGAGTTCTGTAGATGTCTATTAGGTTGGCTTGGTGCAGAGGTGAGTTCAATTCTTGGATATCCTTGTTAACTTTCTGTCTCATTGATCTGTCTAATGTTGACAGTGGGGTGTTAAAGTCTCCCATTATTATTGTGTGGGAGCCTAAGTCTCTTTCTAGGTCTCTAAGGACTTGCTTTATGAATCTGGCTGCTCCTGTATTGGGTGCATATATATTTAGGATAGTTAGCTCTTCTTGTTGAATTGATCCCTTTACCATTCTGTAATGGCCTGCTTTGTCTCTTTTGATCTTTGCTGGTTTAAAGTCTTTTTTTTATCACAGACTAGGTTTGCAACCCCTGCTTCTTTTTGTTTTCCATTTCCTTGGTAGATCTTCCTCCATCCCTTTATTTTGAGCCTATGTGTGTCTCTGCAGATGAGATGTGTTTCCTGAATACAGCACACTGATGGGTCTTGACTCTTTATCGAATTTGCCATTCTGTGTCTTTTAATTGGAGCATTTAGCCCATTTACATCGAAGGTTAATATTGTTATGTGTGAATTTGATCCTGTCATTATGATGTTAGCTGGTTATTTTGCTCGTTAGTTGATGCTGTTTCTTCCTAGCCTCGATGGTCTTTATGATTTGGCATGTTTTTGCAGTGGCTGGTCCCAGTTGTTCTTTTCCAAGTTTAGTGCTTCCCTCAGGAGCTCTTGTAGGGCAGGCCTGTTGGTGACAAAATCTCTCAGCATTTGCTTGTCTGTAAAGGATTTTATTTCTCCTTCACTTATGAAGTTAGTTTGGCTGGATATGAAATTCTGGGTTGAAAATTCTTTTCTTTAAGAATGTTGAATATTGGCCCCCACTCTCTTCTGGCTTGTAGAGTTTCTGCTGAGAGATCAGATGTTAGTCTGATGGGCTTCCCTTTGTGGGTAACCAGAGCTTTCTCTCTGGCTTCCCTTAACATTTTTTCCTTCATTTCAACTTTGGTGAATCTGACAATTATGTGTCTTGGAGTTGCTCTTCTCGAGGAGTATCTTTGTGGCATTCTCTGTATTTCCTGAATTTGAATGTTGGCCTGCCTTGCTAGATTGGGGAAGTTCTCCTGGATAATAACCTGCAGAGTGTTTTCCAAGTTGGTTCCATTCTCCCTGTCACTTTCAGGTACACCAATCAGATGTAGATTTGGTGTTTTCACATAGTCCCATATTTCTTGGAGGCTTTGTTTGTTTCTTTTTATTCTTTTTTCTCTAAACTTCTCTTCTCACTTTATTTCATTCATTTGGTTTTCCATCACTGATACCCTTTCTTCCAGTTGATCGAATGGGCTACTGAGGCTTGTGCATTCATCACATAGTTCTCGTGCCTTTGTTTTCAGCTCCATCAGGTCCTTTAAGGACTTCTAGTTAGGCATTCATCTAATTTTTTTTTCAAGCTTTTTAAGTTCTTTGTCATGGGTTCAAACTTCCTCCTTTAGCTTGGGGTAGTTTGATTGTCTGAAACCTTCTCTCAACTCATCAAAGTCATTCTCTGTCCAGCTTTGTTTCATTGCTAGTGAGGAGCTTCATTCCTTTGGAGGAGGAGAGGCACTCCAATTATTAGAGTTTCCAGTTTTTCTGATCTGTTTCTCCCCCATCTTTGTGGTTTTATCTACCTTTGGTCTTTGATGATGTTGACGTACCGATGGGGTTTTGGTGTGGACGTCCTTTCTGTTTGTTAGTTTTCCTCTAACAGTCAGGACCCTCAGCTGCAGGTCTGTTGGAGTTTTCTGGAGGTCCACTCCAGACCCCATTTGCCTGGGTATCAGCAGCGGAGGCTGCAGAACAGCAGATATTGGTGAACAGCAAATGTTGCTGCCTGATTGTTCCTCTGGAAGTTTTGTCTCAGAGGAGTACCCGGCCATGTGAGGTGTCAGTCTGCCCCTACTGGGGGGTGCCTCCCAGTTAGGCTACTTGGGGGTCAGGGACCCACTTGAGGAGGCAGTCTGTCTGTTCTCAGATCTCCAGCTGCATGCTCGGAGAACCACTACTGTCTTCAAAGCTGTCAGACAGGGACATTTAAGTCTGTAGAGGATTCTGCTGCTTTTTGTTTGGCTATGCCCTGCCCCGAGAGGTGAAGTCTACAGAGGCAGGCAGGCCTCCTTGAGCTGCTGTGGGCTCCACCCAGGTTGAGCTGCTGGCCGCTTTGTTTACCTACTCAAGCCTTGGCAATGGCGGGCGCCCCTTCCCCAGCCTCACTGCCACCTTGCAGTTTGATCTCAGGCTGCTGTGCTAGTAAGGAGTGAAGCTCCGTGGGCATAGGACCCTCTGAGCCATGTGCGGGATATAATTTCCTGGTGTGCCGTTTGCTAAGACCACTGGAAAAGTGCAGTATTAGGGTGGGAGTGACCCGATTTTCCAGTTGCCGTCTGTCATCCCTTTGTCTAGGAAAGGGAATTCCCTGACCCCTTGCACTTCCCAGGTGTGTCGATGTCTTGCCCTGCTTTGGCTCACTCTTGGTCTTGGTGCACTGCTCCCTCTGTCCTCTGCCCACTTTCTGACACTCCCCAGTGAGATGAACCCAGTACCTCAGTTGGAAATGCAGAAATAACCCGTCTTCTGCATTGTTCATGCTGGGAGCTGTAGACTGGAGCTGTTCCTATTCAGCCATCTTGGCCCCACCCCTCCGAGTTCACTAATTCTTTCTTCTGCTTGATTAAATATGCTCCTGAACACTTACATTGAATATCTTAGTTCAGTTATATTCTTCAGTTCCAGAATTTTTGTTTGGTTCTTTAAAAAAAAATTTCTATTTGTTTACATTCTTAGTTTACTTACGCAACATTTTTCAGAATTTGTTTAATTGTCTGTGTTCTCTTGCAACTCCTGAGCCTCTTGAAGATGACTATCTTGAATTCTTTGTCAAATAGTTTTTATATCTCCCTTTCTTTAGGATCCATTACTAGAGATTTGTTTTCTTTATTTGATTGTATCATGCTTTCCTGATCTTTTCCTATTTTTTGTAGCTTTGTATTGATGTCTGGAGATTTGAAGAAACAACTAACTCTTCTAGCAATTCTCCATAAAGTGGCTTTGACAGAAAAAAATTTCCTGATCAGCCTGGCTAGGGATTCCAGGCCTGTGTTCCTAGTTGCCCGGGTATCTAGTCTTTTTGTTTTTAAAACTCATGGTTTCTTGCTCCTGCTGGTGTTAGACTGTGTCAGTTCCTTTAGTGCTCCGTGTAAGGCAAGACAGGCACTGACTCCTTGAGAAGTGTGCTGAAAGGCCAGGGACATTGGAGTCACATTCCACTCATCTTCTTTCCTGAGGGAGAAGTCTCAGTTCTGTACTGTTTCCAATCTTGCAGCTCTGTGCTACCTGTAGGGGGGGTGCCCGCCCCTTTGTCTTTGTTCCAAGCTATCCCAGTAATCTGAGCTATGCTGCTTCCTTCAGCACTTTGTTTGTGGTAACACAGAAACTAGCCTCTTGTGGAGCATATTGAAAAGCTGGGAAGCTAGGCTTATGGTTCACCCTCTCTTTACTCCCTTTGTAGAAGTCACGGGCCAGGCAATCTCTCTCTGTGCTGAGCTGTGCCAGTTTCAGGGAAAGGCTGATGTGGATAAAGTGAAATTACTCATATCCATTTCAGTGTGGCTGTTCTTGGTTTTGTGCTCATGTGTTGTGCTGCACCTCTTTACCTACATTGTAGACTTCTCATAATGGTATTTTCATGTATATATTATTGTTTGCTGTTTCTCTGGGGGAACTAAATGCTGGGACTTCCTATTCTTCCATTTTGTGGGCATCACTCTTTCAAAGTTTATTTTTTAATGTTATGAAAGCACACGGAGGTGATAGAAACTGTAAATCTACTTATACAGAGGAAACCACAGTTAAGAAAATTAAACCTCAGCAATGAAACATCAATTTCTGTTCTTACAGTTATTAAGTAGTGCCTTACTATTTTCTGTTATTCTGAGCTTAATAATTCCTGGTGAAGTACAATTTGAGCTCAGATCCCAAAACTTGTTCATTCAAATCGGTTGTAGAAAGAAACAATGATGTTCCCTTATATAACGGGAACAGGCATTATTTCATTTTTGGCTATTAATCTCACTCTAAAACATATGAAATTAATCTGTCATTCTTACTTTTCTGTTTTAATCATATCAATTTGCCAAAGTGCTAAATGTTTATGTCTGTGTATCCCTGTGCACACAGAGTAAATGGGCTTCAATTAATATAATGGAATGTTTCAGAAAAGCAATCAGTATCCATAAGATTGAGCTTAAGCTGGAAGCTTCTCAGTCCAAATGACTGCCGTTAAAAGAATACAGGAGCTGAATGTCCTTGCATTTGGCGGACTTAAGAAAGAAGGATGCCAAACGAATGAACTATGACATGATTGAATTTTTGCAAATTCCTGAGAACTGTGGCAAAATGTTTTCCTTTCATAACCTTTGAACTGCTAAGATCATAAATAAGAACTTAGATGTTTTTTTTACCAATTTTCCTTTTACACTACACACAATAGAATGTGGTTGCATTTGGTATGTTATATATGCCAGAACTGTTGCTAACCAGTATCTAGTGAGGGATCGGGCATCAGCCACCATGTTCATTTGCTTTAGCCTTAGAAATACCAAGAACTGGCCTGGTGTGGTGGCTCACGCTTTTAATCCCAGCATTTTGGGAGGCCGAGGTGGGTGGATCACCTGAGGTCAGGAGTTCAAGACCAACCTAGGCAACATAGTGAAACCCTGTCTCTACTAATAATACAAAAATCAGCTGGGCACGGTAGCATGTGCCTGTAGTCCCAGCTACTTGGGAGGCTGAGCCAGGAGAATCGCTTGAGCCCAGGAGGCAGAGAGAGACTCTGTCTCAAAAAAAAAAAAAAAAAAACCAAGAACTTACACTTGAGGAAGGAAGTTAAGTATTTAGAGAGAACATAATTTAGAGCTAGTGTGTTTTCTTAGAATTAGGTCATAGTTGGATTGAGAGAAAAATACCTTTTTATTCTCATGTTTCTTCCACAGGCTTTTCTCTACTCCAAATTCTTGTTTTGTAATTTTGAAAGACAGGGTAGGAATTGTAAAAATGTGAAGAAGAAAATTATTGAATTTTAATGATGTAGAGCTTTATTTTCATGTCATTTAACCTCTTATTCTATAACAATGCACAAGTGTTTTTGCAATAAAGGTATTCTAAAATATTCCTTGCTGACTTTATTGTTTTCAGTTTTTGTTTGTACAAGGCCCTTGACACAACTTAAGATTCAATTAACATTATTAAGACACATATTTTGTATATGTTATTTCATTCAAATCATGGGAATGATGGTAAATGCTATTTAAAAGATTTGTTTCTGCCTTCCACAAATATTTATGGAGGGCTCCCTTTGCTTAGCAATGTGCTGGTTACTGGGAATACATGGATAAATGAGGCAGTTCCTGTCTTTAAAGAATGTACTGGCTAGTCTTGGGTTAAAAGCAACAATTTTCAGTATAATGTGAAAAATGCTATTTTTTTTTGAAATGAATGATCTCTGGTATATAAATAGAAAAGAATATATAAAGGAGATCTTACTTAGGTAGCCTTCTTTAAAATGGAATGAGTTCCTACACGCTTTAGTGCAGAAATGAACACTTTATCAAATTCTCAAGCGTAACAATTTCTAAATTTTTTTCATAGTTCTGGCTCTTGTGTCAGGTCCTTCTGATTTGCCCCTCCAATTTTGTTATTATTATATGGTACTGTTGTCTCAGCTATGTCACCTGGGTTAATTACCACTATTTTGGGCACATCCATACCAAGAGACCAGCTCTCTGAATTTTTGGAAAGGGACTCTACTTTCTCTCTGACTGCTTTACCCTAATATGTAGAATAGTCCCTTTTCCTTACTTCTTCATGACATAGAGAACATTTATGAAGATTTTACCAAAGGCTTGACCACACTAGAAGAAAATACAGCATAGAAAATAATTCACAATTATTACACAGTTGCAGCCCTTTACCGCAGAGTTTTTATCAGCCCTACTTCTTCCTGTTTACACCCAGGTTGCCTCCACCAATGTGAGAACTACCTGTGTCTCACTGAATCTAGGCCAAATGTCCAAAACATTTAGAGAAAATGAAAGATGTTCACACTTCTCAGCTGTGGTGCGCCTCTTGAGGCTCTTGAGGAATTTTCTTCCCCAGGATTGACAATTTGTCCAGTATAATTGACTGTGGGAATATTCATGAAGGAAAGTTCTACTCCCATCCATAACACACTTGTATCCAAACAATCCCACAGTAGTGTGAAATCAGTATATTTCCAGAATTTTGAATTATATAATGTTAGATAGTATCATGTTGAGTCAAAAATTGTCCAGGTCAGGTTGTGGTGTAACAGTCACTGAATTTATTTTCTACTCTTTTCCCATTAAAAAAACTGAACTTAAGGTCTAATATCAGCAAAATTCTTCCTGTTTTCTGTATGTAAAACTCACAGAACAACATAAGAATTCACCAAGTAACACTCTGAAGATTCTTCAGGGGTCCTTTAACAAACTGACCATCCAAATGACGATCAGTGTCTTATCAGTTTACCAGCCTAACTGTATCCTGGATGTCCTGGGTATAGTACATAGAATATATAATTTATGATATTCTAAGAATAGTATAAGAACATTTTGTGGGTAAGTTAATGTATAATCAATTATTGATGCATTTATACAGCCAATAAATATATATTGGACACCTGTACCTGGAACACTTATTGGTCTAAGAGATAGCATGGTAAACAAATTGAAGTGCCTACCCTCATGGAACTTACCTTCTAACAGAGAAGACAGATAAAGTAAAAAATAAAATATATAATATATTAGCTGAGATTAATAAGTACCACAAAAGAAGTAACAGGCAAAGAAAGACTAACTTGTGCTTTTATTTAATATCTGATGACTTGAAGGCATTTCTGGAAAAGATCCAAGCAGAGATCAGACTAAAGTTATGTGAGTATCTGGGGAAATAGCATTACAGTCTGAAGGGCAGAAAGGACAACCTTATGGTGTGGTGTGCTCTAAGGAGCAGCAAGAAGTTTGGCATAGCTGTACTAGAATGAATGAGGATGAAGGTTAGGAAATAACAGAGAAAGCCAAGGGCTGAGTCATGTAGGAACATACAAGCCATGAAGATTTTAAATTTCCCTCTCAATTTTGTGAAAAGTTAGAATTAGGCATCAATGAAATATATATGTATACCAACGCACACATGCGTGTGCACACACACACATATATGGAAGTGAATGAATCTTCTATCTTTCTATGAGTATCTCATTAGAGTACGGGTACAGAAAAATATTTCTACATTTTTTATTGACTGTTTTTTGAAGTAAATATTAAGTGAATAATCAAGGCAATAAAAACTTCAGGAACTAGGGTCAGTAACTGATATTTGGCCAGTTCCAAAGTAAACATTATAACAAATATCTTCTAATTACATGTCTATTAAACCACTACTAAGATGACCTTCATAGAATTTAGATTGCTATCATAGACTTCTAGCTGGTCTACCTGCTTCAACTCTAGACTCCTCCATTCGTCACGCAGCAGTCCAAGGGATCCTTTCATGATCTAAATCAGTTTGTGTCATGCCTGTGCTCAACACCACCCAATGGCTTCTTATGTTGGAGTCTACTCATATTCCTCCAAAGCATAGTAATTATTCTTTTTGGGAAATTGCACCCCTGATGTATTCACAAATAATTAGAATAAAAACTACATTTTCTTATTTATCTCAGAGCTAGAGTTAGCCACAAGATTAAATTCTATTTAATGGAATGTAATCAGAAGTGTAAGCAGAAGTCCATTCAATGGAATGTAAGCAGAAGCACTAGAACATATATATGTATATTCTCGGTCCCTCCCTCTTTCTCTCTCTCTCCCTCTCTCCCTCTCCGTCTCTCTCTGTCTCTTTCCAGGAAAGATACAGATTGATTCGCTTTCATATAAAGACATCAAGATAAAGGCATCCTGTTGAAATTCATAAAATTATCAGGGACCAAAGCTCCTCTCTCTTTCTGTTCAATCATACTCAGACTAGGACTTCCGCCTCAG
Organism: Homo sapiens; assembly: GCF_000001405.40. NCBI lineage: Eukaryota > Metazoa > Chordata > Mammalia > Primates > Hominidae > Homo > Homo sapiens. The sequence goes on from NC_000001.11 coordinate 121,609,734, forward strand.
GAACTGAAATGCCTGAATGAGCTCCAGTCATCAACTCTCTATTTCAACAAACATAAAATGCAAACATCCCAAAGAAGTTTCTGCCAATGCTTCTGTTTAGTTAGGTGACGTTATCCCATTTCCAACGAAATCCTCAGAGAGGTCGAAATATCCACTTGCAGATTCTACAAAAAGTGTGTTTCAAAACTGCTCCATGCAAAGGAATGTTCAGCTCTATGAGTTAAACTCAATCGTCACAAAGTATTTTCTGAGAATGCTTCTGTCCAGTTTTTACAGGAAGCTATTTCCTTTACTACCGTAGGCCCCAAAGCGGTCCAAATCTCCACTTGCAGATTCTACAAAAAGAGTGTCTCAACCTCAACTCACAAAGGAAGGTTCAAATCTGTGAGTTGAATGCCAACATCACAAAGAAGTTTCTGAGAATGCTTCTGTTTAGTTAAGTGAGGTTTATCCCGTTTCCAATGAAATCCTCAGAGAAGTCCAAATATCCACTTGCATATTCTAAAAAAAGTGTGTTTCGAAACTGCTCCATCAAAAGGAATGCTCAGCTCTGTGAGTTAAACTCAATCATCACAAAGAATTTTCTGAGAATGCATCTGTCTTCTTTTTAGATGAAGATATTTCCTTTACTACGATAGGCCTCAAAGAGGTCCAAATCTCCACTTGCAGATTCTACAGAAAGAGTGTTTCAAACCTGAACTATCAGAGGAAGGTTCAACACTGTGAGTTGAATGCAAACATCACGAAGAAGGTTCTGAGAATGCTTCTGTTTAGATAGGTGAGGTTTCTCCCGTTTCCAACGAAATCCTCAGAGAGGTCCAAATATCCACTTGCAGATTCTACAAAAAGTGTGTTTTGAAACTGCTCCATCCAAAGGAATGTTCAGCTCTGTGAGTTGAACTCAATCGTCACAAATTGTTTCCTGAGAATGCTACTGTCTTGTTTTTATATGTAGTTATTTGCTCTGCTGCCGTAGGCCTGAAAGCGGTCCAAATCTCCCCTTTCAGATTCTACCAAAAGTGTGTTTCCAAACGGCTCTATCAAAGGGAATGTTCAACTCTGTGACTTGAATGCAATCATCAAAAAAGTAGTTTCTGAGAATGCTTCCATCTAGCTTTTATGAGAAGATATTTCCTTTCCCACCACAGGCCTCGAAGCCCTCCAAATGTCCATTTGCAGATTCTAGAAAGAGAGGGTTTCAAGGCTGCTCTATCAAAAAGAAAGTACAACTCTGTGAGTTGAATGCAAACACCACAAAGAAGTTTCTGAGAATACTTCAGTGTAGCTTTTATGGGAAGATTATCCCTTTTCCATCGAAATCTTCAAAGAGGTCCAAATATCCGCTTGCAGATTCCACCGAAAGAGTGATTCCAAACTGCTGTATCAAAAGGAATCTTCAACTCCGTGAGTTCAATGCAATCATCACAAAGAAGTTTCTGACAATGCTTCTCCCTAGTTTTTATGTGAAGATATTTCCTTTTCCACCACAGGCCTGAAAGCGCTGTAAATGTCCACTTGCAGACTCTACGAAAAGAATGCTTCAAAACTGCTCTATGAAAAGCAATGTTAAACTCTGGGAGTTGACCACAAGCCTCACAAAGAAGTTTCTGAGAATGCTTCTGTTTATTTTTTATGTGAAGATATTCCCGTTTCCAAAGAAATCTTCACAGAGGTCCACATATCCACTTGCAGATTCTACAAAAAGAGAGTTTCAAAACTGCTGTATCAAAAGGAATGTTCAACTCTGCGAGTTGAATGCAATCATCACAAAGCAGTTTCTGAGAAGGCTTCCGTCTAGATTTTACGTGAAGATATACCCGTTTCGAATGAAGGCCACAAAGTGCTCCAAATATCCACATGCAGATCCTACAAAAAGAGTGTTACAAACGTGAACTAACAAAGGAAGGTTCAACTCTGGGCTTTGAATGCAAACATTACAAAGAAGTTTCTGGGAAAGCTTCTGTTTAGTTAGATGATGTTATCCCGTTTCCAACAAAATCCTCAGAGAGGTCCAAATATCCACTTGCAGATTCTACAAAAAGTGTGTTTCAAAACTGCTCCATCCAAAGGCACGTTCAGATCTGTGAGTTAAATTCAATCATCACAAAGTATTTTCTGAGAATGCTTCTGTCCAGTTTTTACATGAAGCTATTTCCTTTACTACCGTAGGCCTCCAAGCAGTCCAAATCTCCACTTGCAGATTCTACAAAAAGAGTGTTTCAACCAGAACTCAGAAAGGAAGGTTCAACCCTGTGAGTGGAATGCCAACATCACAAAGAATTTTCTGAGAATGCTTCTGTCTTGTTTTTAGATGAAGTTATTTCCTTTACCACGATAGGCCTCAAAGAGGTCCAAATCTCCACTTGCAGATTCTACAGAAAGAGTGTTTCAAACCTGAATTATCAGAGAAAGGATCAACACTGTGAGTTGAATGCAAACATCACGAAGAAGGTTCTGAGAATGCTTCTGTTTAGATAGGTGAGGTTTATCCCGTTTCCAACGATATCCTCAGAGAGGTCCAAATATCCACTTGCAGATTCTACAAAAACTGTGTTTCAAAACTGCTCCATCCAAAGGAATGTTCACCTCTGTGAGTTGAACTCAATCGTCACAAATTGTTTCCTGAGAATGCTACTGTCTAGTTTTCATATGTGCAGTTATATCCTCTACTGCCATAGGCCTCAAAGCGGTCCAAATCTCCCCTTGCAGATTCTACCAAAAGTGTGTTTCCAAACGGCTCTATCAAAGGGAATGTTAAACTCTGTGACTTGAATGCAATCATCACAAAGTAGTTTCTGAGAATGCTTCCATCTAGCTTTTATGAGAAGATATTTCCTTTTCCACCACAGGCTTCGAAGCCCTCCAAATGTCCACTTACAGATTCTAGAAAGAGAGGGTTTCATAGCTGCTCTATGAAAAGGAAAGTACAACTCTGTGAGTTGAATGCAAACATCACAAAGAAGTTTCTGAGAATGCTTCCGTTTAGCTTTTATGGGAAGATTATCCTTTTTCCATCGAAATCTTCAAAGAGGTCCAAATATCCACTTGCAGATTCCACCGAAAGAGTGATTCCAAACTGCTGTATCAAAAGGAATCTTCAGCTCCGTGAGTTGAATGCAATCAATCCAAAGAAGTTTCTGACAATGCTTCTCTCTAGATTTTATGTGAAGATATCAGGCCTGAAAGCGCTCCAAATGTCCACTTGCAGACTCTACGAAAGGAATGTTTCAAAACTGCTCTCTGAAAAGCAATGTTAAACTCTGGGAGTTGAACACAAGCCTCACAAAGAAGTTTCTGAGAATGCTTCGGTTTACTTTTTATGTGAAGATATTCCCGTTTCCAAAGAAATCTTCACAGAGGTCCACATATCCACTTGCGGATTCTACAAAAAGAGAGTTTCAAAACTGCTCTATCAAAAGGAATGTTCAACTCTGTGAGTTGCATGCAATCATCACAGAGAAGTTTCTGAGAAGGCTTCTGTCTAGATTTTATGTGAAGATATACCCGTTTCGAACGAAGGCCACAAAGTGCTCCAAATATCCACTTGCAGATCCTTCAAAAAGAGTGTTTCAAAAGTGAACTATCAAAGGAAGGTTCAACTCTGGGCTTTGAATGCAAACATCACAAAGAAGTTTCTGCGAAAGCTTCTGTTTAGTTAGGTGACGTTATCCCGTTTCCAACGAAATCCTCAGAGAGGTCCAAATATCCACTTGCAGATTCTACAAAAAGTGTGTTTCAAAACTGCTCCATCCAAAGGCATGTTGTGCTCTGTGAGTTAAATTCAATCATCAGAAAGAATTTTCTAAGAATGCTTCTGTCCAGTTTTTAGATGAAGCTATTTCCTTTACTACCGTAGGACTCCAAGTGGTCCAAATCTCCACTTGCAGATTCTACAAAAAGAGAGTTTCAACCTGAACTCACAAGAGAAGGTTCAAACCTGTGAGTTGAATGACAACATCACAAAGAAGTTTCTGAGAATGCTTCTGTCTTGTTTTACGATGAAGTTATTTCCCTTACTACGATAGGCCTCAAAGAGGTCCAAATCTCCACTTGCAGATTCTACAGAAAGTGTGTTTCAAACCTGAACTATCAGAGCAATGTTCAACACTGTGAGTTGAATGCAAACATCAGGAAAAAGGTTCTGAGAATGCTTCTGTTTAGATAAGAGAGGTTTATCCCGTTTCCAACGAAATCCTCAGAGAGGTCCAAATATCCACTTGCAGATTCTACAAAAAGTGTGTTTCGAAACTGCTCCATCCAAAGGAATGTTCAGCAAGGTGAGTTGAACTTAATGGTCACAAAGTGTTTCCTGAGAATGCTACTGTCTTGTTTTTATATGTAGTTATTTCCTCTGCTGCCGTAGGCCAGAAAGCGGTCCCAATCTCCCCTTTCAGATTCTACCAAAAGTGTGTTTGCAAACGGCTCTATCAAACGGAATGTTCAACTCTGTGACTTGAATGCAATCATCACAAAGTAGGTTCTGAGAATTCTTCCATGTAGCTTTTATGAAAAGATATTTCCTTTTCGACCACATGCCTCGAAGCCCTCCAAATGTCCACTTGCAGATTCTAGAAAGAGAGGGTTTCAAAGCTGCTCTATCAAAAGGAAAGTACAACTCTGTGAGTTGAATGCAAACATCACAAAGAAGTTTCTGAGAATGCTTTCGTTTAGCTTTTCGGAAGATTATCCCTTTTCCATCGAAATCTTCAAAGAGGTCCAAATATCCGCCTGCAGATTCCACCGAAAGAGTGTTTCCAAACTGCTGTATCAAAAGGAATCTTCAACTCCGTGAGTTGAATGCAATCATCACAAAGAAGTTTCTGACAATGCTTCTCTCTAGTTTTTATGTGAAGATATTTCCTTTGCCACAACAGGCCTGAAAGCGCTCTAAATGTCCACTTGCAGACATTACAAAAAGAATGTTTCAAAACTGCTCTATGAAGAGCAATGTTAAACTCTGGGAGTTGAACACAAGCCTCACAAAGAAGTTTCTGAGAATGCTTCTGTTTACTTTTTATGTGAAGATATTCTTGTTTCCAAGGAAATCTTCACAGAGGTCCACATATCCACTTGCAGATTCTACACAAAGAGAGTTTCAAAACTGTTCTATCAAAAGGAATGTTCAACACTGTGAGTTGCATGCAATCATCACAGAGAAGTTTCTGAGAAGGCTTCTGTCTAGATTTTATGTGAAGATATAACCGTTTCGAATGAAGGCCACAAAGGGCTCCAAATATCCACTTGCAGATCCTGCAAAAAGAGTGTTTCAAACGTGAACTATCAAAGGAAGGTTCAACTCTGGGCTTTGAATGCAAACATCACAAAGTAGTTTCTGCGAAACCTTCTGTTTAGTTAGGGGACGTTATCCCGTTTCCAACGAAATCCTCAGAGAGGTCCAAATATCCATTTGCAGATTCTACAAAAAGTGTGTTTCAAAACTGCTCCATCCAAAGGAATGTTCAGCTCTGTGAGTTGAACTCAATCGTCACAAAGTGTTTCCTGGGAATGCTACTGTCTAGTTTTTATATGTAGTTATTTCCTCTATGGCCGTACGCCTCAAACGGTCCAAATCTCCCCTTGCAGATTCTACCAAAAGTGTGTTTCCAAACGGCTCTATCAAACGGAGTGTTCAACTCTGTGACGTGAATGCAATCATCACAATGTAGTTTCTGAGAATGCTTCCATCTAGCTTTTATGGGAAGATATTTCCTTTTCCACCACAGGCCGCGAAGCCCTCCAAATGTCCACTTGCAGGTTCTAGAAAGAGAGGGTTTCAAAGCGGCTCTATCTAAAGGAAAGTACAACTCTGTGAGTTGAATGCAAACATCACAAAGAAGTTTCTGAGAATGTTTCCGTTTAGCTTTTATGGGAAGATTATCCCTTTTCCATCGAAATCTTCAAAGAGGTCCAAATATCAGCTTGCAGATTCCACCGAAAGAGTGATTCCAAACTGCTGTATCAAAACGAATGTTCAACTCAGTGAGGTGAATGCAATCATCACAAAGAAGTTTCTGACAATGCTTCTCTCTAGTTTTTATGTGAAGATATTTCCTTTTCCACCGCAGGCCTGAAAGCGCTCAAAATGTCCACTTGCAGACCCTACGAAAGGAATGTTTCAAAACTGCTCTATGAAAAGCAATGTTCTACTCTGGGAGTTGAACACAAGCCTCACAAAGGAGTTTCTGAAAATGCTTCTGTTTACTTTTTACGTGAAGATATTCCCGTTTGCAAAGAAGTCTTCACAGAGTTCCACCTATCCATTTGCAGATGCTAGAAAAAGAGAGTTTCAAAACTGCTCTATCAAAAGGACTGTTCAACTCTGTGAGTTGAATGCAATCATCACAGAGAAGTTTCTGAGAAGGCTTCTGTCTAGATTTTATGTGAAGATATACCCGTTTCGAACGAAGACCACAAAGTGCTCCAAATATCCACTTGCAGGTCCTCCAACAAGAGTGTTTCAAACGTGAACTATCAAAGGAAGGTTCAACTCTGGACTTTGAATGCAAACGTCAGAAAGATGTTTCTGCGAAAGCTTCTGTTTAGTTAGGTGACGTTATCCCGTTTCCAAAGAAATCCTCAGAGAGGTCCAAATATCCACCTGCAGAGTCTACAAAAAGTGTGTTTCAAAACTGCTCCACCCAAAGGAATGCTCAGCTCTGTGAGTTAAACTCAATCATCCCAAAGTATTTTCTGAGAATGCTTCTGTCCAGTTTTTACATGAAGCTGTTTCCTTTACTACCGTAATCCTCAAAGCATTCCAAATCTCCACTTGCAGATACTACGAAAAGAGCGATTCAACCTGAACTCACAAGGGAAGGTTCAACTCTGTCAGTTGAATACCAACATCACAAAGAAGTTCTCAGAATGCTTCTCTTCAGTTATGTGAGGTTTATACCGTTTCCAACGAAATTCTCAGAGATGTCCAAATATCCACTTGCATAATCTACAAAAAGTGTGTTTTGAAAATGCTCCATCAAAAGATATGCTCAGCTCTGTGAGTTAAACTCAATCATCACAAAGAATTTTCTGAGAATGCTTCTGTCTAGTTTTTAGATGAAGTTCTCTCCTTTACTACGATAGGCCTCAAAGTGGTCCAAATCTCCACTTGCAGATTCTGCAGAAGGAGTGTTTCAAACCTGAACTATGAGAGAAAGGTTCAACACTGTGAGTTGAATGCAAGCATCACGAAGGAGGTTCTGAGAATGCTTCTGTTTAGATAGGTGAGTTTTCTACCTTATCCAATGAAATCCTCAGAGAGGTCCAAATATCCACTTGCAGATTCTACAAAAAGTGTGTTTTGAAACTGCTCCATCCAAAGGAATGTTCAGCTCTGTGAGTTGATCTCAATCGTCAAAAAGTGTTTCCTGGGAATGCTACTGTCTAGTTTTTATGTGCAGTTATATCCTCTACTGCCATAGGCCTCACAGCGGTCCAAATCTCCCCTTTCAGATTCTACCAAAAGTGTGTTTCCAAATGGCTCTATCAAAGGGAATGTTCAACTCTGTGACTTGAATGCAATCATCACAAAGCAGTTTCTGAGAATGCTTCCATGTAGCTTTTATGAGAAGATATTTCCTTTTCCACCCCAGGCCTCGAAGCCCTCCAAATGTCCCCTTGCAGATGCCAGAAAGAGAGGGTTTCAAAGCTGCTCTATCAAAAGGAAAGTACAACTCTGTGAGTTGAATGCAAACATCAAAAAGAAGTTCCTGAGCATGCTTCCGTTTAGCTTTTATGGAAAGATTATCCCTTTTCCATCGAAATGTTCAAAGAGGTCCGCATATCCGCTTGCAGATTCCACCGAAAGTGTGTTTCCAAACTGCTGTATCAAAAGGAATCCTCAACTCCGTGAGTTCCATGCAATCATCACAAAGAAGTTTCTGACAATGCTTCTCTCTAGTTTTTATGTGAAGATATTTCCTTTTCCACCACAGGCCTGAAAGCGCTCCAAATGTCCACTTGGAGAATCTACGAAAAGAATGTTTCAAAACTGCTCTATGAAAAGCAATGTTATACTCTGGGAGTTGAACACAAGCCTCCCAAAGTAGTTTCCGAGAAGGCTTCTGTTTACATTTTACGTGAGGATATTCCCGTTTCCAAAGAAATCTTCACAGAGTTCCACGTATCCATTTGCAGATGCTAGAAAAAGAGAGTTTCAAAACTGCTCTGTCAAAAGAAATGTTCAAATCTGTGAGTTGAATGCAATCATCACAGAGAAGTTTCTGAGAAGGCTTCTGTCTAGATTTTATGTGAAGATATACCTGTTTCGAACGAAGGCCACAAAGTGCTCCAAATGTCCACTTGCAGGTCCTCCAAAAAGAGTGTTTCAAACGTGAACTATCAAAGGAAGGTTCAACTCTGGACTTTCAATGCAAACGTCAGAAAGATGTTTCTGCGAAAGCTTCTGTTTAGTTAGGTGACGTTATCCCGTTTCCAACGAAATCCTCAGAGAGGTCCAAATACCCACCTGCAGAGTCTACAAAAAGTGTGTTTCAAAACTGCTCCACCCAAAGGAATGTTCAGCTCTGTGAGTTAAACTCAATCATCACAAAGTATTTTCTGAGAATGCTTCTGTCCAGTTTTTACATGAAGCTGTTTCCTTTACTACCGTAGGCCTCAAAGCGTTCCAAATCTCCACTTGCAGATACTACGAAAAGAGCGATTCAGCCTGAACTCACAAGGGAAGGTTCAACTCTGTCATTTGAATGCCAACATTACAAAGAAGTTCTGAGAATGTTTCTCCTCAGCTATGTGAGGTTTATCCCGTTTCCAACGAAATTCTCAGAGAAGTCCAAATATCCACTTGGATATTCTACAAAAAGTGTGTTTTGAAAATGCTCCATCAAAAGATATGCTGAGCTCTGTGTGTTAAACTCAATCATCACAAAGAATTTTCTGAGAATGCTTCTGTCTTGTTTTTAGATGAAGTTCTTTCCTTTACTACGATAGGCCTCAAAGAGGTCCAAATCTCCACTTGCAGATTCTGCAGAAGGAGTGTTTAAAACCTGAACTATCAGAGAAAGGTTGAACACTGTGAGTTGAATGCAAGCATCACGAAGAAGGTTCTGAGAATGCTTCTGTTTATATAGGTGAGTTTTCTCCCGTATCCATCAAAAGATATGCTCAGCTGTGTGAGTTAAACTCAATCATCACAAAGAATTTTCTCAGAATGCTTCTGTCTTGTTTTTAGATGAAGTTCTTTCCTTTACTACGATAGGCCTCAAAGAGGTCCAAATCTCCACTTGCAGATTCTGCCGAAGGAGTGTTTAAAACCTGAACTATCAGAGAAAGGTTCAACACTGTGAGTTGAATGCAAGCATCACGAAGAAGGTTCTGAGAATGCTTCTGTTTACATAGGTGTGTTTTCTCCCGTATCCATCAAAAGATATGCTCAGCTCTGTGAGTTAAACCCAATCATCAGAAAGAATTTTCTGAGAATGCTTCTGTCTTGTTTTTAGATGAAGTTCTTTCATTTACTACGATAGGCCTCAAAGAGGTCCAAATCTCGACTTGCAGATTCTGCAGAAGGAGTGTTTAAAACCTGAACTATCAGAGAAAGCTTCAACACTGTGAGTTGAATGCAAGCATCAGGAAGAAGGTTCTGAGAATGCTTCTGTTTACATACGTGAGTTTTCTCCCGTATCCATCAAAAGATATGCTCAGCTCTGTGAGTTAAACTCAATCATCACAAAGAATTTTCTGAGAATACTTCTGTCTTGTTTTTAGATGAAGTTCTTTCCTTTACTACGATAGGCCTCAAAGAGGTCCAAATCTCCACTTGCAGATTCTGCAGAAGGAGTGTTTCAAACCTGAACTATCAGAGAAAGGTTCAACACTGTGAGTTGAATGCAAGCATCACGAAGAAGGTTCTGAGAATGCTTCTGTTTACATAGGTGAGTTTTCTCCCGTATCCAATGAAATCCTCAGAGCGGTCCAAATCTCCACTTGCAGATTCTACAAAAAGTGTGTTTTGAAACTGCTCCATCCAAAGGAATGTTCAGCTCTGTGAATTGAACTCAATCGTCACAAAGTGTTTCCTGGGAATGCTCCTGTCTCCTTTTTATGTGCAGTTATATCCTCTACTGCCATAGGCCTCAAAGCGGTCCAAATCTCCCCTTTCAGATTCTACCAAAAGTGTGTTTCCAAACGGCTCCATCAAAGGGAATGTTCAACTCGGTGACTTGAATGCAATCATCACAAACCAGTTTCTGAGAATGCTTCCATGTAGCTTTTATGAGAAGATATTTCCTTTTCCACCCCAGGCCTCGAAGCCCTCCAAATGTCCCCTTGCAGATGCTAGAAAGAGAGGGTTTCAAAGCTGCTCTATCAAAAGGAAAGTACAACTCTGTGAGTTGAATGCAAACTTCACAAAGAAGTTCCTGAGCATGCTTCCGTTTAGCTTTTACGGGAAGATTATCCCTTTTCCATCGAAATGTTCAAAGAGGTCCACATATCCGCTTGCAGATTCCACCGAAAGAGTGTTTCCAAACAGCTGCATCAAAAGGAATCCTCAGCTCCGTGAGTTGAATGCAATCATCACCAAGAGGTTTCTGACAATGCTTCTCTCTAGTTTTTATGTGAAGATATTTCCTTTTCCAACACAGGCCTGAAAGCGTTCCAAATGTCCACCTGGATGCTCTACGAAAAGAATGTTTCAAAACTGCTCTATGAAAAGCAATGTTATACTCTGGGAGTTGAACACAAGCCCCACAAAGGAGTTTCTGAGAATGCTTCTGTTTACTTTTTACGTGAGGATATTCCCGTTTCCAAAGAAGTCTTCACAGAGTTCCACCTATCCATTTGCAGATGCTAGCAAAAGAGAGTTTCAAAATTGCTCTATCAAAAGGAATGTTCAACTCTGTGAGTTGCATGCAATCATCACAGAGAAGTTTCTGAGAAGGCTTCTGTCTAGATTTTATGTGAAGATATAGCCGTTTCGAACGAAGGCCACAAAGTGCTCCAAATATCCACTTGCATGTCCTCCAAAAAGAGTGTTTCAAACGTGAACTACCAAAGGAAGGCTCAACTCTGGACTTTGAATGCAAACGTCAGAAAGATTTTTCTGCGAAAGCTTCTGTTTAGTTAGGTGACGTTATCCCGTTTCCAACGAAATCCTCAGAGAGGTCCAAATATCCACCTGCAGAGTCTACAAAAAGTGTGTTTCAAAACTGCTCCACCCAAAGGAATGTTCAGCTCTGTGAGTTAAACTCAATCATCCCAAAGTATTTTCTGAGAATGCTTCTGTCCAGTTTTTACATGAAGCTGTTTCCTTTACTACCGTAGGCCTCAAAGCGTTCCAAATCTCCACTTGCAGATACTACGAAAAGAGCGATTCAACCTGAACTCACAAGGGAAGGTTCAACTCTGTCAGTTGAATGCCAACATCACAAAGAATTCTGAGAATGTTTCTCTTCAGTTATGTGAGGTTTATCCCGTTTCCAACGAAATTCTCAGAGAAGTCCAAATATCCACTTGGAGATTCTACAAAAAGTGTGTTTTGAAAATGCTCCATCAAAAGATATGCTCAGCTCTGTTTGTTAAACTCAATCATCACAAAGAATTTTCTGAGAATGCTTCTGTCTTGTTTTTAGATGAGGTTACATCCTTTACTACGATAGGCCTCAAAGAGGTTCAAATCTCCACTTGCAGATTCTGCAGAAGGAGTGTTTAAAACCTGAACTATCAGAGAAAGGTTGAACACTGTGAGTTGAAAGCAAGCATCACGAAGAAGGTTCTGAGAATGCTTCTGTTTATATAGGTGAGTTTTCTCCCGTATCCATCAAAAGATATGCTCAGCTCTGTGAGTTAAACTCAATCATCACAAAGAATTTTCTGAGAATGCTTCTGTCTTGTTTTTAGATGAAGTTCTTTCCTTTACTACGATAGGCCTCAAAGAGGTCCAAATCTCCACTTGCAGATTCTGCAGAAGGAGTGTTTCAAACCTGAACTATCAGAGAAAGGTTCAACACTGTGAGTTGAATGCAAGCATCACGAAGAAGGTTCTGAGAATGCTTCTGTTTACATAGGTGAGTTTTCTCCCGTATCCAATGAAATCCTCAGAGCGGTCCAAATCTCCACTTGCAGATTCTACAAAAAGTGTGTTTTGAAACTGCTCCATCCAAAGGAATGTTCAGCTCTGTGAATTGAACTCAATCGTCACAAAGTGTTTCCTGGGAATGCTCCTGTCTCCTTTTTATGTGCAGTTATATCCTCTACTGCCATAGGCCTCAAAGCGGTCCAAATCTCCCCTTTCAGATTCTACCAAAAGTGTGTTTCCAAACGGCTCCATCAAAGGGAATGTTCAACTCGGTGACTTGAATGCAATCATCCCAAAGCAGCTTCTGAGAATGCTTCCATGTAGCTTTGATGAGAAGATATTTCCTTTTCCACCCCAGGCCTCGAAGCCCTCCAAATGTCCCCTTGCAGATGCTAGAAAGAGGGTGTTTCAAAGCTGCTCTATCAAAAGGAAAGTACAACGCTGTGAGTTGAATGCAAACATCACAAGGAAGTTCCTGAGCATGCTTCCGTTTAGCTTTTACGGGAAGATTATCCCTTTTCCATCGAAATGTTCAAAGAGGTCCACATATCCGCTTGCAGATTCCACCGAAAGAGTGTTTCCAAACTGCTGCATCAAAAGGAATCCTCAGCTCCGTGAGTTGAATGCAATCATCACCAAGAAGTTTCTGACAATGCTTCTCTCTAGTTTTTATGTGAAGATATTTCCTTTTCCACCACAGGCCTGAAAGCGCTCCAAATGTCCACTTGGAGGCTCTACGAAAAGAATGTTTCAAAACTGCTCTATGAAAAGCAATGTTATACTCTGGGAGTTGAACACAAGCCTCACAAAGGAGTTTCTGAGAATGCTTCTGTTTACTTTTTACGTGAGGATATTCCCGTCTCCAAAGAAGTCTTCACAGAGTTACACCTATCCATTTGCAGATGCCAGCAAAACTAGAGAGTTTCAAAACTGCTCTATCAAAAGGAATGTTCAACTCTGTGAGTTGCGTGCAATCATCACAGAGAAGTTTCTGAGAAGGCTTCTGTCTAGATTTTATGTGAAGATATAGCCGTTTCGAACGAAGGCCACAAAGTGCTCCAAATATCCACTTGCAGGTCCTCCAAAAAGAGTGTTTCAAACGTGAACTACCAAAGGAAGGCTCAACTCGGGACTTTGAAGACCAACGTCAGAAGGATGTTTCTGCGGAAGCTTCTGTTTAGTTAGGTGACGTTATCCCGTTTCCAACGAAATCCTCAGAGAGGTCCAAATATCCACCTGCAGAGTCTACAAAAAGTGTGTTTCAAAACTGCTCAACCCAAAGGAAGGTTCAGCTCTGTGAGTTGAACTCAATCATCCCAAAGTATTTTCTGAGAAGGCTTCTGTCCAGTTTTTACATGAAGCTGTTTCCTTTACTACCGTAGGCTTCAAAGCGTTCCAAACCTCCACTTGCAGATAGTACGGAAAGAGCGTTTCAACCTGAACTCACAAGGGAAGGTTCAACTCTGTCAGTTGAATGCCAACGTCACCAAGAACTTCTGAGAATGTTCCTCTTCAGTTATGTGAGGTTTATCCCGTTTCCAACGAAATTCTCAGAGAAGTCCCAAAATCCACTTGCATATTCTACAAAAGGTGTGTTTTCAAAATGCTCCATCAAAAGATATGCTCAGCTCTGTGTGTTAAACTCAATCATCACAAAGTATTTTCTGAGAATGCTTCTGTCTTGTTTTTAGATGAGGTTATATCCTTTACTACGATAGGCCTCAAAGAGGTCCAAATCTCCACTTGCAGATTCTGCAGAAGGAGTGTTTAAAACCTGAACTATCAGAGAAAGTTTGAACACTGTGAGTTGAATGCAAGCATCACGAAGAAGGTTCTGAGAATGCTTCTGTTTACATAGGTGAGTTTTCTCCCGTATCCAATGAAATCCTCAGAGCGGTCCAAATCTCCACTTGCAGATTCTACAAAAAGTGTGTTTTGAAACTGCTCCATCCAAAGGAATGTTCAGCTCTGTGAATTGAACTCAATCGTCACAAAGTGTTTCCTGGGAATGCTCCTGTCTCGTTTTTATGTGCAGTTATATCCTCTACTGCCATAGGCCTCAAAGCGGTTCAAATCTCCCCTTTAAGATTCTACCAAAAGTGTGTTTCCAAACGGAACCATCAAAGGGAATGTTCAACTCGGTGACTTGAATGCAATCATCACAAACCAGTTTCTGAGAATGCTTCCATGTAGCTTTGATGAGAAGACATTTCCTTTTCCACCCCAGGCCTCGAAGCCCTCCAAATGTCCCCTTGCAGATGCTAGAAAGAGAGGGTTTCAAAGCTGCTCTATCAAAAGGAAAGTACAACTCTGTGAGTTGAATGCAAACATCACAAACAAGTTCCTGAGCATGCTTCCGTTTAGCTTTTATGGGAAGATTATCCCTTTTCCATCGAAATGTTCAAAGAGGTCCACATATCCGCTTGCAGATTCCACCGAAAGAGTGTTTCCAAACTGCTGCATCAAAAGGAATCCTCAGCTCCGTGAGTTGAATGCAATCATCACCAAGAAGTTTCTGACAATGCTTCTCTCTAGTTTTTATGTGAAGATATTTCCTTTTCCACCGCAGGCCTGAAAGCGCTCCAAATGTCCACTTGGAGGCTCTACGAAAAGAATGTTTCAAAACTGCTCTATGAAAAGCAATGTTATACTCTGGGAGTTGAACACAAGCCTCACAAAGGAGTTTCTGAGAATGCTTCTGTTTACTTTTTACGTGAGGATATTCCCGTTTCCAAAGAAGTCTTCACAGAGTTCCACCTATCCATTTGCAGATGCTAGCAAAAGACAGTTTCAAAACTGCTCCATCAAAAGGAATGTTCAACTCTGTGAGTTGCATGCAATCATCACAGAGAAGTTTCTGAGAAGGCTTCTGTCTAGATTTTATGTGAAGATATGGCCGTTTCGAACGAAGGCCACAAAGCGCTCCCAATATCCACTTGCAGGTCCTCCAAAAAGAGTGTTTCAAACGTGAACTACCAAAGGAAGGCTCAACTCTGGACTTTGAATGCCAACGTCAGAAGGATGTTTCTGCGAAAGCTTGTGTTTAGTTAGGTGACGTTATCCCGTTTCCAACGAAATCCTCAGAGAGGTCCAAATATCCACCTGCAGAGTCTACAAAAAGTGTGTTTCAAAACTGCTCCACCCAAAGGAATGTTCAGCTCTGTGAGTTAAACTCAATCATCCCAAAGTATTTTCTGAGAATGCTTCTGTCCAGTTTTTACATGAAGCTGTTTCCTTTACTACCGTAGGCCTCAAAGCGTTCCAAATCTCCACTTGCAGATACTACGAAAAGAGCGATTCAACCTGAACTCACAAGGGAAGGTTCAACTCTGTCAGTTGAATGCCAACATCACAAAGAAGTTCTGAGAATGTTTCTCTTCAGTTATGTGAGGTTTATCCCGTTTCCCACGAAATTCTCAGAGATGTCCAAATATCCACTTGGATATTCTACAAAAAGTGTGTTTTGAAAATGCTCCATCAAAAGATATGCTCAGCTCTGTATGTTAAACTCAATCGTCACAAAGAATTCTCTGAGAATGCTTCTGTTTTGTTTTTAGATGAGGTTACATCCTTTACTACGATAGGCCTCAAAGAGGTCCAAATCTCCACTTGCAGATTCTGCAGAAGGAGTGTTTAAAACCTGAACTATCAGAGAAAGTTTGAACACTGTGAGTTGAATGCAAGCATCACGAAGAAGGTTCTGAGAATGCTTCTGTTTATACAGGTGAGTTTTCTCCCGTATCCATCAAAAGATATGCTCAGCTCTGTGAGTTAAACTCAATCATCACAAAGAATTTTCTGAGAATGCTTCTGTCTTGTTTTTAGATGAAGTTCTTTCCTTTACTACGATAGGCCTCAAAGAGGTCCAAATCTCCACTTGCAGATTCTGCAGAAGGAGTGTTTCAAACCTGAACTATCAGAGAAAGGTTCAACACTGTGAGTTGAATGCAAGCATCACGAAGAAGGTTCTGAGAATGCTTCTGTTTACATAGGTGAGTTTTCTCCCGTATCCAACGAAATCCTCAGAGCGGTCCAAATCTCCACTTGCAGATTCTACACAAAGTGTGTTTGGAAACTGCTCCATCCAAAGGAATGTTCAGCTCTGTGAATTGAACTCAATCGTCACAAAGTGTTTCCTGGGAATGCTCCTGTCTCGTTTTTATGTGCAGTTATATCCTCTACTGCAATAGGCCCCAAAACGGTCCAAATCTCCCCTTTCAGTTTCTACCAAAAGTGTGTTTCCAAACGGCTCCATCAAAGGGAATGTTGACCTCGGTGACTTGAATGCAATCATCACAAAGCAGCTTCTGAGAATGCTTCCATGTAGCTTTGATGAGAAGATATTTCCTTTTCCACC
Source organism: Homo sapiens (assembly GCF_000001405.40). NCBI lineage: Eukaryota > Metazoa > Chordata > Mammalia > Primates > Hominidae > Homo > Homo sapiens. Next base: position 121,626,125 of record NC_000001.11, read on the forward strand.
CCAGGCCTCGAAGCCCTCCAAATGTCCCCTTGCAGATGCTAGAAAGAGAGGGTTTCAAAGCTGCTCTATCAAAAGGAAAGTACAACTCTGTGAGTTGAATGCAAACATCACAAGGAAGTTCCTGAGCATGCTTCCGTTTAGCTTTTACGGGAAGATTATCCCTTTTCCATCAAAATGTTCAAAGAGGTCCACATATCCGCTTGCAGATTCCACCGAAAGAGTGTTTCCAAACTGCTGCATCAAAAGGAATCCTCAGCTCCGTGAGTTGAATGCAATCATCACCAAGAGGTTTCTGACAATGCTTCTCTCTAGTTTTTATGTGAAGATATTTCCTTTTCCAACACAGGCCTGAAAGCGTTCCAAATGTCCACCTGGACGCTCTACGAAAAGAATGTTTCAAAACTGCTCTATGAAAAGCAATGTTATACTCTGGGAGTTGAACACAAGCCTCACAAAGGAGTTTCTGAGAATGCTTCTGTTTACTTTTTACGTGAGGATATTCCCGTTTCCAAAGAAGTCTTCACAGAGTTCCACCTATCCATTTGCAGATGCTAGCAAAAGACAGTTTCAAAACTGCTCTATCAAAAGGAATGTTCAACTCTGTGAGTTGCATGCAATCATCACAGAGAAGTTTCTGAGAAGGCTTCTGTCTAGATTTTATGTGAAGATATAGCCGTTTCGAACGAAGGCCACAAAGTGCTCCAAATATCCACTTGCAGGTCCTCCAAAAAGAGTGTTTCAAACGTGAACTACCAAAGGAAGGCTCAACTCTGGACTTTGAATGCCAACGTCAGAAAGATGTTTTTGCGAAAGCTTCTGTTTAGTTAGGTGACGTTATCCCGTTTCCAACGAAATCCTCAGAGAGGTCCAAATATCCACCTGCAGAGTCTACAAAAAGTGTGTTTCAAAACTGCTCCACCCAAAGGAATGTTCAGCTCTGTGAGTTGAACTCAATCATCCCAAAGTATTTTCTGAGAATGCTTCTGTCCAGTTTTTACATGAAGCTGTTTCCTTTACTACCGTAGGCCTCAAAGCGTTCCAAATCTCCACTTGCAGATAGTACGAAAAGAGCGTTTCAACCTGAACTCACAAGGGAAGGTTCAACTTTGTCAGTTGAATGCCAACATCACAAAGAAGTTCTGAGAATGTTCCTCTTCAGTTATGTGAGGTTTATCCCGTTTCCAACGAAATTCTCAGAGAAGTCCCAAAATCCACTTGCATATTCTACAAAAGGTGTGTTTTGAAAATGCGCCATCAAAAGATATGCTCAGCTCTGTGAGTTAAACTCAATCATCGCAAAGAATTTTCTGAGAATGCTTCTGTCTTGTTTTTAGATGAAGTTCTTTCCTTTACTACGATAGGCCTCAAAGAGGTCCAAATCTCCACTTGCAGATTCTGCAGGAGTGTTTCAAACCTGAACTGTCAGAGAAAGGTTCAACACTGTGAGTTGAATGCAAGCTTCACGAAGAAGGTTCTGAGAATGCTTCTGTTTACGTAGGTGACTTTTCTCCCAAATCCAACGAAATCCTCAGAGCGGTCCAAATCTCCACTTGCAGATTCTACACAAAGTGTGTTTGGAAACTGCTCCATCCAAAGGAATGTTCAGCTCTGTGAGTTGTACTCAATCGTCACAAAGTGTTTCCTGGGAATGCTCCTGTCCCGTTTTTATGTGCAGTTATATCCTCTACTGCCATAGGCCTCAATGCGGTCCAAATCTCCCCTTTCAGATCCTACCAAAAGTATGTTTCCAAACGGCTCCATCAAAGGGAATGTTCAACTCGGTGACTTGAATGCAATCATCACAAAGCAGCTTCTGAGAATGCTTCCATGTAGCTTTGATGACAAGATATTTCCTTTTCCACCCCAGGCCTCAAAGCCCTCCAAATGTCCCCTTGCAGATGCTAGAAAGAGAGGGTTTCAAAGCTGCTCTATCAAAAGGAAAGTACAACTCTGTGAGTTGAATGCAAACATCACAAGGAAGTTCCTGAGCATGCTTCCGTTTAGCTTTTATGGGAAGATTATCCCTTTTCCATCGAAATGTTCAAAGAGGTCCACATATCCGCTTGCAGATTCCACCGAAAGAGTGTTTCCAAACTGCTGCATCAAAAGGAATCCTCAGCTCCGTGAGTTGAATGCAATCATCACCAAGAGGTTTCTGACCATGCTTCTCTCTAGTTTTTATGTGAAGATATTTTCTTTTCCAACACAGGCCTGAAAGCGCTCCAAATGTCCACTTGGAGGCTCTACGAAAAGAAAGTTTCAAAACTGCTCTATGAAAAGAAATGTTATACTCTGGGAGTTGAACACAAGCCTCACAAAGGAGTTTCTGAGAATGCTTCTGTTTACTTTTTACGTGAGGATATTCCCGTTTCCAAAGAAATCTTCACAGAGTTCCACCTATCCATTTGCAGATGCCAGCAAAACTAGAGAGTTTCAAAACTGCTCTATCAAAAGGAATGTTCAACTCTGTGAGTTGCGTGCAATCATCACAGAGGAGTTTCTGAGAAGGCTTCTGTCTAGATTTTATGTGAAGATATAGTCGTTTCGAACGAAGGCCACAAAGTGCTCCAAATATCCACTTGCAGGTCCTCCAAAAAGAGTGTTTCAAACGTGAACTACCAAAGGAAGGCTCAACTCGGGACTTTGAAAGCCAACTTCAGAAGGATGTTTCTGCGAAAGCTTCTGTTTAGTTATGTGACGTTATACCGTTTCCAACGAAATCCTCAGAGAGGTCCAAATATCCACCTGCAGAGTCTACAAAAAGTGTGTTTCAAAACTGCTCCACCCAAAGGAATGTTCAGCTCTGTGAGTTGAACTCAATCATCCCAAAGTATTTTCTGAGAAGGCTTCTGTCCAGTTTTTACATGAAGCTGTTTCCTTTACTACCGTAGGCCTCAAAGCGTTCCAAACCTCCACTTGCAGATACTACGAAAAGAGCGTTTCAACCTGAACTCACAAGGGAAGGTTCAACTCTGTCAGTTGAATGCCAACGTCACCAAGAAGTTCTGAGAATGTTCCTCTTCAGTTATGGGAGGTTTATCCCGATTCCAACGAAATTCTCAGAGAAGTCCCAAAATCCACTTGCATATTCTACAAAAGGTGTGTTTGGAAAATGCGCCATCAAAAGATATGCTCAGGTCTGTGTGTTAAACTCAATCATCACAAATAATTTTCTGAGAATGCTTCTGTCTTGTTTTTAGATGAAGTTCTTTCCTTTACTACGATAGGCAACAAAGAGGTCCAAATCTCCACTTGCAGATTCTGCAGAAGGAGTGTTTCAAACCAGAACTGTCAGAGAAAGATTCAACACTGTGAGTTGAATGCAAGCATCACGAAGAAGGTTCTGAGAATGCTTCTGTTTACGTAGGTGAGTTTTCTCCCGTATCCAACGAAATCCTCAGAGCGGTCCAAATCTCCACTTGCAGATTCTACACAAAGTGTGTTTGGAAACTGCTCTATCCAAAGGAATGTTCAGCTCTGTGAGTTGAAGTCAATCATCCCAAAGTACTTTCTGAGAATGCTTCTGTCCAGTTTTTACATGAAGCTGTTTCCTTTACTACCGTAGGCGTCAAAGCGTTCCAAACCTCCACTTGCAGATACTACGAAAAGAGCGTTTCAACCTGAACTCACAAGGGAAGGTTCAACTCTGTCAGTTGAATGCCAACGTCACCAAGAAGTTCTGAGAATGTTCCTCTTCAGTTATGTGAGGTTTATCCCGATTCCAACGAAATTCTCAGAGAAGTCCCAAAATCCACTTGCATATTCTAAAAAAGGTGTGTCTTGAAAATGCGCCATCAAAAGATATGCTCAGCTCTGTGAGTTAAACTCAATCATCGCAAAGAATTTTCTGAGAATGCTTCTGTCTTGTTTTTAGATGAAGTTCTTTCCTTTACTACGATAGGCCTCAAAGAGGTCCAAATCTCCACTTGCAGATTCTGCAGAAGGAGTGTTTCAAACCTGAACTGTCAGAGAAAGGTTCAACACTGTGAGTTGAATGCAAGCATCACGAAGAAGGTTCTGAGAATGCTTCTGTTTACGTACTTGAGTTTTCTGCCGTATCCAACGAAATCCTCAGAGCGGTCCAAATCTCCACTTGCAGATTCTACACAAAGTGTGTTTGGAAACTGCTCCATCCAAAGGAATGTTCAGCTCTGTGAGTTGAACTCAAGCGTCACAAAGTGTTTCCTGGGAATGCTCCTGTGTCGCTTTTATGTGCAGTTATATCCTCTACTGCCATAGGCCTCAAAGCGGTCCAAATCTCCCCTTTCAGATCCTACCAAAAGTGTGTTTCCAAACGGCTCCATCAAAGGGAATGTTCAACTCGGTGACTTGAATGCAATCATCCCAAAGCAGCTTCTGAGAATGCTTCCATGTAGCTTTGATGAGAAGATATTTCCTTTTCCACCCCAGGCCTCGAAGCCCTCCAAATGTCCCCTTGCAGATGCTAGAAAGAGGGGGTTTCAAAGCTGCTCTATCAAAAGGAAAGTACAACGCTGTGAGTTGAATGCAAACATCACAAGGAAGTTCCTGAGCATGCTTCCGTTTAGCTTTTACGGGAAGATTATCCCTTTTCCATAGAAATGTTCAAAGAGGTCCACATATCCGCTTGCAGATTCCACCGAAAGAGTGTTTCCAAAGTGCTGCATCAAAAGGAATCCTCAGCTCCGTGAGTTGAATGCAATCATCACCAAGAAGTTTCTGACAATGCTTCTCTCTAGTTTTTATGTGAAGATATTTCCTTTTCCACCGAAGGCCTGAAAGCGCTCCAAATGTCCACTTGGAGGCTCTACGAAAAGAATGTTTCAAAACTGCTCTATGAAGAGCAATGTTATACTCTGGGAGTTGAACACAAGTCTCACAAAGGAGTTTCTGAGAATGCTTCTGTTTACTTTTTACGTGAGGATATTCCCGTCTCCAAAGAAGTCTTCACAGAGTTCCACCTATCCATTTGCAGATGCCAGCAAAACTAGAGAGTTTCAAAACTGCTCTATCAAAAGGAATGTTCAACTCTGTGAGTTGCGTGCAATCATCACAGAGAAGTTTCTGAGAAGGCTTCTGTCTAGATTTTATGTGAAGATATAGCCGTTTCGAACGAAGGCCACAAAGTGCTCCAAATATCCACTTGCAGGTCCTCCAAAAAGAGTGTTTCAAACGTGAACTACCAAAGGAAGGCTCAACTCGGGACTTTGAAGGCCAACGTCAGAAGGATGTTTCTGCGGAAGCTTCTGTTTAGTTAGGTGACGTTATCCCGTTTCCAACGAAATCCTCAGAGAGGTCCAAATATCCACTTGCAGAGTCTACAAAAAGTGTGTTTCAAAACTGCTCCACCCAAAGGAAGGTTCAGCTCTGTGAGTTGAACTCAATCATCCCAAAGTATTTTCTGAGAAGGCTTCTGTCCAGTTTTTACATGAAGCTGTTTCCTTTACTACCGTAGGCCTCAAAGCGTTGCAAACCTCCACTTGCAGATACTACGAAAAGAGCGTTTCAACCTGAACTCAGAAGGGAAGGTTCAACTCTGTCAGTTGAATGCCAACGTCACCAAGAACTTCTGAGAATGTTCCTCTTCAGTTATGTGAGGTTTATCCCGTTTCCAACGAAATTCTCAGAGAAGTCCCAAAATCCACTTGCATATTCTACAAAAGGTGTGTCTTGAAAATGCGCCATCAAAATATATGCTCCGCTCTGTGAGTTAAACTCAATCATCGCAAAGAATTTTCTGAGAATGCTTCTGTCTTGTTTTTAGATGAAGTTCTTTCCTTTACTACGATAGGCCTCAAAGAGGTCTAAATCTCCACTTGCAGATTCTGCAGAAGGAGTGTTTCAAACCTGAACTGTCAGAGAAAGGTTCAACACTGTGAGTTGAATGCAAGCATCACGAAGAAGGTTCTGAGAATGCTTCTGTTTATGTAGGTGAGTTTTCTCCCGTATCCAACGAAATCCTCAGAGCGGTCCAAATCTCCACTTGCAGATTCTACAAAAAGTGTGTTTGGAAACTGCTCCATCCAAAGGAATGTTCAGCTCTGTGAGTTGAACTCAATCGTCACAAAGTGTTTCCTGGGAATGCTCCTGTTTCGCTTTTATGTGCAGTTATATCCTCTACTGCCATAGGCCCCAAAGCGGTCCAAATCTCCCCTTTCAGATTCTACCAGAAGTGTGTTTCCAAACGGCTCCATCAAAAGGAATGTTCAACTCTGTGACTTGAATGCAATCATCACAAAGCAGCTTCTGAGAATGCTTCCATGTAGCTTTGATGAGAAGATATTTCCTTTTCCACCCCAGGCCTCGAAGCCCTCCAAATGTCCCCTTGCAGATGCTAGAAAGAGGGGGTTTCAAAGCTGCTCTATCAGAAGGAAAGTACAACTCTGTGAGTTGAATGCAAACATCACAAGGAAGTTCCTGAGCATGCTTCCGTTTAGCTTTTACGGGAAGATTATCCCTTTTCCATCGAAATGGTCAAAGAGGTCCACATATCCGCTTGCAGATTCCACCGAAAGAGTGTTTGCAAACTGCTGCATTAAAGGGAATCCTCAGCTCCGTGAGTTGAATGCAATCATCACCAAGAAGTTTCTGACAATGCTTCTCTCTAGTTTTTATGTGAAGATATTTCCTTTTCCACCGCAGGCCTGAAAGCGCTCCAAATGTCCACTTGGAGGCTCTACGAAAAGAATGTTTCAAAACTGCTCTATGAGGAGCAATGTTATACTCTGGGAGTTGAACACAAGCCTCACAAAGGAGTTTCTGAGAATGCTTGTGTTTACTTTTTACGTGAGGATATTCCCGTTTCCAAAGAAGTCTTCACAGAGTTCCACCTATCCATTTGCAGATGCTAGCAAAAGAGAGTTTCAAAACTGCTCCATCAAAAGGAATGTTCAACTCTGTGAGTTGCATGCAATCATCACAGAGAAGTTTCTGAGAAGGCTTCTGTCTAGATTTTATGTGAAGATATAGCCATTTCGAACGAAGGCCCCAAAGTGCTCCAAATATCCACTTGCAGGTCCTCCAAAAAGAGTGTTTCAAACGTGAACTACCAAAGGAAGGCTCAACTCGGGACTTTGAAGGCCAACGTCAGAAGGATGTTTCTGCGGAAGCTTCTGTTTAGTTAGGTGACGTTATCCCGTTTCCAACGAAATCCTCAGAGAGGTCCAAATATCCACCTGCAGAGTCTACAAAAAGTGTGTTTCAAAACTGCTCCACCCAAAGGAAGGTTCAGCTCTGTGAGTTGAACTCAATCATCCCAAAGTATTTTCTGAGAAGGCTTCTGTCCAGTTTTTACATGAAGCTGTTTCCTTTACTACCGTAGGCCTCAAAGCGTTCCAAACCTCCACTTGCAGATACTACGAAAAGAGCGTTTCAACCTGAACTCACAAGGGAAGGTTCAACTCTGTCAGTTGAATGCCAACGTCACCAAGAAGTTCTGAGAATGTTCCTCTTCAGTTATGTGAGGTTTATCCCGTTTCCAACGAAATTCTCAGAGAAGTCCCAAAATCCACTTGCATATTCTACAAAAGGTTTGTCTTGAAAATGCGCCATCAAAAGATATGCTCAGCTCTGTGAGTTAAACTCAATCATCGCAAAGTATTTTCTGAGAATGCTTCTGTCTTGTTTTTAGATGAAGTTCTTTCCTTTACTACGATAGGCCTCAAAGAGGTCCAAATCTCCACTTGCAGATTCTGCAGAAGGAGTGTTTCAAACCTGAACTGTCAGAGAAAGGTTCAACACTGTGAGTTGAATGCAAGCATCACGAAGAAGGTTCTGAGAATGCTTCTGTTTACGTAGGTGAGTTTTCTCCCGTATCCAACGAAATCCTCAGAGCGGTCCAAATCTCCACTTGCAGATTCTACACAAAGTGTGTTTGGAAACTGCTCCATCCAAAGGAATGTTCAGCTCTGTGAGTTGAACTCAATCGTCACAAAGTGTTTCCTGGGAATGCTCCTGTCTCGCTTTTATGTGCAGTAATATCCTCTACTGCCATAGGCCTCAAAGCGGTCCAAATCTCCCCTTTCAGATTCTACCAAAAGTGTGTTTCCAAACGGCCCCATCAAAGAGGATGTTCAACTCGGTGACTTGAATGCAATCATCCCGAAGCAGCTTCTGAGAATGCTTCCATGTAGCTTTGATGAGAAGATATTTCCTTTTCCACCCCAGGCCTCGAAGCCCTCCAAATGTCCCCTTGCAGATGCTAGAAAGAGGGGGTTTCAAAGCTGCTCTATCAGAAGGAAAGTACAACTCTGTGAGTTGAATGCAAACATCACAAGGAAGTTCCTGAGCATGCTTCCGTTTAGCTTTTACGGGAAGATTATCCCTTTTCCATCGAAATGGTCAAAGAGGTCCACATATACGCTTGCAGATTCCACCGAAAGAGTGTTTCCAAACTGCTGCATCAAAAGGAATCCTCAGCTCCGTGAGTTGAATGCAATCATCACCAAGAAGTTTCTGACAATGCTTCTCTCTAGCTTTTATGTGAAGATATTTCCTTTTCCACCGCAGGCCTGAAAGCGCTCCAAATGTCCACTTGGAGGCTCTACTAAAAGAATGTTTCAAAACTGCTCTATGAAAAGCAATGTTATACTCTGGGAGTTGAACACAAGCCTCACAAAGGAGTTTCTGAGAATGCTTCTGTTTACTTTTTACGTGAGGATATTCCCGTTTCCAAAGAAGTCTTCACAGATTTCCACCTATCCATTTGCAGATGCCAGGAAAACTAGAGAGTTTCAAAACTGCTCTATCAAAAGGAATGTTCAACTCTGTGAGTTGCGTGCAATCGTCACAGAGAAGTTTCTGAGAAGGCTTCTGTCTAGATTTTATGTGAAGATATAGCCGTTTCGAACGAAGGCCACAATGTGCTCCAAATATCCACTTGCAGGTCCTCCAAAAAGAGTGTTTCAAACGTGAACTACCAAAGGAAGGCTCAACTCGGGACTTTGAAGGCCAACGTCAGAAGGATGTTTCTGCGGAAGCTTCTGTTTAGTTAGGTGACGTTATCCCTTCTGCAACGAAATCCTCAGAGAGGTCCAAATATCCACCTGCAGAGTCTACAAAAAGTGTGTTTCAAAACTGCTCCACCCAAAGGAATGTTCAGCTCTGTGAGTTGAACTCAATCATCCCAAAGTATTTTCTGAGAATGCTTCTGTCCAGTTTTTACATGAAGCTGTTTCCTTTACTACCGTAGGCCTCAAAGCGTTCCAAACCTCCACTTGCAGATACTACGAAAAGAGCGTTTCAACCTGAACTCACAAGGGAAGGTTCAACTCTGTCAGTTGAATGCCAACATCACCAAGAAGTTCTGAGAATGTTCCTCTTCAGTTATGTGAGGTTTATCCCGTTTCCCACGAAATTCTCAGAGAAGTCCCTAAATCCACTTGCATATTCCACAAAAGGTGTGTTTGGAAAATGCGCCATCAAAAGATATGCTCAGCTCTGTGAGTTAAACTCAATCATCGCAAAGAATTTTCTGAGAATGCTTCCGTCTTGTTTTTAGAGGAAGTTCTTTCCTTTACTACGACAGGCCTCAAAGAGGTCCAAATCTCCACTGGCAGATTCTGCAGAAGGAGTGTTTCAAACCTGAACTGTCAGAGAAAGGTTCAACACTGTGAGTTGAATGCAAGCATCACGAAGAAGGTTCTGAGAATGCTTCTGTTTACGTAGGTGACTTTTCTCCCGTATCCAGCGAAATCCTCAGAGCGGTCCAAATCTCCACTTGCAGATTCTACACAAAGTGTGTTTGGAAACTGCTCCACCCAAAGGAATGTTCAGCTCTGTGAGTTGAACTCAATCGTCACAAAGCGTTTCCTGGGAATGCTCCTGTCTCGCTTTTATGTGCAGTTATATCCTCTACTGCCATAGGCCTCAAAGCGGTCGATATCTCCCCTTTCAGATTCTACCAAAAGTGTGTTTCCAAACGGCCCCATCAAAGGGGATGTTCAACTCGGTGACTTGAATGCAATCATCACAAAGCAGCTTCTGAGAATGCTTCCATGTAGCTTTGATGAGAAGATATTTCCTTTTCCACCCCAGGCCTCGAAGCCCTCCAAATGTCCCCTTGCAGATGCTAGAAAGAGGGGGTTTCAAAGCTGCTCTATCAAAAGGAAAGTACAACTCTGCGAGTTGAATGCAAACATCACAAGGAAGTTCCTGAGCATGCTTCCGTTTAGCTTTTACGGGAAGATTATCCCTTTTCCATCGAAATGTTCAAAGAGGTCCACATATCCGCTTGCAGATTCCACCGAAAGAGTGTTTCCAAACTGCTGCATCAAAAGGAATCCTCAGCTCCGTGAGTTGAATGCAATCATCACCAAGAAGTTTCTGACAATGCTTCTCACTAGTTTTTATGTGAAGATATTTCCTTTTCCACCGCAGGCCTGAAAGCGCCCCAAATGTCCACTTGGAGGCTCTACGAAAAGAACGTTTTAAAACTGCTCTATGAAAAGCAATGTTATACTCTGGGAGTTGAACACAAGCCTCACAAAGGAGTTTCTGAGAATGCTTCTGTTTACTTTTTACGTGAGGATATTCCCGTTTCCAAAGAAGTTTTCACAGAGTTCCACCTATCCATTTGCAGATGCCAGCAAAACTAGAGAGTTTCAAAACTGCTCTATCAAAAGGAATGTTCAACTCTGTGAGATGCATGCAATCATCACAGAGAAGTTTCTGAGAATGCTTCTGTCTACATTTTATGTGAAGATATAGCCGTTTCGAACGAAGGCCACAAAGTGCTCCAAATATCCACTTGCAGGTCCTCCAAAAAGAGTGTTTCAAACGTGAACTACCAAAGGAAGGCTCAACTCGGGACTTTGAAGGCCAACGTCAGAAGGATGTTTCTGCGGAAGCTTCTGTTTAGTTAGGTGACGTTATCCCGTTTCCAACGAAATCCTCAGAGAGGTCCAAATATCCACCTGCAGAGTCTACAAAAAGTGTGTTTCAAAACTGCTCCACCCAAAGGAAGGTTCAGCTCTGTGAGTTGAACTCAATCATCCCAAAGTATTTTCTGAGAAGGCTTCTGTCCAGTTTTTACATGAAGCTGTTTCCTTTACTACCGTAGGCCTCAAAGCGTTCCAAACCTCCACTTGCAGATACTACGAAAAGAGCGTTTCAACCTGAACTCACAAGGGAAGGTTCAACTCTGTCAGTTGAATGCCAACATCACAAAGAAGTTCTGAGAATGTTCCTCTTCAGTTATGTGAGGTTTATCCCGTTTCCAACGAAATTCTCAGAGAAGTCCCAAAATCCACTTGCATATTCTACAAAAGGTGTGTCTTGAAAATGCGCCATCAAAAGATATGCTCAGCTCTGTGAGTTAAACTCAATCATCGCAAAGAATTGTCTGAGAATGCTTCTGTCTTGTTTTCAGATGAAGTTCTTTCCTTTACTACGATAGGCCTCAAAGAGGTCCAAATCTCCACTTGCAGATTCTGCAGAAGGAGTGTTTCAAACCTGAACTGTCAGAGAAAGGTTCAACACTGTGAATTGAATGCAAGCATCACGAAGAAGGTTCTGAGAATGCCTCTGTTTACGTACGTGAGTTTTCTCCCGTATCCAGGGAAATCCTCAGAGCGGTCCAAATCTCCACTTGCAGATTCTACACAAAGTGTGTTTGGAAACTGCTCCAACCAAAGGAATGTTCAGCTCTGTGAGTTGAACTCAATCGTCACAAAGTGTTTCCTGGGAATGCTCCTGTTTCGCTTTTATGTGCAGTTATATCCTCTGCTGCCATAGGCCTCAAAGCGGTCCAAATATCCCCTTTCAGATTCTACCAGAAGTGTGTTTCCAAACGGCTCCATCAAAGGGAATGTTCAACTCGGTGACTTGAAAGCAATCATCACAAAGCAGCTTCTGAGAATGCTTCCATGTAGCTTTGATGAGAAGATATTTCCTTTTCCACCCCAGGCCTCGAAGCCCTCCAAATGTCCCCTTGCAGATGCTAGAAAGAGGGGGTTTCAAAGCTGCTCTATCAGAAGGAAAGTACAACTCTGTGAGTTGAATGCAAACATCACAAGGAAGTTCCTGAGCATGCTTCCGTTTAGCTTTTAGGGGAAGATTATCCCTTTTCCATCGAAATGGTCAAAGAGGTCCACATATACGCTTGCAGATTCCACCGAAAGAGTGTTTCCAAACTGCTGCATCAAAAGGAATCCTCAGCTCCGTGAGTTGAATGCAATCATCACCAAGAAGTTTCTGACAATGCTTCTCTCTAGTTTTTATGTGAAGATATTTCCTTTTCCACCGCAGGCCTGAAAGCGCTCCAAATGTCCACTTGGAGGCTCTACGAAAAGAATGTTTCAAAACTGCTCTATGAAGAGCAATGTTATACTCTGGGAGTTGAACACAAGCCTCACAAAGGAGTTTCTGAGAATGCTTCTGTTTACTTTTTACGTGGGGATATTCCCGTTTCCAAAGAAGTCTTCACAGAGTTCCACCTATCCATTTGCAGATGCCAGCAAAACTAGAGAGTTTCAAAACTGCTCTATCAAAAGGAATGTTCAACTCTGTGAGTTGCATGCAATCATCACAGAGAAGTTTCTGAGAAGGCTTCTGTCTAGATTTTATGTGAAGATATAGCCGTTTCGAACGAAGGCCACAAAGTGCTCCAAATATCCACTTGCAGGTCCTCCAAAAAGAGTGTTTCAAACGTGAACTACCAAAGGAAGGCTCAACTCGGGACTTTGAAGGCCAACGTCAGAAGGATGTTTCTGCGGAAGCTTCTGTTTAGTTAGGTGACGTTATCCCGTTTCCAACGAAATCCTCAGAGAGGTCCAAATATCCACCTGCAGAGTCTACAAAAAGTGTGTTTCAAAACTGCTCCACCCAAAGGAAGGTTCAGATCTGTGAGTTGAACTCAATCATCCCAAAGTATTTTCTGAGAAGGCTTCTGTCCAGTTTTTACATGAAGCTGTTTCCTTTACTACCGTAGGCCTCAAAGCGTTCCAAACCTCCACTTGCAGATACTACGAAAAGAGCGTTTCAACCTGAACTCACAAGGGAAGGTTCAACTCTGTCAGTTGAATGCCAACGTTACCAAGAACTTCTGAGAATGTTCCTCTTCAGTTATGTGAGGTTTATCCCGTTTCCCACGAAATTCTCAGAGAAGTCCCTAAATCCACTTGCATATTCCACAAAAGGTGTGTTTGTAAAATGCGCCATCAAAAGATATGCTCAGCTCTGTGAGTTAAACTCAATCATCGCAAAGAATTTTCTGAGAATGCTTCCGTCTTGTTTTTAGATGAAGTTCTTTCCTTTACTACGACAGGCCTCAAAGAGGTCCAAATCTCCACTGGCAGATTCTGCAGAAGGAGTGTTTCAAACCTGAACTGTCAGAGAAAGGTTCAACACTGTGAGTTGAATGCAAGCATCACGAAGAAGGTTCTGAGAATGCTTCTGTTTACGTAGGAGACTTTTCTCCCGTATCCAGCGAAATCCTCAGAGCGGTCCAAATCTCCACTTGCAGATTCTACGCAAAGTGTGTTTGGAAACTGCTCCACCCAAAGGAATGTTCAGTTCTGTGAGTTGAACTCAATCGTCACAAAGCGTTTCCTGGGAATGCTCCTGTCTCGCTTTTATGTGCAGTTATATCCTCTACTGCCATAGGCCTCAAAGCGGTCGAAATCTCCCCTTTCAGATTCTACCAAAAGTGTGTTTCCTAACGGCCCCATCAAAGGAGATGTTCAACTCGGTGACTTGAAAGCAATCATCACAAAGCAGCTTCTGAGAATGCTTCCATGTAGCTTTGATGAGAAGATATTTCCTTTTCCACCCCAGGCCTCGAAGCCCTCCAAATGTCCCCTTGCAGATGCTAGAAAGAGGGGGTTTCAAAGCTGCTCTATCAAAAGGAAAGTACAACTCTGTGAGTTGAATGCAAACATCACAAGGAAGTTCCTGAGCATGCTTCCGTTTAGCTTTTACGGGAAGATTATCCCTTTTCCATCGAAATGGTCAAAGAGGTCCACATATCCGCTTGCAGATTCCACCGAAAGAGTGTTTCCAAACTGCTGCATCCAAAGGAATCCTCAGCTCCGTGAGTTGAATGCAATCATCACCAAGAAGTTTCTGACAATGCTTCTCTCTAGTTTTTATGTGAAGATATTTCCTTTTCCAACGCAGGCCTGAAAGTGACCCAAATGTCCACTTGGAGGCACTCCGAAAAGAATGTTTCAAAACTGCTCTATGAGAAGCAATGTTATACTCTGGGAGTTGAACACAAGCCTCACAAAGGAGTTTCTGAGAATGCTTCTGTTTACTTTTTACGTGAGGATATTCCCGTTTCCAAAGAAGTTTTCACAGAGTTCCACCTATCCATTTGCAGATGCCAGCAAAAGTAGAGAGTTTCAAAACTGCTCTATCAAAAGGAATGTTCAACTCTGTGAGTTGCGTGCAATCATCACAGAGAAGTTTCTGAGAAGTCTTCTGTCTAGATTTTATGTGAAGATATAGCCGTTTCGAACGAAGGCCACAAAGTGCTCCAAATATCCACTTGCAGGTCCTCCAAAAAGAGTGTTTCAAACGTGAACTACCAAAGGAAGGCTCAACTCGGGACTTTGAAGGCCAACGTCAGAAGGATGTTTCTGCGGAAGCTTCTGTTTAGTTAGGTGACGTTATCCCGTTTTCAACGAAATCCTCAGAGAGGTCCAAATATCCACCTGCAGAGTCTACAAAAAGTGTGTTTCAAAACTGCTCCACCCAAAGGAAGGTTCAGCTCTGTGAGTTGAACTCAATCATCCCAAAGTATTTTCTGAGAAGGCTTCTGTCCAGTTTTTACATGAAGCTGTTTCCTTTACTACCGTAGGCCTCAAAGCGTTCCAAACCTCCACTTGCAGATACTACGAAAAGAGCGTTTCTACCTGAACTCACAAGGGAAGGTTCAACTCTGTCAGTTGAATGCCAACGTCACCAAGAACTTCTGAGAATGTTCCTCTTCAGTTATGTGAGGTTTATCCCGTTTCCAACGAAATTCTCAGAGAAGTCCCAAAATCCACTTGCATATTCTACAAAAGGTTTGTCTTGAAAATGCGCCATCAAAAGATATGCTCAGCTCTGTGAGTTAAACTCAATCATCGCAAAGAATTTTCTGAGAATGCTTCTGTCTTGTTTTCAGATGAAGTTCTTTCCTTTACTACGATAGGCCTCAAAGAGGTCCAAATCTCCACTTGCAGATTCTGCAGAAGGAGTGTTTCAAACCTGAACTGTCAGAGAAAGGTTCAACACTGTGAATTGAATTCAAGCATCACGAAGAAGGTTCTGAGAATGCCTCTGTTTACGTAGGTGAGTTTTCTCCCGTATCCAGCGAAATCCTCAGAGCGGTCCAAATCTCCACTTGCAGATTCTACACAAAGTGTGTTTGGAAACTGCTCCAACCAAAGGAATATTCAGCTCTGTGAGTTGAACTCAATCGTCACAAAGTGTTTCCTGGGAATGCTCCTGTTTCGCTTTTATGTGCAGTTATATCCTCTGCTGCCATAGGCCTCAAAGCGGTCCAAATATCCCCTTTCAGATTCTACCAGAAGTGTGTTTCCAAACGGCTCCATCAAAGGGAATGTTCAACTCGGTGACTTGAAAGCAATCATCACAAAGCAGCTTCTGAGAATGCTTCCATGTAGCTTTGATGAGAAGATATTTCCTTTTCCACCCCAGGCCTCGAAGCCCTCCAAATGTCCCCTTGCAGATGCTAGAAAGAGGGGGTTTCAAAGCTGCTCTATCAGAAGGAAAGTACAACTCTGTGAGTTGAATGCAAACATCACAAGGAAGTTCCTGAGCATGCTTCCGTTTAGCTTTTACGGGAAGATTATCCCTTTTCCATCGAAATGTTCAAAGAGGTCCACATATCCGCTTGCAGATTCCACCGAAAGAGTGTTTCCAAACTGCTGCATCAAAAGGAATCCTCAGCTCCGTGAGTTGAATGCAATCATCACCAAGAAGTTTCTGACAATGCTTCTCTCTAGTTTTTATGTGAAGATATTTGCTTTTCCACCGCAGGCCTGAAAGCGCTCCAAATGTCCACTTGGAGGCTCTACGAAAAGAATGTTTCAAAACTGCTGTATGAAGAGCCAAGTTATACTCTGGGAGTTGAACACAAGCCTCACAAAGGAGTTTCTGAGAATGCTTCTGTTTACTTTTTACGTGAGGATATTCCCGTTTCCAAAGAAGTCTTCACAGAGTTCCACCTATCCATTTGCAGATGCCAGCAAAACTAGAGAGTTTCAAAACAGCTCTATCAAAAGGAATGTTCACCTCTGTGAGTTGCGTGCAATCATCACAGAGAAGTTTCTGAGAAGGCTTCTGTCTAGATTTTATGTGAAGATATAGCCGTTTCGAATGAAGGCCACAAAGTGCTCCAAATATCCACTTGCAGGTCCTCCAAAAAGAGTGTTTCAAACGTGAACTACCAAAGGAAGGCTCAACTCGGGACTTTGAAGGCCAACGTCAGAAGGATGTTTCTGCGGAAGCTTCTGTTTAGTTAGGTGACGTTATCCCGTTTCCAACGAAATCCTCA
The DNA here is from genome assembly GCF_000001405.40 of Homo sapiens. Lineage (NCBI taxonomy): Eukaryota > Metazoa > Chordata > Mammalia > Primates > Hominidae > Homo > Homo sapiens. The sequence goes on from NC_000001.11 coordinate 121,642,605, forward strand.
GAGAGGTCCAAATATCCACCTGCAGAGTCTACAAAAAGTGTGTTTCAAAACTGCTCCACCCAAAGGAAGGTTCAGCTCTGTGAGTTGAACTCAATCATCCCAAAGTATTTTCTGAGAAGGCTTCTGTCCAGTTTTTACATGAAGCTGTTTCCTTTACTACCGTAGGCCTCAAAGCGTTCCAAACCTCCACTTGCAGATACTACGAAAAGAGCGTTTCAACCTGAACTCACAAGGGAAGGTTCAACTCTGTCAGTTGAATGCCAACGTCACCAAGAACTTCTGAGAATGTTCCTCTTCAGTTATGTGAGGTTTATCCCGTTTCCAACGAAATTCTCAGAGAAGTCCCAAAATCCACTTGCATATTCTACAAAAGGTGTGTCTTGAAAATGCGCCATCAAAAGATATGCTCAGCTCTGTGAGTTAAACTCAATCATCGCAAAGAATTTTCTGAGAATGCTTCTGTCTTGTTTTTAGATGAAGTTCTTTCCTTTACTACGATAGGCCTCAAAGAGGTCCAAATCTCCACTTGCAGATTCTGCAGAAGGAGTGTTTCAAACCTGAACTGTCAGAGAAAGGTTCAACACTGTGAGTTGAATGCAAGCATCACGAAGAAGGTTCTGAGAATGCTTCTGTTTACGTAGGTGAGTTTTCTCCCGTATCCAACGAAATCCTCAGAGCGGTCCAAATCTCCACTTGCAGATTCTACACAAAGTGTGTTTGGAAACTGCTCCACCCAAAGGAATGTTCAGCTCTGTGAGTTGAACTCAATCGTCACAAAGCGTTTCCTGGGAATGCTCCTGTCTCGCTTTTATGTGCAGTTATATCCTCTACTGCCATAGGCCTCAAAGCGGTCGAAATCTCCCCTTTCAGATTCTACCAAAGGTGTGTTTCCAAACGGCCCCATCAAAGGGGATATTCAACTCGGTGACTTGAATGCAATCATCACAAAGCAGCTTCTGAGAATGCTTCCATGTAGCTTTGATGAGAAGATATTTCCTTTTCCACGCCAGGCCTCGAAGCCCTCCAAATGTCCCCTTGCAGATGCTAGAAAGAGGGGGTTTCAAAGCTGCTCTATCAAAAGGAAAGTACAACTCTGTGAGTTGAATGCAAACATCACAAGGAAGTTCCTGAGCATGCTTCCGTTTAGCTTTTACGGGAAGATTATCCCTTTTCCATCGAAATGTTCAAAGAGGTCCACATATCCGCTTGCAGATTCCACCGAAAGAGTGTTTCCAAACTGCTGCATCCAAAGGAATCCTCAGCTCCGTGAGTTGAATGCAATCATCACCAAGAAGTTTCTGACAATGCTTCTCTCTAGTTTTTATGTGAAGATATTTCCTTTTCCACCGCAGGCCTGAAAGCGCCCCAAATGTCCACTTGGAGGCTCTACGAAAAGAATGTTTCAAAACTGCTCTATGAAAAGCAATGTTATACTCTGGGAGTTGAACACAAGCCTCACAAAGGAGTTTCTGAGAATGCTTCTGTTTACTTTTTACGTGAGGATATTCCCGTTTCCAAAGAAGTCTTCACAGAGTTCCACCTATCCATTTGCAGATGCCAGCAAAACTAGAGAGTTTCAAAACTGCTCTATCAAAAGGAATGTTCAACTCTGTGAGTTGCATGCAATCATCACAGAGAAGTTTCTGAGAAGGCTTCTGTCTAGATTTTATGTGAAGATATAGCCGTTTCGAACGAAGGCCACAAAGTGCTCCAAATATCCACTTGCAGGTCCTCCAAAAAGAGTGTTTCAAACGTGAACTACCAAAGGAAGGCTCAACTCGGGACTTTGAAGGCCAACGTCAGAAGGATGTTTATGCGGAAGCTATTGTTTAGTTAGGTGACGTTATCCTGTTTCCAACGAAATCCTCAGAGAGGTCCAAATATCCACCTGCAGATTCTCCAAAAAGTGTGTTTCCAAACTGCTCCACCCAAAGGAATGTTCAGCTCTGTGAGTTAAACTCAATCAACACAAAGTATTTTCTGAGAATGCTTCTGTCCAGTTTTTACATGAAGCTGTTTCCTTTACTACCGTAGGCCTCAAAGCGTTCCAAACCTCCACTTGCAGATACTACGAAAAGAGCGTTTCAACCTGAACTCACAAGGGAAGGTTCAACTCTGTCAGTTGAATGCCAACATCACCAAGAAGTTCTGAGAATGTTCCTCTTCAGTTATGTGAGGTTTATCCCGTTTCCAACGAAATTCTCAGAGAAGTCCCAAAATCCACTTGCATATTCCACAAAGGTGTGTTTTGAAAATGCGCCTTCAAAAGATATGCTCAGCTCTGTGAGTTAAACTCAATCGTCGCAAAGAATTTTCTGAGAATGCTTCCGTCTTGTTTTTAGATGAAGTTCTTTCCTTTACTACGATAGGCCTCAAGGAGGTCCAAATCTCCACTTGCAGATTCTGCAGAAGGAGTGTTTCAAACCTGAACTGTCAGAGAAAGTTTCAACACTGTGAGTTGAATGCAAGCATCACGAAGAAGGTTCTGAGAATGCTTCTGTTTACGTAGGTGACTTTTCTCCCGTATCCAACGAAATCCTCAGAGCAGTCCAAATCTCCACTTGCAGATTCTACACAAAGTGAGTTTGGAAACTGCTCCACCCAAAGGAATGTTCAGCTCTGTGAGTTGAACTGAATCGTCACAAAGCGTTTCCTGGGAATGCTCCTGTCTCGCTTTCATGTGCAGTTATATCATCTACTGCCATAGGCCTCAAAGCGGTCCAAATCTCCCCTTTCAGTTTCTACCAAAAGTGTGTTTCAAAACGGCCCCATCAAAGGGGATGTTCAACTCGGTGACTTGAATGCAATCATCACAAAGCAGCTTCTGAGAATGCTTCCATGTAGCTTTGATGAGAAGATATTTCCTTTTCCAACCCAGGCCTCGAAGCCCTCCAAATGTCCCCTTGCAGATGCTAGAAAGAGGGGGTTTCAAAGCTGCTCTATCAAAAGGAAAGTACAACTCTGTGAGTTGAATGCAAACATCACAAGGAAGTTCCTGAGCATGCTTCCGTTTAGCTTTTATGGGAAGATTATCCCTTTTCCATCGAAATGTTCAAAGAGGTCCACATATCCGCTTGCAGATTCCACCGAAAGAGTGTTTCCAAACTGCTGCATCAAAAGGAATCCTCAGCTCCGTGAGTTGAATGCAATCATCACCAAGAAGTTTCTGACAATGCTTCTCTCTAGTTTTTATGTGAAGATATTTCCTTTTCCACCGCAGGCCTGAAAGCGCTCCAAATGTCCACTTGGAGGCTCTACGAAAAGAATGTTTCAAAACTGCTCTATGAAAAGCAATGTTATACTCTGGGAGTTGAACACAAGCCTCACAAAGGAGTTTCTGAGAATGCTTCTGTTTACTTTTTACGTGAGGATATTCCCGTTTCCAAAGAAGTCTTCACAGAGTTCCACCTATCCATTTGCAGATGCTAGCAAAAGACAGTTTCAAAACTGCTCCATCAAAAGGAATGTTCAACTCTGTGAGTTGCATGCAATCATCACAGAGAAGTTTCTGAGAAGGCTTCTGTCTAGATTTTATGTGAAGATATGGCCGTTTCGAACGAAGGCCACAAAGCGCTCCCAATATCCACTTGCAGGTCCTCCAAAAAGAGTGTTTCAAACGTGAACTACCAAAGGAAGGCTCAACTCTGGACTTTGAATGCCAACGTCAGAAGGATGTTTCTGCGAAAGCTTGTGTTTAGTTAGGTGACGTTATCCCGTTTCCAACGAAATCCTCAGAGAGGTCCAAATATCCACCTGCAGAGTCTACAAAAAGTGTGTTTCAAAACTGCTCCACCCAAAGGAATGTTCAGCTCTGTGAGTTGAACTCAATCATCCCAAAGTATTTTCTGAGAATGCTTCTGTCCAGTTTTTACATGAAGCTGTTTCCTTTACTACCGTAGGCCTCAAAGCGTTCCAAACCTCCACTTGCAGATACTACGAAAAGAGCGTTTCAACCTGAACTCACAAGGGAAGGTTCAACTCTGCCAGTTGAATGCCAACATCACCAAGAACTTCTGAGAATGTTCCTCTTCAGTTACGTGAGGTTTATCCCCTTTCCAACGAAATTCTCAGAGAAGTCCCAAAATCCACTTGCATATTCCACAAAAGGTGTGTTTTGAAAATGCGCCATCAAAAGATATGCTCAGCTCTGTGAGTTAAACTCAATCATCGCAAAGTATTTTCTGAGAATGCTTCCGTCTTGTTTTTAGATGAAGTTCTTTCCTTTACTACGATAGGCCTCAAGGAGGTCCAAATGTCCACTTGCAGATTCTGCAGAAGGAGTGTTTCAAACCTGAACTGTCAGAGAAAGGTTCAACACTGTGAGTTGAATGCAAGCATCACGAAGAAGGTTCTGAGAATGCTTCTGTTTACGTAGGTGACTTTTCTCCCGTATCCAACGAAATCCTCAGAGCGGTCCAAATCTCCACTTGCAGATTCTACACAAAGTGTGTTTGGAAACTGCTTCACCCAAAGGAATGTTCAGCTCTGTGAGTTGAACTCAATCGTCACAAAGCGTTTCCTGGGAATGCTCCTGTCTCGATTTTATGTGCAGTTATATCCTCTACTGCCATAGGCCTCAAAGCGGTCCAAATCTCCCCTTTCAGATTCTACCAAAAGTGTGTTTCCAAACGGCCCCATCAAAGGGGATGTTCAACTCGGTGACTTGAATGCAATCATCACAAAGCAGCTTCTGAGAATGCTTCCATGTAGGTTTGATGAGAAGATATTTCCTTTTCCACCCCAGGCCTCGAAGCCCTCCAAATGTCCCCTTGCAGATGCTAGAAAGAGGGGGTTTCAAAGCTGCTCTATCAAAAGGAAAGTACAACTCTGTGAGTTGAATGCAAACATCACAAGGAAGTTCCTGAGCATGCTTCCGTTTAGCTTTTACGGGAAGATTATCCCTTTTCCATCGAAATGTTCAAAGAGGTCCACATATCCGCTTGCAGATTCCACCGAAAGAGTGTTTCCAAACTGCTGCATCCAAAGGAATCCTCAGCTCCGTGAGTTGAATGCAATCATCACCAAGAAGTTTCTGACAATGCTTCTCTCTAGTTTTTATGTGAAGATATTTCCTTTTCCACCGCAGGCCTGAAAGCGCTCCAAATGTCCACTTGGAGGCTCTACGAAAAGAATGTTTCAAAACTGCTCTATGAAAAGCAATGTTATACTCTGGGAGTTGAACACAAGCCTCACAAAGGAGTTTCTGAGAATGCTTCTGTTTACTTTTTACGTGAGGATATTCCCGTTTTCAAAGCAGTCTTCACAGAGTTCCACCTATCCATTTGCAGATGCTAGCAAAAGAGAGTTTCAAAACTGCTCCATCAAAAGGAATGTTCAACTCTGTGAGTTGCATGCAATCATCACAGAGAAGTTTCTGAGAATGCTTCTGTCTAGATTTTATGTGAAGATATGGCCGTTTCGAACGAAGGCCACAAAGTGCTCCCAATATCCACTTGCAGGTCCTCCAAAAAGAGTGTTTCAAACGTGAACTACCAAAGGAAGGCTCAACTCTGGACTTTGAATGCCAACGTCAGAAGGATGTTTCTGCGAAAGCTTCTGTTTAGTTAGGTGACGTTATCCCGTTTCCAACGAAATCCTCAGAGAGGTCCAAATATCCACCTGCAGAGTCTACAAAAAGTGTGTTTCAAAACTGCTCCACCCAAAGGAATGTTCAGCTCTGTGAGTTGAACTCAATCATCCCAAAGTATTTTCTGAGAATGCTTCTGTCCAGTTTTTACATGAAGCTGTTTCCTTTACTACTGTAGGCCTCAAAGCGTTCCAAACCTCCACTTGCAGATACTACGAAAAGAGCGTTTCAACCTGAACTCACAAGGGAAGGTTCAACTCTGTCAGTTGAATGCCAACATCACCAAGAACTTCTGAGAATGTTCCTCTTCAGTTATGTGAGGTTTATCCCGTTTCCAACGAAATTCTCAGAGAAGTCCAAAAATCCACTTGCATATGCCACAAAAGGTGTGTTTGGAAAATGCGCCATCAAAAGATATGCTCAGCTCTGTGAGTTAAACTCAATCATCGCAAAGAATTTTCTGAGAATGCTTCCGTCTTGTTTTTAGATGAAGTTCTTTCCTTTACTACGATAGGCCTCAAAGAGGTCCAAATCTCCACTTGCAGATTCTGCAGAAGGAGTGTTTCAAACCTGAACTGTCAGAGAAAAGTTCAACACTGTGAGTTGAATGCAAGCATCACGAAGAAGGTTCTGAGAATGCTTCTGTTTACGTAGGTGACTTTTCTCCCTATCCAACGAAATCCTCAGAGCGGTCCAAATCTCCACTTGCAGATTCTACACAAAGTGTGTTTGGAAACTGCTCCACCCACAGGAATGTTCAGCTCTGTGAGTTGAACTCAATGGTCACAAAGCGTTTCCTGGGAATGCTCCTGTCTCGCTTTTATGTGCAGTTATATCCTCTACTGCCATAGGCCTCAAAGCGGTCCAAATCTCCCCTTTCAGATTCTACCAAAAGTGTGTTTCCAAACGGACCCATCAAGGGGGATGTTCAACTCGGTGACTTGAATGCAATAATCACAAAGCAGCTTCTGGGAATGCTTCCATGTAGCTTTGATGAGAAGATATTTCCTTTTCCACCCCAGGCCTCGAAGCCCTCCAAATGTCCCCTTGCAGATGCTAGAAAGAGGGGGTTTCAAAGCTGCTCTATCAAAAGGAAAGTACAACTCTGTGTGTTGAATGCAAACATCAAAAGGAAGTTCCTGAGCATGCTTCCGTTTAGCTTTTATGGGAAGATTATCCCTTTTCCATCGAAATGTTCAAACAGGTCCACATATCCGCTTGCAGATTCCACCGAAAGAGTGTTTCCAAACTGCTGCATCCAAAGGAATCCTCAGCTCCGTGAGTTGAATGCAATCATCACCAAGAAGTTTCTGACAATGCTTCTCTCTAGTTTTTATGTGAAGATATTTCCTTTTCCACCGCAGGCCTGAAAGCGCTCCAAATGTCCACTTGGAGGCTCTACGAAAAGAATGTTTCAAAACTGCTCTATGAAAAGCAATGTTATACTCTGGGAGTTGAACACAAGCCTCACAAAGGAGTTTCTGAGAATGCTTCTGTTTACTTTTTACGTGAGGATATTCCCGTTTCCAAAGAAGTCTTCAAAGAGTTCCACCTACCCATTTGCAGATGCTAGCAAAAGAGAGTTTCAAAACTGCTCCATCAAAAGGAATGTTCAACTCTGTGAGTTGCATGCAATCATCACAGAGAAGTTTCTGAGAAGGCTTCTGTCTAGATTTTATGTGAAGATATGACCGTTTCGAACGAAGGCCACAAAGTGCTCCCAATATCCACTTGCAGGTCCTCCAAAAAGAGTGTTTCAAACGTGAACTACCAAAGGAAGGCTCAACTCTGGACTTTGAATGCCAACGTCAGAAGGATGTTTCTGCGAAAGCTTGTGTTTAGTTAGGTGACGTTATCCCGTTTCCAACGAAATCCTCAGAGAGGTCCAAATATCCACCTGCAGAGTCTACAAAAAGTGTGTTTCAAAACTGCTCCACCCAAAGGAATGTTCAGCTCTGTGAGTTGAACTCAATCATCCCAAAGTATTTTCTGAGAATGCTTCTGTCCAGTTTTTACATGAAGCTGTTTCCTTTACTACCGTAGGCCTCAAAGCGTTCCAAACCTCCACTTGCAGATACTACGAAAAGAGCGTTTCAACCTGAACTCACAAGGGAAGGTTCAACTCTGCCAGTTGAATGCCAACATCACCAAGAACTTCTGAGAATGTTCCTCTTCAGTTACGTGAGGTTTATCCCCTTTCCAACGAAATTCTCAGAGAAGTCCCAAAATCCACTTGCATATTCCACAAAAGGTGTGTTTTGAAAATGCGCCATCAAAAGATATGCTCAGCTCTGTGAGTTAAACTCAATCATCGCAAAGTATTTTCTGAGAATGCTTCCGTCTTGTTTTTAGATGAAGTTCTTTCCTTTACTACGATAGGCCTCAAGGAGGTCCAAATGTCCACTTGCAGATTCTGCAGAAGGAGTGTTTCAAACCTGAACTGTCAGAGAAAGGTTCAACACTGTGAGTTGAATGCAAGCATCACGAAGAAGGTTCTGAGAATGCTTCTGTTTACGTAGGTGACTTTTCTCCCGTATCCAACGAAATCCTCAGAGCGGTCCAAATCTCCACTTGCAGATTCTACACAAAGTGTGTTTGGAAACTGCTTCACCCAAAGGAATGTTCAGCTCTGTGAGTTGAACTCAATCGTCACAAAGCGTTTCCTGGGAATGCTCCTGTCTCGCTTTTATGTGCAGTTATATCCTCTACTGCCATAGGCCTCAAAGCGGTCCAAATCTCCCCTTCCAGATTCTACCAAAAGTGTGTTTCCAAACGGCCCCATCAAAGGGGATGTTCAACCCGGTGACTTGAATGCAATGATCACAAAGCAGCTTCTGAGAATGCTTCCATGTAGCTTTGATGAGAAGATATTTCCTTTTCCACCCCAGGCCTCGAAGCCCTCCAAATGTCCCCTTGCAGATGCTAGAAAGAGGGGGTTTCAAAGCTGCTCTATCAAAAGGAAAGTAAAACTCTGTGAGTTGAATGCAAACATCACAAGGAAGTTCCTGAGCATGCTTCCGTTTAGCTTTTACGGGAAGATTATCCCTTTTCCATCGAAATGTTCAAAGAGGTCCACATATCCGCTTGCAGATTCCACCGAAAGAGTGTTTCCAAACTGCTGCATCAAAAGGAATCCTCAGCTCCGTGAGTTGAATGCAATCATCACCAAGAAGTTTCTGACAATGCTTCTCTCTAGTTTTTATGTGAAGATATTTCCTTTTCCACCGCAGGCCTGAAAGCGCTCCAAATGTCCACTTGGAGGCTCTACGAAAAGAATGTTTCAAAACTGCTCTATGAAAAGCAATGTTATACTCTGGGAGTTGAACACAAGCCTCACAAAGGAGTTTCTGAGAATGCTTCTGTTTACTTTTTACGTGAGGATATTCCCGTTTCCAAAGAAGTCTTCACAGAGTTCCACCTATCCATTTGCAGATGCTAGCAAAAGAGAGTTTCAAAACTGCTCCATCAAAAGGAATGTTCAACTCTGTGAGTTGCATGCAATCATCACAGAGAAGTTTCTGAGAAGGCTTCTGTCTAGATTTTATGTGAAGATATGGCCGTTTCGAACGAAGGCCACAAAGCGCTCCCAATATCCACTTGCAGGTCCTCCAAAAAGAGTGTTTCAAACGTGAACTACCAAAGGAAGGCTCAACTCTGGACTTTGAATGCCAACGTCAGAAGGATGTTTCTGCGAAAGCTTGTGTTTAGTTAGGTGACGTTATCCCGTTTCCAACGAAATCCTCAGAGAGGTCCAAATATCCACCTGCAGAGTCTACAAAAAGTGTGTTTCAAAACTGCTCCACCCAAAGGAATGTTCAGCTCTGTGAGTTGAACTCAATCATCCCAAAGTATTTTCTGAGAATGCTTCTGTCCAGTTTTTACATGAAGCTGTTTCCTTTACTACCGTAGGCCTCAAAGCGTTCCAAACCTCCACTTGCAGATACTACGAAAAGAGCGTTTCAACCTGAACTCACAAGGGAAGGTTCAACTCTGCCAGTTGAATGCCAACATCACCAAGAACTTCTGAGAATGTTCCTCTTCAGTTACGTGAGGTTTATCCCCTTTCCAACGAAATTCTCAGAGAAGTCCCAAAATCCACTTGCATATTCCACAAAAGGTGTGTTTTGAAAATGCGCCATCAAAAGATATGCTCAGCTCTGTGAGTTAAACTCAATCATCGCAAAGTATTTTCTGAGAATGCTTCCGTCTTGTTTTTAGATGAAGTTCTTTCCTTTACTACGATAGGCCTCAAGGAGGTCCAAATGTCCACTTGCAGATTCTGCAGAAGGAGTGTTTCAAACCTGAACTGTCAGAGAAAGGTTCAACACTGTGAGTTGAATGCAAGCATCACGAAGAAGGTTCTGAGAATGCTTCTGTTTACGTAGGTGACTTTTCTCCCGTATCCAACGAAATCCTCAGAGCGGTCCAAATCTCCACTTGCAGATTCTACACAAAGTGTGTTTGGAAACTGCTTCACCCAAAGGAATGTTCAGCTCTGTGAGTTGAACTCAATCGTCACAAAGCGTTTCCTGGGAATGCTCCTGTCTCGATTTTATGTGCAGTTATATCCTCTACTGCCATAGGCCTCAAAGCGGTCCAAATCTCCCCTTTCAGATTCTACCAAAAGTGTGTTTCCAAACGGCCCCATCAAAGGGGATGTTCAACTCGGTGACTTGAATGCAATCATCACAAAGCAGCTTCTGAGAATGCTTCCATGTAGGTTTGATGAGAAGATATTTCCTTTTCCACCCCAGGCCTCGAAGCCCTCCAAATGTCCCCTTGCAGATGCTAGAAAGAGGGGGTTTCAAAGCTGCTCTATCAAAAGGAAAGTACAACTCTGTGAGTTGAATGCAAACATCACAAGGAAGTTCCTGAGCATGCTTCCGTTTAGCTTTTACGGGAAGATTATCCCTTTTCCATCGAAATGTTCAAAGAGGTCCACATATCCGCTTGCAGATTCCACCGAAAGAGTGTTTCCAAACTGCTGCATCCAAAGGAATCCTCAGCTCCGTGAGTTGAATGCAATCATCACCAAGAAGTTTCTGACAATGCTTCTCTCTAGTTTTTATGTGAAGATATTTCCTTTTCCACCGCAGGCCTGAAAGCGCTCCAAATGTCCACTTGGAGGCTCTACGAAAAGAATGTTTCAAAACTGCTCTATGAAAAGCAATGTTATACTCTGGGAGTTGAACACAAGCCTCACAAAGGAGTTTCTGAGAATGCTTCTGTTTACTTTTTACGTGAGGATATTCCCGTTTTCAAAGCAGTCTTCACAGAGTTCCACCTATCCATTTGCAGATGCTAGCAAAAGAGAGTTTCAAAACTGCTCCATCAAAAGGAATGTTCAACTCTGTGAGTTGCATGCAATCATCACAGAGAAGTTTCTGAGAATGCTTCTGTCTAGATTTTATGTGAAGATATGGCCGTTTCGAACGAAGGCCACAAAGTGCTCCCAATATCCACTTGCAGGTCCTCCAAAAAGAGTGTTTCAAACGTGAACTACCAAAGGAAGGCTCAACTCTGGACTTTGAATGCCAACGTCAGAAGGATGTTTCTGCGAAAGCTTCTGTTTAGTTAGGTGACGTTATCCCGTTTCCAACGAAATCCTCAGAGAGGTCCAAATATCCACCTGCAGAGTCTACAAAAAGTGTGTTTCAAAACTGCTCCACCCAAAGGAATGTTCAGCTCTGTGAGTTGAACTCAATCATCCCAAAGTATTTTCTGAGAATGCTTCTGTCCAGTTTTTACATGAAGCTGTTTCCTTTACTACTGTAGGCCTCAAAGCGTTCCAAACCTCCACTTGCAGATACTACGAAAAGAGCGTTTCAACCTGAACTCACAAGGGAAGGTTCAACTCTGTCAGTTGAATGCCAACATCACCAAGAACTTCTGAGAATGTTCCTCTTCAGTTATGTGAGGTTTATCCCGTTTCCAACGAAATTCTCAGAGAAGTCCAAAAATCCACTTGCATATTCCACAAAAGGTGTGTTTGGAAAATGCGCCATCAAAAGATATGCTCAGCTCTGTGAGTTAAACTCAATCATCGCAAAGAATTTTCTGAGAATGCTTCCGTCTTGTTTTTAGATGAAGTTCTTTCTTTACTACGATAGGCCTCAAAGAGGTCCAAATCTCCACTTGCAGATTCTGCAGAAGGAGTGTTTCAAACCTGAACTGTCAGAGAAAAGTTCAACACTGTGAGTTGAATGCAAGCATCACGAAGAAGGTTCTGAGAATGCTTCTGTTTACGTAGGTGACTTTTCTCCCTATCCAACGAAATCCTCAGAGCGGTCCAAATCTCCACTTGCAGATTCTACACAAAGTGTGTTTGGAAACTGCTCCACCCACAGGAATGTTCAGCTCTGTGAGTTGAACTCAATGGTCACAAAGCGTTTCCTGGGAATGCTCCTGTCTCGCTTTTATGTGCAGTTATATCCTCTACTGCCATAGGCCTCAAAGCGGTCCAAATCTCCCCTTTCAGATTCTACCAAAAGTGTGTTTCCAAACGGACCCATCAAGGGGGATGTTCAACTCGGTGACTTGAATGCAATCATCACAAAGCAGCTTCTGGGAATGCTTCCATGTAGCTTTGATGAGAAGATATTTCCTTTTCCACCCCAGGCCTCGAAGCCCTCCAAATGTCCCCTTGCAGATGCTAGAAAGAGGGGGTTTCAAAGCTGCTCTATCAAAAGGAAAGTACAACTCTGTGTGTTGAATGCAAACATCACAAGGAAGTTCCTGAGCATGCTTCCGTTTAGCTTTTATGGGAAGATTATCCCTTTTCCATCGAAATGTTCAAACAGGTCCACATATCCGCTTGCAGATTCCACCGAAAGAGTGTTTCCAAACTGCTGCATCCAAAGGAATCCTCAGCTCCGTGAGTTGAATGCAATCATCACCAAGAAGTTTCTGACAATGCTTCTCTCTAGTTTTTATGTGAAGATATTTCCTTTTCCACCGCAGGCCTGAAAGCGCTCCAAATGTCCACTTGGAGGCTCTACGAAAAGAATGTTTCAAAACTGCTCTATGAAAAGCAATGTTATACTCTGGGAGTTGAACACAAGCCTCACAAAGGAGTTTCTGAGAATGCTTCTGTTTACTTTTTACGTGAGGATATTCCCGTTTCCAAAGAAGTCTTCAAAGAGTTCCACCTACCCATTTGCAGATGCTAGCAAAAGAGAGTTTCAAAACTGCTCCATCAAAAGGAATGTTCAACTCTGTGAGTTGCATGCAATCATCACAGAGAAGTTTCTGAGAAGGCTTCTGTCTAGATTTTATGTGAAGATATGACCGTTTCGAACGAAGGCCACAAAGTGCTCCCAATATCCACTTGCAGGTCCTCCAAAAAGAGTGTTTCAAACGTGAACTACCAAAGGAAGGCTCAACTCTGGACTTTGAATGCCAACGTCAGAAGGATGTTTCTGCGAAAGCTTGTGTTTAGTTAGGTGACGTTATCCCGTTTCCAACGAAATCCTCAGAGAGGTCCAAATATCCACCTGCAGAGTCTACAAAAAGTGTGTTTCAAAACTGCTCCACCCAAAGGAATGTTCAGCTCTGTGAGTTGAACTCAATCATCCCAAAGTATTTTCTGAGAATGCTTCTGTCCAGTTTTTACATGAAGCTGTTTCCTTTACTACCGTAGGCCTCAAAGCGTTCCAAACCTCCACTTGCAGATACTACGAAAAGAGCGTTTCAACCTGAACTCACAAGGGAAGGTTCAACTCTGCCAGTTGAATGCCAACATCACCAAGAACTTCTGAGAATGTTCCTCTTCAGTTACGTGAGGTTTATCCCGTTTCCAACGAAATTCTCAGAGAAGTCCCAAAATCCACTTGCATATTCCACAAAAGGTGTGTTTTGAAAATGCGCCATCAAAAGATATGCTCAGCTCTGTGAGTTAAACTCAATCATCGCAAAGTATTTTCTGAGAATGCTTCCGTCTTGTTTTTAGATGAAGTTCTTTCCTTTACTATGATAGGCCTCAAGGAGGTCCAAATCTCCACTTGCAGATTCTGCAGAAGGAGTGTTTCAAACCTGAACTGTCAGAGAAAGGTTCAACACTGTGAGTTGAATGCAAGCATCACGAAGAAGGTTCTGAGAATGCTTCTGTTTACGTAGGTGACTTTTCTCCCGTATCCAACGAAATCCTCAGAGCGGTCCAAATCTCCACTTGCAGATTCTACACAAAGTGTGTTTGGAAACTGCTCCACCCAAAGGAATGTTCAGCTCTGTGAGTTGAACTCAATCGTCACAAAGCGTTTCCTGGGAATGCTCCTGTCTCGCTTTTATGTGCAGTTATATCCTCTACTGCCATAGGCCTCAAAGCGGTCCAAATCTCCCCTTCCAGATTCTACCAAAAGTGTGTTTCCAAACGGCCCCATCAAAGGGGATGTTCAACTCGGTGACTTGAATGCAATCATCACAAAGCAGCTTCTGAGAATGCTTCCATGTAGCTTTGATGAGAAGATATTTCCTTTTCCACCCCAGGCCTCGAAGCCCTCCAAATGTCCCCTTGCAGATGCTAGAAAGAGGGGGTTTCAAAGCTGCTCTATCAAAAGGAAAGTACAACTCTGTGCGTTGAATGCAAACATCACAAGGAAGTTCCTGAGCATGCTTCCGTTTAGCTTTTACGGGAAGATTATCCCTTTTCCATCGAAATGTTCAAAGAGGTCCACATATCCGCTTGCAGATTCCACCGAAAGAGTGTTTCCAAACTGCTGCATCAAAAGGAATCCTCAGCTCCGTGAGTTGAATGCAATCATCACCAAGAAGTTTCTGACAATGCTTCTCTCTAGTTTTTATGTGAAGATATTTCCTTTTCCACCGCAGGCCTGAAAGCGCTCCAAATGTCCACTTGGAGGCTCTACGAAAAGAATGTTTCAAAACTGCTCTATGAAAAGCAATGTTATACTCTGGGAGTTGAACACAAGCCTCACAAAGGAGTTTCTGAGAATGCTTCTGTTTACTTTTTACGTGAGGATATTCCCGTTTCCAAAGAAGTCTTCACAGAGTTCCACCTATCCATTTGCAGATGCTAGCAAAAGAGAGTTTCAAAACTGCTCCATCAAAAGGAATGTTCAACTCTGTGAGTTGCATGCAATCATCACAGAGAAGTTTCTGAGAAGGCTTCTGTCTAGATTTTATGTGAAGATATGGCCGTTTCGAACGAAGGCCACAAAGCGCTCCCAATATCCACTTGCAGGTCCTCCAAAAAGAGTGTTTCAAACGTGAACTACCAAAGGAAGGCTCAACTCTGGACTTTGAATGCCAACGTCAGAAGGATGTTTCTGCGAAAGCTTCTGTTTAGTTAGGTGACGTTATCCCGTTTCCAACGAAATCCTCAGAGAGGTCCAAATATCCACCTGCAGAGTCTACAAAAAGTGTGTTTCAAAACTGCTCCACCCAAAGGAATGTTCAGCTCTGTGAGTTGAACTCAATCATCCCAAAGTATTTTCTGAGAATGCTTCTGTCCAGTTTTTACATGAAGCTGTTTCCTTTACTACCGTAGGCCTCAAAGCGTTCCAAACCTCCACTTGCAGATACTACGAAAAGAGCGTTTCAACCTGAACTCACAAGGGAAGGTTCAACTCTGCCAGTTGAATGCCAACATCACCAAGAACTTCTGAGAATGTTCCTCTTCAGTTACGTGAGGTTTATCCCCTTTCCAACGAAATTCTCAGAGAAGTCCCAAAATCCACTTGCATATTCCACAAAAGGTGTGTTTTGAAAATGCGCCATCAAAAGATATGCTCAGCTCTGTGAGTTAAACTCAATCATCGCAAAGTATTTTCTGAGAATGCTTCCGTCTTGTTTTTAGATGAAGTTCTTTCCTTTACTACGATAGGCCTCAAGGAGGTCCAAATGTCCACTTGCAGATTCTGCAGAAGGAGTGTTTCAAACCTGAACTGTCAGAGAAAGGTTCAACACTGTGAGTTGAATGCAAGCATCACGAAGAAGGTTCTGAGAATGCTTCTGTTTACGTAGGTGACTTTTCTCCCGTATCCAACGAAATCCTCAGAGCGGTCCAAATCTCCACTTGCAGATTCTACACAAAGTGTGTTTGGAAACTGCTTCACCCAAAGGAATGTTCAGCTCTGTGAGTTGAACTCAATCGTCACAAAGCGTTTCCTGGGAATGCTCCTGTCTCGATTTTATGTGCAGTTATATCCTCTACTGCCATAGGCCTCAAAGCGGTCCAAATCTCCCCTTTCAGATTCTACCAAAAGTGTGTTTCCAAACGGCCCCATCAAAGGGGATGTTCAACTCGGTGACTTGAATGCAATCATCACAAAGCAGCTTCTGAGAATGCTTCCATGTAGGTTTGATGAGAAGATATTTCCTTTTCCACCCCAGGCCTCGAAGCCCTCCAAATGTCCCCTTGCAGATGCTAGAAAGAGGGGGTTTCAAAGCTGCTCTATCAAAAGGAAAGTACAACTCTGTGAGTTGAATGCAAACATCACAAGGAAGTTCCTGAGCATGCTTCCGTTTAGCTTTTACGGGAAGATTATCCCTTTTCCATCGAAATGTTCAAAGAGGTCCACATATCCGCTTGCAGATTCCACCGAAAGAGTGTTTCCAAACTGCTGCATCCAAAGGAATCCTCAGCTCCGTGAGTTGAATGCAATCATCACCAAGAAGTTTCTGACAATGCTTCTCTCTAGTTTTTATGTGAAGATATTTCCTTTTCCACCGCAGGCCTGAAAGCGCTCCAAATGTCCACTTGGAGGCTCTACGAAAAGAATGTTTCAAAACTGCTCTATGAAAAGCAATGTTATACTCTGGGAGTTGAACACAAGCCTCACAAAGGAGTTTCTGAGAATGCTTCTGTTTACTTTTTACGTGAGGATATTCCCGTTTTCAAAGCAGTCTTCACAGAGTTCCACCTATCCATTTGCAGATGCTAGCAAAAGAGAGTTTCAAAACTGCTCCATCAAAAGGAATGTTCAACTCTGTGAGTTGCATGCAATCATCACAGAGAAGTTTCTGAGAATGCTTCTGTCTAGATTTTATGTGAAGATATGGCCGTTTCGAACGAAGGCCACAAAGTGCTCCCAATATCCACTTGCAGGTCCTCCAAAAAGAGTGTTTCAAACGTGAACTACCAAAGGAAGGCTCAACTCTGGACTTTGAAGGCCAACGTCAGAAGGATGTTTCTGCGAAAGCTTCTGTTTAGTTAGGTGACGTTATCCCGTTTCCAACGAAATCCTCAGAGAGGTCCAAATATCCACCTGCAGAGTCTACAAAAAGTGTGTTTCAAAACTGCTCCACCCAAAGGAATGTTCAGCTCTGTGAGTTGAACTCAATCATCCCAAAGTATTTTCTGAGAATGCTTCTGTCCAGTTTTTACATGAAGCTGTTTCCTTTACTACTGTAGGCCTCAAAGCGTTCCAAACCTCCACTTGCAGATACTACGAAAAGAGCGTTTCAACCTGAACTCACAAGGGAAGGTTCAACTCTGTCAGTTGAATGCCAACATCACCAAGAACTTCTGAGAATGTTCCTCTTCAGTTATGTGAGGTTTATCCCGTTTCCAACGAAATTCTCAGAGAAGTCCAAAAATCCACTTGCATATTCCACAAAAGGTGTGTTTGGAAAATGCGCCATCAAAAGATATGCTCAGCTCTGTGAGTTAAACTCAATCATCGCAAAGAATTTTCTGAGAATGCTTCCGTCTTGTTTTTAGATGAAGCTCTTTCCTTTACTACGATAGGCCTCAAAGAGGTCCAAATCTCCACTTGCAGATTCTGCAGAAGGAGTGTTTCAAACCTGAACTGTCAGAGAAAAGTTCAACACTGTGAGTTGAATGCAAGCATCACGAAGAAGGTTCTGAGAATGCTTCTGTTTACGTAGGTGACTTTTCTCCCGTATCCAACGAAATCCTCAGAGCGGTCCAAATCTCCACTTGCAGATTCTACACAAAGTGTGTTTGGAAACTGCTCCACCCAAAGGAATGTTCAGCTCTGTGAGTTGAACTCAATGGTCACAAAGCGTTTCCTGGGAATGCTCCTGTCTCGCTTTTATGTGCAGTTATATCCTCTACTGCCATAGGCCTCAAAGCGTTCCAAATCTCCCCTTTCAGATTCTACCAAAAGTGTGTTTCCAAACGGCCCCATCAAAGGGGATGTTCAACTCGGTGACTTGAATGCAATCATCACAAAGCAGCTTCTGAGAATGCTTCCATGTAGCTCTGATGAGAAGATATTTCCTTTTCCACCCCAGGCCTCGAAGCCCCCCAAATGTCCCCTTGCAGATGCTAGAAAGAGGGGGTTTCAAAGCTGCTCTATCAAAAGGAAAGTACAACTCTGTGAGTTGAATGCAAACATCACAAGGAAGTTCCTGAGCATGCTTCCGTTTAGCTTTTACGGGAAGATTATCCCTTTTCCATCGAAATGTTCAAAGAGGTCCACATATCCGCTTGCAGATTCCACCGAAAGAGTGTTTCCAAACTGCTGCATCCAAAGGAATCCTCAGCTCCGTGAGTTGAATGCAATCATCACCAAGAAGTTTCTGACAATGCTTCTCTCTAGTTTTTATGTGAAGATATTTCCTTTTCCACCGCAGGCCTGAAAGCGCTCCAAATGTCCACTTGGAGGCTCTACGAAAAGAATGTTTCAAAACTGCTCTATGAAAAGCAATGTTATACTCTGGGAGTTGAACACAAGCCTCACAAAGGAGTTTCTGAGAATGCTTCTGTTTACTTTTTACGTGAGGATATTCCCGTTTCCTAAGAAGTCTTCACAGAGTTCCACCTATCCATTTGCAGATGCTAGCAAAAGAGAGTTTCAAAACTGCTTCATCAAAAGGAATGTTTAACTCTGTGAGTTGCATGCAATCATCACAGAGAAGTTTCTGAGAATGCTTCTGTCTAGATTTTATGTGAAGATATGGCCGTTTCGAATGAAGGCCACAAAGTGCTCCCAATATTCACTTGCAGGTCCTCCAAAAAGAGTGTTTCAAACGTGAACTACCAAAGGAAGGCTCAACTCTGGACTTTGAATGCCAACGTCAGAAGGATGTTTCTGCGAAAGCTTCTGTTTAGTTAGGTGACGTTATCCCGTCTCCAACGAAATCCTCAGAGAGGTCCAAATATCCACCTGCAGAGTCTACAAAAAGTGTGTTTCAAAACTGCTCCACCCAAAGGAATGTTCAGCTCTGTGAGTTGAACTCAATCATCCCAAAGTATTTTCTGAGAATGCTTCTGTCCAGTTTTTACATGAAGCTGTTTCCTTTACTACCGTAGGCCTCAAAGGGTTCCAAACCTCCACTTGCAGATACTACGAAAAGAGCGTTTCAACCTGAACTCACAAGGGAAGGTTCAACTCTGTCAGTTGAATGCCAACATCACCAAGAAGTTCTGAGAATGTTCCTCTTCAGTTACGTGAGGTTTATCCCATTTCCAACGAAATTCTCAGAGAAGTCCCAAAATCCACTTGCATATTCCAAAAAAGGTGTGTTTTGAAAATGCGCCATCAAAAGATATGCTCAGCTCTGTGAGTTAAACTCAATCATCGCAAAGAATTTTCTGAGAATGCTTCCGTCTTGTTTTTAGATGAAGTTCTTTCCTTTACTATGATAGGCCTCAAGGAGGTCCAAATCTCCACTTGCAGATTCTGCAGAAGGAGTGTTTCAAACCTGAACTGTCAGAGAAAAGTTCAACACTGTGAGTTGAATGCAAGCATCACGAAGAAGGTTCTGAGAATGCTTCTGTTTACGTAGGTGACTTTTCTCCCTCTCCAACGAAATCCTCAGAGCGGTGCAAATCTCCACTTGCAGATTCTACACAAAGTGTGTTTGGAAACTGCTCCACCCAAAGGAATGTTCAGCTCTGTGAGTTGAACTCAATGGTCACAAAGCGTTTCCTGGGAATGCTCCTGTCTCGCTTTTCTGTGCAGTTATATCCTCTACTGCCATAGGCCTCAAAGCGGTCCAAATCTCCCCTTTCAGATTCTACCAAAAGTGTGTTTCCAAACGGCCCCATCAAAGGGGATGTTCAACTCGGTGACTTGAATGCAATCATCACAAAGCAGCTTCTGAGAATGCTTCCATGTAGCTTTGATGAGAAGATATTTCCTTTTCCACCCCAGGCCTCGAAGCCCTCCAAATGTCCCCTTGCAGATGCTAGAAAGAGGGGGTTTCAAAGCTGCTCTATCAAAAGGAAAGTACAACTCTGTGAGTTGAATGCAAACATCACAAGGAAGTTCCTGAGCATGCTTCCGTTTAGCTTTTACGGGAAGATTATCCCTTTTCCATCGAAATGTTCAAAGAGGTCCACATATCCGCTTGCAGATTCCACCGAAAGAGTGTTTCCAAACTGCTGCATCCAAAGGAATCCTCAGCTCCGTGAGTTGAATGCAATCATCACCAAGAAGTTTCTGACAATGCTTCTCTCTAGTTTTTATGTGAAGATATTTCCTTTTCCACCGCAGGCCTGAAAGCGCTCCAAATGTCCACTTGGAGGCTCTACGAAAAGAATGTTTCAAAACTGCTCTATGAAAAGCAATGTTATACTCTGGGAGTTGAACACAAGCCTCACAAAGGAGTTTCTGAGAATGCTTCTGTTTACTTTTTACGTGAGGATATTCCCGTTTCCAAAGAAGTCTTCACAGAGTTCCACCTATCCATTTGCAGATGCTAGCAAAAGAGAGTTTCAAAACTGCTCCATCAAAAGGAATGTTTAACTCTGTGAGTTGCATGCAATCATCACAGAGAAGTTTCTGAGAATGCTTCTGTCTAGATTTTATGTGAAGATATGGCCGTTTCGAACGAAGGCCACAAAGTGCTCCCAATATCCACTTGCAGGTCCTCCAAAAAGAGTGTTTCAAACGTGAACTACCAAAGGAAGGCTCAACTCTGGACTTTGAAGGCCAACGTCAGAAGGATGTTTCTGCGAAAGCTTCTGTTTAGTTAGGTGACGTTATCCCGTCTGCAACGAAATCCTCAGAGAGGTCCAAATATCCACCTGCAGAGTCTACAAAAAGTGTGTTTCAAAACTGCTCCACCCAAAGGAATGTTCAGCTCTGTGAGTTGAACTCAATCATCCCAAAGTATTTTCTGAGAATGCTTCTGTCCAGTTTTTACATGAAGCTGTTTCCTTTACTACTGTAGGCCTCAAAGCGTTCCAAACCTCCACTTGCAGATACTACGAAAAGAGCGTTTCAACCTGAACTCACAAGGGAAGGTTCAACTCTGTCAGTTGAATGCCAACATCACCAAGAACTTCTGAGAATGTTCCTCTTCAGTTACGTGAGGTTTATCCCGTTTCCAACGAAATTCTCAGAGAAGTCCCAAAATCCACTTGCATATTCCACAAAAGGTGTGTTTGGAAAATGCGCCATCAAAAGATATGCTCAGCTCTGTGAGTTAAACTCAATCATCGCAAAGAATTTTCTGAGAATGCTTCCGTCTTGTTTTTAGATGAAGTTCTTTCCTTTACTACGATAGGCCTCAAAGAGGTCCAAATCTCCACTTGCAGATTCTGCAGAAGGAGTGTTTCAAACCTGAACTGTCAGAGAAAAGTTCAACACTGTGAGTTGAATGCAAGCATCACGAAGAAGGTTCTGAGAATGCTTCTGTTTACGTAGGTGACTTTTCTCCCTATCCAACGAAATCCTCAGAGCGGTCCAAATCTCCACTTGCAGATTCTACACAAAGTGTGTTTGGAAATTGCTCCACCCACAGGAATGTTCAGCTCTGTGAGTTGAACTCAATGGTCACAAAGCGTTTCCTGGGAATGCTCCTGTCTCGCTTTTATGTGCAGTTATATCCTCTACTGCCATAGGCCTCAAAGCGGTCCAAATCTCCCCTTTCAGATTCTACCAAAAGTGTGTTTCCAAACGGACCCATCAAGGGGGATGTTCAATTCGGTGACTTGAATGCAATCATCACAAAGCAGCTTCTGGGAATGCTTCCATGTAGCTTTGATGAGAAGATATTTCCTTTTCCACCCCAGGCCTCGAAGCCCTCCAAATGTCCCCTTGCAGATGCTAGAAAGAGGGGGTTTCAAAGCTGCTCTATCAAAAGGAAAGTACAACTCTGTGTGTTGAATGCAAACATCACAAGGAAGTTCCTGAGCATGCTTCCGTTTAGCTTTTATGGGAAGATTATCCCTTTTCCATCGAAATGTTCAAACAGGTCCACATATCCGCTTGCAGATTCCACCGAAAGAGTGTTTCCAAACTGCTGCATCCAAAGGAATCCTCAGCTCCGTGAGTTGAATGCAATCATCACCAAGAAGTTTCTGACAATGCTTCTCTCTAGTTTTTATGTGAAGATATTTCCTTTTCCACCGCAGGCCTGAAAGCGCTCCAAATGTCCACTTGGAGGCTCTACGAAAAGAATGTTTCAAAACTGCTCTATGAAAAGCAATGTTATACTCTGGGAGTTGAACACAAGCCTCACAAAGGAGTTTCTGAGAATGCTTCTGTTTACTTTTTACGTGAGGATATTCCCGTTTCCAAAGAAGTCTTCACAGAGTTCCACCTATCCATTTGCAGATGCTAGCAAAAGAGAGTTTCAAAACTGCTTCATCAAAAGGAATGTTTAACTCTGTGAGTTGCATGCAATCATCACAGAGAAGTTTCTGAGAATGCTTCTGTCTAGATTTTATGTGAAGATATGGCCGTTTCGAATGAAGGCCACAAAGTGCTCCCAATATTCACTTGCAGGTCCTCCAAAAAGAGTGTTTCAAACGTGAACTACCAAAGGAAGGCCAAATCTGGACTTTGAAGGCCAACGTCAGAAGGATGTTTCTGCGAAAGCTTCTGTTTAGTTAGGTGACGTTATCCCGTTTCCAACGAAATACTCAGAGAGGTCCAAATATCCACCTGCGGAGTCTACAAAAAGTGTGTTTCCAAACTGCTCCACCCAAAGGAATGTTCAGCTCTGTGAGTTGTACTCAATCGTCCCGAAGTATTTTCTGAGAATGCTTCTGCCCAGTTTTTACGTGAAGCTGTTTCCTTTACTACCGTAGGCCTGAAAGCGTTCCAAACCTCCACTTGCAGATACTACGAAAAGAGCGTTTCAACCTGAACTCACAAGGGAAGGTTCAACTCTGTCAGTTGAATGCCAACATCACCAAGAAGTTCTGAGAATGTTCCTCTTCAGTTATGTGAGGTTTATCCCGTTTCCCACGAAATTCTCAGAGAAGTCCCAAAATCCACTTGCATATTCCACAAAAGGTGTGTTTGTAAAATGCGCCATCAAAAGATATGCTCAGCTCTGTGAGTTAAACTCAATCATTGCAAAGAATTTTCTGAGAATGCTTCCGTCTTGTTTTTAGATGAAGTTCTTTCCTTTACTACGATAGGCCTCAAAGAGGTCCAAATCTCCACTGGCAGATTCTGCAGAAGGAGTGTTTCAAATCTGAACTGTCAGAGAAAGGTTCAACACTGTGAGTTGAATGCAAGCATCACGAAGAAGGTTCTGAGAATGCTTCTGTTTACGTAGGTGACTTTTCTCCCGTATCCAGCGAAATCCTCAGAGCGGTCCAAATCTCCACTTGCAGATTCTACACAAAGTGTGTTTGGAAACTGCTCCACCCAAAGGAATGTTCGGCTCTGTGAGTTGAACTCAATGGTCACAAAGCGTTTCCTGGGAATGCTCCTTTCTCGCTTTTATGTACAGTTATATCCTCTACTGACATAGGCCACAAAGCGGTCCAAATCTCCCCTTTCAGATTCTACCAGAAATGTGTTTCCAAACGGCCCCATCAAAGGGAATGTTCAACTCAGTGACTTGAATGCAATCATCACAAAGCAGCTTCTGAGAATGCTTCCATGTAGCTTTGATGAGAAGATATTTCCTTTTCCACCCCAGGCCTCGAAGCCCTCCAAATGTCCCCTTGCAGATGCTAGAAAGAGGGGGTTTCAAAGCTGCTCTATCAGAAGGAAAGTACAACTCTGTGAGTTGAATGCAAACATCACAAGGAAGTTCCTGAGCATGCTTCCGTTTAGCTTTTACGGGAAGATTATCCCTTTTCCATCGAAATGTTCAAAGAGGTCCACATATCTGCTTGCAGATTCCACCCAAAGAGTGTTTCCAAACTGCTGCATCCAAAGGAATCCTCAGCTCCGTGAGTTGAATGCAATCATCACCAAGAAGTTTCTGACAATGCTTCTCTCTAGTTTTTATGTGAAGATATTTCCTTTTCCACCGCAGGCCTGAAAGCGCTCCAAATGTCCACTTGGAGGCTCTACGAAAAGAATGTTTCAAAACTGCTCTATGAAAAGCAATGTTATACTCTGGGAGTTGAACACAAGCCTCACAAAGGAGTTTCTGAGAATGCTTCTGTTTACTTTTTACGTGAGGATATTCCCGTTTCCGAAGAAGTCTTCACAGAGTTCCACCTATCCATTTGCAGATGCTAGCAAAAGAAAGTTTCAAAACTGCTCCATCAAAAGGAACGTTCAACTCTGTGAGTTGCATGCAATCATCACAGAGAAGTTTCTGAGAAGGCTTCTGTCTAGATTTTACGTGAAGATATAGCCGTTTCGAACGAAGGCCACAAAGTGCTCCAAATATCCACTTGCAGGTCCTCCAAAAAGAGTGTTTCAAACGTGAACTACCAAAGGAAGGCTCAACTCTGGACTTTGAAGGCCAACGTCAGAAGGATGTTTCTGCGAAAGCTTCTGTTTAGTTAGGTGACGTTATCCCGTTTCCAACGAAATCCTCAGAGAGGTCCAAATATCCACCTGGTGAGTCTACAGAAAGTGTGTTTCCAAACTGCTCCACCCAAAGGAATGTTCAGCTCTGTGAGTTGAACTCAATCGTCCGAAAGCATTTTCTGAGAATGCTTCTGTCCAGTTTTTACATGAAGCTGTTTCCTTTACTACCGTAGGCCTCAAAGCGTTCCAAACCTCCACTTGCAGATCCTACGAAAAGAGCGTTTCAACCTGAACTCACAAGGGAAGGTTCAACTCTGTCAGTTGAATGCCAACATCACCAAGAAGTTCTGAGAATGTTCCTCTTCAGTTATGTGAGGTTTATCCCGTTTCCAACGAAATTCTCAGAGAAGTCCCAAAATCCTCTTGCATATTCCACAAAAGGTGTGTTTGGAAAATGCGCCATCAAAAGATATGCTCAGCTCTGTGAGTTAAACTCAAGCATCGCAAAGAATTTTCTGAGAATGCTTCCGTCTTGTTTTTAGATGAAGTTCTTTCCTTTACTACGATAGGCCTCAAAGAGGTACAAATCTCCACTTGCAGATTCTGCAGAAGGAGTGTTTCAAACCTGAACTGTCAGAGAAAGGTTCAACACTGTGAGTTGAATGCAAGCATCACGAAGAAGGTTCTGACAATGCTTCTGTTTACATAGGTGACTTTTCTCCCGTATCCAGCGAAATCCTCAGAGCGGTCCAAATCTCCACTTGCAGATTCTACACAAAGTGTGTTTGGAAACTGCTCCACCCAAAGGAATGTTCAGCTCTGTGAGTTGAACTCAATGGTCACAAAGCGTTTCCTGGGAATGCTCCTGTCTCGCTTTTATGTGCAGTTATATCCTCTACTGCCATAGGCCTCAAAGCGGTCCAAATCTCCCCTTTCAGATTCTACCAGAAGTGTGTTTCCAAACGGCCCCATCAAAGGGGATGTTCAACTCGGTGAGTTGAATGCAATCATCACAAAGCAGCTTCTGAGAATGCTTCCATGTAGCTTTGATGAGAAGATATTTCCTTTTCCACCCCAGGCCTCGAAGCCCTCCAAATGTCCCCTTGCCGATGCTAGAAAGAGGGGGTTTCAAAGCTGCTCTATCAAAAGGAAAGTACAACTCTGTGAGTTGAATGCAAACATCACAAGGAAGTTCCTGAGCATGCTTCCGTTTAGCTTTTACGGGAAGATTATCCCTTTTCCATCGAAATGTTCAAAGAGGTCCACATATCCTTTTGCAGATTCCACCGAAAGAGTGTTTCCAAACTGCTGCATCCAAAGGAATCCTCAGCTCCGTGAGTTGAATGCAATCATCACCAAGAAGTTTCTGACAATGCTTCTCTCTAGTTTTTATGTGAAGATATTTCCTTTTCCACCGCAGGCCTGAAAGCGCTCCAAATGTCCACTTGGAGGCTCTACGAAAAGAATGTTTCAAAACTGCTCTATGAAACGCAATGTTATACTCTGGGAGTTGAACACAAGCCTCACAAAGGAGTTTCTGAGAATGCTTCTGTTTACTTTTTACGTGAGGATATTCCCGTTTCCAAAGAAGTCTTCACAGAGTTCCACCTATACATTTGCAGATGTTAGCAAAAGAGAGTTTCAAAACTGCTCCATCAAAAGGAATGTTCAACTCTGTGAGTTGCATGCAATCATCACAGAGAAGTTTCTGAGAAGGCTTCTGTCTAGATTTTACATGAAGATATAGCCGTTTCGAACGAAGGCCACAAAGTGCTCCAAATATCCACTTGCAGGTCCTCCAAAAAGAGTGTTTCAAACGTGAACTACCAAAGGAAGGCTCAACTCTGGACTTTGAAGGCCAACGTCAGAAGGATGTTTCTGCGAAAGCTTCTGTTTAGTTAGGTGACGTTATCCCGTTTCCAACGAAATCCTCAGAGAGGTCCAAATATCCACCTGCGGAGTCTACAAAAAGTGTGTTTCCAAACTGCTCCACCCAAAGGAATGTTCAGCTCTGTGAGTTGTACTCAATCGTCCCGAAGTATTTTCTGAGAATGCTTCTGCCCAGTTTTTACATGAAGCTGTTTCCTTTACTACCGTAGGCCTCAAAGCGTTCCAAACCTCCACTTGCAGATCCTACGAAAAGAGCGTTTCAACCTGAACTCACAAGGGAAGGTTCAACTCTGTCAGTTGAATGCCAACATCACCAAGAAGTTCTGAGAATGTTCCTCTTCAGTTATGTGAGGTTTATCCCGTTTCCCACGAAATTCTCAGAGAAGTCCCAAAATCCACTTGCATATTCCACAAAAGGTGTGTTTGTAAAATGCGCCATCAAAAGATATGCTCAGCTCTGTGAGTTAAACTCAATCATCGCAAAGAATTTTCTGAGAATGCTTCCGTCTTGTTTTTAGATGAAGTTCTTTCCTTTACTACGATAGGCCTCAAAGAGGTCCAAATCTCCACTGGCAGATTCTGCAGAAGGAGTGTTTCAAACCTGAACTGTCAGAGAAAGGTTCAACACTGTGAGTTGAATGCAAGCATCACGAAGAAGGTTCTGAGAATGCTTCTGTTTACGTAGGTGACTTTTCTCCCATATCCAGCGAAATCCTCAGAGCGGTCCATATCTCCACTTGCAGATTCTACACAAAGTGTGTTTGGAAACTGCTCCACCCAAAGGAATGTTCGGCTCTGTGAGTTGAACTCAATGGTCAGAAAGCGTTTCCTGGGAATGCTCCTGTCTCGCTTTTATGTACAGTTATATCCTCTACTGCCATAGGCCTCAAAGCGGTCCAAATCTCCCCTTTCAGATTCTACCAGAAATGTGTTTCCAAACGGCCCCATCAAAGGGGATGTTCAACTCGGTGACTTGAATGCAATCATCACAAAGCAGCTTCTGAGAATGCTTCCATGTAGCTTTGATGAGAAGATATTTCCTTTTCCACCCCAGGCCTCGAAGCCCTCCAAATGTCCCCTTGCAGATGCTAGAAAGAGGGGGTTTCAAAGCTGCTCTATCAAAAGGAAAGTACAACTCTGTGAGTTGAATGCAAACATCACAAGGAAGTTCCTGAGCATGCTTCCGTTTAGCTTTTACGGGAAGATTATCCCTTTTCCATCGAAATGTTCAAAGAGGTCCACATATCCGCTTGCAGATTCCACACAAAGAGTGTTTCCAAACTGCTGCATCCAAAGGAATCCTCAGCTCCGTGAGTTGAATGCAATCATCACCAAGAAGTTTCTGACAATGCTTCTCTCTAGTTTTTATGTGAAGATATTTCCTTTTCCACCGCAGGCCTGAAAGCGCTCCAAATGTCCACTTGGAGGCTCTACGAAAAGAATGTTTCAAAACTGCTCTATGAAAAGCAATGTTATACTCTGGGAGTTGAACACAAGACTCACAAAGGTGTTTCTGAGAATGCTTGTGTTTACTTTTTACGTGAGGATATTCCCGTTTCCAAAGAAGTCTTCACAGAGTTCCACCTATCCATTTGCAGATGCTAGCAAAAGAGAGTTTCAAAACTGCTCCATCAAAAGGAATGTTCAACTCTGTGACTTGCATGCAATCATCACAGAGAAGTTTCTGAGAAGGCTTCTGTCTAGATTGTATGTGAAGATATAGCCGTTTCGAACGAAGGCCACAAAGTGCTCCAAATATCCACTTGCAGGTCCTCCAAAAAGAGTGTTTCAAACGTGAACTACCAAAGGAAGGCTCAACTCTGGACTTTGAAGGCCAACGTCAGAAGGATGTTTCTGCGAAAGCTTCTGTTTAGTTAGGTGACGTTATCCCGTTTCCAACGAAATACTCAGAGAGGTCCAAATATCCATCTGCGGAGTCTACAAAAAGTGTGTTTCCAAACTGCTCCACCCAAAGGAATGTTCAGCTCTGTGAGTTGTACTCAATCGTCCCGAAGTATTTTCTGAGAATGCTTCTGCCCAGTTTTTACGTGAAGCTGTTTCCTTTACTACCGTAGGCCTGAAAGCGTTCCAAACCTCCACTTGCAGATACTACGAAAAGAGCGTTTCAACCTGAACTCACAAGGGAAGGCTCAACTCTGTCAGTTGAATGCCAACATCACCAAGAAGATCTGAGAATGTTCCTCTTCAGTTATGTGAGGTTTATCCCGTTTCCCACGAAATTCTCAGAGAAGTCCCAAAATCCACTTGCATATTCTACAAAAGGTGTGTTTGTAAAATGCGCCATCAAAAGATATGCTCAGCTCTGTGAGTTAAACTCAATCATCGCAAAGAATTTTCTGAGAATGCTTCCGTCTTGTTTTTAGATGAAGTTCTTTCCTTTACTACGATAGGCCTCAAAGAGGTCCAAATCTCCACTGGCAGATTCTGCAGAAGGAGTGTTTCAAACCTGAACTGTCAGAGAAAGGTTCAACACTGTGAGTTGAATGCAAGCATCACGAAGAAGGTTCTGAGAATGCTTCTGTTTACGTAGGTGACTTTTCTCCCATATCCAGCGAAATCCTCAGAGCGGTCCATATCTCCACTTGCAGATTCTACACAAAGTGTGTTTGGAAACTGCTCCACCCAAAGGAATGTTCGGCTCTGTGAGTTGAACTCAATGGTCACAAAGCGTTTCCTGGGAATGCTCCTGTCTCGCTTTTATGTACAGTTATATCCTCTACTGCCATAGGCCTCAAAGCGGTCCAAATCTCCCCTTTCAGATTCTACCAGAAATGTGTTTCCAAACGGCCCCATCAAAGGGGATGTTCAACTCGGTGACTTGAATGCAATCATCACAAAGCAGCTTCTGAGAATGCTTCCATGTAGCTTTGATGAGAAGATATTTCCTTTTCCACCCCAGGCCTCGAAGCCCTCCAAATGTCCCCTTGCAGATGCTAGAAAGAGGGGGTTTCAAAGCTGCTCTATCAAAAGGAAAGTACAACTCTGTGAGTTGAATGCAAACATCACAAGGAAGTTCCTGAGCATGCTTCCGTTTAGCTTTTACGGGAAGATTATCCCTTTTCCATCGAAATGTTCAAAGAGGTCCACATATCCGCTTGCAGATTCCACACAAAGAGTGTTTCCAAACTGCTGCATCCAAAGGAATCCTCAGCTCCGTGAGTTGAATGCAATCATCACCAAGAAGTTTCTGACAATGCTTCTCTCTAGTTTTTATGTGAAGATATTTCCTTTTCCACCGCAGGCCTGAAAGCGCTCCAAATGTCCACTTGGAGGCTCTACGAAAAGAATGTTTCAAAACTGCTCTATGAAAAGCAATGTTATACTCTGGGAGTTGAACACAAGACTCACAAAGGAGTTTCTGAGAATGCTTGTGTTTACTTTTTACGTGAGGATATTCCCGTTTCCAAAGAAGTCTTCACAGAGTTCCACCTATCCATTTGCAGATGCTAGCAAAAGAGAGTTTCAAAACTGCTCCATCAAAAGGAATGTTCAACTCTGTGACTTGCATGCAATCATCACAGAGAAGTTTCTGAGAAGGCTTCTGTCTAGATTGTATGTGAAGATATAGCCGTTTCGAACGAAGGCCACAAAGTGCTCCAAATATCCACTTGCAGGTCCTCCAAAAAGAGTGTTTCAAACGTGAACTACCAAAGGAAGGCTCAACTCTAGACTTTGAAGGCCAACGTCAGAAGGATGTTTCTGCGAAAGCTTCTGTTTAGTTAGGTGACGTTATCCCGTTTCCAACGAAATACTCAGAGAGGTCCAAATATCCACCTGCGGAGTCTACAAAAAGTGTGTTTCCAAACTGCTCCACCCAAAGGAATGTTCAGCTCTGTGAGTTGTACTCAATCGTCCCGAAGTATTTTCTGAGAATGCTTCTGCCCAGTTTTTACGTGAAGCTGTTTCCTTTACTACCGTAGGCCTGAAAGCGTTCCAAACCTCCACTTGCAGATACTACGAAAAGAGCGTTTCAACCTGAACTCACAAGGGAAGGTTCAACTCTGTCAGTTGAATGCCAACATCACCAAGAAGATCTGAGAATGTTCCTCTTCAGTTATGTGAGGTTTATCCCGTTTCCCACGAAATTCTCAGAGAAGTCCCAAAATCCACTTGCATATTCCACAAAAGGTGTGTTTGTAAAATGCGCCATCAAAAGATATGCTCAGCTCTGTGAGTTAAACTCAATCATCGCAAAGAATTTTCTGAGAATGCTTCCGTCTTGTTTTTAGATGAAGTTCTTTCCTTTACTACGATAGGCCTCAAAGAGGTCCAAATCTCCACTGGCAGATTCTGCAGAAGGAGTGTTTCAAACCTGAACTGTCAGAGAAAGGTTCAACACTGTGAGTTGAATGTAAGCATCATGAAGAAGGTTCTGAGAATGCTTCTGTTTACGTAGGTGACTTTTCTGCCGTATCCAGCGAAATCCTCAGAGCGGTCCAAATCTCCACTTGCAGATTCTACACAAAGTGTGTTTGGAAACTGCTCCACCCAAAGGAATGTTCAGCTCTGTGAGTTGAACTCAATCGTCACAAAGCGTTTCCTGGGAATGCTCCTGTCTCGCTTTTATGTGCAGTTATATCCTCTACTGCCATAGGCCTCAAAGCGGTCCAAATCTCCCCTTTCAGATTCTACCAGAAGTGTGTTTCCAAACGGCCCCATCAAAGGGGATGTTCAACTCGGTGACTTGAATGCAATCATCACAAAGCAGCTTCTGAGAATGCTTCCATGTAGCTTTGATGAGAAGATATTTCCTTTTCCACCCCAGGCCTCGAAGCCCTCCAAATGTCCCCTTGCAGATGCTAGAAAGAGGGGGTTTCAAAGCTGCTCTATCAAAAGGAAAGTACAACTCTGTGAGTTGAATGCAAACATCACAAGGAAGTTCCTGAGCATGCTTCCGTTTAGCTTTTACGGGAAGATTATCCCTTTTCCATCGAAATGTTCAAAGAGGTCCACATATCCGCTTGCAGATTCCACCGAAAGAGTGTTTCCAAACTGCTGCATCCAAAGGAATCCTCAGCTCCGTGAGTTGAAGGCAATCATCACCAAGAAGTTTCTGACAATGCTTCCCTCTAGCTTTTATGTGAAGATATTTCCTTTTCCACCGCAGGCCTGAAAGCGTTCCAAATGTCCACTTGGAGGCTCTACGAAAAGAATGTTTCAAAACTGCTCTATGAAAAGCAATGTTATACTCTGGGAGTTGAACACAAGCCTCACAAAGGAGTTTCTGAGAATGCTTCTGTTTACTTTTTACGTGAGGATATTCCCGTTTCCAAAGAAGTCTTCACAGAGTTCCACCTATCCATTTGCAGATGCTAGCAAAAGAGAGTTTCAAAACTGCTCCATCAAAAGGAATGTTCAACTCTGTGAGTTGCATGCAATCATCACAGAGAAGTTTCTGAGAAGGCTTCTGTCTAGATTTTACGTGAAGATATAGCCGTTTCGAACGAAGGCCACAAAGTGCTCCAAATATCCACTTGCAGGTCCTCCAAAAAGAGTGTTTCAAACGTGAACTACCAAAGGAAGGCCAAATCTGGACTTTGAAGGCCAACGTCAGAAGGATGTTTCTGCGAAAGCTTCTGTTTAGTTAGGTGACGTTATCCCGTTTCCAACGAAATACTCAGAGAGGTCCAAATATCCACCTGCGGAGTCTACAAAAAGTGTGTTTCCAAACTGCTCCACCCAAAGGAATGTTCAGCTCTGTGAGTTGTACTCAATCGTCCCGAAGTATTTTCTGAGAATGCTTCTGCCCAGTTTTTACGTGAAGCTGTTTCCTTTACTACCGTAGGCCTGAAAGCGTTCCAAACCTCCACTTGCAGATACTACGAAAAGAGCGTTTCAACCTGAACTCACAAGGGAAGGTTCAACTCTGTCAGTTGAATGCCAACATCACCAAGAAGTTCTGAGAATGTTCCTCTTCAGTTATGTGAGGTTTATCCCGTTTCCCACGAAATTCTCAGAGAAGTCCCAAAATCCACTTGCATATTCCACAAAAGGTGTGTTTGTAAAATGCGCCATCAAAA
The DNA here is from genome assembly GCF_000001405.40 of Homo sapiens. Lineage (NCBI taxonomy): Eukaryota > Metazoa > Chordata > Mammalia > Primates > Hominidae > Homo > Homo sapiens. The sequence goes on from NC_000001.11 coordinate 121,674,722, forward strand.
GATATGCTCAGCTCTGTGAGTTAAACTCAATCATTGCAAAGAATTTTCTGAGAATGCTTCCGTCTTGTTTTTAGATGAAGTTCTTTCCTTTACTACGATAGGCCTCAAAGAGGTCCAAATCTCCACTGGCAGATTCTGCAGAAGGAGTGTTTCAAATCTGAACTGTCAGAGAAAGGTTCAACACTGTGAGTTGAATGCAAGCATCACGAAGAAGGTTCTGAGAATGCTTCTGTTTACGTAGGTGACTTTTCTCCCGTATCCAGCGAAATCCTCAGAGCGGTCCAAATCTCCACTTGCAGATTCTACACAAAGTGTGTTTGGAAACTGCTCCACCCAAAGGAATGTTCGGCTCTGTGAGTTGAACTCAATGGTCACAAAGCGTTTCCTGGGAATGCTCCTTTCTCGCTTTTATGTACAGTTATATCCTCTACTGACATAGGCCACAAAGCGGTCCAAATCTCCCCTTTCAGATTCTACCAGAAATGTGTTTCCAAACGGCCCCATCAAAGGGAATGTTCAACTCAGTGACTTGAATGCAATCATCACAAAGCAGCTTCTGAGAATGCTTCCATGTAGCTTTGATGAGAAGATATTTCCTTTTCCACCCCAGGCCTCGAAGCCCTCCAAATGTCCCCTTGCAGATGCTAGAAAGAGGGGGTTTCAAAGCTGCTCTATCAGAAGGAAAGTACAACTCTGTGAGTTGAATGCAAACATCACAAGGAAGTTCCTGAGCATGCTTCCGTTTAGCTTTTACGGGAAGATTATCCCTTTTCCATCGAAATGTTCAAAGAGGTCCACATATCTGCTTGCAGATTCCACCCAAAGAGTGTTTCCAAACTGCTGCATCCAAAGGAATCCTCAGCTCCGTGAGTTGAATGCAATCATCACCAAGAAGTTTCTGACAATGCTTCTCTCTAGTTTTTATGTGAAGATATTTCCTTTTCCACCGCAGGCCTGAAAGCGCTCCAAATGTCCACTTGGAGGCTCTACGAAAAGAATGTTTCAAAACTGCTCTATGAAAAGCAATGTTATACTCTGGGAGTTGAACACAAGCCTCACAAAGGAGTTTCTGAGAATGCTTCTGTTTACTTTTTACGTGAGGATATTCCCGTTTCCGAAGAAGTCTTCACAGAGTTCCACCTATCCATTTGCAGATGCTAGCAAAAGAAAGTTTCAAAACTGCTCCATCAAAAGGAACGTTCAACTCTGTGAGTTGCATGCAATCATCACAGAGAAGTTTCTGAGAAGGCTTCTGTCTAGATTTTACGTGAAGATATAGCCGTTTCGAACGAAGGCCACAAAGTGCTCCAAATATCCACTTGCAGGTCCTCCAAAAAGAGTGTTTCAAACGTGAACTACCAAAGGAAGGCTCAACTCTGGACTTTGAAGGCCAACGTCAGAAGGATGTTTCTGCGAAAGCTTCTGTTTAGTTAGGTGACGTTATCCCGTTTCCAACGAAATCCTCAGAGAGGTCCAAATATCCACCTGGGGAGTCTACAGAAAGTGTGTTTCCAAACTGCTCCACCCAAAGGAATGTTCAGCTCTGTGAGTTGAACTCAATCGTCCGAAAGCATTTTCTGAGAATGCTTCTGTCCAGTTTTTACATGAAGCTGTTTCCTTTACTACCGTAGGCCTCAAAGCGTTCCAAACCTCCACTTGCAGATCCTACGAAAAGAGCGTTTCAACCTGAACTCACAAGGGAAGGTTCAACTCTGTCAGTTGAATGCCAACATCACCAAGAAGTTCTGAGAATGTTCCTCTTCAGTTATGTGAGGTTTATCCCGTTTCCAACGAAATTCTCAGAGAAGTCCCAAAATCCTCTTGCATATTCCACAAAAGGTGTGTTTGGAAAATGCGCCATCAAAAGATATGCTCAGCTCTGTGAGTTAAACTCAAGCATCGCAAAGAATTTTCTGAGAATGCTTCCGTCTTGTTTTTAGATGAAGTTCTTTCCTTTACTACGATAGGCCTCAAAGAGGTACAAATCTCCACTTGCAGATTCTGCAGAAGGAGTGTTTCAAACCTGAACTGTCAGAGAAAGGTTCAACACTGTGAGTTGAATGCAAGCATCACGAAGAAGGTTCTGACAATGCTTCTGTTTACATAGGTGACTTTTCTCCCGTATCCAGCGAAATCCTCAGAGCGGTCCAAATCTCCACTTGCAGATTCTACACAAAGTGTGTTTGGAAACTGCTCCACCCAAAGGAATGTTCAGCTCTGTGAGTTGAACTCAATGGTCACAAAGCGTTTCCTGGGAATGCTCCTGTCTCGCTTTTATGTGCAGTTATATCCTCTACTGCCATAGGCCTCAAAGCGGTCCAAATCTCCCCTTTCAGATTCTACCAGAAGTGTGTTTCCAAACGGCCCCATCAAAGGGGATGTTCAACTCGGTGAGTTGAATGCAATCATCACAAAGCAGCTTCTGAGAATGCTTCCATGTAGCTTTGATGAGAAGATATTTCCTTTTCCACCCCAGGCCTCGAAGCCCTCCAAATGTCCCCTTGCCGATGCTAGAAAGAGGGGGTTTCAAAGCTGCTCTATCAAAAGGAAAGTACAACTCTGTGAGTTGAATGCAAACATCACAAGGAAGTTCCTGAGCATGCTTCCGTTTAGCTTTTACGGGAAGATTATCCCTTTTCCATCGAAATGTTCAAAGAGGTCCACATATCCTTTTGCAGATTCCACCGAAAGAGTGTTTCCAAACTGCTGCATCCAAAGGAATCCTCAGCTCCGTGAGTTGAATGCAATCATCACCAAGAAGTTTCTGACAATGCTTCTCTCTAGTTTTTATGTGAAGATATTTCCTTTTCCACCGCAGGCCTGAAAGCGCTCCAAATGTCCACTTGGAGGCTCTACGAAAAGAATGTTTCAAAACTGCTCTATGAAACGCAATGTTATACTCTGGGAGTTGAACACAAGCCTCACAAAGGAGTTTCTGAGAATGCTTCTGTTTACTTTTTACGTGAGGATATTCCCGTTTCCAAAGAAGTCTTCACAGAGTTCCACCTATACATTTGCAGATGTTAGCAAAAGAGAGTTTCAAAACTGCTCCATCAAAAGGAATGTTCAACTCTGTGAGTTGCATGCAATCATCACAGAGAAGTTTCTGAGAAGGCTTCTGTCTAGATTTTACATGAAGATATAGCCGTTTCGAACGAAGGCCACAAAGTGCTCCAAATATCCACTTGCAGGTCCTCCAAAAAGAGTGTTTCAAACGTGAACTACCAAAGGAAGGCTCAACTCTGGACTTTGAAGGCCAACGTCAGAAGGATGTTTCTGCGAAAGCTTCTGTTTAGTTAGGTGACGTTATCCCGTTTCCAACGAAATCCTCAGAGAGGTCCAAATATCCACCTGCGGAGTCTACAAAAAGTGTGTTTCCAAACTGCTCCACCCAAAGGAATGTTCAGCTCTGTGAGTTGTACTCAATCGTCCCGAAGTATTTTCTGAGAATGCTTCTGCCCAGTTTTTACATGAAGCTGTTTCCTTTACTACCGTAGGCCTCAAAGCGTTCCAAACCTCCACTTGCAGATCCTACGAAAAGAGCGTTTCAACCTGAACTCACAAGGGAAGGTTCAACTCTGTCAGTTGAATGCCAACATCACCAAGAAGTTCTGAGAATGTTCCTCTTCAGTTATGTGAGGTTTATCCCGTTTCCCACGAAATTCTCAGAGAAGTCCCAAAATCCACTTGCATATTCCACAAAAGGTGTGTTTGTAAAATGCGCCATCAAAAGATATGCTCAGCTCTGTGAGTTAAACTCAATCATCGCAAAGAATTTTCTGAGAATGCTTCCGTCTTGTTTTTAGATGAAGTTCTTTCCTTTACTACGATAGGCCTCAAAGAGGTCCAAATCTCCACTGGCAGATTCTGCAGAAGGAGTGTTTCAAACCTGAACTGTCAGAGAAAGGTTCAACACTGTGAGTTGAATGCAAGCATCACGAAGAAGGTTCTGAGAATGCTTCTGTTTACGTAGGTGACTTTTCTCCCATATCCAGCGAAATCCTCAGAGCGGTCCATATCTCCACTTGCAGATTCTACACAAAGTGTGTTTGGAAACTGCTCCACCCAAAGGAATGTTCGGCTCTGTGAGTTGAACTCAATGGTCAGAAAGCGTTTCCTGGGAATGCTCCTGTCTCGCTTTTATGTACAGTTATATCCTCTACTGCCATAGGCCTCAAAGCGGTCCAAATCTCCCCTTTCAGATTCTACCAGAAATGTGTTTCCAAACGGCCCCATCAAAGGGGATGTTCAACTCGGTGACTTGAATGCAATCATCACAAAGCAGCTTCTGAGAATGCTTCCATGTAGCTTTGATGAGAAGATATTTCCTTTTCCACCCCAGGCCTCGAAGCCCTCCAAATGTCCCCTTGCAGATGCTAGAAAGAGGGGGTTTCAAAGCTGCTCTATCAAAAGGAAAGTACAACTCTGTGAGTTGAATGCAAACATCACAAGGAAGTTCCTGAGCATGCTTCCGTTTAGCTTTTACGGGAAGATTATCCCTTTTCCATCGAAATGTTCAAAGAGGTCCACATATCCGCTTGCAGATTCCACACAAAGAGTGTTTCCAAACTGCTGCATCCAAAGGAATCCTCAGCTCCGTGAGTTGAATGCAATCATCACCAAGAAGTTTCTGACAATGCTTCTCTCTAGTTTTTATGTGAAGATATTTCCTTTTCCACCGCAGGCCTGAAAGCGCTCCAAATGTCCACTTGGAGGCTCTACGAAAAGAATGTTTCAAAACTGCTCTATGAAAAGCAATGTTATACTCTGGGAGTTGAACACAAGACTCACAAAGGTGTTTCTGAGAATGCTTGTGTTTACTTTTTACGTGAGGATATTCCCGTTTCCAAAGAAGTCTTCACAGAGTTCCACCTATCCATTTGCAGATGCTAGCAAAAGAGAGTTTCAAAACTGCTCCATCAAAAGGAATGTTCAACTCTGTGACTTGCATGCAATCATCACAGAGAAGTTTCTGAGAAGGCTTCTGTCTAGATTGTATGTGAAGATATAGCCGTTTCGAACGAAGGCCACAAAGTGCTCCAAATATCCACTTGCAGGTCCTCCAAAAAGAGTGTTTCAAACGTGAACTACCAAAGGAAGGCTCAACTCTAGACTTTGAAGGCCAACGTCAGAAGGATGTTTCTGCGAAAGCTTCTGTTTAGTTAGGTGACGTTATCCCGTTTCCAACGAAATACTCAGAGAGGTCCAAATATCCATCTGCGGAGTCTACAAAAAGTGTGTTTCCAAACTGCTCCACCCAAAGGAATGTTCAGCTCTGTGAGTTGTACTCAATCGTCCCGAAGTATTTTCTGAGAATGCTTCTGCCCAGTTTTTACGTGAAGCTGTTTCCTTTACTACCGTAGGCCTGAAAGCGTTCCAAACCTCCACTTGCAGATACTACGAAAAGAGCGTTTCAACCTGAACTCACAAGGGAAGGCTCAACTCTGTCAGTTGAATGCCAACATCACCAAGAAGATCTGAGAATGTTCCTCTTCAGTTATGTGAGGTTTATCCCGTTTCCCACGAAATTCTCAGAGAAGTCCCAAAATCCACTTGCATATTCTACAAAAGGTGTGTTTGTAAAATGCGCCATCAAAAGATATGCTCAGCTCTGTGAGTTAAACTCAATCATCGCAAAGAATTTTCTGAGAATGCTTCCGTCTTGTTTTTAGATGAAGTTCTTTCCTTTACTACGATAGGCCTCAAAGAGGTCCAAATCTCCACTGGCAGATTCTGCAGAAGGAGTGTTTCAAACCTGAACTGTCAGAGAAAGGTTCAACACTGTGAGTTGAATGCAAGCATCACGAAGAAGGTTCTGAGAATGCTTCTGTTTACGTAGGTGACTTTTCTCCCATATCCAGCGAAATCCTCAGAGCGGTCCATATCTCCACTTGCAGATTCTACACAAAGTGTGTTTGGAAACTGCTCCACCCAAAGGAATGTTCGGCTCTGTGAGTTGAACTCAATGGTCAGAAAGCGTTTCCTGGGAATGCTCCTGTCTCGCTTTTATGTACAGTTATATCCTCTACTGCCATAGGCCTCAAAGCGGTCCAAATCTCCCCTTTCAGATTCTACCAGAAATGTGTTTCCAAACGGCCCCATCAAAGGGGATGTTCAACTCGGTGACTTGAATGCAATCATCACAAAGCAGCTTCTGAGAATGCTTCCATGTAGCTTTGATGAGAAGATATTTCCTTTTCCACCCCAGGCCTCGAAGCCCTCCAAATGTCCCCTTGCAGATGCTAGAAAGAGGGGGTTTCAAAGCTGCTCTATCAAAAGGAAAGTACAACTCTGTGAGTTGAATGCAAACATCACAAGGAAGTTCCTGAGCATGCTTCCGTTTAGCTTTTACGGGAAGATTATCCCTTTTCCATCGAAATGTTCAAAGAGGTCCACATATCCGCTTGCAGATTCCACACAAAGAGTGTTTCCAAACTGCTGCATCCAAAGGAATCCTCAGCTCCGTGAGTTGAATGCAATCATCACCAAGAAGTTTCTGACAATGCTTCTCTCTAGTTTTTATGTGAAGATATTTCCTTTTCCACCGCAGGCCTGAAAGCGCTCCAAATGTCCACTTGGAGGCTCTACGAAAAGAATGTTTCAAAACTGCTCTATGAAAAGCAATGTTATACTCTGGGAGTTGAACACAAGACTCACAAAGGAGTTTCTGAGAATGCTTGTGTTTACTTTTTACGTGAGGATATTCCCGTTTCCAAAGAAGTCTTCACAGAGTTCCACCTATCCATTTGCAGATGCTAGCAAAAGAGAGTTTCAAAACTGCTCCATCAAAAGGAATGTTCAACTCTGTGACTTGCATGCAATCATCACAGAGAAGTTTCTGAGAAGGCTTCTGTCTAGATTGTATGTGAAGATATAGCCGTTTCGAACGAAGGCCACAAAGTGCTCCAAATATCCACTTGCAGGTCCTCCAAAAAGAGTGTTTCAAACGTGAACTACCAAAGGAAGGCTCAACTCTAGACTTTGAAGGCCAACGTCAGAAGGATGTTTCTGCGAAAGCTTCTGTTTAGTTAGGTGACGTTATCCCGTTTCCAACGAAATACTCAGAGAGGTCCAAATATCCACCTGCGGAGTCTACAAAAAGTGTGTTTCCAAACTGCTCCACCCAAAGGAATGTTCAGCTCTGTGAGTTGTACTCAATCGTCCCGAAGTATTTTCTGAGAATGCTTCTGCCCAGTTTTTACGTGAAGCTGTTTCCTTTACTACCGTAGGCCTGAAAGCGTTCCAAACCTCCACTTGCAGATACTACGAAAAGAGCGTTTCAACCTGAACTCACAAGGGAAGGTTCAACTCTGTCAGTTGAATGCCAACATCACCAAGAAGATCTGAGAATGTTCCTCTTCAGTTATGTGAGGTTTATCCCGTTTCCCACGAAATTCTCAGAGAAGTCCCAAAATCCACTTGCATATTCCACAAAAGGTGTGTTTGTAAAATGCGCCATCAAAAGATATGCTCAGCTCTGTGAGTTAAACTCAATCATCGCAAAGAATTTTCTGAGAATGCTTCCGTCTTGTTTTTAGATGAAGTTCTTTCCTTTACTACGATAGGCCTCAAAGAGGTCCAAATCTCCACTGGCAGATTCTGCAGAAGGAGTGTTTCAAACCTGAACTGTCAGAGAAAGGTTCAACACTGTGAGTTGAATGTAAGCATCATGAAGAAGGTTCTGAGAATGCTTCTGTTTACGTAGGTGACTTTTCTGCCGTATCCAGCGAAATCCTCAGAGCGGTCCAAATCTCCACTTGCAGATTCTACACAAAGTGTGTTTGGAAACTGCTCCACCCAAAGGAATGTTCAGCTCTGTGAGTTGAACTCAATCGTCACAAAGCGTTTCCTGGGAATGCTCCTGTCTCGCTTTTATGTGCAGTTATATCCTCTACTGCCATAGGCCTCAAAGCGGTCCAAATCTCCCCTTTCAGATTCTACCAGAAGTGTGTTTCCAAACGGCCCCATCAAAGGGGATGTTCAACTCGGTGACTTGAATGCAATCATCACAAAGCAGCTTCTGAGAATGCTTCCATGTAGCTTTGATGAGAAGATATTTCCTTTTCCACCCCAGGCCTCGAAGCCCTCCAAATGTCCCCTTGCAGATGCTAGAAAGAGGGGGTTTCAAAGCTGCTCTATCAAAAGGAAAGTACAACTCTGTGAGTTGAATGCAAACATCACAAGGAAGTTCCTGAGCATGCTTCCGTTTAGCTTTTACGGGAAGATTATCCCTTTTCCATCGAAATGTTCAAAGAGGTCCACATATCCGCTTGCAGATTCCACCGAAAGAGTGTTTCCAAACTGCTGCATCCAAAGGAATCCTCAGCTCCGTGAGTTGAATGCAATCATCACCAAGAAGTTTCTGACAATGCTTCTCTCTAGTTTTTATGTGAAGATATTTCCTTTTCCACCGCAGGCCTGAAAGCGCTCCAAATGTCCACTTGGAGGCTCTACGAAAAGAATGTTTCAAAACTGCTCTATGAAAAGCAATGTTATACTCTGGGGGTTGAACACAAGCCTCACAAAGGAGTTTCTGAGAATGCTTCTGTTTACTTTTTACGTGAGGATATTCCCGTTTCCAAAGAAGTCTTCACAGAGTTCCACCTATCCATTTGCAGATGCTAGCAAAAGAGAGTTTCAAAACTGCTCCATCAAAAGGAATGTTCAACTCTGTGAGTTGCATGCAATCATCACAGAGAAGTTTCTGAGAAGGCTTCTGTCTAGATTTTACGTGAAGATATAGCCGTTTCGAACGAAGGCCACAAAGTGCTCCAAATATCCACTTGCAGGTCCTCCAAAAAGAGTGTTTCAAACGTGAACTACCAAAGGAAGGCTCAACTCTAGACTTTGAAGGCCAACGTCAGAAGGATGTTTCTGCGAAAGCTTCTGTTTAGTTAGGTGACGTTATCCCGTTTCCAACGAAATCCTCAGAGAGGTCCAAATATCCACCTGCAGAGTCTACAAAAAGTGTGTTTCAAAACTGCTCCACCCAAAGGAATGTTCAGCTCTATGAGTTGAACTCAATCGTCCCGAAGTATTTTCTGAGAATGCTTCTGCCCAGTTTTTACGTGAAGCTCTTTCCTTTACTACCGTAGGCCTCAAAGCGTTCCAAACCTCCACTTGCAGATACTACGAAAAGAGCGTTTCAACCTGAACTCACAAGGGAAGGTTCAACTCTGTCAGTTGAATGCCAACATCACCAAGAACTTCTCAGGATGTTCCTCTTCAGTTATGTGAGGTTTATCCCGTTTCCCACGAAATTCTCAGAGAAGTCCCAAAATCCACTTGCATATTCCACAAAAGGTGTGTTTGGAAAATGCGCCATCAAAAGATATGCTCAGCTCTGTGAGTTAAACTCAATCATCGCAAAGAATTTTCTGAGAATGCTTCCGTCTTGTTTTTAGATGAAGTTCTTTCCTTTACTAGGATAGGCCTCAAAGAGGTCTAAATCTCCACTGGCAGATTCTGTAGAAGGAGTGTTTCAAACCTGAACTGTCAGAGAAAGGTTCAACACTGTGAGTTGAATGTAAGCATCACGAAGAAGGTTCTGAGAATGCTTCTGTTTACGTAGGTGACTTTTCTGCCGTATCCAGCGAAATCCTCAGAGCGGTCCAAATCTCCACTTGCAGATTCTACACAAAGTGTGTTTGGAAACTGCTCCACCCAAAGGAATGTTCAGCTCTGTGAGTTGAACTCAATCGTCACAAAGCGTTTCCTGGGAATGCTCCTGTCTCGCTTTTATGTGCAGTTATATCCTCTACTGCCATAGGCCTCAAAGCGGTCCAAATCTCCCCTTTCAGATTCTACCAGAAGTGTGTTTCCAAACGGCCCCATCAAAGGGGATGTTCAACCCGGTGACTTGAATGCAATCATCACAAAGCAGCTTCTGAGAATGCTTCCATGTAGCTTTGATGAGAAGATATTTCCTTTTCCACCCCAGGCCTCGAAGCCCTCCAAATGTCGCCTTGCAGATGCTAGAAAGAGGGGGTTTCAAAGCTGCTCTATCAAAAGGAAAGTACAACTCTGTGAGTTGAATGCAAACATCACAAGGAAGTTCCTGAGCATGCTTCCGTTTAGCTTTTACGGGAAGATTATCCCTTTTCCATCGAAATGTTCAAAGAGGTCCACATATCCGCTTGCAGATTCCACCGAAAGAGTGTTTCCAAACTGCTGCATCAAAAGGAATCCTCAGCTCCGTGAGTTGAATGCAATCATCACCAAGAAGTTTCTGACAATGCTTCTCTCTAGTTTTTATGTGAAGATATTTCCTTTTCCACCACAGGCCTGAAAGCGCTCCAAATGTCCACTTGGAGGCTCTACGAAAAGAATGTTTCAAAACTGCTCTATGAAAAGCAATGTTATACTCTGGGAGTTGAACACAAGCCTCACAAAGGAGTTTCTGAGAATGCTTCTGTTTACTTTTTACGTGAGGATATTCCCGTTTCCAAAGAAGTCTTCACAGAGTTCCACCTATCCATTTGCAGATGCTAGCAAAAGAGAGTTTCAAAACTGCTCCATCAAAAGGAATGTTCAACTCTGTGAGTTGCATGCAATCATCACAGAGAAGTTTCTGAGAAGGCTTCTGTCTAGATTTTAGGTGAAGATATAGCCGTTTCGAACGAAGGCCACAAAGTGCTCCAAATATCCACTTGCAGGTCCTCCAAAAAGAGTGTTTCAAACGTGAACTACCAAAGGAAGGCTCAACTCTGGACTTTGAATGCCAACGTCAGAAGGATGTTTCTGCGAAAGCTTCTGTTTAGTTAGGTGACGTTATCCCGTTTCCAACGAAATCCTCAGAGAGGTCCAAATATCCACCTGCAGAGTCTACAAAAAGTGTGTTTCAAAACTGCTCCACCCAAAGGAATGTTCAGCTCTGTGAGTTGAACTCAATCGTCCCGAAGTATTTTCTGAGAATGCTTCTGCCCAGTTTTTACATGAAGCTGTTTCCTTTACTACCGTAGGCCTCAAAGCGTACCAAACCTCCACTTGCAGATACTACGAAAAGAGCGTTTCAACGTGAACTCACAAGGGAAGGTTCAACTCTGTCAGTTGAATGCCAACATCACCAAGAATTTCTGAGAATGTTCCTCTTCAGTTACGTGAGGTTTATCCCGTTTCAAACGAAATTCTCAGAGAAGTCCCAAAATCCACTTGCATATTCTACAAAAGGTGTGTTTGGAAAATGCGCCATCAAAAGATATGCTCAGCTCTGTGAGTTAAACTCAATCATCGCAAAGAATTTTCTGAGAATGCTTCTGTCTTGTTTTTAGATGAAGTTCTTTCCTTTACTACGATAGTCCTCAAAGAGGTCCAAATCTCCACTTGCAGATTCTGCAGAAGGAGTGTTTCAAACGTGAAGTGTCAGAGAAAGGTTCAACACTGTGAGTTGAATGCAAGCATCACGAAGAAGGTTCTGAGAATGCTTCTGTTTACGTAGGTGACTTCTCTCCCGTATCCAACGAAATCCTCAGAGCGGTCCAAATCTCCACTTGCAGATTCTACACAAAGTGTGTTTGGAAACTGCTCCATCCAAAGGAATGTTCAGCTCTGTGAGTTGAACTCAATCGTCACAAAGTGTTTCCTGGGAATGCTCCTTTCTCGCTTTTATGTGCAGTTATATCCTCTACTGCCATAGGCCTCAAAACGGTACAAATCTCCCCTTTCAGATTCTACCAAAAGTGTGTTTCCAAACGGCTCCATCAAAGGGAATGTTCAACTCGGTGACTTGAATACAATCATCACAAAGCAGCTTCTGAGAATGCTTCCATGTAGCTTTGATGAGAAGATATTTCCTTTTCCTCCCCAGGCCTCGAAGCCCTCCAAAAGTCCCCTTGCAGATGCTAGAAAGAGGGGGTTTCAAAGTAGCTCTATCCAAAGGAAAGTACATCTCTGTGAGTTGAATACAAACGTCACAAGGAAGTTCCTGAGCATGGTTCCGTTTAGCTTTTAAGGGAAGATTATTCCATTTCCATCGAAATGTTCAAAGAGGTCCGCATATCCGCTTGCAGATTCCACCGAAAGAGTGTTTCCAAACTGCTGCATCAAAAGGAATCCTCAGCTCCGTGAGTTGAATGCAATCATCACCAAGAAGTTTCTGACAATGCTTCTCTCTAGTTTTTATGTGAAGATATTTCCTTTTCCACCACAGGCCTGAAAGCGCTCCAAATGTCCACTTGGAGGCTCTACGAAAAGAATGTTTCAAAACTGCTCTATGAAAAGCAATGTTATACTCTGGGAGTTGAAGACAAGCCTCACAAAGGAGTTTCTGAGAATGCTTCGGTTTACTTTCTACGTGAGAATATTCCCGTTTCCAAAGAAGTCTTCACAGAGTTCCACCTATCCATTTGCAGATGCTATCAAAAGAGAGTTTCAAAACTGCTCTATCAAAAGGAATGTCCAACTCTGTGAGTTGCGTGCAATCATCACAGAGAAGTTTCTGAGAAGGCTTCTGTCTAGATTTTATGTGAAGATATAGCCGTTTCGAACGAAGGCCACAAAGTGCTCCAAATAGCCACTTGCAGGTCCTCCAAAAGAGTGTTTCAAACGTGAACAACCAAAGGAAGGTTCAACTCTGGACTTTGAATGCCAATGTCAGAGAGATTTTTCTGCAAAAGCTTCTGTTTAGTTAGGTGACGTTATCCGCTTCCAACGAAATCCTCAGAGAGGTCCAAATATCCACCTGCAGAGTCTACAAAAAGTGTGTTTCAGAACTGCTCCACCCAAAGGAATGTTCAGCTCTGTGAGTTGAACTCAATCATCCCAAAGTATTTTCTGAGAATGCTTCTGTCCAGTTTTTACATGAAGCTGTTTCCTTTACTACCGTAGGCCTCAAAGCGTTCCAAACCTCCACTTGCAGATACTACGAAAAGAGAGTTTCAACCTGATCTCACAAGGGAAGGTTCAACTCTGTCAGTTGAATGCCAACATCACCAAGAAGTTCTGAGAATGTTCCTCTTCAGTTAAGTGAGGTTTATCCCGTTTCCAACGAAATTCTCAGAGAAGTCCCAAAATCCACTTGCCTATTCTACAAAAGGTGTGCTTTGAAAATGAGCCATCAAAAGATATGCTCAGCTCTGTGAGTTAAACTCAATCATCGCAAAGAATTTTCTGAGAATGCTTCTGTCTTCTTTTTAGATGAAGTTCTTTCCTTTACTACGACAGGCCTCAAAGAGGTCCAAATCTCCACTTGCAGATTCTGCAGAAGGAGTGTTTCAAACCTGAACTATCAGAGAAAGGTTCAACACTGTGAGTTGAATGCAAGCATCACGAAGATGGTTCTGAGAATGCTTCTGTTTACGTAGGTGAGTTCTCTCCCGTATCCAACGAAATCCTCAGAGCGGTCCGAATCTCCACTTGCAGATTCTACAAAAAGTGTGTTTGGAAACTGCTCCATCCAAAGGAATGTTCAGCTCTGTGAGTTGATCTCCATCGTCACAAAGTGTTTCCTGGGAATGCCACTGTCTCGTTTTTATGTGCAGTTATGTCCTCTACTGCCATAGTCCTCAAAGCGGTCCAAATCTCCCCTTTCAGATTCTACCAAAAGTGTGTTTCCAAACGGCTCCATCAAAGGGAAAGTTCAACTCGGTGACTTGAATGCAATCATCACAAAGCAGCTTCTGAGAATGCTTCCATGTAGCTTTGATGAGAAGATATTTCCTTTTCCACCCCGGGCCTCGAAGCCCTCCAAATGTCCCCTTGCAGATGCTAGAAAGAGAGGGTTTCAAAGCTGCTCTATCAAAAGGAAAGTACAACTCTGCGAGTTGAATGCAAACATCACAAAGAAGTTCCTGAGCATGCTTCCGTTTAGCTTTTACGGGAAGATTATCCCTTTTCCATCGAAATGTTCAAAGAGGTCCACATATCCGCTTGCAGATTCCACCGAAAGAGTGTTTCCAAACTGCTGCATCAAAAGGAATCCTCAGCTCCGTGAGTTGAATGCAATCATCACCAAGAAGTTTCTGACAATGCTTCTCTCTAGTTTTTATGTGAAGATATTTCCTTTTCCACCACAGGCCTGAAAGCGCTCCAAATGTCCACTTGGAGGCTCTACGAAAGGAATGTTTCAAAACTGCTCTATGAAAAGCAATGTTATACTCTGGGAGTTGAACACAAGCCTCACAAAGGAGTTTCTGAGAATGCTTCTGTTTACTTTTTACGTGAGGATATTCCCGTTTCCAAAGAAGTCTTCACAGAGTTCCACCTACCCATTTGCAGATGCTAGCAAAAGAGAGTTTCAAAACTGCTCTATCAAAAGGAATGTTCAACTCTGTGAGTTGCATGCAATCATCACAGAGAAGTTTCTGAGAAGGCTTCTGTCTAGATTTTATGTGAAGATATAGCCGTTTCGAACGAAGGCCACAAAGTGCTCCAAATATCCACTTGCAGGTCCTCCAAAAAGAGTGTTTCAAACGTGAACTACCAAAGGAAGGCTCAACTCTGGACTTTGAATGCCAACGTCAGAAAGATGTTTCTGCGAAAGCTTCTGTTTAGTTAGGTGACGTTATCCCGCTTCCAACGAAATCCTCAGAGAGGTCCAAATATTCACCTGCAGAGTCTCCAAAAGTGTGTTTCAAAACTGCTCCACCCAAAGGAATGTTCAGCTCTGTGAGTTGAACTCAATCATCCCAAAGTATTTTCTGAGAATGCTTCTGTCCAGTTTTTACATGAAGCTGTTTCGTTTACTACCATAGGCCTCAAAGCATTCCAAATCTCCACTTGAAGATAGTACGAAAAGAGGGTTTCAACCTGAACTCACAAGGGAAGTTTCAACTCTGTCAGTTGAATGCCAACATCACAAAGAAGTTCTGAGAGTGTTCCTCTTCAGTTATGTGAGGTTTATCGCGTTTCCAACGAAATTCTCTGAGAAGTCCCAAAATCCACTTGCATATTCTACAAAAAGTGTGTTTTGAAAATGCGCCATCAAAAGATATGCTCAGCTCTGTGAGTTAAACTCAATCATCGTAAAGAATTTTCTGAGAATGCTTCTGTCTTGTTTTTAGATGAAGGTCTTTCCTTTACTACGATAGGCCTCAAAGAGTTCCAAATCTCCACTTGCAGATTCTGCAGGAGGAGTGTTTCAAACCTGAAATGTCAGAGAAAGGTTCAACACTGTGAGTTGAATGCAAGCATCACGAAGAAGGTTCTGAGAATGCTTCTGTTTGTGTAGGTGACTTCTCTCCCGTATCCAACGAAATCCTCAGAGCGGTCCAAATCTCCACTTGCAGATTCTACACAAAGTGTGTTTGGAAACTGCTCCATCCAAAGGAATGTTCAGCTCTGTGAGTTGAACTCAAGCATCACAATGTGTTTCCTGGGAATGCTCCTGTCTCGTTTTTATGTGCAGTTATATCCTCTACTGCCATAGGCCTCAAAACGGTACAAATCTCCCCTTTCAGATTCTACCAAAAGTGTGTTTCCAAACGGCTCCATCAAAGGGAATGTTCAACTCGGTGACTTGAATGCAATCATCACAAAGCAGCTTCTGAGAATGCTTCCATGTAGCTTTGATGAGAAGATATTTCCTTTTCCTCCCCAGGCCTCGAAGCCCTCCAAATGTCCCCTTGCAGATGCTAGAAAGAGGGGGTTTCAAAGTAGCTCTATCAAAAGGAAAGTACAGCTCTGTGAGTTGAATACAAACGTCACAAGGAAGTTCCTGAGCATCGTTCCGTTTAGCTTTTACGGGAAGATTATTCCATTTCCATCGAAATGTTCAAAGAGGTCCGCATATCCGCTTGCAGATTCCACCGAAAGAGTGTTTCCAAACTGCTGCATCAAAAGGAATCCTCAGCTCCGTGAGTTGAATGCAATCATCACCAAGAAGTTTCTGACAATGCTTCTCTCTAGTTTTTATGTGAAGATATTTCCTTTTCCACCACAGGCCTGAAAGCGCTCCAAATGTCCACTTGGAGGCTCTACGAAAAGAATGTTTCAAAACTGCTCTCTGAAAAGCAATGTTATACTCTGGGAGTTGAACACAAGCCTCACAAAGGAGTTTCTGAGAATGCTTCTGTTTACTTTTTACGTGAGGATATTCCCGTTTCCAAAGAAGTCTTCACAGAGTTCCACCTACCCATTTGCAGATGCTAGCAAAAGAGAGTTTCAAAACTGCTCTATCAAAAGGAATGTTCAACTCTGTGAGTTGCATGCAATCATCACAGAGAAGTTTCTGAGAAGGCTTCTGTCTAGATTTTATGTGAAGATATAGCCGTTTCGAACGAAGGCCACAAAGTGCTCCAAATATCCACTTGCAGGTCCTCCAAAAAGAGTGTTTCAAACGTGAACTACCAAAGGAAGGCTCAACTCTGGACTTTGAATGCCAACGTCAGAAAGATGTTTCTGCGAAAGCTTCTGTTTAGTTAGGTGACGTTATCCCGCTTCCAACGAAATCCTCAGAGAGGTCCAAATATTCACCTGCAGAGTCTCCAAAAGTGTGTTTCAAAACTGCTCCACCCAAAGGAATGTTCAGCTCTGTGAGTTGAACTCAATCATCCCAAAGTATTTTCTGAGAATGCTTCTGTCCAGTTTTTACATGAAGCTGTTTCGTTTACTACCATAGGCCTCAAAGCATTCCAAATCTCCATTTGAAGATAGTACGAAAAGAGGGTTTCAACCTGAACTCACAAGGGAAGTTTCAACTCTGTCAGTTGAATGCCAACATCACAAAGAAGTTCTGAGAGTGTTCCTCTTCAGTTATGTGAGGTTTATCGCGTTTCCAACGAAATTCTCTGAGAAGTCCCAAAATCCACTTGCATATTCTACAAAAAGTGTGTTTTGAAAATGCGCCATCAAAAGATATGCTCAGCTCTGTGAGTTAAACTCAATCATCGTAAAGAATTTTCTGAGAATGCTTCTGTCTTGTTTTTAGATGAAGGTCTTTCCTTTACTACGATAGGCCTCAAAGAGTTCCAAATCTCCACTTGCAGATTCTGCAGGAGGAGTGTTTCAAACCTGAAATGTCAGAGAAAGGTTCAACACTGTGAGTTGAATGCAAGCATCACGAAGAAGGTTCTGAGAATGCTTCTGTTTGTGTAGGTGACTTCTCTCCCGTATCCAACGAAATCCTCAGAGCGGTCCAAATCTCCACTTGCAGATTCTACACAAAGTGTGTTTGGAAACTGCTCCATCCAAAGGAATGTTCAGCTCTGTGAGTTGAACTCAAGCATCACAATGTGTTTCCTGGGAATGCTCCTGTCTCGTTTTTATGTGCAGTTATATCCTCTACTGCCATAGGCTTCAAAACGGTACAAATCTCCCCTTTCAGATTCTACCAAAAGTGTGTTTCCAAACGGCTCCATCAAAGGGAATGTTCAACTCGGTGACTTGAATGCAATCATCACAAAGCAGCTTCTGAGAATGCTTCCATGTAGGTTTGATGAGAAGATATTTCCTTTTCCTCCCCAGGCCTCGAAGCCCTCCAAATGTCCCCTTGCAGATGCTAGAAAGAGGGGGTTTCAAAGTAGCTCTATCAAAAGGAAAGTACAGCTCTGTGAGTTGAATACAAACGTCACAAGGAAGTTCCTGAGCATGGTTCCGTTTAGCTTTTACGGGAAGATTATTCCATTTCCATCGAAATGTTCAAAGAGGTCCGCATATCCGCTTGCAGATTCCACCGAAAGAGTGTTTCCAAACTGCTGCATCAAAAGGAATCCTCAGCTCCGTGAGTTGAATGCAATCATCACCAAGAAGTTTCTGACAATGCTTCTCTCTAGTTTTTATGTGAAGATATTTCCTTTTCCACCACAGGCCTGAAAGCACTCCAAATGTCCACTTGGAGGCTCTACGAAAAGAATGTTTCAAAACTGCTCTATGAAAAGCAATGTTATACTCTGGGAGTTGAACACAAGCCTCACAAAGGAGTTTCTGAGAATGCTTCTGTTTACTTCTTACGTGAGGATATTCCCGTTTCCAAAGAAGTCTTCACAGAGTTCCACCTATCCATTTGCAGATGCTAGCAAAAGAGAGTTTCAAAACTGCTCTATCAAAAGGAACGTTCAACTCTGTGAGTTGCATGCAATCATCACAGAGAAGTTTCTGAGAAGGCTTCTGTCTAGATTTTATGTGAAGATATAGCCGTTTCGAACGAAGGCCACAAAGTGCTCCAAATATCCACTTGCAGGTCCTCCAAAAAGAGTGTTTCAAACGTGAACTACCAAAGGAAGGCTCAACTCTGGACTTTGAATGCCAACGTCAGAAGGATGTTTCTGCGAAAGCTTCTGTTTAGTTAGGTGACGTTATCCCGTTTCCAACGAAATCCTTAGAGAGTTCCAAATATCCACCTGCAGAGTCTACAAAAAGTATGTTTCAAAACTGCTCCACCCAAAGGAATGTTCAGCTCTGTGAGTTGAACTCAATCATCCCAAAGTAGTTTCTGAGAATGCTTCTGTCCAGTTTTTACATGAAGCTGTTTCCTTTACTACCGTAGGCCTCAAAGCGTTCCAAATCTCCACTTGCAGATAGTACGAAAAAAGCCTTTCAACCTGAACTCACAAGGGAAGGTTCAACTCTGTCAGTTGAATGCCAACATCACCAAGAAGTTCTGAGAATGTTCCTCTTCAGTTATGTGAGGTTTATCCCGTTTCCAACGAAATTCTCAGAGAAGTCCCAAAATCCACTTGCATATTCTACAAAAGGCGTATTTTGAAAATGCGCCATCAAAAGATAGGCTCAGCTCTGTGAGTTAAACTCAATCATCGCAAAGAATTTTCTGAGAATGCTTCTGTCTTGTTTTTAGATGAAGTTCTTTCCTTTACTACGATAGGCCTCAAAGAGGTCCAAATCTCTACTTGCAGATTCTGCAGAAGGAGTGTTTCAAACCTGAACTGTCAGAGAAAGGTTCAACACTGTGAGTTGAATGCAAGCATCACGAAGAAGGTTCTGAGAATGCTTCTGTTTACGTAGGTGAGTACTCTCCCGTATCCAACGAAATCCTCAGAGGGGTCCAAATCTCCTCTTGCAGATTCTACACAAAGTGTGTTTGGAAACTGCTCCATCCAAAGGAATGTTCAGCTCTGTGAGTTGCACTCAATAGTCACAAAGTGTTTCCTGGGAATGCTCCTGTCTCGTTTTTATGTGCAGTTATATCCTCTACTGTCATGTGCCTCAGAGCGGTCCAAATCTCCCCTTTCAGATTCTAACAAAAGTGTGTTTCCAAACGGCTTCATCAAGGGGAATGTTCAACTCGGTGACTTGAATGCAATCATCACAAAGCAGCTTCTGAGAATGTTCCATGTAGCTTTGATGAGAAGATATTTCCTTTTCCTCCCCAGGCCTCGAAGCCCTCCAAATGTCCCCGTGCAGATGCTAGAAAGAGAGGGTTTCAAAGCTGCTCAATGAAAAGGAAAATACAACTCTGTGAGTTGAATGCAAACATCACAAAAAGTTCCTGAGCATGCTGCCGTTTAGCTATTACGGGAAGATTATCCCTTTTCCAACGAAATGTTCAAAGAGGTCCACATATCCGCTTGCAGATTCCACAGAAAGAGTGGTTCCAAACTGCTGCATCAAAAGGAATCCTCACCTCCGTGAGTTGAATGCAATCATCACCAAGAAGTTTCTGACAATGCTTCTCTCTAGTTTTTATGTGAAGATATTTCCTTTTCCACCACAGGCCTGAAAGCACTCCAAATGTCCACTTGGAGGCTCTACGAAAAGAATGTTTCAAAACTGCTCTATGAAAAGCAATATTATACTCTGCGAGTTGAACACAAGCCTCACAAAGGAGTTTCTGAGAATGCTTCTGTTTACTTTTTACGTGAGGATATTCCCGTTTCCAAAGAAGTCTTCACAGAGTTCCACCTACCCATTTGCAGATGCTAGCAAAAGAGAGTTTCAAAACTGCTCTATCAAAAGGAATGTTCAACTCTGTGAGTTGCATGCAATCATCACAGAGAAGTTTCTGAGAAGGCTTCTGTCTAGATTTTATGTGAAGATATAGCCGTTTCGAACGAAGGCCACAAAGTGCTCCAAATATCCACTTGCAGGTCCTCCAAAAAGAGTGTTTCAAACGTGAACTACCAAAGGAAGGCTCAACTCTGGACTTTGAATGCCAACGTCAGAAAGATGTTTCTGCGAAAGCTTCTGTTTAGTTAGGTGACGTTATCCCGCTTCCAACGAAATCCTCAGAGAGGTCCAAATATCCACCTGCAGAGTCTCCAAAAGTGTGTTTCAAAACTGCTCCACCCAAAGGAATGTTCAGCTCTGTGAGTTGAACTCAATCATCCCAAAGTATTTTCTGAGAATGCTTCTGTCCAGTTTTTACATGAAGCTGTTTCGTTTACTACCATAGGCCTCAAAGCATTCCAAATCTCCACTTGAAGATAGTACGAAAAGAGCGTTTCAACCTGAACTCACAAGGGAAGGTTCAACTCTGTCAGTTGAATGCCAACATCACAAAGAAGTTCTGAGAATGTTCCTCTTCAGTTAAGTGAGGTTTATCCCGTTTCCAACGAAATTCTCAGAGAAGTCCCAAAATCCACTTGCCTATTCTACAAAAGGTGTGCTTTGAAAATGCGCCATCAAAAGATATGCTCAGCTCTGTGAGTTAAACTCAATCATCGCAAAGAATTTTCTGAGAATGCTTCTGTCTTCTTTTTAGATGAAGTTCTTTCCTTTACTACGACAGGCCTCAAAGAGGTCCAAATCTCCACTTGCAGATTCTGCAGAAGGAGTGTTTCAAACCTGAACTGTCAGAGAAAGGTTCAACACTGTGAGTTGAATGCAAGCATCACGAAGAAGGTTCTGAGAATGCTTCTGTTTACGTAGGTGAGTTCTCTCCCGTATCCAACGAAATCCTCAGAGCGGTCCGAATCTCCACTTGCAGATTCTACACAAAGTGTGTTTGCAAACTGCTCCATCCAAAGGAATGTTCAGCTCTGTGAGTTGATCTCCATCGTCACAAAGTGTTTCCTGGGAATGCCACTGTCTCGTTTTTATGTGCAGTTATGTCCTCTACTGCCATAGGCCTCAAAGCGGTCCAAATCTCCCCTTTCAGATTCTACCAAAAGTGTGTTTCCAAACGGCTCCATCAAAGGGAATGTTCAACTCGGTGACTTGAATGCAATCATCACAAAGCAGCTTCTGAGAATGCTTCCATGTAGCTTTGATGAGAAGATATTTCCTTTTCCACCCCAGGCCTCGAAGCCCTCCAAATGTCCCCTTGCAGATGCTAGAAAGAGAGGGTTTCAAAGCTGCTCTATCAAAAGGAAAGTACAACTCTGCGAGTTGAATGCAAACATCACAAAGAAGTTCCTGAGCATGCTTCCGTTTAGCTTTTATGGGAAGATTATCCCTTTTCCATCGGAATGTTCAAAGAGGTCCACGTATCCGCTTGCAGATTCCACCGAAAGAGTGTTTCCAAACTGCTGCATCAAAAGGAATCCTCAGCTCCGTGAGTTGAATGCAATCATCACCAAGAAGTTTCTGACAATGCTTCTCTCTAGTTTTTATGTGAAGATATTTCCTTATCCACCACAGGCCTGAAAGGGCTCCAAATGTCCACTTGGAGGCTCTACGAAAAGAATGTTTCAAAACTGCTCCATGAAAAGCAATGTTATACTGTGGGAGTTGAACACAAGCCTCACAAAGGAGTTTCTGAGAATGCTTCTGTTTACTTTTTACGTGAGGATATTCCTATTTCCAAAGAAGTCTTCACAGAGTTCCACCTATCCATTTGCAGATGCTAGCAAAAGAGAGTTTCAAAACTGCTCTATCAAAAGGAATGTTCAACTCTGTGAGTTGCATGCAATCATCTCAGAGAAGTTTCTGAGAAGGCTTCTGTCTAGATTTTATGTGAAGATATAGCCGTTTCGAACGAAGGCCACAAAGTGCTCCAAATATCCACTTGCAGGTCCTCCAAAAAGAGTGTTTCAAACGTGAACTACCAAAGGAAGGCTCAACTCTGGACTTTGAATGCCAACGTCAGAAGGATGTTTCTGCGAAAGCTTCTGTTTAGTTAGGCGACGTTATCCCGTTTCCAACGAAATCCTCAGAGAGGTCCAAATATCCACCTGCAGAGTCTACAAAAAGTGTGTTTCAAAACTGCTCCACCCAAAGGAATGTTCAGCTCTGTGAGTTGAACTCAATCATCCCAAAGTATTTTCTGAGAATGCTTCTGTCCAGTTTTTACATGAAGCTCTTTCCTTTACTACCGTAGGCCTCAAAGCGTTCCAAATCTCCACTTGCAGATGCTACGAAAGGAGCGTTTCAACCTGAACTCACAAGGGAAGGTTCACCTCTGTCAGTTGAATGTCAACATCACAAAGAATTTCTGAGAATGTTCCTCTTCAGTTATGTGAGGTTTATCCCGTTTCCAACGAAATTCTCAGAGAAGTCCCAATATCCACTTGCATATTCTACAAAACGTGTGTTTTGAAAATGCTCCATCAAAAGACCTGCTCAGCTCTGTGAGTTAAACTCAATCATCGCAAAGAATTTTCTGAGAATGCTTCTGTCTTGTTTTTAGATGAAGTTCTTTCCTTTACTACGACAGGCCTCAAAGAGGTCCAAATCTCCACTTGCAGATTCTGCAGAAGGAGTGTTTCAAACCTGAACCGTCAGAGGAAGGTTCAACACTGTGAGTTGAATGCAAGCATCACGAAGAAGGTTCTGAGAATGCTTCTGTTTACGCAGGTGAGTTCTCTCCCGTATCCAACGAAATCCTCAGAGCGGTCCGAATCTCCACTTGCAGATTCTACACAAAGTGTGTTTGGAAACTGCTCCATCCAAAGGAATGTTCAGCTCTGTGAGTTGATCTCCATCGTCACAAAGTGTTTCCTGGGAATGCCACTGTCTCGTTTTTATGTGCAGTTATGTCCTCTACTGCCATAGGCCTCAAAGCGGTCCAAATATCCCCTTTCAGATTCTACCAAAAGTGTGTTTCCAAACGGCTCCATCAAAGGGAATGTTCAACTCGGTGACTTGAATGCAATCATCACAAAGCAGCTTCTGAGAATGCTTCCATGTAGCTTTGATGAGAAGATATTTCCTTTTCCACCCCAGGCCTCGAAGCCCTCCAAATGTCCCCTTGCAGATGCTAGAAAGAGAGGGTTTCAAAGCTGCTCTATCAAAAGGAAAGTACAACTCTGCGAGTTGAATGCAAACATCACAAAGAAGTTCCTGAGCATGCTTCCGTTTAGCTTTTATGGGAAGATTATCCCTTTTCCATCGGAATGTTCAAAGAGGTCCACGTATCCGCTTGCAGATTCCACCGAAAGAGTGTTTCCAAACTGCTGCATCAAAAGGAATCCTCAGCTCCGTGAGTTGAATGCAATCATCACCAAGAAGTTTCTGACAATGCTTCTCTCTAGTTTTTATGTGAAGATATTTCCTTATCCACCACAGGCCTGAAAGGGCTCCAAATGTCCACTTGGAGGCTCTACGAAAAGAATGTTTCAAAACTGCTCCATGAAAAGCAATGTTATACTGTGGGAGTTGAACACAAGCCTCACAAAGGAGTTTCTGAGAATGCTTCTGTTTACTTTTTACGTGAGGATATTCCTATTTCCAAAGAAGTCTTCACAGAGTTCCACCTATCCATTTGCAGATGCTAGCAAAAGAGAGTTTCAAAACTGCTCTATCAAAAGGAATGTTCAACTCTGTGAGTTGCATGCAATCATCTCAGAGAAGTTTCTGAGAAGGCTTCTGTCTAGATTTTATGTGAAGATATAGCCGTTTCGAACGAAGGCCACAAAGTGCTCCAAATATCCACTTGCAGGTCCTCCAAAAAGAGTGTTTCAAACGTGAACTACCAAAGGAAGGCTCAACTCTGGACTTTGAAGGCCAACGTCAGAAGGATGTTTCTGCGAAAGCTTCTGTTTAGTTAGGCGACGTTATCCCGTTTCCAACGAAATCCTCAGAGAGGTCCAAATATCCACCTGCAGAGTCTACAAAAAGTGTGTTTCAAAACTGCTCCACCCAAAGGAATGTTCAGCTCTGTGAGTTGAACTCAATCATCCCAAAGTATTTTCTGAGAATGCTTCTGTCCAGTTTTTACATGAAGCTGTTTCCTTTACTACCGTAGGCCTCAAAGCGTTCCAAATCTCCACTTGCAGATGCTACGAAAGGAGCGTTTCAACCTGAACTCACAAGGGAAGGTTCACCTCTGTCAGTTGAATGTCAACATCACAAAGAATTTCTGAGAATGTTCCTCTTCAGTTATGTGAGGTTTATCCCGTTTCCAACGAAATTCTCAGAGAAGTCCCAATATCCACTTGCATATTCTACAAAACGTGTGTTTTGAAAATGCTCCATCAAAAGACCTGCTCAGCTCTGTGAGTTAAACTCAATCATCGCAAAGAATTTTCTGAGAATGCTTCTGTCTTGTTTTTAGATGAAGTTCTTTCCTTTACTACGACAGGCCTCAAAGAGGTCCAAATCTCCACTTGCAGATTCTGCAGAAGGAGTGTTTCAAACCTGAACCGTCAGAGGAAGGTTCAACACTGTGAGTTGAATGCAAGCATCACGAAGAAGGTTCTGAGAATGCTTCTGTTTACGTAGGTGAGTTCTCTCCCGTATCCAACGAAATCCTCAGAGCGGTCCGAATCTCCACTTGCAGATTCTACACAAAGTGTGTTTGGAAACTGCTCCATCCAAAGGAATGTTCAGCTCCGTGAGTTGAACTCAATCGTCACAAAGTGTTTCCTGGGAATGCTACTGTCTCGTTTTTATGTGCAGTTTTATCCTCTACTGCCACAGGCCTCAAAGCGGTCCAAATCTCCCCTTTCAGATTCTACCAAAAGTGTGTTTCCAAAAGGCTCCATCAAAGGGAATGTTCAGCTCGGTGACTTGAAAGCTATCATCACAAAGCAGCTTCTGAGAATGCTTCCATGTATCTTTGATGAGAAGACATTTCCTTTTCCACCCCAGGCCTCGAAGCCCTCCAAATGTCCCCTTGCAGATGCTAGAAAGAGAGGGTTTCAAAGCTGCTCTATCAAAAGGAAAGTACAACTCTGCGAGTTGAATGCAAACATCACAAAGAAGTTCCTGAGCATGCTTCCGTTTAGCTTTTATGGGAAGATTATCCCTTTTCCATCGGAATGTTCAAAGAGGTCCACGTATCCGCTTGCAGATTCCACCGAAAGAGTGTTTCCAAACTGCTGCATCAAAAGGAATCCTCAGCTCCGTGAGTTGAATGCAATCATCACCAAGAAGTTTCTGACAATGCTTCTCTCTAGTTGTTATGTGAAGATATTTCCTTATCCACCACAGGCCTGAAAGGGCTCCAAATGTCCACTTGGAGGCTCTACGAAAAGAATGTTTCAAAACTGCTCCATGAAAAGCAATGTTATACTCTGGGAGTTGAACACAAGCCTCACAAAGGAGTTTCTGAGAATGCTTCTGTTTACTTTTTACGTGAGGATATTCCCATTTCCAAAGAAGTCTTCACAGAGTTCCACCTATCCATTTGCAGATGCTAGCAAAAGAGAGTTTCAAAACTGCTCTATCAAAAGGAATGTTCAACTCTGTGAGTTGCATGCAATCATCACAGAGAAGTTTCTGAGAAGGCTTCTGTCTAGATTTTATGTGAAGATATAGCCGTTTCGAACGAAGGCCACAAAGTGCTCCAAATATCCACTTGCAGGTCCTCCAAAAAGAGTGTTTCAAACGTGAACTACCAAAGGAAGGCTCAACTCTGGACTTTGAATGCCAACGTCAGAAGGATGTTTCTGCGAAAGCTTCTGTTTAGTTAGGCGACGTTATCCCGTTTCCAACGAAATCCTCAGAGAGGTCCAAATATCCACCTGCAGAGTCTACAAAAAGTGTGTTTCAAAACTGCTCCACCCAAAGGAATGTTCAGCTCTGTGAGTTGAACTCAATCATCCCAAAGTATTTTCTGAGAATGCTTCTGTCCAGTTTTTACATGAAGCTGTTTCCTTTACTACCGTAGGCCTCAAAGCGTTCCAAATCTCCACTTGCATACGCTACGAAAGGAGTGTTTCAACCTGAACTCACAAGGGAAGGTTCACCTCTGTCAGTTGAATGTCAACATCACAAAGAATTTCTGAGAATGTTCCTCTTCAGTTATGTGAGGTTTATCCCGTTTCCAACGAAATTCTCAGAGAAGTCCCAATATCCACTTGCATATTCTACAAAACGTGTGTTTTGAAAATGCTCCATCAAAAGACCTGCTCAGCTCTGTGAGTTAAACTCAATCATCGCAAAGAATTTTCTGAGAATGCTTCTGTCTTGTTTTTAGATGAAGTTCTTTCCTTTACTACGACAGGCCTCAAAGAGGTCCAAATCTCCACTTGCAGATTCTGCAGAAGGAGTGTTTCAAACCTGAACCGTCAGAGGAAGGTTCAACACTGTGAGTTGAATGCAAGCATCACGAAGAAGGTTCTGAGAATGCTTCTGTTTACGTAGGTGAGTTCTCTCCCGTATCCAACGAAATCCTCAGAGCGGTCCGAATCTCCACTTGCAGATTCTACACAAAGTGTGTTTGGAAACTGCTCCATCCAAAGGAATGTTCAGCTCCGTGAGTTGAACTCAATCGTCACAAAGTGTTTCCTAGGAATGCTACTGTCTCGTTTTTATGTGCAGTTTTATCCTCTACTGCCACAGGCCTCAAAGGGGTCCAAATATCCCCTTTCAGATTCTACCAAAAGTGTGTTTCCAAAAGGCTCCATCAAAGGGAATGTTCAGCTCGGTGACTTGAAAGCTATCATCACAAAGCAGCTTCTGAGAATGCTTCCATGTATCTTTGATGAGAAGACATTTCCTTTTCCACCCCAGGCCTCGAAGCCCTCCAAATGTCCCCTTGCAGATGCTAGAAAGAGAGGGTTTCAAAGCTGCTCTATCAAAAGGATAGTACAACTCTGCGAGTTGAATGCAAACATCACAAAGAAGTTCCTGAGCATGCTTCCGTTTAGCTTTTATGGGAAGATTATCCCTTTTCCATCGGAATGTTCAAAGAGGTCCACGTATCCGCTTGCAGATTCCACCGAAAGAGTGTTTCCAAACTGCTGCATCCAAAGGAATCCTCAGCTCCGTGAGTTGAATGCAATCATCACCAAGAAGTTTCTGACAATGCTTCTCTCTAGTTGTTATGTGAAGATATTTCCTTATCCACCACAGGCCTGAAAGGGCTCCAAATGTCCACTTGGAGGCTCTACGAAAAGAATGTTTCAAAACTGCTCCATGAAAAGCAATGTTATACTCTGGGAGTTGAACACAAGCCTCACAAAGGAGTTTCTGAGAATGCTTCTGTTTACTTTTTACGTGAGGATATTCCCATTTCCAAAGAAGTCTTCACAGAGTTCCACCTATCCATTTGCAGATGCTAGCAAAAGAGAGTTTCAAAACTGCTCTATCAAAAGGAATGTTCAACTCTGTGAGTTGCATGCAATCATCACAGAGAAGTTTCTGAGAAGGCTTCTGTCTAGATTTTATGTGAAGATATAGCCGTTTCGAACGAAGGCCACAAAGTGCTCCAAATATCCACTTGCAGGTCCTCCAAAAAGAGTGTTTCAAACGTGAACTACCAAAGGAAGGCTCAACTCTGGACTTTGAATGCCAACGTCAGAAGGATGTTTCTGCGAAAGCTTCTGTTTAGTTAGGCGACGTTATCCCGTTTCCAACGAAATCCTCAGAGAGGTCCAAATATCCACCTGCAGAGTCTACAAAAAGTGTGTTTCAAAACTGCTCCACCCAAAGGAATGTTCAGCTCTGTGAGTTGAACTCAATCATCCCAAAGTATTTTCTGAGAATGCTTCTGTCCAGTTTTTACATGAAGCTGTTTCCTTTACTACCGTAGGCCTCAAAGCGTTCCAAATCTCCACTTGCAGATGCTACGAAAGGAGCGTTTCAACCTGAACTCACAAGGGAAGGTTCACCTCTGTCAGTTGAATGTCAACATCACAAAGAAGTTCTGAGAATGTTCCTCTTCAGTTATGTGAGGTTTATCCCGTTTCCAACGAAATTCTCAGAGAAGTCCCAATATCCACTTGCATATTCTACAAAACGTGTGTTTTGAAAATGCTCCATCAAAAGACCTGCTCAGCTCTGTGAGTTAAACTCAATCATCGCAAAGAATTTTCTGAGAATGCTTCTGTCTTGTTTTTAGATGAAGTTCTTTCCTTTACTACGACAGGCCTCAAAGAGGTCCAAATCTCCACTTGCAGATTCTGCAGAAGGAGTGTTTCAAACCTGAACCGTCAGAGGAAGGTTCAACACTGTGAGTTGAATGCAAGCATCACGAAGAAGGTTCTGAGAATGCTTCTGTTTACGTAGGTGAGTTCTCTCCCGTATCCAACGAAATCCTCAGAGCGGTCCGAATCTCCACTTGCAGATTCTACACAAAGTGTGTTTGGAAACTGCTCCATCCAAAGGAATGTTCAGCTCCGTGAGTTGAACTCAATCGTCACAAAGTGTTTCCTGGGAATGCTACTGTCTCATTTTTATGTGCAGTTATATCCTCTACTGCCATAGGCCTCAAAGCGGTCCAAATCTCCCCTTTCAGATTCTACCAAAAGTGTGTTTCCAAACGGCTCCATCAAAGGCAATGTTCAGCTCGGTGACTTGAAAGCAATCATCACAAAGCAGCTTCTGAGAATGCTTCCATGTATCTTTGATGAGAAGACATTTCCTTTTCCACCCCAGGCCTCGAAGCCCTCCAAATGTCCCCTTGCAGATGCTAGAAAGAGAGGGTTTCAAATCTGCTCTATCAAAAGGAAAGTACAACTCTGCGAGTTGAATGCAAACATCACAAAGAAGTTCCTGAGCATGCTTCCGTTTAGCTTTTATGGGAAGATTATCCCTTTTCCATCGGAATGTTCAAAGAGGTCCACGTATCTGCTTGCAGATTCCACCGAAAGAGTGTTTCCAAACTGCTGCATCAAAAGGAATCCTCAGCTCCGTGAGTTGAATGCAATCATCACCAAGAAGTTTCTGACAATGCTTCTCTCTAGTTTTTATGTGAAGATATTTCCTTATCCACCACAGGCCTGAAAGGGCTCCAAATGTCCACTTGGAGGCTCTACGAAAAGAATGTTTCAAAACTGCTCCATGAAAAGCAATGTTATACTCTGGGAGTTGAACACAAGCCTCACAAAGGAGTTTCTGAGAATGCTTCTGTTTACTTTTTACGTGAGGATATTCCCGTTTCCAAAGAAGTCTTCACAGAGTTCCACCTATCCATTTGCAGATGCTAGCAAAAGAGAGTTTCAAAACTGCTCTATCAAAAGGAATGTTCAACTCTGTGAGTTGCATGCAATCATCACAGAGAAGTTTCTGAGAAGGCTTCTGTCTAGATTTTATGTGAAGATATAGCCGTTTCGAACGAAGGCCACAAAGTGCTCCAAATATCCACTTGCAGGTCCTCCAAAAAGAGTGTTTCAAACGTGAACTACCAAAGGAAGGCTCAACTCTGGACTTTGAATGCCAACGTCAGAAGGATGTTTCTGCGAAAGCTTCTGTTTAGTTAGGCGACGTTATCCCGTTTCCAACGAAATCCTCAGAGAGGTCCAAATATCCACCTGCAGAGTCTACAAAAAGTGTGTTTCAAAACTGCTCCACCCAAAGGAATGTTCAGCTCTGTGAGTTGAACTCAATCATCCCAAAGTATTTTCTGAGAATGCTTCTGTCCAGTTTTTACATGAAGCTGTTTCCTTTACTACCGTAGGCCTCAAAGCGTTCCAAATCTCCACTTGCAGATGCTACGAAAGGAGCGTTTCAACCTGAACTCACAAGGGAAGGTTCACCTCTGTCAGTTGAATGTCAACATCACAAAGAAGTTCTGAGAATGTTCCTCTTCAGTTATGTGAGGTTTATCCCGTTTCCAACGAAATTCTCAGAGAAGTCCCAATATCCACTTGCATATTCTACAAAACGTGTGTTTTGAAAATGCTCCATCAAAAGACCTGCTCAGCTCTGTGAGTTAAACTCAATCATCGCAAAGAATTTTCTGAGAATGCTTCTGTCTTGTTTTTAGATGAAGTTCTTTCCTTTACTACGACAGGCCTCAAAGAGGTCCAAATCTCCACTTGCAGATTCTGCAGAAGGAGTGTTTCAAACCTGAACCGTCAGAGGAAGGTTCAACACTGTGAGTTGAATGCAAGCATCACGAAGAAGGTTCTGAGAATGCTTCTGTTTACGTAGGTGAGTTCTCTCCCGTATCCAACGAAATCCTCAGAGCGGTCCGAATCTCCACTTGCAGATTCTACACAAAGTGTGTTTGGAAACTGCTCCATCCAAAGGAATGTTCAGCTCCGTGAGTTGAACTCAATCGTCACAAAGTGTTTCCTGGGAATGCTACTGTCTCGTTTTTATGTGCAGTTTTATCCTCTACTGCCACAGGCCTCAAAGCGGTCCAAATCTCCCCTTTCAGATTCTACCAAAAGTGTGTTTCCAAAAGGCTCCATCAAAGGGAATGTTCAGCTCGGTGACTTGAAAGCAATCATCACAAAGCAGCTTCTGAGAATGCTTCCATGTAGCTTTGATGAGAAGACATTTCCTTTTCCACCCCAGGCCTCGAAGCCCTCCAAATGTCCCCTTGCAGATGCTAGAAAGAGAGGGTTTCAAAGCTGCTCTCTCAAAAGGAAAGTAAAACTCTGCGAGTTGAATGCAAACATCACAAAGAAGTTCCTGAGCATGCTTCCGTTTAGCTTTTATGGGAAGATTATCCCTTTACCATCGGAATGTTCAAAGAGGTCCACGTATCCGCTTGCAGATTCCACCGAAAGAGTGTTTCCAAACTGCTGCATCCAAAGGAATCCTCAGCTCCGTGAGTTGAATGCAATCATCACCAAGAAGTTTCTGACAATGCTTCTCTCTAGTTTTTATGTGAAGATATTTCCTTATTCACCACAGGCCTGAAAGGGCTCCAAATGTCCACTTGGAGGCTCTACGAAAAGAATGTTTCAAAACTGCTCCATGAAAAGCCATGTTATACTCTGGGAGTTGAACACAAGCCTCACAAAGGAGTTTCTGAGAATGCTTCTGTTTACTTTTTACGTGAGGATATTCCCATTTCCAAAGAAGTCTTCACAGAGTTCCACCTATCCATTTGCAGATGCTAGCAAAAGAGAGTTTCAAAACTGCTCTATCAAAAGGAATGTTCAACTCTGTGAGTTGCATGCAATCATCACAGAGAAGTTTCTGAGAAGGCTTCTGTCTAGATTTTATGTGAAGATATAGCCGTTTCGAACGAAGGCCACAAAGTGCTCCAAATATCCACTTGCAGGTCCTCCAAAAAGAGTGTTTCAAACGTGAACTACCAAAGGAAGGCTCAACTCTGGACTTTGAATGCCAACGTCAGAAGGATGTTTCTGCGAAAGCTTCTGTTTAGTTAGGCGACGTTATCCCGTTTCCAACGAAATACTCAGAGAGGTCCAAATATCCACCTGCAGAGTCTACAAAAAGTGTGTTTCAAAACTGCTCCACCCAAAGGAATGTTCAGCTCTGTGAGTTGAACTCAATCATCCCAAAGTATTTTCTGAGAATGCTTCTGTCCAGTTTTTACATGAAGCTGTTTCCTTTACTACCGTAGGCCTCAAAGCGTTCCAAATCTCCACTTGCAGATGCTACGAAAGGAGCGTTTCAACCTGAACTCACAAGGGAAGGTTCACCTCTGTCAGTTGAATGTCAACATCACAAAGAAGTTCTGAGAATGTTCCTCTTCAGTTATGTGAGGTTTATCCCGTTTCCAACGAA
The DNA here is from genome assembly GCF_000001405.40 of Homo sapiens. Lineage (NCBI taxonomy): Eukaryota > Metazoa > Chordata > Mammalia > Primates > Hominidae > Homo > Homo sapiens. The sequence goes on from NC_000001.11 coordinate 121,706,366, forward strand.
ATTCTCAGAGAAGTCCCAATATCCACTTGCATATTCTACAAAACGTGTGTTTTGAAAATGCTCCATCAAAAGACCTGCTCAGCTCTGTGAGTTAAACTCAATCATCGCAAAGAATTTTCTGAGAATGCTTCTGTCTTGTTTTTAGATGAAGTTCTTTCCTTTACTACGACAGGCCTCAAAGAGGTCCAAATCTCCACTTGCAGATTCTGCAGAAGGAGTGTTTCAAACCTGAACCGTCAGAGGAAGGTTCAACACTGTGAGTTGAATGCAAGCATCACGAAGAAGGTTCTGAGAATGCTTCTGTTTACGTAGGTGAGTTCTCTCCCGTATCCAACGAAATCCTCAGAGCGGTCCGAATCTCCACTTGCAGATTCTACACAAAGTGTGTTTGGAAACTGCTCCATCCAAAGGAATGTTCAGCTCCGTGAGTTGAACTCAATCGTCACAAAGTGTTTCCTGGGAATGCTACTGTCTCGTTTTTATGTGCAGTTATAAACTCTCGTGCCATAGGCCTCAAAGCGGTCCAAATCTCCCCTTTCAGATTCTACCAAAAGTGTGTTTCCAAAAGGCTCCATCAAAGGGAATGTTCAGCTCGGTGACTTGAAAGCAATCATCACAAAGCAGCTTCTGAGAATGCTTCCATGTAGCTTTGATGAGAAGACATTTCCTTTTCCACCCCAGGCCTCGAAGCCCTCCAAATGTCCCCTTGCAGATGCTAGAAAGAGAGGGTTTCAAAGCTGCTCTATCAAAAGGAAAGTACAACTCTGCGAGTTGAATGCAAACATCACAAAGAAGTTCCTGAGCATGCTTCCGTTTAGCTTTTATGGTAAGATTATCCTTTTTCCATCAGAATGTTCAAAGAGGTCCACGTATCCGCTTGCAGATTCCACCGAAAGAGTGTTTCCAAACTGATGTATCAAAAGGAATCCTCAGCTCCGTGAGTTGAATGCAATCCTCACCAAGAAGTTTCTGACAATGCTTCTCTCTAGTTTTTATTTGAATATATTTCCTTATCCACCACAGGCCTGAAAGGGCTCCAAATGTCCACTTGGAGGCTCTACGAAAAGAATGTTTCAAAACTGCTCCATGAAAAGCAATGTTATACTCTGGGAGTTGAACACAAGCCTCACAAAGGAGTTTCTGAGAATGCTTCTGTTTACTTTTTACGTGAGGATATTCCCGTTTCTAAAGAAGTCCTCACAGAGTTCCACCTATCCATTTGCAGATGCTAGCAAAAGAGAGTTTCAAAACTGCTCTATCAAAAGGAATGTTCAACTCTGTGAGTTGCATGCAATCATCACAGAGAAGTTTCTGAGAAGGCTTCTGTCTAGATTTTATGTGAAGATATAGCCGTTTCGAACGAAGGCCACAAAGTGCTCCAAATATCCACTTGCAGGTCCTCCAAAAAGAGTGTTTCAAACGTGAACTACCAAAGGAAGGCTTAGCTCTGGACTTTGAATGCCAACCTCAGAAGGATATTTCTGCGAAAGCTTCTGTTTAGTTAGGCGACGTTATCCCGTTTCCAACGAAATCCTCAGAGAGGTCCAAATATCCACCTGCAGAGTCTACAAAAAGTGTGTTTCAAAACTGCTCCACCCAAAGGAATGTTCAGCTCTGTGAGTTGAACTCAATCATCCCAAAGTATTTTCTGAGAATGCTTCTGTCCAGTTTTTACATGAAGCTGTTTCCTTTACTACCGTAGGCCTCATAGCGTTCCAAATCTCCACTTGCAGATGCTACGAAAGGAGCGTTTCAACCTGAACTCACAAGGGAAGGTTCACCTCTGTCAGTTGAATGTCAACATCACAAAGAAGTTCTGAGAATGTTCCTCTTCAGTTACGTGAGGTTTTTCCCGTTTCCAACGAAATTCTCAGAGAAGTCCCAATATCCACTTGCATATCCTACAAAACGTGTGTTTTGAAAATGCTCCATCAAAAGAACTGCTCTGCTCTGTGAGTTAAACTCAATCATCGCAAAGAATTTTCTGAGAATGCTTCTGTCTTGTTTTTAGATGAAGTTCTTTCCTTTACTACGACAGGCCTCAAAGAGGTCCAAATCTCCACTTGCAGATTCTGCAGAAGGAGTGTTTCAAACCTGAACTGTCAGAGAAAGGTTCAACACTGTGAGTTGAATGCAAGCATCACGAAGAAGGTTCTGAGAATGCTTCTGTTTACGTAGGTGAGTTCTCTCCCGTATCCAACGAAATCATCAGAGCGGTCCGAATCTCCACTTGCAGATTCTACACAAAGTGTGTTTGGAAACTGCTCCATCCAAAGGAATGTTCAGCTCCGTGAGTTGAACTCAATCGTCACAAAGTGTTTCCTGGGAATGCTACTGTCTCGTTTTTATGTGCAGTTATAAACTCTAGTGCCATAGGCCTCAAAGCGGTCCAAATCTCCCCTTTCAGATTCTACCAAAAGTGTGTTTCCAAAAGGCACCATCAAAGGGAATGTTCAGCTCGGTGACTTGAAAGCAATCATCACAAAGCAGCTTCTGAGAATGCTTCCATGTATCTTTGATGAGAAGACATTTCCTTTTCCACCCCAGGCCTCGAAGCCCTCCAAATGTCCCCTTGCAGATGCTAGAAAGAGAGGGTTTCAAAGCTGCTCTATCAAAAGGAAAGTACAACTCTGCGAGTTGAATGCAAACATCACAAAGAAGTTCCTGAGCATGCTTCCGTTTAGCTTTTATGGGAAGATTATCCCTTTTCCATCGGAATGTTCAAAGAGGTCCACGTATCCGCTTGCAGATTCCACCGAAAGAGTGTTTCCAAACTGCTGCATCAAAAGGAATCCTCAGCTCCGTGAGTTGAATGCAATCATCACCAAGAAGTTTCTGACAATGCTTCTCTCTAGTTTTTATGTGAAGATATTTCCTTATCCACCACAGGCCTGAAAGGGCTCCAAATGTCCACTTGGAGGCTCTACGAAAAGAATGTTTCAAAACTGCTCCATGAAAAGCAATGTTATACTCTGGGAGTTGAACACAAGCCTCACAAAGGAGTTTCTGAGAATGCTTCTGTTTACTTTTTACGTGAGGATATTCCCGTTTCCAAAGAAGTCTTCACAGAGTTCCACCTATCCATTTGCAGATGCTAGCAAAAGAGAGTTTCAAAACTGCTCTATCAAAAGGAATGTTCAACTCTGTGAGTTGCATGCAATCATCACAGAGAAGTTTCTGAGAAGGCTTCTGTCTAGATTTTATGTGAAGATATAGCCGTTTCGAACGAAGGCCACAAAGTGCTCCAAATATCCACTTGCAGGTCCTCCAAAAAGAGTGTTTCAAACGTGAACTACCAAAGGAAGGCTCAACTCTGGACTTTGAATGCCAACGTCAGAAGGATGTTTCTGCGAAAGCTTCTGTTTAGTTAGGCGACGTTATCCCGTTTCCAACGAAATCCTCAGAGAGGTCCAAATATCCACCTGCAGAGTCTACAAAAAGTGTGTTTCAAAACTGCTCCACCCAAAGGAATGTTCAGCTCTGTGAGTTGAACTCAATCATCCCAAAGTATTTTCTGAGAATGCTTCTGTCCAGTTTTTACATGAAGCTGTTTCCTTTACTACCGTAGGCCTCAAAGCGTTCCAAATCTCCACTTGCAGATGCTACGAAAGGAGCGTTTCAACCTGAACTCACAAGGGAAGGTTCACCTCTGTCAGTTGAATGTCAACATCACAAAGAAGTTCTGAGAATGTTCCTCTTCAGTTATGTGAGGTTTATCCCGTTTCCAACGAAATTCTCAGAGAAGTCCCAATATCCACTTGCATATTCTACAAAACGTGTGATTTGAAAATGCTCCATCAAAAGACCTGCTCAGCTCTGTGAGTTAAACTCAATCATCACAAAGAATTTTCTGAGAATGCTTCTGTCTTGTTTTTAGATGAAGTTCTTTCCTTTACTACGACAGGCCTCAAAGAGGTCCAAATCTCCACTTGCAGATTCTGCAGAAGGAGTGTTTCAAACCTGAACCGTCAGAGAAAGGTTCAACACTGTGAGTTGAATGCAAGCATCACGAAGAAGGTTCTGAGAATGCTTCTGTTTACGTAGGTGAGTTCTCTCCCGTATCCAACGAAATCCTCAGAGCGGTCCGAATCTCCACTTGCAGATTCTACACAAAGTGTGTTTGGAAACTGCTCCATCCAAAGGAATGTTCAGCTCCGTGAGTTGAACTCAATCGTCACAAAGTGTTTCCTGGGAATGCTACTGTCTCGTTTTTATGTGCAGTCATATTCTCTACTGCCATAGGCCTCAAAGCGGTCCAAATCTCCCCTTTCAGATTCTACCAAAAGTGTGTTTCCAAACGGCTCCATCAAAGGCAATGTTCAGCTCGGTGACTTGAAAGCAATCATCACAAAGCAGCTTCTGAGAATGCTTCCATGTATCTTTGATGAGAAGACATTTCCTTTTCCACCCCAGGCCTCGAAGCCCTCCAAATGTCCCCTTGCAGATGCTAGAAAGAGAGGGTTTCAAAGCTGCTCTCTCAAAAGGAAAGTACAACTCTGCGAGTTGAATGCAAACATCACAAAGAAGTTCCTGAGCATGCTTCCGTTTAGCTTTTATGGGAAGATTATCCCTTTTCCATCGGAATGTTCAAAGAGGTCCACGTATCCGCTTGCAGATTCCACCGAAAGAGTGTTTCCAAACTGCTGCATCAAAAGGAATCCTCAGCTCCGTGAGTTGAATGCAATCATCACCAAGAAGTTTCTGACAATGCTTCTCTCTAGTTTTTATGTGAAGATATTTCCTTATCCACCACAGGCCTGAAAGGGCTCCAAATGTCCACTTGGAAGCTCTACGAAAAGAATGTTTCAAAACTGCTCCATGAAAAGCAATGTTATACTCTGGGAGTTGAACACAAGCCTCACAAAGGAGTTTCTGAGAATGCTTCTGTTTACTTTTTACGTGAGGATATTCCCGTTTCCAAAGAAGTCTTCACAGAGTTCCACCTATCCATTTGCAGATGCTAGCAAAAGAGAGTTTCAAAACTGCTCTATCAAAAGGAATGTTCAACTCTGTGAGTTGCATGCAATCATCACAGAGAAGTTTCTGAGAAGGCTTCTGTCTAGATTTTATGTGAAGATATAGCCGTTTTGAACGAAGGCCACAAAGTGCTCCAAATATCCACTTGCAGGTCCTCCAAAAAGAGTGTTTCAAACGTGAACTACCAAAGGAAGGCTCAACTCTGGACTTTGAATGCCAACGTCAGAAGGATGTTTCTGCGAAAGCTTCTGTTTAGTTAGGCGACGTTATCCCGTTTCCAACGAAATCCTCAGAGAGGTCCAAATATCCACCTGCAGAGTCTACAAAAAGTGTGTTTCAAAACTGCTCCACCCAAAGGAATGTTCAGCTCTGTGAGTTGAACTCAATCATCCCAAAGTATTTTCTGAGAATGCTTCTGTCCAGTTTTTACATGAAGCTGTTTCCTTTACTACCGTAGGTCTCAAAGCGTTCCAAATCTCCACTTGCAGATGCTACGAAAGGAGCGTTTCAACCTGAACTCACAAGGGAAGGTTCACCTCTGTCAGTTGAATGTCAACATCACAAAGAAGTTCTGAGAATGTTCCTCTTCAGTTATGTGAGGTTTATCCCGTTTCCAACGAAATTCTCAGAGAAGTCCCAATATCCACTTGCATATTCTACAAAACGTGTGTTTTGAAAATGCTCCATCAAAAGACCTGCTCAGCTCTGTGAGTTAAACTCAATCATCGCAAAGAATTTTCTGAGAATGCTTCTGTCTTGTTTTTAGATGAAGTTCTTTCCTTTACTACGACAGGCCTCAAAGAGGTCCAAATCTCCACTTGCAGATTCTGCAGAAGGAGTGTTTCAAACCTGAACCGTCAGAGGAAGGTTCAACACTGTGAGTTGAATGCAAGCATCACGAAGAAGGTTCTGAGAATGCTTCTGTTTACGTAGGTGAGTTCTCTCCCGTATCCAACGAAATCCTCAAAGCGGTCCGAATCTCCACTTGCAGATTCTACACAAAGTGTGTTTGGAAACTGCTCCATCCAAAGGAATGTTCAGCTCCCTGAGTTGAACTCAATCGTCACAAAGTGTTTCCTGGGAATGCTACTGTCTCGTTTTTATGTGCAGTTTTATCCTCTACTGCCACAGGCCTCAAAGCGGTCCAAATCTCCCCTTTCAGATTCTACCAAAAGTGTGTTTCCAAAAGGCTCCATCAAAGGGAATGTTCAGCTCGGTGACTTGAAAGCAATCATCACAAAGCAGCTTCTGAGAATGCTTCCATGTATCTTTGATGAGAAGACATTTCCTTTTCCACCCCAGGCCTCGAAGCCCTCCAAATGTCCCCTTGCAGATGCTAGAAAGAGAGGGTTTCAAAGCTGCTCTATCAAAAGGAAAGTACAACTCTGCGAGTTGAATGCAAACATCACAAGGAAGTTCCTGAGCATGCTTCCGTTTAGCTTTTACGGGAAGATTATCCCTTTTCCATCGAAATGTTCAAAGAGGTCCACATATCCGCTTGCAGATTCCACCGAAAGAGTGTTTCCAAACTGCTGCATCAAAAGGAATCCTCAGCTCCGTGAGTTGAATGCAATCATCACCAAGAAGTTTCTGACAATGCTTCTCTCTAGTTTTTATGTGAAGATATTTCCTTATCCACCACAGGCCTGAAAGGGCTCCAAATGTCCACTTGGAGGCTCTACGAAAAGAATGTTTCAAAACTGCTCCATGAAAAGCAATGTTATACTCTGGGAGTTGAACACAAGCCTCACAAAGGAGTTTCTGAGAATGCTTCTGTTTACTTTTTACGTGAGGATATTCCCGTTTCCAAAGAAGTCTTCACAGAGTTCCACCTATCCATTTGCAGATGCTAGCAAAAGAGAGTTTCAAAACTGCTCTATCAAAAGGAATGTTCAACTCTGTGAGTTGCATGCAATCATCACAGAGAAGTTTCTGAGAAGGCTTCTGTCTAGATTTTATGTGAAGATATAGCCGTTTCGAACGAAGGCCACAAAGTGCTCCAAATATCCACTTGCAGCTCCTCCAAAAAGAGTGTTTCAAACGTGAACTACCAAAGGAAGGCTCAACTCTGGACTTTGAATGCCAACGTCAGAAGGATGTTTCTGCGAAAGCTTCTGTTTAGTTAGGCGACGTTATCCCGTTTCCAACGAAATCCTCAGAGAGGTCCAAATATCCACCTGCAGAGTCTACAAAAAGTGTGTTTCAAAACTGCTCCACCCAAAGGAATGTTCAGCTCTGTGAGTTGAACTCAATCATCCCAAAGTATTTTCTGAGAATGCTCCTGTCCAGTTTTTACATGAAGCTGTTTCCTTTACTACCGTAGGCCTCAAAGCGTTCCAAATCTCCACTTGCGGATGCTACGAAAGGAGCGTTTCAACCTGAACTCACAAGGGAAGGTTCACCTCTGTCAGTTGAATGTCAACATCACAAAGAAGTTCTGAGAATGTTCCTCTTCAGTTATGTGAGGTTTATCCCGTTTCCAACGAAATTCTCAGAGAAGTCCCAATATCCACTTGCATATTCTACAAAACGTGTGTTTTGAAAATGCTCCATCAAAAGACCTGCTCAGCTCTGTGAGTTAAACTCAATCATCGCAAAGAATTTTCTGAGAATGCTTCTGTCTTGTTTTTAGATGAAGTTCTTTCCTTTACTACGACAGGCCTCAAAGAGGTCCAAATCTCCACTTGCAGATTCTGCAGAAGGAGTGTTTCAAACCTGAACCGTCAGAGAAAGGTTCAACACTGTGAGTTGAATGCAAGCATCACGAAGAAGGTTCTGAGAATGCTTCTGTTTACGTAGGTGAGTTCTCTCCCGTATCCAACGAAATCCTCAGAGCGGTCCGAATCTCCACTTGCAGATTCTACACAAAGTGTGTTTGGAAACTGCTCCATCCAAAGGAATGTTCAGCTCCGTGAGTTGAACTCAATCGTCACAAAGTGTTTCCTGGGAATGCTACTGTCTCGTTTTTATGTGCAGTTATATCCTCTACTGCCATAGGCCTCAAAGCGGTCCAAATCTCCCCTTTCAGATTCTACCAAAAGTGTGTTTCCAAACGGCTCCATCAAAGGCAATGTTCAGCTCGGTGACTTGAAAGCAATCATCACAAAGCAGCTTCTGAGAATGCTTCCATGTATCTTTGATGAGAAGACATTTCCTTTTCCACCCCAGGCCTCGAAGCCCTCCAAATGTCCCCTTGCAGATGCTAGAAAGAGAGTGTTTCAAAGCTGCTCTATCAAAAGGAAAGTACAACTCTGCGAGTTGAATGCAAACGTCACAAAGAAGTTCCTGAGCATGCTTCCGTTTAGCTTTTATGGGAAGATTATCCCTTTTCCATCGGAATGTTCAAAGAGGTCCACGTATCCGCTTGCAGATTCCACCGAAAGAGTGTTTCCAAACTGCTGCATCAAAAGGAATCCTCAGCTCCGTGAGTTGAATGCAATCATCACCAAGAAGTTTCTGACAATGCTTCTCTCTAGTTGTTATGTGAAGATATTTCCTTATCCACCACAGGCCTGAAAGGGCTCCAAATGTCCACTTGGAGGCTCTACGAAAAGAATGTTTCAAAACTGCTCCATGAAAAGCAATGTTATACTCTGGGAGTTGAACACAAGCCTCACAAAGGAGTTTCTGAGAATGCTTCTGTTTACTTTTTACGTGAGGATATTCCCGTTTCCAAAGAAGTCTTCACAGAGTTCCACCTATCCATTTGCAGATGCTAGCAAAAGAGAGTTTCAAAACTGCTCTATCAAAAGGAATGTTCAACTCTGTGAGTTGCATGCAATCATCACAGAGAAGTTTCTGAGAAGGCTTCTGTCTAGATTTTATGTGAAGATATAGCCGTTTCGAACGAAGGCCACAAAGTGCTCCAAATATCCACTTGCAGGTCCTCCAAAAAGAGTGTTTCAAACGTGAACTACCAAAGGAAGGCTCAACTCTGGACTTTGAATGCCAACGTCAGAAGGATGTTTCTGCGAAAGCTTCTGTTTAGTTAGGCGACGTTATCCCGTTTCCAACGAAATCCTCAGAGAGGTCCAAATATCCACCTGCAGAGTCTACAAAAAGTGTGTTTCAAAACTGCTCCACCCAAAGGAATGTTCAGCTCTGTGAGTTGAACTCAATCATCCCAAAGTATTTTCTGAGAATGCTTCTGTCCAGTTTTTACATGAAGCTGTTTCCTTTACTAACGTAGGCCTCAAAGCGTTCCAAATCTCCACTTGCAGATGCTACGAAAGGAGCGTTTCAACCTGAACTCACAAGGGAAGGTTCACCTCTGTCAGTTGAATGTCAACATCACAAAGAAGTTCTGAGAATGTTCCTCTTCAGTTATGTGAGGTTTATCCCGTTTCCAACGAAATTCTCAGAGAAATCCCAATATCCACTTGCATATTCTACAAAACGTGTGTTTTGAAAATGCTCCATCAAAAGACCTGCTCAGCTCTGTGAGTTAAACTCAATCATCGCAAAGAATTTTCTGAGAATGCTTCTGTCTTGTTTTTAGATGAAGTTCTTTCCTTTACTACGACAGGCCTCAAAGAGGTCCAAATCTCCACTTGCAGATTCTGCAGAAGGAGTGTTTCAAACCTGAACTGTCAGAGAAAGGTTCAACACTGTGAGTTGAATGCAAGCATCACGAAGAAGGTTCTGAGAATGCTTCTGTTTACGTAGGTGAGTTCTCTCCCGTATCCAACGAAATCCTCAGAGCGGTCCGAATCTCCACTTGCAGATTCTACACAAAGTGTGTTTGGAAACTGCTCCATCCAAAGGAATGTTCAGCTCCGTGAGTTGAACTCAATCGTCACAAAGTGTTTCCTGGGAATGCTACTGTCTCGTTTTTATGTGCAGTTATATCCTCTACTGCCATAGGCCTCAAAGCAGTCCAAGTCTCCCCTTTCAGATTCTACCAAAAGTATGTTTCCAAACGGCTCCATCAAAGGCAATGTTCAGCTCGGTGACTTGAAAGCAATCATCACAAAGCAGCTTCTGAGAATGCTTCCATGTATCTTTGATGAGAAGACATTTCCTTTTCCACCCCAGGCCTCGAAGCCCTCCAAATGTCCCCTTGCAGATGCTAGAAAGAGAGTGTTTCAAAGCTGCTCTATCAAAAGGAAAGTACAACTCTGCGAGTTGAATGCAAACATCACAAAGAAGTTCCTGAGCATGCTTCCGTTTAGCTTTTATGGGAAGATTATCCCTTTTCCATCGGAATGTTCAAAGAGGTCCACGTATCCGCTTGCAGATTCCACCGAAAGAGTGTTTCCAAACTGCCGCATCAAAAGGAATCCTCAGCTCCGTGAGTTGAATGCAATCATCACCAAGAAGTTTCTGACAATGCTTCTCTCTAGTTTTTATGTGAAGATATTTCCTTATCCACCACAGGCCTGAAAGGGCTCCAAATGTCCACATGGAGGCTCTACGAAAAGAATGTTTCAAAACTGCTCCATGAAAAGCAATGTTATACTCTGGGAGTTGAACACAAGCCTCACAAAGGAGTTTCTGAGAATGCTTCTGTTTACTTTTTACGTGAGGATATTCCCGTTTCCAAAGAAGTCTTCACAGAGTTCCACCTATCCATTTGCAGATGCTAGCAAAAGAGAGTTTCAAAACTGCTCTATCAAAAGGAATGTTCAACTCTGTGAGTTGCATGCAATCATCACAGAGAAGTTTCTGAGAAGGCTTCTGTCTAGATTTTATGTGAAGATATACCCGTTTCGAACGAAGGCCACAAAGTGCTCCAAATATCCACTTGCAGGTCCTCCAAAAAGAGTGTTTCAAACGTGAACTACCAAAGGAAGGCTCAACTGTGGACTTTGAATGCCAACGTCAGAAAGATGTTTCTCCGAAAGCTTCTGTTTACTTAGGCGACGTTATCCCGTTTCCAACGAAATCCTCAGAGAGGTCCAAATATCCACCAGCCGAGTCTACAAAAAGTGTGTCTCAAAACTGCTCCACCCAAAGGAATGTTCAGCTCTGTGAGTTGAACTCAATCATCCCAAAGTATTTTCTGAGAATGCTTCTGTCCAGTTTTTACATGAAGCTGTTTCCTTTACTACCGTAGGCCTCAAAGCGTTCCAAATCTCCACTTGCAGATGCTACGAAAAGAGCGTTTCAACCTGAACTCACAAGGGAAGGTTCACCTCTGTCAGTTGAATGTCAACATCACAAAGAAGTTCTGAGAATGTTCCTCTTCAGTTATGTGAGGTTTATCCCGTTTCCAACGAAATTCTCAGAGAAGTCCCAATATCCACTTGCATATTCTACAAAACGTGTGTTTTGAAAATGCTCCATCAAAAGACCTGCTCAGCTCTGTGAGTTAAACTCAATCATCGCAAAGAATTTTCTGAGAATGCTTCTGTCTTGTTTTTAGATGAATTTCTTTCCTTTACTACGACAGGCCTCAAAGACGTCCAAATCTCCACTTGCAGATTCTGCAGAAGGAGTGTTTCAAACCTGAACTGTCAGAGAAAGGTTCAACACTGTGAGTTGAATGCAAGCATCACGAAGAAGGTTCTGAGAATGCTTCCGTTTACGTAGGTGAGTTCTCTCCCGTATCCAACGAAATCCTCAGAGCGGTCCGAATCTCCACTTGCAGATTCTACACAAAGTGTGTTTGGAAACTGCTCCATCCAAAGGAATGTTCAGCTCCGTGAGTTGAACTCAATCGTCACAAAGTGTTTCCTGGGAATGCTACTGTCTCGTTTTTATGTGCAGTTATATCCTCTACTGCCATAGGCCTCAAAGCTGTCCAAATATCCCCTTTCAGATTCTACCAAAAGTGTGTTTCCCAACGGCTCCATCAAAGGGAATCTTCAGCTCGGTGACTTGAAAGCAATCATCACAAAGCAGCTTCTGAGAATGCTTCCATGTAGCTTTGATGAGAAGATATTTCCTTTTCCACCCCAGGCCTCGAAGCCCTCCAAATGTACCCTTGCAGATGCTAGAAAGAGAGGGTTTCAAAGCTGCTCTATCAAAAGGAAAGTACAACTCTGCGAGTTGAATGCAAACATCACAAAGAAGTTCCTGAGCATGCTTCTGTTTAGCTTTTACGGGAAGATTATCCCTTTTCCATCAGAATGTTCAAAGAGGTCCACATATCCGCTTGCAGATTCCACCGAAAGAGTGTTTCCAAACTGCTGCATCAAAAGGAATCCTCAGCTCCGTGAGTTGAATGCAATCATCACCAAGAGGATTCTGAGAATGCTTCTCTCTAGTTTTTATGTGAAGATATTTCCTTAACCACCACAGGCCTGAAAGGGCTCCAAATGTCCACTTGGAGGCTCTATGAAAAGAATGTTTCAAAACTGCTCCATGAAAAGCAATGTTATACTCTGGGAGTTGAACACAAGCCTCACAAAGGAGTTTCTGAGAATGCTTCTGTTTACTTTTTACGTGAGGATATTCCCGTTTCCAAAGAAGTCTTCACAGAGTTCCACCTATCCATTTGCAGATGCTAGCAAAAGAGAGTTTCAAAACTGCTCTATCAAAAGGAATGTTCAACTCTGTGAGTTGCATGCAATCATCACAGAGAAGTTTCTGAGAAGGCTTCTGTCTAGATTTTATGTGAAGATATAGCCGTTTCGAACGAAGACCACAATGTGCTCCAATATCCACTTGCAGGTCCTCCAAAAAGAGTGTTTCAAACGTGAACTACCAAAGGAAGGCTCAACTGTGGACTTTGAATGCCAACGTCAGAAAGATGTTTCTGCGAAAGCTTCTGTTTAGTTAGGTGACGTTATCCCGTTTCCAACGAAATCCTCAGAGAGGTCCAAATATCCACCAGCAGAGTCTACAAAAAGTGTGTTTCAAAACTGCTCCACCCAAAGGAATGTTCAGCTCTGTGAGTTGAACTCAATCATCCCAAAGTATTTTCTGAGAATGCTTCTGTCCAGTTTTTACATGAGGCTGTTTCCTTTACTACCGTAGGCCTCAAAGCGTTCCAAATCTCCACTTGCAGATGCTACGAAAAGAGCGTTTCAACCTGAACTCACAAGGGAAGTTTCACCTCTGTCAGTTGAATGTCAACATCACAAAGAAGTTCTGAGAATGTTCCTCTTCAGTTATGTGAGGTTTATCCCGTTTCCAACGAAATTCTCAGAGAAGTCCCAATATCCACTTGCATATTCTACAAAACGTGTGTTTTGAAAATGCTCCATCAAAAGACCTGCTCAGCTCTGTGAGTTAAACTCAATCATCGCAAAGAATTTTCTGAGAATGCTTCTGTCTTGTTTTTAGATGAAGTTCTTTCCTTTACTACGACAGGCTTCAAAGAGGTCCAAATCTCCACTTGCAGATTCTGCAGAAGGAGTGTTTCAAACCTGAACTGTCAGAGAAAGGTTCAACACTGTGAGTTGAATGCAAGCATCACGAAGAAGGTTCTGAGAATGCTTCCGTTTACGTAGGTGAGTTCTCTCCCGTATCCAATGAAATCCTCAGAGCGGTCCGAATCTCCACTTGCAGATTCTACACAAAGTGTGTTTGGAAACTGCTCCATCCAAAGGAATGTTCAGCTCCGTGAGGTGAACTCAATCGTCACAAAGTGTTTCCTGGGAATGCTACTGTCTCGTTTTTATGTGCAGTTATATCCTCTACTGCCATAGGCCTCAAGGCGGTCCAAATCTCCCCTTTCAGATTCTACCAAAAGTGTGTTTCCCAACGGCTCTATCAAAGGGAATGTTCAGCTCGGTGACTTGAAAGCAATCATCACAAAGCAGCTTCTGAGAATGCTTCCATGTAGCTTTGATGAGAAGATATTTCCTTTTCCACCCCAGGCCTCGAAGCCCTCCAAATGTCCCCTTGCAGATGCTAGAAAGAGAGGGTTTCAAAGCTGCTCTATCAAAAGGAAAGTACAACTCTGCGAGTTGAATGCAAACATCACAAAGAAGTTCCTGAGCATGCTTCAGTTTAGCTTTTATGGGAAGATTATCCCTTTTCCATCGCAATGTTCAAAGAGGTCCACATATCCGCTTGCAGATTCCACCGAAAGTGTGTTTCCAAACTGCTGCATCAAAAGGAATCCTCAGCTCCGTGAGTTGAATGCAATCATCACCAAGAAGTTTCTGACAATGCTTCTCTCTAGTTTTTATGTGAAGATATTTCCTTATCCACCACAGGCCTGAAAGGGCTCCAAATGTCCACATGGAGGCTCTACGAAAAGAATGTTTCAAAACTGCTCCATGAAAAGCAATGTTATACTCTGGGAGTTGAACACAAGCCTCACAAAGGAGTTTCTGAGAATGCTTCTGTTTACTTTTTACGTGAGGATATTCCCGTTTCCAAAGAAGTCTTCACAGAGTTCCACCTATCCATTTGCAGATGCTAGCAAAAGAGAGTTTCAAAACTGCTCTATCAAAAGGAATGTTCAACTCTGTGAGTTGCATGCAATCATCACAGAGAAGTTTCTGAGAAGGCTTCTGTCTAGATTTTATGTGAAGATATACCCGTTTCGAACGAAGGCCACAAAGTGCTCCAAATATCCACTTGCAGGTCCTCCAAAAAGAGTGTTTCAAACGTGAACTACCAAAGGAAGGCTCAACTGTGGACTTTGAATGCCAACGTCAGAAAGATGTTTCTCCGAAAGCTTCTGTTTACTTAGGCGACGTTATCCCGTTTCCAACGAAATCCTCAGAGAGGTCCAAATATCCACCAGCCGAGTCTACAAAAAGTGTGTCTCAAAACTGCTCCACCCAAAGGAATGTTCAGCTCTGTGAGTTGAACTCAATCATCCCAAAGTATTTTCTGAGAATGCTTCTGTCCAGTTTTTACATGAAGCTGTTTCCTTTACTACCGTAGGCCTCAAAGCGTTCCAAATCTCCACTTGCAGATGCTACGAAAAGAGCATTTCAACCTGAACTCACAAGGGAAGGTTCACCTCTGTCAGTTGAATGTCAACATCACAAAGAAGTTCTGAGAATGTTCCTCTTCAGTTATGTGAGGTTTATCCCGTTTCCAACGAAATTCTCAGAGAAGTCCCAATATCCACTTGCATATTCTACAAAACGTGTGTTTTGAAAATGCTCCATCAAAAGACCTGCTCAGCTCTGTGAGTTAAACTCAATCATCGCAAAGAATTTTCTGAGAATGCTTCTGTCTTGTTTTTAGATGAAGTTCTTTCCTTTACTACGACAGGCCTCAAAGACGTCCAAATCTCCACTTGCAGATTCTGCAGAAGGAGTGTTTCAAACCTGAACTGTCAGAGAAAGGTTCAACACTGTGAGTTGAATGCAAGCATCACGAAGAAGGTTCTGAGAATGCTTCCGTTTACGTAGGTGAGTTCTCTCCCGTATCCAACGAAATCCTCAGAGCGGTCCGAATCTCCACTTGCAGATTCTACACAAAGTGTGTTTGGAAACTGCTCCATCCAAAGGAATGTTCAGCTCCGTGAGTTGAACTCAATCGTCACAAAGTGTTTCCTGGGAATGCTACTGTCTCGTTTTTATGTGCAGTTATATCCTCTACTGCCATAGGCCTCAAAGCTGTCCAAATATCCCCTTTCAGATTCTACCAAAAGTGTGTTTCCCAACGGCTCCATCAAAGGGAATGTTCAGCTCGGTGACTTGAAAGCAATCATCACAAAGCAGCTTCTGAGAATGCTTCCATGTAGCTTTGATGAGAAGATATTTCCTTTTCCACCCCAGGCCTCGAAGCCCTCCAAATGTACCCTTGCAGATGCTAGAAAGAGAGGGTTTCAAAGCTGCTCTATCAAAAGGAAAGTACAACTCTGCGAGTTGAATGCAAACATCACAAAGAAGTTCCTGAGCATGCTTCTGTTTAGCTTTTACGGGAAGATTATCCCTTTTCCATCAGAATGTTCAAAGAGGTCCACATATCCGCTTGCAGATTCCACCGAAAGAGTGTTTCCAAACTGCTGCATCAAAAGGAATCCTCAGCTCCGTGAGTTGAATGCAATCATCACCAAGAGGATTCTGAGAATGCTTCTCTCTAGTTTTTATGTGAAGATATTTCCTTAACCACCACAGGCCTGAAAGGGCTCCAAATGTCCACTTGGAGGCTCTATGAAAAGAATGTTTCAAAACTGCTCCATGAAAAGCAATGTTATACTCTGGGAGTTGAACACAAGCCTCACAAAGGAGTTTCTGAGAATGCTTCTGTTTACTTTTTACGTGAGGATATTCCCGTTTCCAAAGAAGTCTTCACAGAGTTCCACCTATCCATTTGCAGATGCTAGCAAAAGAGAGTTTCAAAACTGCTCTATCAAAAGGAATGTTCAACTCTGTGAGTTGCATGCAATCATCACAGAGAAGTTTCTGAGAAGGCTTCTGTCTAGATTTTATGTGAAGATATAGCCGTTTCGAACGAAGACCACAATGTGCTCCAATATCCACTTGCAGGTCCTCCAAAAAGAGTGTTTCAAACGTGAACTACCAAAGGAAGGCTCAACTGTGGACTTTGAATGCCAACGTCAGAAAGATGTTTCTGCGAAAGCTTCTGTTTAGTTAGGTGACGTTATCCCGTTTCCAACGAAATCCTCAGAGAGGTCCAAATATCCACCAGCAGAGTCTACAAAAAGTGTGTTTCAAAACTGCTCCACCCAAAGGAATGTTCAGCTCTGTGAGTTGAACTCAATCATCCCAAAGTATTTACTGAGAATGCTTCTGTCCAGTTTTTACGTGAAGCTGTTTCCTTTACTACCGTAGGCCTCAAAGCGTTCCAAATCTCCACTTGCAGATGCTACGAAAAGAGCGTTTCAACCTGAACTCACAAGGGAAGGTTCACCACTGTCAGTTGAATGTCAACATCACAAAGAAGTTCTGAGAATGTTCCTCTTCAGTTATGTGAGGTTTATCCCGTTTCCAACGAAATTCTCGGAGAAGTCCCAATATCCACTTGCATATACTACAAAACGTGTGTTTTGAAAATGCTCCATCAAAAGACCTGCTCAGCTCTGTGAGTTAAACTCAATCATCGCAAAGAATTTTCTGAGAATGCTTCTGTCTTGTTTTTAGATGAAGTTCTTTCCTTTACTACGACAGGCCTCAAAGACGTCCAAATCTCCACTTGCAGATTCTGCAGAAGGAGTGTTTCAAACCTGAACTGTCAGAGAAAGGTTCAATACTGTGATTTGAAGGCAAGCATCACGAAGAAGGTTCTGAGAATGCTTCCGTTTACGTAGGTGAGTTCTCTCCCGTATCCAACGAAATCCTCAGAGCGGTCCGAATCTCCACTTGCAGATACTACACAAAGTGTGTTTGGAAACTGCTCCATCCAAAGGAATGTTCAGCTCCGTGAGTTGAACTCAATCGTCACAAAGTGTTTCCTGGGAATGCTACTGTCTCGTTTTTATGTGCAGTTATATCCTCTACTGCCATAGGCCTCAAAGCGGTCCAAATCTCCCCTTTCAGATTCTACCAAAAGTGTGTTTCCAAACGGCTCCATCAAAGGGAATGTTCAACTCGGTGACTTGAAAGCAATCATCACACAGCAGTTTCTGAGAATGCTTCCATGTATCTTTGATGAGAAGATATTTCCTTTTCCACCCCAGGCCTCGAAGCCCTCCAAATGTCCCCTTGCAGATGCTAGAAAGGGAGGGTTTCAAAGCTGCTCTATCAAAAGGAAAGTACAACACTGCGAGTTGAATGCAAACATCACAAAGAAGTTCCTGAGCATGCTTCCGTTTAGCTTTTGCGGGAAGATTATCCCTTTTCCATCGGAATGTTCAAAGAGGTCCACATATCCGCTTGCAGCTTCCACCGAAAGAGTGTTTCCATACTGCTGCATCAAAAGGAATCCTCAGCTCCGTGAGTTGAATGCAATCATCACCAAGAAGATTCTGAGAATGCTTCTCTCTAGTTTTTATGTGAAGATATTTCCTTATCCACCACAGGCCTGAAAGGGCTCCAAATGTCCACTTGGAGGCTCTACGAAAAGAATGTTTCAAAACTGCTCCATGAAAAGCAATGTTATACTCTGGGAGTTGAACACAAGCCTCACAAAGGAGTTTCTGAGAATTCTTCTGTTTACTTTTTACGTGAGGATATTCCCGTTTCCAAAGAAGTCTTCACAGAGTTCCACCTATCCATTTGCAGATGCTAGCAAAAGAGAGTTTCAAAACTGCTCTATCAAAAGGAATGTTCAACTCTGTGAGTTGCATGCAATCATCACAGAGAAGTTTCTGAGAAGGCTTCTGTCTAGATTTTATGTGAAGATATAGCCTTTTCGAACGAAGGCCACAAAGTGCTCCAAATATCCACTTGCAGGTCCTCCAAAAAGAGTGTTTCAAACGTGAACTACCAAAGGAAGGCTCAACTCTGGAGTTTGAATGCCAACGTCGGAAAGATGTTTCTGCGAAAGCTTCTGTTTAGTTAGGCGACGTTATCCCGTTTCCAACGAAATCCTCAGAGAGGTCCAAATATCCACCTGCAGAGTCTACAAAAAGTGTGTTTCAAAACTGCTCCACCCAAAGGAATGTTCAGCTCTGTGAGTTGAACTCAATCATCCCAAAGTAGTTTCTGAGAATGCTTCTGTCCAGTTTTTACATGAAGCTGTTTCCTTTACTACCGTAGGCCTCAAAGCGTTCCAAATCTCCACTTGCAGAAGCTACGAAAAGAGCGTTTCAACCTGAACTCACAAGGGAAGGTTCACCTCTGTCAGTTGAATGTCAACATCACAAAGAAGTTCTGAGAATGTTCCTCTTCAGTTATGTGAGGTTTATCCCGTTTCCAACGAAATTCTCGGAGAAGTCCCAATATCCACTTGCATATACTACAAAACGTGTGTTTTGAAAATGCTCCATCAAAAGACCTGCTCAGCTCTGAGAGTAAAACTCAATCATCGCAAAGAATTTTCTGAGAATGCTTCTGTCTTGTTTTTAGATGAAGTTCTTTCCTTTACTACGACAGGCCTCAAAGAGGTCCAAATCTCCACTTGCAGATTCTGCAGAAGGAGTGTTTCAAACCTGAACTGTCAGAGAAAGGTTCAACACTGTGAGTTGAATGCAAGCATCACGAAGAAGGTTCTGAGAATGCTTCCGTTTACATAGGTGAGTTCTCTCCCGTATCCAACGAAATCCTCAGTGCGGTCCGAATCTCCACTTGCAGATTCTACACAAAGTGTGTTTGGAAACTGCTCCATCCAAAGGAATGTTCAGCTCCGTGAGTTGAACTCTATCGTCACAAAGTGTTTCCTGGGAATGCTACTGTCTCGTTTTTATGTGCAGTTATATCCTCTACTGCCATAGGCCTCAAAGCGGTCCAAATCTCCCCTTTCAGATTCTACCGAAAGTGTGTTTCCAAACGGCTCCATCAAAGGGAATGTTCAGCTCGGTGACTTGAAAGCAATCATCACAAAGCAGCTTCTGAGAATGCTTCCATGTAGCTTTGATGAGAAGATATTTCCTTTTCCACCCCAGGCCTCGAAGCCCTCCAAATGTCCCCTTGCAGATGCTAGAAAGAGAGGGTTTCAAAGCTGCTCTATCAAAAGGAAAGTACAACTCTGCGAGTTGAATGCAAACATCACAAAGAAGTTCCTGAGCATGCTTCAGTTTAGCTTTTATGGGAAGATTATCCCTTTTCCATCGCAATGTTCAAAGAGGTCCACATATCCGCTTGCAGATTCCACCGAAAGAGTGTTTCCAAACTGCTGCATCAAAAGGAATCCTCAGCTCCGTGAGTTGAATGCAATCATCACCAAGAAGTTTCTGACAATGCTTCTCTCTAGTTTTTATGTGAAGATATTTCCTTATCCACCACAGGCCTGAAAGGGCTCCAAATGTCCACATGGAGGCTCTACGAAAAGAATGTTTCAAAACTGCTCTATGAAAAGCAATGTTATACTCTGGGAGTTGAACACAAGCCTCACAAAGGAGTTTCTGAGAATGCTTCTGTTTACTTTTTACGTGAGGATATTCCCGTTTCCAAAGAAGTCTTCACAGAGTTCCACCTATCCATTTGCAGATGCTAGCAAAAGAGAGTTTCAAAACTGCTCTATCAAAAGGAATGTTCAACTCTGTGAGTTGCATGCAATCATCACAGAGAAGTTTCTGAGAAGGCTTCTGTCTAGATTTTATGTGAAGATATACCCGTTTCGAACGAAGGCCACAAAGTGCTCCAAATATCCACTTGCAGGTCCTCCAAAAAGAGTGTTTCAAACGTGAACTACCAAAGGAAGGCTCAACTGTGGACTTTGAATGCCAACGTCAGAAAGATGTTTCTCCGAAAGCTTCTGTTTACTTAGGCGACGTTATCCCGTTTCCAACGAAATCCTCAGAGAGGTCCAAATATCCACCAGCCGAGTCTACAAAAAGTGTGTTTCAAAACTGCTCCACCCAAAGGAATGTTCAGCTCTGTGAGTTGAACTCAATCATCCCAAAGTATTTTCTGAGAATGCTTCTGTCCAGTTTTTACATGAAGCTGTTTCCTTTACTACCGTAGGCCTCAAAGCGTTCCAAATCTCCACTTGCAGATGCTACGAAAAGAGCGTTTCAACCTGAACTCACAAGGGAAGGTTCACCTCTGTCAGTTGAATGTCAACATCACAAAGAAGTTCTGAGAATGTTCCTCTTCAGTTATGTGAGGTTTATCCCGTTTCCAACGAAATTCTCAGAGAAGTCCCAATATCCACTTGCATATTCTACAAAACGTGTGTTTTGAAAATGCTCCATCAAAAGACCTGCTCAGCTCTGTGAGTTAAACTCAATCATCGCAAAGAATTTTCTGAGAATGCTTCTGTCTTGTTTTTAGATGAAGTTCTTTCCTTTACTACGACAGGCCTCAAAGACGTCCAAATCTCCACTTGCAGATTCTGCAGAAGGAGTGTTTCAAACCTGAACTGTCAGAGAAAGGTTCAACACTGTGAGTTGAATGCAAGCATCACGAAGAAGGTTCTGAGAATGCTTCCGTTTACGTAGGTGAGTTCTCTCCCGTATCCAACGAAATCCTCAGAGCGGTCCGAATCTCCACTTGCAGATTCTACACAAAGTGTGTTTGGAAACTGCTCCATCCAAAGGAATGTTCAGCTCCGTGAGTTGAACTCAATCGTCACAAAGTGTTTCCTGGGAATGCTACTGTCTCGTTTTTATGTGCAGTTATATCCTCTACTGCCATAGGCCTCAAAGCTGTCCAAATATCCCCTTTCAGATTCTACCAAAAGTGTGTTTCCCAACGGCTCCATCAAAGGGAATGTTCAGCTCGGTGACTTGAAAGCAATCATCACAAAGCAGCTTCTGAGAATGCTTCCATGTAGCTTTGATGAGAAGATATTTCCTTTTCCACCCCAGGCCTCGAAGCCCTCCAAATGTACCCTTGCAGATGCTAGAAAGAGAGGGTTTCAAAGCTGCTCTATCAAAAGGAAAGTACAACTCTGCGAGTTGAATGCAAACATCACAAAGAAGTTCCTGAGCATGCTTCTGTTTAGCTTTTACGGGAAGATTATCCCTTTTCCATCAGAATGTTCAAAGAGGTCCACATATCCGCTTGCAGATTCCACCGAAAGAGTGTTTCCAAACTGCTGCATCAAAAGGAATCCTCAGCTCCGTGAGTTGAATGCAATCATCACCAAGAGGATTCTGAGAATGCTTCTCTCTAGTTTTTATGTGAAGATATTTCCTTAACCACCACAGGCCTGAAAGGGCTCCAAATGTCCACATGGAGGCTCTATGAAAAGAATGTTTCAAAACTGCTCCATGAAAAGCAATGTTATACTCTGGGAGTTGAACACAAGCCTCACAAAGGAGTTTCTGAGAATGCTTCTGTTTACTTTTTACGTGAGGATATTCCCGTTTCCAAAGAAGTCTTCACAGAGTTCCACCTATCCATTTGCAGATGCTAGCAAAAGAGAGTTTCAAAACTGCTCTATCAAAAGGAATGTTCAACTCTGTGAGTTGCATGCAATCATCACAGAGAAGTTTCTGAGAAGGCTTCTGTCTAGATTTTATGTGAAGATATACCCGTTTCGAACGAAGATCACAATGTGCTCCAATATCCACTTGCAGGTCCTCCAAAAAGAGTGTTTCAAACGTGAACTACCAAAGGAAGGCTCAACTGTGGACTTTGAATGCCAACGTCAGAAAGATGTTTCTGCGAAAGCTTCTGTTTAGTTAGGTGACGTTATCCCGTTTCCAACGAAATCCTCAGAGAGGTCCAAATATCCACCAGCAGAGTCTACAAAAAGTGTGTTTCAAAACTGCTCCACCCAAAGGAATGTTCAGCTCTGTGAGTTGAACTCAATCATCCCAAAGTATTTACTGAGAATGCTTCTGTCCAGTTTTTACGTGAAGCTGTTTCCTTTACTACCGTAGGCCTCAAAGCGTTCCAAATCTCCACTTGCAGATGCTACGAAAAGAGCGTTTCAACCTGAACTCACAAGGGAAGGTTCAACTCTGTCAGTTGAATGTCAACATCACAAAGAAGTTCTGAGAATGTTCCTCTTCAGTTATGTGAGGTTTATCCCGTTTCCAACGAAATTCTCGGAGAAGTCCCAATATCCACTTGCATATACTACAAAACGTGTGTTTTGAAAATGCTCCATCAAAAGACCTGCTCAGCTCTGTGAGTTAAACTCAATCATCGCAAAGAATTTTCTGAGAATGCTTCTGTCTTGTTTTTAGATGAAGTTCTTTCCTTTACTACGACAGGCCTCAAAGAGGTCCAAATCTCCACTTGCAGATTCTGCAGAAGGAGTGTTTCAAACCTGAACTGTCAGAGAAAGGTTCAATACTGTGATTTGAAGGCAAGCATCACGAAGAAGGTTCTGAGAATGCTTCCGTTTACGTAGGTGAGTTCTCTCCCGTATCCAACGAAATCCTCAGAGCGGTCCGAATCTCCACTTGCAGATACTACACAAAGTGTGTTTGGAAACTGCTCCATCCAAAGGAATGTTCAGCTCCGTGAGTTGAACTCAATCGTCACAAAGTGTTTCCTGGGAATGCTACTGTCTCGTTTTTATGTGCAGTTATATCCTCTACTGCCATAGGCCTGAAAGCGGTCCAAATCTCCCCTTTCAGATTCTACCAAAAGTGTGTTTCCAAACGGCTCCATCAAAGGGAATGTTCAACTCGGTGACTTGAAAGCAATCATCACACAGCAGTTTCTGAGAATGCTTCCATGTATCTTTGATGAGAAGATATTTCCTTTTCCACCCCAGGCCTCGAAGCCCTCCAAATGTCCCCTTGCAGATGCTAGAAAGGGAGGGTTTCAAAGCTGCTCTATCAAAAGGAAAGTACAACACTGCGAGTTGAATGCAAACATCACAAAGAAGTTCCTGAGCATGCTTCCGTTTAGCTTTTACGGGAAGATTATCCCTTTTCCATCGGAATGTTCAAAGAGGTCCACATATCCGCTTGCAGCTTCCACCGAAAGAGTGTTTCCATACTGCTGCATCAAAAGGAATCCTCAGCTCCGTGAGTTGAATGCAATCATCACCAAGAAGATTCTGAGAATGCTTCTCTCTAGTTTTTATGTGAAGATATTTCCTTATCCACCACAGGCCTGAAAGCGCTCCAAATGTCCACTTGGAGGCTCTACGAAAAGAATGTTTCAAAACTGCTCCATGAAAAGCAATGTTATACTCTGGGAGTTGAACACAAGCCTCACAAAGGAGTTTCTGAGAATGCTTCTGTTTACTTTTTACGTGAGGATATTCCCGTTTCCAAAGAAGTCTTCACAGAGTTCCACCTATCCATTTGCAGATGCTAGAAAAAGAGAGTTTCAAAACTGCTCTATCAAAAGGAATGTTCAACTTTGTGAGTTGCATGCAATCATCACAGAGAAGTTTCTGAGAAGGCTTCTGTCTAGATTTTATGTGAAGATATAGCCGTTTCGAACGAAGGCCACAAAGTGCTCCAATATCCACTTGCAGGTCCTCCAAAAAGAGTGTTTCAAACGTGAACTACCAAAGGAAGGCTCAACTGTGGACTTTGAATGCCAACGTCAGAAAGATGTTTCCGCGAAAGCTTCTGTTTAGTTAGGCGACGTTATCCCGTTTCCAACGAAATCCTCAGAGAGGTCCAAATATCCACCAGCAGAGTCTACAAAAAGTGTGTTTCAAAACTGCTCCACCCAAAGGAATGTTCAGCTCTGTGAGTTGAACTCAATCATCCCAAAGTATTTCCTGAGAATGCTTCTGTCCAGTTTTTACGTGAAGCTGTTTCCTTTACTACCGTAGGCCTCAAAGCGTTCCAAATCTCCACTTGCAGATGCTACGAAAAGAGCGTTTCAACCTGAACTCACAAGGGAAGGTTCACCTCTGTCAGTTGAATGTCAACATCACAAAGAAGTTCTGAGAATGTTCCTCTTCAGTAATGTGAGGTTTATCCCGTTTCCAACGAAATTCTCGGAGAAGTCCCAATATCCACTTGCATATTCTACAAAACGTGTGTTTTGAAAATGCTCCATCAAAAGACCTGCTCAGCTCTGTGAGTTAAACTCAATCATCGCAAAGAATTTTCTGAGAATGCTTCTGTCTTGTTTTTAGATGAAGTTCTTTCCTTTACTACGACAGGCCTCAAAGAGGTCCAAATCTCCACTTGCAGATTCTGCAGAAGGAGTGTTTCAAACCTGAACTGTCAGAGAAAGGTTCAACACTGTGAGTTGAATGCAAGCATCGCGAAGAAAGTTCTGAGATTGCTTCCGTTTACATAGGTGAGTTCTCTCCCGTATCCAACGAAATCCTCAGAGCGGTCCGAATCTCCACTTGCAGATTCTACACAAAGTGTGTTTGGAAACTGCTCCATCCAAAGGAATGTTCAGCTCCGTGAGTTGAACTCAATCGTCACAAAGCGTTTCCTGGGAATGCTACTGTCTCGTTTTTATGTGCAGTTATATCCTCTACTGCCATAGGCCTCAAAGCGGTCCAAATCTCCCCTTTCAGATTCTACCAAAAGTGTGTTTCCAAACGGCTCCATCAAAGGGAATGTTCAGCTCGGTGACTTGAAAGCAATCATCACAAAGCAGCTTCTGAGAATGCTTCCATGTAGCTTTGATGAGAAGATATTTCCTTTTCCACCCCAGGCCTCGAAGCCCTCCAAATGTCCCCTTGCAGATGCTAGAAAGAGAGGGTTTCAAAGCTGCTCTATCAAAAGGAAAGTACAACTCTGCGAGTTGAATGCAAACATCACAAAGAAGTTCCTGAGCATGCTTCCGTTTAGCTTTTACGGGAAGATTATCCCTTTTCCATCGGAATGTTCAAAGAGGTCCTCATATCCGCTTGCAGATTCCAACGAAAGAGTGTTTCCAAACTGCTGCATCAAAAGGAATCCTCAGCTCCGTGAGTTGAATGCAATCATCACCAAGAAGTTTCTGACAATGCTTCTCTCTAGTTTTTATGTGAAGATATTTCCTTATCCACCACAGGCCTGAAAGCGCTCCAAATGTCCACTTGGAGGCTCTACGAAAAGAATGTTTCAAAACTGCTCCATGAAAAGCAATGTTGTACTCTGGGAGTTGAACACAAGCCTCACAAAGGAGTTTCTGAGAATGCTTCTGTTTACTTTTCACATGAGGATATTCCCGTTTCCAAAGAAGTCTTCACAGAGTTCCACCTATCCATTTGCAGATGCTAGCAAAAGAGAGTTTCAAAACTGCTCTATCAAAAGGAATGTTCAACTCTGTGAGTTGCGTGCAATCATCACAGAGAAGTTTCTGAGAAGGCTTCTGTCTAGATTTTATGTGAAGATATAGCCGTTTTGAACGAAGGCCACAAAGTGCTCCAATATCCACTTGCAGGTCCTCCAAAAAGAGTGTTTCAAACGTGAACTACCAAAGGAAGGCTCAACTCTGGACTTTGAATGCCAACGTCAGAAAGATGTTTCTGCGAAAGCTTCTGTTTAGTTAGGCAACGTTATCCCGTTTCCAACGAAATCCTCAGAGAGTTCCAAATATCCACCGGCAGAGTCTACAAAAAGTGTTTTTCAAAACTGCTCCACCCAAAGGAATGTTCAGCTCTGTGAGTTGAACTCAATCATCCCAAAGTATTTCCTGAGAATGCTTCTGTCCAGTTTTTACATGAAGCTGTTTCCTTTACTACCGTAGGCGTCAAAGCGTTCCAAATCTCCACTTGCAGATGCTACGAAAAGAGCGTTTCAACCTGAACTCACAAGGGAAGGTTCACCTCTGTCAGTTGAATGTCAACATCACAAAGAAGTTCTGAGAATGTTCCTCTTCAGTTATGTGAGGTTTATCCCGTTTCTAACGAAATTCTCAGAGAAGTCCCAATATCCACTTGCATATTCTACAAAAGGAGTGTTTTGAAAATGCGCCATCAAAAGATTTGCTGAGCTCTGTGAGTTAAACTCAATCATCGCAAAGAATTTTCTGAGAATGCTTCTGTCTTGTTTTTAGATGAAGTTCTTTCCTTTACTGCGACAGGCCTCAAAGAGGTCCAAATCTCCACTTGCAGATTCTGCAGAAGGAGTGTTTCAAACCTGAACTATCAGAGAAAGGTTCAACACTGTGTGTTGAATGCAAGCATCATGAAGAAGGTTCTGAGAATGCTTCTGTTTACGTAGGTGACTTCTCTCCCGTATCCAACGAAATCCTCAGAGCGGTGCAAATCTCCACTTGCAGATTCTACACAAAGTGTGTTTGGAAACTGCTCCATCCAAAGGAATGTTCAGCTCTGTGAGTTGAACTCAATCGTCACAAAGTGTTTCCTCGGAATGCTCCTGTCTCGTTTTTATGTGCAGTTATATCCTCTACTGCCATAGGCCTCAAAGCGGTCCAAATCTCCCCTTTCAGATTCTACCAAAAGTGTGTTTCCAAACGGCTCCATCAAAGGGAATGTTCAACACGGTGACTTGAATGCAATCATCTCAAAGCAGCTTCTGAGAATGTTTCCATGTAGCTTTGATGAGAAGATATTTCCTTTTCCACCCCAAGCCTCGAAGCCCACCAAATGTCCCCTTGCAGATGCTAGAAAGAGGGGGTTTCAAAGCTACTCTCTCAAAAGGAAAGTACAACTCTGTGAGTTGAATGCAAACATCACAAAGAAGTTCCTGAGCATGCTTCCGTTTAGCTTTTACGGGAAGATTATCCCTTTTCCATCGGAATGTTCAAAGAGGTCCACATATCCGCTTGCAGATTCCACCGAAAGAGTGTTTCTAAACTGCTGCATCAAAAGGAATCCTCAGCTCCGTGAGTTGAATGCAATCATCACCAAGAAGTTTCTGACAATGCTTCTCTCTAGTTTTTATGTGAAGATATTTCCTTTTCCACCACTGGCCTGAAAGCGTTCCAAATGTCCACTTGGAGGCTCTACGAAAAGAATGTTTCAAAACTGCTCTATGAAAAGCAATGTTATACTCTGGGAGTTGAACACAAGCCTCACAAAGTAGTTTCTGAGAAGGCTTCTGTTTACTTTATACGTGAGGATATTCCCGTTTCCAAAGAAGTCTTCACAGAGTTCCACCTATCCATTTGCAGATGCTAGCAAAAGAGAGTTTCAAAACTGCTCTATCAAAAGGAATGTTCAACTCTGTGAGTTGCATGCAATCATCACAGAGAAGTTTCTGAGAAGGCCTCTGTCTAGATTTTACGTGAAGATATAGCCGTTTCGAACGAAGGCCACAAAGTGCTCCAAATATCCACTTGCAGGTCCTCCAAAAAGAGTGTTTCAAACGTGAACTACCAAAGGAAGGCTCAACTCTGGACTTTGAATGCCAACGTCAGAAAGATGTTTCTGCGAAAGCTTCTGTTTTCTTAGGCGACGTTATCCCGTTTCCAGTGAAATCCTCAGAGAGGTCCAAATATCCACCTGCAGAGTCTACAAAAAGTTTGTTTCAAATCTGCTCCACCCAAAGGAATGTTCAGCTCTGTGAGTTGAACTCAATCATCCCAAAGTATTTTCTGAGAATGCTTCTGTCCAGTTTTTACATGAAGCTGTTTCCTTTACTACCGTAGGCCTCAAAGCGTTCCAAATCCCCACTTGCAGATAGTACGAAAAGAGCGTTTCAACCTGAACTCACAAGGGAAGGTTCAACTCTGTCAGTTGAATGCCAACATCACAAAGAAGTTCTGAGAATGTTCCTCTTCAGTTATGTGAGGTTTATCCTGTTTCCAACGAAATTCTCAGAGAAATCCCAATATCCACTTGCATATTCTACAAAAGGTGTGTTTTGAAAATGCTCCATCATCTATGACAAACCCACAGCGAATATCATACTGAATGGGCAAAAACTGGAAGCATTCCCTTTGAAAACTGGCACAAGACCGGGATGCCCTCTCTCACCGCTCCTATTCAACATAGTGTTGGAAGTTCTGGCCAGGGCAATCAGGCAGGAGAAGGAAATAAAGGGTATTCAATTAGGAAAAGAGGAAGTCAAATTGTCCCTGTTTGCAGACGACATGATTGTTTATCTAGAAAACCCCGTCGTCTCAGCCCAAAATCTCCTTAAGCTGATAAGCAACTTCAGCAAAGTCTCAGGATACAAAATCAATGTACAAAAATCACAAGCATTCTTATACACCAACAACAGACAAACAGAGAGCCAAATCATGGGTGAACTCCCATTCACAATTGCTTCAAAGTGAATAAAATACCTAGGAATCCAACTTACAAGGGATGTGAAGGACCTCTTCAAGGAGAACTACAAACCACTGCTCAAGGAAATAAAAGAGGACACAAACAAATGGAAGAACATTCCATGCTCATGGGTAGGAAGAATCAATATCGTGAAAATGGCCATACTGCCCAAAGTAATTTACAGATTCAATGCCATCCCCATCAGGCTACCAATGACTTTCTTCCCAGAATTGGAAAAATCTGCTTTAAAGTTCATATGGAACCAAAAAAGAGCTCGCATTGCCAAGTCAATCCTAAGCCAAAAGAACAAAGCTGGGGGCATCACACTACCTCACTTCAAACTATACTACAAGGCTACAGTAACCAAAACAGCATGGTACTGGTACCAAAACAGAGATATAGATCAATGGAACAGAACAGAGCCCTCAGAAATAATGCCGCATATCTACAACTATCTGATCTTTGACAAACCTGAGAAAAACAAGCAATGGGGAAAGGATTCCCTATTTAATAAATGGTGCTGGGAAAACTGGTTAGCCATATGTAGAAAGCTGAAACTGGATCCCTTCCTTACACCTTACACAAAAATCAATTCAAGATGGATTAAAGATTTAAACATTAAACCTAAAACCATAAAAACCCTAGAAGAAAACCTAGGCATTACCATTCAGGACATAGGCGTGGGCAAGGACTTCATGTCCAAAACACTAAAAGCAATGGCAACAAAAGACAAAATTGACAAATGGGATCTAATTAAACTAAAGAGCTTCTGCACAGCAAAAGAAACTACCATCAGAGTGAACAGGCAACCTACAAAATGGGAGAAAATTTTCGCAACCTACTCATCTGACAAAGGGCTAATATCCAGAATCTACAATGAACTCAAACAAATTTACAAGAAAAAAACAAACAACCCCATCAAAAAGTGGGCGAAGGACATGAACAGACACTTCTCAAAAGAAGACATTTATGCAGCCAAAAAACACATGAAGAAATGCTCATCATCACTGGCCATCAGAGAAATGCAACTGAAAACCACTATGAGATATCATCTCATACCAGTTAGAATGGCAATCATTAAAAAGTCAGGAAACAACAGGTGCTGGAGAGGATGTGGAGAAATAGGAACACTTTTACACTGTTGGTGGGACTGTAAACTAGTTCAACCATTGTGGAAGACAGTGTGGCGATTCCTCAGGGATCTAGAACTGGAAATACCATTTGACCCAACCATCCCATTACTGGGTATATACCCAAATGAGTATAAATCATGCTGCTATAAAGACACATGCACACGTATGTTTATTGCGGCACTATTCACAATAGCAAAGACTTGGAACCAACCCAAATGTCCAACAATGATAGAATGGATTAAGAAAATGTGGCACATATACACCACGGAATACTATGCAGCCATAAAAAATGATGAGTTCATATCCTTTGTAGGGACATGGATGAAATTGGAAACCATCATTCTCAGTAAACTATTGCAAGAACAAAAAACAAAACACCACATATTCTCACTCATAGGTGGGAATTGAACAATGAGATCACATGGAAACAGGAAGGGGAATATCACACTCTGGGGACTGTGGTGGGGTCGGGGGAGGTGGGAGGGATAGCACTGGGAGATATACCTAATGCTAGATGACACATTAGTGGGTGCAGTGCACCAGCATGGCACATGTATACATATGTAACTGACCTGCACAATGTGCACATGTACCCTAAAACTTAGAGTATAATAAAAAAAAAAGAAAAAAAAAATGCTCCATCAAAAGATATGCTCAGCTCTGTGAGTTAAACTCAATCATCACAAAGAAATTTCTGAGAATGCTTCTGTCTTGTTTTAGGATGAAGTTATTTCCTTTACTACGATAGGCCTCAAAGAGGTCCAAATCTCCACTTGCAGATTCTGCAGAAGGAGTTTTTCAAACCTGAACTATCAGAGAAAGGTTCAACAATGTGAGTTGAATGCAAGCATCACGAAGAAGGTTCTAAGAATGCTTCTGTTTAGATAGGTGAGTTTTCTCCCGTATCCAACGAAATCCTCAGAGAGGTCCAAATATCCACTTGCAGATTCTACAGAAAGTGTGTTTTGAAACTCCTCCATCCAAAGGAATGTTCAGCTCTGTGAGTTGAACTCAATCGTCACAAAGCGTTTCCTGGGAATGCTACTGTCTAGTTTTTATGTGCAGTTATATCCTCTACTGCCATAGGCCTCAAAGCGGTCCAAATCTCCCCTTGCAGATTCTACCAAAAGTGTGTTTCCAAACGGCTCCATCAAAGGGAATGTTCAACTCTGTGACTTGAATGCAATCATCACAAAGCAGTTTCTGAGAATGCTTCCATGTAGCTTTTATGAGAAGATATTTCCTTTTCCACCCCAGGCCTCGAAGCCCTCCAAATGTCCCCTTGCAGATGCTAGAAAGAGAGGGTTTCAAAGCTGCTCTATCAAAAGGAAAGTACAACTCTGTGAGTTGAATGCAAACATCACAAGGAAGTTCCTGAGCATGCTTCCGTTTAGCTTTTATGGGAAGATTATCCCTTTTCCATCGAAATGTTCAAAGAGGTCCACATATCCGCCTGCAGATTCCACAGAAAGAGTCTTTCCAAACTGCTGTATCAAAAGGAATCCTCAGCTCCGTGAGTTGAATGCAATCATCACAAAGAAGTTTCTGACAATGCTTCTCTCTAGTTTTTATGTGAAGATATTTCCTTTTCCACCACAGGCCTGAAAGCGCTCCAAATGTCCACTTGGAGACTCTACGAAAAGAATGTCTCAAAACTGCTCTACGAAAAGCAATGTTATATTCTGGGAGTTGAACACAAGCCTCACAAAGGAGTTTCTGAGAATGCTTCTGTTTACTTTTTACGTGAAGATATTCCCGTTTCCAAAGAAATCTTCACAGAGTTCCACCTTCCCTTTGCAGATGCTAGAAAAAGAGAGTTTCAAAACTGCTCTATCAAAAGGAATGTTCAACTCTGTGAGTTGAATACAATCATCACAGAGAAGTTTCTGAGAAGGCTTCTGTCTAGATTTTATGTGAAGATATACCCGTTTCCAACGAAGGCCACAAAGTGCTCCAAATATCCACTTGCAGGTCCTCCAACAAGAGTGTTTCAACCGTGAACTATCAAAGCAAAGGTCAGCTCTGGACTTTGAATGCAAACGTCAGAAAGAAGTTTCTGCGAAAGCTTCTGTTTAGTTAGGTGACGTTATCCCGTTTCCAAAGAAATCCTCAGAGAGGTCCAAATGTCCACCTGCAGGGTCCACAAAAAGTGTGTTTCCAAACTGCTCCACCCAAAGGAATGTTCAGCTGTGTGAGTTAAACTCAATCATCACAAAGTATTTTCTGAGAATGCTTCTGTCCAGATTTTACATGAAGCTGTTTCCTTTACTACCGTAGGCCTCAAAGCATTCCAAATCTCCACTTGCAGATACTACGAAAAGAGCGTTTCAACCTGAACACAGAAGGGAAGGTTCAACTCTGTCAGTTGAATGCCAACATCACAAAGAAGTTCTGGGAATGTTTCTCTTCAGTTATGTGAGGTTTATCCCGTTTCCAACGAAATTCTCAGAGAAGTCCAAATATCCACTTGCATATTCTACAAAAAGTGTGTTTTGAACATACTCCATCAGAAGATATGCTCAGCTCTGTGAGTTAAATTCAATCATCGCAAAGAATTTTCTGAGAATGCTTCTGTCTTGTTTTAGGATGAAGTTATTTCCTTTACTACGATAGGCCTCAAAAGGTCCAAATCTCCACTTGCAGATTCTGCAGAAGGAGTGTTTCAAACCTGAACTATCAGAGAAAGGTTCAACACTGTGAGTTGAATGCAAGCATCACGAAGAAGATTCTGAGAATGCTTCTGTTTAGATAGGTGAGTTTTCTCCCGCATCCAACGAAATCCTCAGAAAGGTCCAAATATCCACTTGCAGAATCTACAGAAAGTATGTTTTGAAACTGCTCCATCCAAAGGAATGTTCAGCTCTGTGAGTTGAACTCAATTGTCGCCAAGTGTTTCCTGGGAATGCTACTGTCTAGTTTTTATGTGCAGTTATATCCTCTACTGCCATAGGCCTCATAGCGGTCCAAATCTCCCCTTTCAGATTGTACAAAAAGTGTGTTTCCAAACGGCTCCATCAAACGGAATGTTCAACTCTGTGACTTGAATGTAATCACCACAAAGCAGTTTCTGAGAATGCTTCCATGTAGCTTTTATGAGAAGATATTTCCTTTTCCACCCCAGGCCTCGAAGCCCTCCAAATGTCCCCTTGCAGATGCTAGAAAGAGAGGGTTTCAAAGCTGCTCTATCAAAAGGAAAGTACAACTCTGTGAGTTGAACGCAAACATCACAAAGAAGTTCCTGAGCATGCTTCCGTTTAGCTTTTATGGGAAGATTATCCCTTTTCCATCGAAATGTTCAAAGAGGTCCACATATCCGCTTGCAGATTCCACCGAAAGACTGTTTCCAAACCGCTGTATCATAAGGAATCTTCAACTCCGTGGTTTGAATGCCATCATCACAAAGAATTTTCTGACAATACTTCTCTCTAGTTTTTATGTGAAGATATTTCCTTTTCCAACACAGGCCTGAAAGCGCTCCAAATGTCCACTTGGAGACTCTACGAAAAGAATGTCTCAAAACTGCTCTATGAAAAGCAATGTTATACTCTGGGAGTTGAACACAAGCCTCACAAAGGAGTTTCTGAGAATGCTTCTGTTTACTTTTTACGTGAAGATATTCCCGTTTCCAAAGAAATCTTCACAGAGTTCCACCTTCCCTTTGCAGATGCTAGAAAAAGAGAGTTTCAAAACTGCTCTATCAAAAGGAATGTTCAACTCTGTGAGTTGCATGCAATCATCACAGAGAAGTTTCTGAGAAGGCTTCTGTCTAGATTTTATGTGAAGATATACCCGTTTCCAACGAAGGCCACAAAGTGCTCCAAATATCCACTTGCAGGTCCTCCAACAAGAGTGTTTCAAACGTGAACTATCAAAGCAAAGGTCAGCTCTGGACTTTGAATGCAAACGTCAGAAATAAGTTTCTGCGAAAGCTTCTGTTTAGTTAGGTGACGTTATCCCGTTTCCAACGAAATCCTCAGAGAGGTCCAAATGTCCACCTGCAGAGTCTACAAAAAGTGTGTTTCCAAACTGCTCCACCCAAAGGAATGTTCAGCTCTGTGAGTTAAACTCAATCATCACAAAGTATTTTCTGAGAATGCTTCTGTCCAGTTTTTACATGAAGCTGTTTCCTTTACTACCGTAGGCCTCAAAGCATTCAAAATCTCCACTTGCAGATACTACGAAAAGAGCGTTTCAACCTGAACTCACAAGGGAAGGTTCAACTCTGTCAGTTGAATGCCAACATCACAAAGAAGTTTCTGACAATGCTTCTCTGTAGTTTTTATGTGAAGATATTTCCTTTTCCACCACAGGCCTGAAAGCGCTCCAAATGTCCACTTGGAGACTCTACGAAAAGAATGTCTCAAAACTGCTCTATGAAAAGGAATGTTATACTCTGGGAGTTGAACACAAGCCTCACAAAGGTGTTTCTGAGAATGCTTCTGTTTACTTTTTACGTGAAGATATTCCCGTTTCCAAAGAAATCTTCACAGAGTTCCACCTATCCCTTTGCAGATGCTAGAAAAAGAGAGTTTCAAAACTGCTCTATCAAAAGGAATGTTCAACTCTGTGAGTTGAATGCAATCATCACAGAGAAGTTTCTGAGAAGGCTTCTGTCTAGGTTTTATGTGAAGATATACCCGTTTCCAACGAAGGCCACAAAGTGCTCCAAATATCCACTTGCAGGTCCTCCAACAAGAGTGTTTCAAACGTGAACTATCAAAGGAAGGTTCAGCTCTGGACATTGAATGCAAACGTCAGAAAGATGTTTCTGCGAAAGCTTCTGTTTAGTTAGGTGACGTTATCCCTTTTCCAATGAAATCCTCAGAGAAGTCCAAATGTCCACCTGCAGAGTCTACAAAACGTGTGTTTCCAAACTGCTCCACCCAAAGGAATGTTCAGCTCTGTGAGTTAAACGCAATCATCACAAAGTATTTTCTGAGAATGCTTCTGTCCAGTTTTTACATGAAGCTGTTTCCTTTACTACCGTAGGCCTCAAAGCGTTACAAATCTCCACTTGCAGATACTACGAAAAGAGCGTTTCAACCTGAACTCACAAGGGAAGGTTCAACTCTGTCAGTTGAATGCCAACATCACAAAGAAGTTCTGGGAATGTTTCTCTTCAGTTATGTGAGGTTTATCCCGTTTCCAAAGAAATTCTCAGAGAAGTCCAAATATCCACTTGCATATTCTACAAAAATGTGTTTTGAACATGCTCCATCAGAAGATATGCTCAGCTCTGTGACGTAAACTCAATCATTGCAAAGAATTTTCTGAGAATGCTTCTGTCTTGTTTTAGGATGAAGTTATTTCCTTTACTACGATAGGCCTCAAAGAGGTCCAAATCTCCACTTGCAGATTCTGCAGAAGGAGTGTTTCAAACCTGAACTATCAGAGAAAGGTTCAACACTGTGAGTTGAATGCAAGCATCACGAAGAAGGTTCTGAGAATGCTTCTGTTTAGATAGGTGAGTTTTCTCCCGTATCCAAAGAAATCCTCAGAAAGGTCCAAATATCCACTTGCAGATTCTACAGAAAGTGTGTTTTGAAACTGCTCCATCCAAAGGAATGTTCAGCTCTGTGAGTTGAACTCAATCGTCACAAAGTGTTTCCTGGGAATGCTACTGTCTAGTTTTTATGGGCAGTTATATCCTCTCCTGCCAAAGGCCTCAAAGCGGTCCAAATCTCCCCTTTCAGATTCTACCAAAAGTGTGTTTCCAAACGGCTCTATCAAAGGGAATGTTCAACTCTGTGACTTGAATGCAATCATCACAAGGCCGTTTCTCAGAATGCTTCCATGTAGCTTTTATGAGCAGATATTTCCTTTTCCACCCCAGGCCTCGAAGCCCTCCAAATGTCCCCTTGCAGATGCTAGAAAGAGAGGGTTTCAAAGCTGCTCTATCAAAAGGAAAGTACAACTCTGTGAGTTGAATCCAAATATCACAAAGAAGTTCCTGAGCATGCTTCCGTTTAGCTTTTATGGGAAGATAATCCCTTTTCCATCGAAATGTTCAAAGAGGTCCACATATCCGCTTGCAGATTCCACCGAAAGAGTGTTTCCAAACTGCTGTATCAAAAGGAATCTTCAACTCCGTGAGTTGAATGCAATCATCACAAAGAAGTTTCTGACAATGCTTCTCTCTAGTTTTTATGTGAAGATATTTCCTTTTCCACCACAGGCCTGAAAGCGCTCCAAATGTCCACTTGGAGACTCAACGAAAAGAATGTTTCAAAACTGCTCTATGAAAAGCAATGTTATCCTCTGGGAGTTGAACACAAGCCTCACAAAGGAGTTTTTGAGAATGCTTCTGTTTACTTTTTATGCTAGACAGAAGAATTCTCAGTAACTTCCTTGTGTTGTGTGTATTCAACTCACAGAGTTGAACGATCCTTTACACAGAGCAGACTTGAAACACTCTTTTTCTGGAATTTGCAAGTGGAGATTTCAGCCGCTTTGTGGTAAATGGTAGAAAAGGAAATATCTTCGTATAAAAACTAGATAGAATGATTCTCAGAAACTCCTTTATGATGTGTGCTTTCAACTCACTGAGTTTAACATTTCTTTTCATAGAGCAGTTAGGAAACACTCTGTTTGTAAAGTCTGCAAGTGGATATTCAGACCCCCTTGAGGCCTTCGTTGGAAACCGTATTTTTTCATATTATGCTAGACAGAAGAATTCTCAGTAATTTCCTTGTGTTGTGTGTATTCAACTGACAGAGTTGAACTTTCATTTAGAGAGAGCAGATTTGAAACACTGTTTTTGTGGTATTTGCAAGTGGAGATTTCAAGCGCTTTGGGGCCAAAGGCAGAAAAGGAAATATCTTCGTATAAAAACTAGACAGAATCATTCTCAGTAACTGCTCTGTGATGTGTGCGTTCAACTCTCAGAGTTTAACTTTTCTTTTCATTCAGCAGTTTGGAAACACTCTGTTTGTAAAGTCTGCACGTAGATATTTTGACCACTTAGAGGCCTTCTTTGGAAACGGTTTTTTCTCATGTAAGGCTAGACAGAAGAATTCCCAGTAACTTCCTTGTGTTGTGTGCATTCAACTCACAGAGTTGAACGTTCCCTTAGACAGAGCAGATTTGAAACACTCTATTTGTGCAATTTGCAAGTGTAGATTTCAAGCGCTTTAAGGTCAATGGCAGAAAAGGAAATATCTTCGTTTCAAAACTAGACAGAATCATTCCCACAAACTGCGTTGTGATGTGTTTGTTCAACTCACAGAGTTTAACCTTTCTGTTCATAGAGCAGTTAGGAAACGCTCTGTTTGTAAAGTCTGTAAGTGGATATTCTGACATCTTGTGGCCTTCGTTGGAAACGGGATTTCTTCCTATTCTGCTAGACAGATGAATTCTCAGTAACTTCCTTGTGTTGTGTGTATTCAACTCACAGAGTTGAACGATCCTTTACACAGAGCAGACTTGAA
This sequence comes from Homo sapiens, assembly GCF_000001405.40. Lineage (NCBI taxonomy): Eukaryota > Metazoa > Chordata > Mammalia > Primates > Hominidae > Homo > Homo sapiens. Next base: position 121,743,369 of record NC_000001.11, read on the forward strand.
ACACTCTTTTTGTGGAATTTGCAAGTGGAGATTTCAGCCGCTTTGAGGTCAATGGTAGAAAAGGAAATATCTTCGTATAGAAACAAGACAGAATGATTCTCAGAAACTCCTTTGTGATGTGTGCGTTCAACTCACAGAGTTTAACCTTTCTTTTCATAGAGCAGTTAGGAAACACTCTGTTTGTAAAGTCTGCAAGTGGATATTCAGACCTCCTTGAGGCCTTCGTTGGAAACGGGATTTCTTCATATTCTGCTAGACAGAAGAATTCTCAGTCACTTCCTTGTGTTGTGTGTATTCAACTCACAGAGTTGAACGATCCTTTACACAGAGCAGACTTGAAACACTCTTTTTGTGGAATTTGCAAGTGGAGATTTCAGCCGCTTTGAGGTCAATTGTAGAATAGGATATATCTTCGTATAGAAACTAGACAGAATGATTCTCAGAAACTCCTTTGTGATATGTGCGTTCAACTCACAGAGTTTAACCTTTCTTTTCATAGAGCAGTTAGGAAACACTCTGTTTGTAAAGTCTGCAAGTGGATATTCAGACCTCTTTGAGGCTTTCGTTGGAAACGGGATTTCTTCATATTCTGCTAGACAGAAGAATTGTCAGTAACTTCCTTGTGTTGTGTGTATTCAACTCACAGTGTTGAACGATCCTTTACACAGAGCAGACTTGAAACACTCTTTTTGTGGAATTTGCAAGTGGAGATTTCAGCCGCTTTGTGGTCAATGGTAGAAAAGGAAATATCTTCGTATAGAAACTAGACAGAATGATTCTCAGAAACTCCTTTGTGATGTGGGCGTTGAACTCACAGAGTTTAACCTTTCTTTTCATAGAGCAGTTAGGAAACACTCTGTTTGTAAAGTCTGCACATGGATATTTTGACCACTTAGAGGCCTTCGTTGGAAACGTGTTTTTTTCATGTAAGGCTAGACAGAAGAATTCCCAGTAACTTCCTTGTGTTGTGTGCATTCAACTCACAGAGTTGAACGTTCCCTTAGACAGAGCAGATTTGAAACACTCTATTTGTGCAATTTGCAAGTGTAGATTTCAAGCGCTTTAAGGTCAATGGCAGAAAAGGAAATATCTTCGTTTCAAAACTAGACAGAATCATTCCCACAAACTGCGTTGTGATGTGTTCGTTCAACACACAGAGTTTAACCTTTCTGTTCATAGAGCAGTTAGGAAACACTCTGTTTGTAAAGTCTGTAAGTGGATATTCTGACATCTTGTGGCCTTCGTTGGAAACGGGATTTCTTCATATTGTGCTAGACAGAAGAATTCTCAGTCACTTCCTTGTGTTGTGTGTATTCAACTGACAGAGTTGAACTTTCATTTAGAGAGAGCAGATTTGAAACACTGTTTTTGTGGAATTTGCAAGTGGAGATTTCAAGCGCTTTGGGGCCAAAGGCAGAAAAGGATATATCTTCGTATAAAAACTGGACAGAATCATTCTCAGAAACTGCTGCGTGATGTGTGCGTTCAACTCTCAGAGTTTAACTTTTCTTTTCATTCAGCGGTTTGGAAACACTCTGTTTGTAAAGTCTGCACGTGGATATTTTGACCACTTAGAGGCCTTCGTTGGAAACGGGTTTTTTTCATGTAAGGCTAGACAGAAGAATTCCCAGTAACTTCCTTGTGTTGTGTGCATTCAACTCACAGAGTTGAACGTTCCCTTAGACAGAGCAGATTTGAAACACTGTATTTGTGCAATTTGCAAGTGTAGATTTCAAGCGCTTTAAGGTCAATGGCAGAAAAGGAAATATCTTCGTTTCAAAACTACACAGAATCATTCCCACAAACTGCGTTGTGATGTGTTCGTTCAACTCACAGAGTTTAACCTTTCTGTTCATAGAGCAGTTAGGAAACACTGTGTTTGTAAAGTCTGTAAGTGGATATTCTGACATCTTGTGGCCTTCGTTGGAAACGGGATTTCTTCATTTTCTGCTAGACAGAAGAATTCTCAGTAACTTCCTTGTGTTGTGTGTATTCAACTCACAGAGTTGAACGATGCTTTACACAGAGCAGACTTGAAACACTCTTTTTGTGGAATTTGCAAGTGGAGATTTCAGCCGCTTTGAGGTCAATGGTAGAAAAGGAAATATGTTCGTAAAGAAACAAGACAGAATGATTCTCAGAAACTCCTTTGTGATGTGTGCGTTCAACTCACAGAGTTTAACCTTTCTTTTCATAGAGCAGTTAGGAAACACTCTGTTTGTACAGTCTGCAAGTGGATATTCTGACCTCCTTGAGGCCTTCGTTGGAAAAGGGATTTCTTCATATTCTGCTAGACAGAAGAATTCTCAGAAACTTCCTTGTGTTGTGTGTATTCAACTCACAGAGTTGAACGATCCTTTACATAGAGCAGACTTGAAACACTCTTTTTGTGAAATTTGCAAGTGGAGATTTCAGCCGCTTTGAGGTCAACGGTAGAATAGGAAATATCTTCCTATAGAAACTAGACAGAATGATTCTCAGAAACTCCTTTGTGATGTGTGCGTTCAACTCACAGAGTTTAACCTTTCTTTTCATAGAGCAGTTAGGAAACACTCTGTTTGTAAAGTCTGCAAGTGGATATTCAGACCTCTTTGAGGCTTTCGTTGGAAACGGGATTTCTTCATATTCTGCTAGACAGAAGAATTCTCAGAAACTTCCTTGTGTTGTGTGTATTCAACTCACAGAGTTGAATGATCCTTTACACAGAGCAGACTTGAAACACTCTTTTTGTGGAATTTGCAAGTGGAGATTTCAGCCGTTTTGAGGTCAATGGTAGAATAGGAAATATCTTCCTATGGAAACTAGACAGAATGATTCTCAGAAACTCCTTTGTGATGTGTGCGTTCAACTCACAGAGTTTAACCTTTTTTTTCAAAGAGCAGTTAGGAAACACTCTGTTTGTAAAGTCTGCAAGTGGATATTCAGACCTCTTTGAGGCTTTCGTTGGAAACGGGATTTCTTCATATTCTGCTAGACAGAATAATTCTCAGAAACTTCCTTGTGTTGTGTGTATTCAACTCACAGAGTTGAACGATCCTTTACACAGAGCAGACTTGAAACACTCTTTTTGTGGAATTTGCAAGTGGAGATTTCAGCCGCTTTGTGGTCAATGGTAGAAAAGGAAATATCTTCGTATAAAGACTAGACAGAATGATTCTCAGAAACTCCTTTGTGATGTGTGCGTTCAACTCACAGAGTTTGACCTTTCTTTTCACAGAGCAGTTAGGAAACACTCTGTTTGTAAAGTCTGCAAGTGGATATTCAGACCTCTTTGAGGCCATTGTTGGAAACGGGATTTCTTCATATTCTGCTAGACAGAAGAATTCTCAGAAACTTCCTTGTGTTGTGTGTATTCAACTCACAGAGTTGAACGATCCTTTACACAGAGCAGACTTGAAACACTCTTTTTGTGGAATTTGCAAGTGGAGATTTCAGCCGCTTTGTGGTCAATGGTAGAAAAGGAAATATCTTCGTATAGAAACTAGACAGAATGATTCTCAGAAACTCCTTTGTGATGTGGGCGTTGAACTCACAGAGTTTAACCTTTCTTTTCATAGAGCAGTTAGGAAACACTCTGTTTGTAAAGTCTGCACATGGATATTTTGACCACTTAGAGGCCTTCGTTGGAAACGTGTTTTTTTCATGTAAGGCTAGACAGAAGAATTCCCAGTAACTTCCTTGTGTTGTGTGCATTCAACTCACAGAGTTGAAGGTTCCCTTAGACAGAGCAGATTTGAAACACTCTATTTGTGCAATTTGCAAGTGTAGATTTCAAGCGCTTTAAGGTCAATGGCAGAAAAGGAAATATCTTCGTTTCAAAACTACACAGAATCATTCCCACAAACTGCGTTGTGATGTGTTCGTTCAACTCACAGAGTTTAACCTTTCTGTTCATAGAGCAGTTAGGAAACACTCTGTTTGTAAAGTCTGTAAGTGGATATTCTGACATCTTGTGGCCTTCGTTGGAAACGGGATTTCTTCATATTGTGCTAGACAGAAGAATTCTCAGTCACTTCCTTGTGTTGTGTGTATTCAACTGACAGAGTTGAACTTTCATTTAGAGAGAGCAGATTTGAAACACTGTTTTTGTGGAATTTGCAAGTGGAGATTTCAAGCGCTTTGGGGCCAAAGGCAGAAAAGGATATATCTTCGTATAAAAACTAGACAGAATCATTCTCAGAAACTGCTGCGTGATGTGTGCGTTCAACTCTCAGAGTTTAACTTTTCTTTTCATTCAGCGGTTTGGAAACACTCTGTTTGTAAAGTCTGCACGTGGATATTTTGACCACTTAGAGGCCTTCGTTGGAAACGGGTTTTTTTCATGTAAGGCTAGACAGAAGAATTCCCAGTAACTTCCTTGTGTTGTGTGCATTCAACTCACAGAGTTGAACGTTCCCTTAGACAGAGCAGATTTGAAACACTCTATTTGTGCAATTTGCAAGTGTAGATTTCAAGCGCTTTAAGGTCAATGGCAGAAAAGGAAATATCTTCGTTTCAAAACTACACAGAATCATTCCCACAAACTGCGTTGTGATGTGTTCGTTCAACTCACAGAGTTTAAGCTTTCTGTTCATAGAGCAGTTAGGAAACACTGTGTTTGTAAAGTCTGTAAGTGGATATTCTGACATCTTGTGGCCTTCGTTGGAAACGGGATTTCTTCATTTTCTGCTAGACAGAAGAATTCTCAGAAACTTGCCTGTGTTGTGTGTATTCAACTCACAGAGTTGAACAATCCTTTACACAGAGCAGACTTGAAACACTCTTTTTGTGGAATTTGCAAGTGGAGATTTCAGCCGCTTTGAGGTCAATGGTAGAAAAGGAAATATCTTCGTATAAAGACTAGACAGAATGATTCTCAGAAACTCCTTTGTGATGTGTGCGTTCAACTCACAGAGTTTGACCTTTCTTTTTACAGAGCAGTTAGGAAACACTCTGTTTGTAAAGTCTGCAAGTGGATATTCAGACCTCTTTGAGGCCATCGTTGGAAACGGGATTTCTTCATATTCTGCTAGACAGAAGAATTCTCAGAAACTTCCTTGTGTTGTGTGTATTCAACTCACAGAGTTGAACGATCCTTTACACAGAGCAGACTTGAAACACTCTTTTTGTGGAATTTGCAAGTGGAGATTTCAGCCGCTTTGTGGTCAATGGTAGAAAAGGAAATATCTTCGTATAGAAACTAGACAGAATGATTCTCAGAAACTCCTTTGTGATGTGGACGTTGAACTCACAGAGTTTAACCTTTCTTTTCATAGAGCAGTTAGGAAACACTCTGTTTGTAAAGTCTGCACATGGATATTTTGACCACTTAGAGGCCTTCGTTGGAAACGGGTTTTTTTCATGTATGGCTAGACAGAAGAATTCCCAGTAACTTCCTTGTGTTGTGTGCATTCAACTCACAGAGATGAACGTTCCCTTAGACAGAGCAGATTTGAAACACTCTATTTGTGCAATTTGCAAGTGTAGATTTCAAGCGCTTTAAGGTCAATGGCAGAAAAGGAAATATCTTCGTTTCAAAACTAGACAGAATCATTCCCACAAACTGCGTTGTGATGTGTTCGTTCAACTCACAGAGTTTAACCTTTCTGTTCATAGAGCAGTTAGGAAACACTGTGTTTGTAAAGTCTGTAAGTGGATATTCTGACATCTTGTGGCCTTCGTTGGAAACGGGATTTCTTCATATTGTGCTAGACAGAAGAATTCTCAGTCACTTCCTTGTGTTGTGTGTATTCAACTGACAGAGTTGAACTTTCATTTAGAGAGAGCAGATTTGAATCACTGTTTTTGTGGAATTTGCAAGTGGAGATTTCAAGCGCTTTGGGGCCAAAGGCAGAAAAGGATATATCTTCGTATAAAAACTGGACAGAATCATTCTCAGAAACTGCTGCGTGATGTGTGCGTTCAACTCTCAGAGTTTAACTTTTCTTTTCATTCAGCGGTTTGGAAACACTCTGTTTGTAAAGTCTGCACGTGGATATTTTGACCACTTAGAGGCCTTCGTTGGAAACGGGTTTTTTTCATGTACGGCTAGACAGAAGAATTCCCAGTAACTTCCTTGTGTTGTGTGCATTCAACTCACAGAGTTGAACGTTCCCTTAGACAGAGCAGATTTGAAACACTCTATTTGTGCAATTTGCAAGTGTAGATTTCAAGCGCTTTAAGGTCAATGGCAGAAAAGGAAATATCTTCGTTTCAAAACTACACAGAATCATTCCCACAAACTGCGTTGTGATGTGTTCGTTCAACTCACAGAGTTTAACCTTTCTGTTCATAGAGCAGTTAGGAAACACTGTGTTTGTAAAGTCTGTAAGTGGATATTCTGACATCTTGTGGCCTTCGTTGGAAACGGGATTTCTTCATTTTCTGCTAGAAAGTAGAATTCTCAGTAACTTCCTTGTGTTGTGTGTATTCAACTCACAGAGTTGAACGATGCTTTACACAGAGCAGACTTGAAACACTCTTTTTGTGGAATTTGCAAGTGGAGATTTCAGCCGCTTTGAGGTCAATGGTAGAAAAGGAAATATGTTCGTAAAGAAACAAGACAGAATGATTCTCAGAAACTCCTTTGTGATGTGTGCGTTCAACTCACAGAGTTTAACCTTTCTTTTCATAGAGCAGTTAGGAAACACTCTGTTTGTACAGTCTGCAAGTGGATATTCTGACCTCCTTGAGGCCTTCGTTGGAAAAGGGATTTCTTCATATTCTGCTAGACAGAAGAATTCTAAGAAACTTCCTTGTGTTGTGTGTATTGAACTCACAGAGTTGAACGATTCCTTACATAGAGCAGACTTGAAACACTCTTTTTGTGGAATTTGCAAGTGGAGATTTCAGCCGCTTTGAGGTCAACGGTAGAATAGGAAATATCTTCCTATAGAAACTAGACAGAATGATTCTCAGAAACTCCTTTGTGATGTGTGCGTTCAACTCACAGAGTTTAACCTTTCTTTTCATAGAGCAGTTAGGAAACACTCTGTTTGTAAAGTCTGCAAGTGGATATTCAGACCTCTTTGAGGCTTTCGTTGGAAACGGGATTTCTTCATATTCTGCTAGACAGAAGAATTCTCAGAAACTTCCTTGTGTTGTGTGTATTCAACTCACAGAGTTGAACGATGCTTTACACAGAGCAGACTTGAAACACTCTTTTTGTGGAATTTGCAAGTGGAGATTTCAGCCGCTTTGAGGTCAATGGTAGAATAGGAAATATCTTCCTATGGAAACTAGACAGAATGATTCTCAGAAACTCCTTTGTGATGTGTGCGTTCAACTCACAGAGTTTAACCTTTTTTTTCAAAGAGCAGTTAGGAAACACTCTGTTTGTAAAGTCTGCAAGTGGATATTCAGACCTCTTTGAGGCTTTCGTTGGAAACGGGATTTCTTCATATTCTGCTAGACAGAAGAATTCTCAGAAACTTCCTTGTGTTGTGTGTGTTCAACTCACGGAGTTGAACGATCCTTTACACAGAGCAGACTTGAAACACTCTTTTTGTGGAATTTGCAAGTGGAGATTTCAGCCGCTTTGTGGTCAATGGTAGAAAAGGAAATATCTTCGTATAAAGACTAGACAGAATGATTCTCAGAAACTCCTTTGTGATGTGTGCGTTCAACTCACAGAGTTTGACCTTTCTTTTCACAGAGCAGTTAGGAAACACTCTGTTTGTAAAGTCTGCAAGTGGATATTCAGACCTCTTTGAGGCCATTGTTGGAAACGGGATTTCTTCATATTCTGCTAGACAGAAGAATTCTCAGAAACTTCCTTGTGTTGTGTGTATTCAACTCACAGAGTTGAACGATCCTTTACACAGAGCAGACTTGAAACACTCTTTTTGTGGAATTTGCAAGTGGAGATTTCAGCCGCTTTGTGGTCAATGGTAGAAAAGGAAATATCTTCGTATAGAAACTAGACAGAATGATTCTCAGAAACTCCTTTGTGATGTGGGCGTTGAACTCACAGAGTTTAACCTTTCTTTTCATAGAGCAGTTAGGAAACACTCTGTTTGTAAAGTCTGCACATGGATATTTTGACCACTTAGAGGCCTTCGTTGGAAACGGGATTTCTTCATATTCTGCTAGACAGAAGAATTCTCAGTAACTTCTTTGTGTTGTGTGTATTCAACTCACAGAGTTGAACGATCCTTTACACAGAACAGACATGAAACACTCTTTTTGTGGAATTTGAAGTGGAGATTTCAGCCACTTTGAGGTCAATGGTAGAATAGGAAATATCTTCGTATAGAAACTAGACAGAATGATTCTCAGAAACTCCTTTATGATGTGTGCATTCAATTCACAGAGTTTAACGTTTCCTTTCATAGAGCAGTTAGGAAACTCTCTATTTGTAAAGTCTGCAAGTGGATACTCAGACCTCTAGAGGCTTCGTTGGAACGGGATTTCTACATATTATGCTATACAGAAGAATTCTCAGTAACTTCCTTGTGTTGTGTGTATTCAACTCACAGAGTTGAACGATCCTTTACACAGAGCAGACTTGAAACACTCTTTTTGTGGAATTTGCAAGTGGAGATTTCAGCCGCTTTGAGGTCAATGGTAGAATAGGAAATATCTTCCTATAGAAACTAGATAGAATGATTCTCAGAAACTCCTTTGTGATGTGTGCGTTCAACTCATAGAGTTTAACCTTTCTTTTCATAGAGCAGTTAGGGAACACTCTGTTTGTAAAGTCTGCAAGTGGATATTCAGACCTCTTTGAGGCTTTCGTTGGAAACGGGATTTCTCCCTATTCTGCTAGACAGAAGAATTCTCAGAAACTTCCTTGTGTTGTGTGTATTCAACTCACAGAGTTGAACGATCCTTTACACAGAGCAGACTTGAAACACTCTTTTTGTGGAATTTGCAAGTGGAGATTTCAGCCGCTTTGAGGTCAATGTTAGAAAAGGAAATATCTTCGTATAAAGACTAGACAGAATGATTCTCAGAAACTCCTTTGTGATGTGTGCGTTCAACTCACACAGTTTAACCTTTCTTTCCATAGAGCAGTTAGGAAACACTCTGTTTGTAAAGTCTGCAAGTGGATATTCAGACCTCTTTGAGGCCTTCGTTGGAAACGGGATTTCTTCATATTCTGCTAGACAGAAGAATTCTCAGTAACTTCCTTGTGTTGTGTGTATTCAACTCACAGAGTTGAACGATCCTTTACACAGAGCAGACTTGAAACACTCTTTTTGTGGAATTCGCAAGTGGAGATTTCAGCCGCTTTGAGGTCAATGGTAGAATAGGAAATATCTTCCTATAGAAACTAGACAGAATGATTCTCAGAAACTCCTTTGTGATGTGTGCGTTCAACTCACAGAGTTTAAGCTTTCTTTTCATAGAGCAGTTGGGAAACACTCTGTAAAGTCTGCAAGTGGATATTCAGACCTCTTTGAGGCTTTCGTTGGAAACGGGATTTCTTCATATTCTGCTAGACAGAAGAATTCTCAGAAACTTCATTGTGTTGTGTGTATTGAACTCACAGAGTTGAACGATCCTTTACACAGAGCAGACTTGAAACACTCTTTTTGTGGAATTTGCAAGTGGAGATTTCAGCCGCTTTGAGGTCAATTGTAGAAAAAGAAATATCTTCGTATAGAAACTAGACAGAATGATTCTCAGAAACTCCTTTGTGATGTGTGCGTTCAACTCACAGAGTTTAACCTTTCTTTTCATAGAGCAGTTAGGAAACACTCTGTTTGTAAAGTCTGCAAGTGGATATTCAGACCTCTTTGAGGCTTTCCTTGGAAACGGGAGTTCTTCATATTCTGCTAGACAGAAGAATTCTCGGAAACTTCCTTGTGTTGTGTGTATTCAACTCACAGAGTTGAACGATCCTTTACACAGAGCAGACTGGAAACACTCTTTTTGTGAAATTTGCAAGTGGAGATTTCAGCCGCTTTAAGGTCAATGGTAAAATAGGAAATATCTTCCTATAGAAACTAGACAGAATGATTCTCAGAAACTCCTTTGTGATGTGTGCGTTCAACTCACAGAGTTTAACCTTTCTTTTCATAGAGCAGTTAGGGAACACTCTGTTTGTAAAGTCTGCAAGTGGATATTCAGACCTCTTTGAGGCTTTCGTTGGAAACGGGATTTCTCCCTATTCTGCTAGACAGAAGAATTCTCAGAAACTTCCTTGTGTTGTGTGTATTCAACTCACAGAGTTGAACGATCCTTTACACAGAGCAGACTTGAAACACTCTTTTTGTGGAATTTGCAAGTGGAGATTTCAGCCGCTTTGAGGTCAATGTTAGAAAAGGAAATATCTTCGTATAAAGACTAGACAGAATGATTCTCAGAAACTCCTTTGTGATGTGTGCGTTCAACTCACACAGTTTAACCTTTCTTTCCATAGAGCAGTTAGGAAACACTCTGTTTGTAAAGTCTGCAAGTGGATATTCAGACCTCTTTGAGGCCTTCGTTGGAAACGGGATTTCTTCATATTCTGCTAGACAGAAGAATTCTCAGGAACTTCCTTGTGTTGTGTGTATTCAACTCACAGAGTTGAACGATCCTTTACACAGAGCAGACTTGAAACACTCTTTTTGTGGAATTCGCAAGTGGAGATTTCAGCCGCTTTGAGGTCAATGGTAGAATAGGAAATATCTTCCTATAGAAACTAGACAGAATGATTCTCAGAAACTCCTTTGTGATGTGTGCGTTCAACTCACAGAGTTTAAGCTTTCTTTTCATAGAGCAGTTGGGAAACACTCTGTAAAGTCTGCAAGTGGATATTCAGACCTCTTTGAGGCTTTCGTTGGAAACGGGATTTCTTCATATTCTGCTAGACAGAAGAATTCTCAGAAACTTCATTGTGTTGTGTGTATTGAACTCACAGAGTTGAACGATCCTTTACACAGAGCAGACTTGAAACACTCTTTTTGTGGAATTTGCAAGTGGAGATTTCAGCCGCTTTGAGGTCAATTGTAGAAAAAGAAATATCTTCGTATAAAAATTAGACAGAATGATTCTCAGAAACTCCTTTGTGATGTGTGCGTTCAACTCACAGAGTTTAACCTTTCTTTTCATAGAGCAGTTAGGAAACACTCTGTTTGTAAAGTCTGCAAGTGGATATTCAGACCTCTTTGAGACCTTCGTTGGAAACGGGATTTCTACATATTCTGCTAGACAGAAGAATTCTCAGTAACTTCTTTGTGTTGTGTGTATTCAACTCACAGAGTTGAACGATCCTTTACACAGAGCAGACGTGAAACACTCTTTTTGTGGAATTTCAAGTGGAGATTTCAGCCGCTTTGAGGTCAATTGTAGAAAAAGAAATATCTTCGTATAAAAATTAGACAGAATGATTCTCAGAAACTCCTTTGTGATGTGTGCGTTCAACTCACAGAGTTTAACCTTTCTTTTCATAGAGCAGTTAGGAAACACTCTGTTTGTAAAGTCTGCAAGTGGATATTCAGACCTCTTTGAGACCTTCGTTGGAAACGGGATTTCTACATATTCTGCTAGACAGAAGAATTCTCAGTAACTTCTTTGTGTTGTGTGTATTCAACTCACAGAGTTGAACGATCCTTTACACAGAGCAGACTTGAAACACTCTTTTTGTGGAATTTCAAGTGGAGATTTCAGCCGCTTTGAGGTCAATGGTAGAATAGGAAATATCTTCCTATAGAAACTAGACAGAATGATTCTCAGAAACTCCTTTATGATGTGTGCATTCAACTCACAGAGTTTAACGTTTCTTTTCATAGAGCAGTTAGGAAACACTCTGTTTGTAAAGTCTGCAAGTGGATATTCAGACCTCCTAGAGGCCTTCGTTGGAAACGGGATTTCTTCATATTATGCTAGACAGAAGAATTCTCAGTAACTTCCTTGTGTTGTGTGTATTCAACTCACAGAGTTGAACGATCCTTTACACAGAGCAGACTTGAAACACTCTTTTTGTGGAATTTGCAAGTGGAGATTTCAGCCGCTTTGAGATCAATGGTAGAATAGGAAATATCTTCCTATAGAAAGTAGACAGAATGATTCTCAGAAACTCCTTTGTGATGTGTGCGTTCAACTCACAGAGTTTAACCTTTCTTTTCATAGAGCAGTTAGGAAACACTCTGTTTGTAAAGTCTGCAAGTGGATATTCAGACCTCTTTGAGGCTTTCCTTGGAAACCGGATTTCTTCATATTCTGCTAGACAGAAGAATTCTCGGAAACTTCCTTGTGTTGTGTGTATTCAACTCACAGAGTTGAACGATCCTTTACACAGAGCATACTGGAAACACTCTTTTTGTGTAATTTGCAAGTGGAGATTTCAGCCGCTTTAAGGTCAATGGTAGAATAGGAAATATCTTCCTATAGAAACTAGACAGAATGATTCTCAGAAACTCCTTTGTGATGTGTGCATTCAACTCACAGAGCTTAACCTTTCTTTTCACAGAGCAGTTAGGAAACACTCTGTTTGTAAAGTCTGCAAATGGATATTCAGACCTCTCTGAGGCCTTCGTTGGAAACGGGATTTCTTCATATTATGCTAGACAGAAGAATTCTCAGTAACTTCCTTGTGTTGTGTGTATTCAACTCACAGAATTTAACGATCCTTTACACAGAGCAGACTTGAAACACTCTTTTTGTGGAATTTGCAAGTGGAGATTTCAGCCGCTTTGTGGTCAATGATAGAAAAGGAAATATCTTCGTATAAAAACTAGACAGAATGTTTCTCAGAAACTCCTTTGTGATGTGGGCGTTGAACTCACAGAGTTTAACCTTTCTTTTCATAGAGCAGTTAGGAAACACTCTGTTTGTAACGTCTGCAGGTGGATATTTGGACTTCTTTGAGGTCTTCGTTGGAAACGGGTTTTTTTCATGTAAGGCTAGACAGAAGAATTCTCAGTAACTTCCTTGTGTTGTGTGTATTCAACTGACAGAGTTGAACTTTCATTTAGAGAGAGCAGATTTGAAACACTGTTTTTGTGGAATTTGCAAGTGGAGGTTTCAAGCGCTTTGGGGCCAAAGGCAGAAAAGGATATATCTTCGTATAAAAACTAGACAGAATCATTCTCAGAAACTGCTGCGTGATGTGTGCGTTCAACTCTCAGAGTTTAAAGTTTCTTTTCATTCAGCGGTTTGGAAACACTCTGTTTGTAAAGTCTGCAAGTGGATATTCAGACCTCTTGGAGGCTTTCGTTGGAAACGGGATTTCTTCATATTCTGCTAGACAGAAGAATTCTCAGTAACTTCCTTGTGTTGTGTGTATTCAACTCACAGAGTTGAACGATCCTTTACACAGAGCAGACTTGAAACATTCTTTTTGTGGAATTTGCAGGTGGAGATTTCAGCCGCTTTGAGGTCAATGGTAGAAAAGGAAATATCTTCGTATAGAAACTAGACAGAATGATTCTCAGAAACTCCTTTGTGATGTGTGCGTTCAACTCACAGAGTTTAACCTTTCTTTTCATAGAGCAGTTAGGAAACACTCTGTTTGTAAAGTCTGCAAGTGGAAATTCAGACCTCTTTGAGACCTTCGTTGGAAACGGGATTTCTTCATATTCTGGTAGACAGAAGAATTCTCAGTAACTTCTTTGTGTTGTGTGTATTCAACTCACAGAGTTGAACGATCCTTCAAACAGAGCAGACTTGAAACACTCTTTTTGTGGAATTTCAAGTGGAGATTTCAGCCGCTTTGAGGTCAATGGTAGAATAGGAAATATCTTCCTATAGAAACTAGACAGAATGATTCTCAGAAACTCCTTTATGATGTGTGCATTCAACTCACAGAGTTTAACGTTTCTTTTCATAGAGCATTTAGGAAACACTCTGTTTGTAAAGTCTGCAAGTGGATATTCAGACCTCCTAGAGGCCTTCGTTGGAAACGGGATTTCTTCATATTCTGCTAGACAGAAGAATTCTCAGTAACTTCCTTGTGTTGTGTGTATTCAACTCACAGAGTTGAACGATCCTTTACACAGAGCAGACTTGAACACACTTTTTTTGGTATTTTTCAGTGGAGATTTCAGCCGCTTTGTGGTCAATGGTAGAAAAGGAATATCTTCGTATAAAGACTAGACAGAATGATTCTCAGAAACTCCTTTGTGATGTGTGCGTTCAACTCACAGAGTTTAACCTTTCTTTTCATAGAGCAGTTAGGAAACCTCTGTTTGTNAAGTCTGCAAGGGGATATCAGACCTCTTTGAGCTTTCTTNGAAACTGGATTTCTCCTATCTGCTAAAGAAGAATTCTCAAAACTCATTGGGTGGGTGGATGGACTCCCAAAGTGACGATCCTTAACCGAAGCAACGTGACCCTCTTTTGGGAATTTGCAGTGGAAATTCACCGCTTGGGTCAAGGTAAAAAGAAATTCTCCATAAAACCAACCAAGGTTTCCAAACCCTTTGGAAGGGCGTCACCCACAATTAACTTCTTTCAAAGATTGGAAACCCTGTTAGGCGAGGAATAAACCTCTGGGCCTTGAAAAGTTCTTTTGGGAAAAAAATACAATCTTGTGGTTTTCCCAGGAGACTTCTACAACAGACCCTTGGATAGGGATACCCTTGGGGGAAAAATTAAAAAAAATAACCTGTGGGCACAATTTTTGAAAACGTGGGGAAACCTGGGTTTTCAANNNT